>NC_000006.12:83898261-84523261 GCF_000001405.40 Homo sapiens
TCAGATAGTTGTAGATATGTGGCATTAGTTCTGAGGGCTCTGTTCTGTTCCATTGGTCTATATCTCTGTTTTGGTACCAGTACCATGCTGTTTTGGTTACTGTAGCCTTGTAGTATAGTTTGAAGTCAGGTAGCATGATGCCTCCAGCTTTGTTCTTTTGGCTTAGGATTGACTTGGCAATGTGGGCTCTTTTTTGGTTCCATGTGAACTTTAAAGTAGTTTTTTCCAGTTCTGTGAAGAAAGTCATTGGTAGCTTGATGGGGATGGCATTGAATCTATAAATTACCTTGGGCAGTATGGCCATTTTCACGATATTGATTCTTCCTACCCACGAGCATGGAATGTTCTTCCATTTGTTTGTATCCTCTTTTATTGCGTTGAGCAGTGGTTTGTAGTTCTCCTTGAAGAGGTCCTTCACATCCCTTGTAAGTTGGATTCCTAGGTATTTTATTCTCTTTGAAGCAATTGTGAATGGGAGTTCACTCATGATTTGGCTCTCTGTTTGTCTGTTATTGGTGTATAAGAATGCTTGTGATTTTTGCACATTGATTTTGTATCCTGAGACTTTGCTGAAGTTGCTTATCAGCTTAAGGAGATTTTGGGCTGAGATGATGGGGTATTCTAAATATACAATCATGTCATCTGCAAACAGGGACAATTTGACTTCCTCTTTTCCTAATTGAATACCCTTTATTTCCTTCTCCTGCCTAATTGCCCTGGCCAGGACTTCCAACACTATGTTGAATAGGAGTGGTGAGAGAGGGCGTCCCTGTGTTGTGCCAGTTTTCAAAGGGAATGCTTCCAGTTTTTGCCCATTCAGTATGATATTGGCTGTGGGTTTGTCATAGATAGCTCTTACTGTTTTGAGATATGTGGCATCAGTACCTAATTTATTGAGAGTTTTTAGCATGAAGCATTGTTGAATTTTGTCAAAGGCCTTTTCTGCATCTATTGAGATAATCATGTGGTTTTTGTCTTTGGTTCTGTTTATATGCTGGATTACGTTTATTGATTTGTGTATGTTGAACCAGCCTTCCATCCCAGGGATGAAGCCGACTTGATCATGGTGGATAAGCTTTTTGCTGTGCTGCTGGATTTGGTTTGCCAGCATTTTATTGAGGATTTTTGCATCAATGTTCATTAGGGATATTGGTCTAAAATTCTCTTTTTCTGTTGTGTCTCTGCCAGGCTTTGATATGAGGATGATGCTGGCCTCATAAAATGAGTTAGGGAGGATTCCCTCTTTTTCTATTGATTGGAATAGTTTCAGAAGGAATAGTACCAGCTCCTCCTTGTACCTCTGGTAGAATTCGGCTGTGAATCCATCTGGTCCTGGACTTTTTTTGGTTGGTAAGCTATTAATTATTGCCTCAATTTCAGAGCCTGTTATTGGACTATTCAGGGATTCAACTTCTTCCTGGTTTAGTCTTGGGAGGGTGTATGTGTCGAGGAATTTATCCATTTCTTCTAGATTTTCTAGTTTATTTGCATAGAGGTGTTTATAGTATTCTCTGATGGTAGCTTGTATTTCTGTGGGATCAGTGGTGATATCCCCTTTATCATTTTTTATTGCATCTATTTGATTCTTCTCTCTTTTCTTCTTTAGTAGTCTTGCTAGGGGTCTATCAATTTTGTTGATCTTTTCAAAAAACCAGCTCCTGGATTCATTGATTTTTTTGAAGGGTTTTTTATGTCTCTATCTCCTTCAGTTCTGCTCTGATCTTAGTTATTTCTTGCCTTCTGCTAGCTTTTGAATGTGTTTGCTCTTGCTTCTCTAGTTCTTTTAATTGTGATGTTAGGGTGTCAATTTTGGATCTTTCCTGCTTTCTCTTGTGGGCATTTAGTGCTTTAAGTTTCCCTCTACACACTGCTTTGAATGTGTCCCAGAAATTCTGGTATGTTGTGTCTTTGTTCTCATTGGTTTCAAAGAACATCTTTATTTCTGCCTTCGTTTCGTTTTGTACCCAGTAGTCATTCAGGAGCAGGTTGTTCAGTTTCCATGTAGTTGAGTGGTGTTGAGTGAGTTTCTTAATCCTGAGTTCTAGTTTGATTGCACTGTGGTCTGAGAGACAGTTTGTTATAATTTCTGTTCTTTTACTTTTGCTGAGGAGTGCTTTACTTCCAACTAAGTGGTAAATTTTGGAATAAGTGCGGTGTGGTGCTGAGAAGAATGTATATTCTGTTGATTTGGGGTGGAGAGTTCTGTAGCTGTCTATTAGGTCCACTTGGTGCAGAGCTGAGTTCAATTCCTGGATTTCTTTGTTAACTTTCTGTCTCATTGATCTGTCTAATGTTGACAGTAGGGTGTTAAAGTCTCCCGTTATTACTGTGTGGGAGTCTAAGTCTCTTTCTAGGTCTCTAAGGACTTGTTTTATGAATCTGGGTGCTCCTGTATTGGGTGCATATATATTTAGGATAGTTAGCTCTTCTTGTTGAATTGATCCCTTTACCATTATGTAATGGCCTTCTTTGTCTCTTTTGATCTTTGTTGGTTTAAAGTCTGTTTCATCAGAGACTAGGATTGCAACCCCTGCCTTTTTTTGTTTTCCATTTGCTTGGTAGATCTTCCTCCATCCCTTAATTTTGAGTCTATGTGTGTCTCTGCACGTGAGATGGGTTTCCTGAATACAGCATACTGATGGGTCTTGACTCTTTATCCAATTCGCTGTTTTGTGTCTTTTAATTGGAGCATTCAGCCCATTTATGTTTAATGTTAATATTGTTATGTGTGAATTTGATCCTGTCAAATGTTAGCTAGTTACTTTGCTCGTTAGCTGATGCAGTTTCTTCCTAGCCTCGATGGTCTTTACAATTTGGCATGTTTTTGCAGTGGCTGGTGCCGGTTGTTCCTTTCCGTGTTTGGTGCTCCCTTCAGGAGCTCTTTTAGGGCAGGCCTGGTGGTGACAAAATCTCTCAGCATTTGCTTGTCTGTAAAGAATTTTATTTCTCCTTCACTTATGAAGCTTAGTTTGGCTGGATATGAAATTGTGGGTTGAAAATTCTTTTCTTGAAGAATGTTGAATATTGGCCCCCACTCTCTTCTGGCTTGTAGAGTTTCTGCCGAGAGATCAGCTGTCTGATGGGCTTCCCTTTGTGGGTTACCCGACCTTTCTCTCTGGCTGCCCTTAACATTTTTTCCTTCATTTCAACTTTGGTGAATCTGACAATTATGTGTCTTGGAGTTGCTCTTCTCGAGGAGTATCTTAGTGGACTTCTGTGTATTTCCTGAATTTGAATGTTAGCCTGCCTTGCTAGATTGGGGAAGTTCTCCTGGATAATATCCTGCAGAGTGTTTTCCAACTTGTTTCCATTCTCCCCGTCACTTTCAGGTACACCAATCAGACGTAGATTTGGTCTTTTCACATAGTCCCATATTTCTTGGAGGCTTTGTTCATTTCTGAGTTCCCTTTTCTTTACATCCTCACCAGCGTCTATTATTTCTTGTTTTTTTTTTTGTAATAGCCATTCTATCTGGGATAGGATGATGTCTAATTATGGTTTTGATTTGCATGTCCCTGATGATCAGTGATATTGAGCATTTTTTCATGTACTCATCAACTATTTGTCATCTTTTGAGAATTGTCTATTCATGTTCTTTGCCCACTTCTTAATGGGATTACTTTTTTTTTTATGGTTGGGTTCCTTATATATTCTGGATATCAGTCCTTGTTAGATAAATAGAGTGCAGATATTTTCTCCCATTCAACATGTTGTGTCTTCACTCTCTTGATTGTTTCCTTTGCTGTGTAGAAACTTTTAAGTTTAATATAGTTACATTTGTCTATTTTTGTGTTGTCTGTGCTTTTGAGGTCTTAACCATAAAATCTTTGCTTAGACCAATGTCATGAAGTGTTTTTCCAGTGTTTTCTTCTAGTGATTTTATAGTTTCGGGTCTATATTTTAAGTCTTTAATCCATTTTGAGTTGATTTTTTAATATGGTGAAATATTGGAGTTCATTTTCATTCTTCTGCATATGGATATCCAATTTTCCCAGCACCATTTATTGAAGAAGGTGTCCTTTCCTCATTGTATATTCTTGACGTCATTGTTGAAAATCAGTTGGCTATAAATATGTGGATTTATTTCTGGGTTCTCTGCTCTGTTCTGTTGGTTTATATGTCTAGTTTCATACCAATACTGTGCTGTTTTGGTTACTACAGCCTTGGAATATATTTTGAAATCAGGTAGTATGATGTCACCATCTTTGTTCTTTTTGCTCAGGATTGCTTTGGCTATTCTAGTGGGTTTTTGGTTCCATATGAATTTTAGGATTGTTTTTTCTATTTCTGTGAAAAATAACAGTGGTATTTTGATAAGGATTGCATTGATTCTGCATATTGCTTTGGGCTGTATGTTCCTTCTGATTGTTACTAATTCTTCTGATCCATGAGCACAGTATATCTTTCCATTTGTTTGTGTCCTTTCACCAGTTGTGTTCTTTCATCAATGTTCTGTAGTTTTACTTGTAGAGATCTTTCATCTCTTTGGTTAAATTTATCTGTAGCTTTCTTTCTTTCTTTGTAGCTATGGTTAATGGGATTGTCTTCTTGATTTCTTTTTCAGCTATTTTATTATTGGCGTATAGAAACACTGCTGAGTTTTGTATGTTGATTTTGTGTCTTGTAACTTTACTGAATTTGTTTATCAGCTCTAAGGTATTTGGTGGAGTCTTTTGGTTTTTCTAAATACAAAATAGTATTTGTTAAAAGGGACAGTTTGACTTTCTCTTTTCTAATATGGATGCTTTTTATTTCTTTCTCTTGCATTGCTCTGTCTAGAACTTCCAGTACTGTATTAAATAGGGGTAGTGAAAGTGGGCGTCCTGTCTTGTTCCAGTTCTTAGTGAAAAGGCTTTTAACTTTTCCCAGTGCAATATGTTGTTAGCTGTGGGTTTGTCATATATGGCCTTTTATTATTTTGAGGTATATTCCTTCTATGTCTAGTTTGTTGAGAGTTTTTATTATGTAAGAATGTTGAACTTTATGAAATACTTTTTTGTGTGACTGAGATGATCATACAGTTTCTGTTTTTCATTCTGTTGATGTGATGTATCACATTTACTAATTTGTGTGTATGTTAAACCATCCCTGACTCCTTGGGATAAATTCCACTTCATCATGTTTTATTATATTTTTGATGTGCTGTCAAATTCATTTGGCTAGTGTTTTCTTGACATTTTTCCATTTATGTTTATCAGTGATATTGTAGTTTTGTGGGGTTTTTTTGGTTGTTGTTTTTGTACACTTACTTGGTTTTGGTATCAGGGTAATGCTGGCCTTGTAGAATAAATTGGGGCGAATTCCCTTCTCTTCAATTTTTTGGAATAATTTGAGGAGGATTTTGATTTACTCTTCTTTCTACATTTGGTAAAATTTTACAGTGAATCCATCTAGTCCTTTGTTGTTGCTGTTGCTGTTGTTGTTCTTGGGAGTTTTTTTTATTACTGATTCAATCTTGCTACTGGTTATTGGTCTGTTCATGTTTTCTATTTCTTCCTGATTCAATCTTGATAGGTTGTATGTTTCCAGGAATTTATCCATTTTCTCTAGGTTTTCCAGTTTGTTAATATATAGTTGCTCATAACAGTCTCTGATGATCCTTTGTATTTCTTTGGTATCAGTTGTGTTGTCTCCTTTTCATTTCTGATTTTGTTTACTTAGGTCTTCCCTTTTTTTGGTTATTCTAGCTAGTGGCTTATCAATTTTGTTTTATCTTTTCAAAAATCAACTTTTTGTTTTATTGATCCTTTGTATCTTTTTAAAAAATCTATTTCATATAGTTCTGCTCTGACAGTTATTATTTCTTTTCTTCTCCTAATATTGCCTTTGGTTTGTTCTTGCTTTTCTAGTTCCTTGAGGTACATTGTTAGATTGTTTATTTGAAATCTGTCAACTTTTTTGGAGTAGGCATTTATTGCTATAAACTTCCCCCTTAGATACTGCTTTTGCTATTCCACAGGTTTTGGTATGCTGCATTTCTATTTTCATTTGTTTCAAGAAATTTTTTTATTTCCATTTTAATTTCTTCTTTGACTGAATGGTGATTCAGGAGCATGTTGTTTAATTTCCATGTATTTGTATGGTTTTGAAAGTTCCTGTTAGTATTGATTTATTTTACTGGGGCCTGAAAATATACTCAAGAGGATTTCAGTGCTTAAAAATATGTTGAGACTTGTTTTGTAGCCTAACATATGTCTGTCATGGACAACGTTATATGTGCTGATGAAAAAAAATGTGTATTCTGCAATCGTTGGATAAATGTTTTATAAATGTCTGCTAGGTCCATTGGTCTGAAGTCCAGTTTAAATCCAATGTTTGTTGATTTTTCTCCCTAGATGATCCGTCTAATGCTGAGAATGGGATTTTGAACTCCCCCACTATTATTGTATTGGAGTTTCTCTCTCTCTTTAGATCAAATAATACTTTGCTTTTGAATGTGTTTTGTATATCATTCAATGAGTTCTTCAGTTCCAGAATTTCTGTTTGGTTCTTTTTCATGACGTCTATCACTTTTGTAAATTTCTCATTCATATTCTGAATTGTTTTTTGTATTGTTTTTTATAATTCTGTTGTACCTCACTGAACTTCTTTAGAATCAATAGTTTGAATTCTTTTTCTAGGATTTCATAAATTTCTTTTTGATTGTGATCTGTTGCCAGAGAATTATTGTGTTCCTTTGGAAGTGTCATATTTCCTTGCTTTTTCATGTTTCCTGTGTCCTTATGTTGATATTGCACATCTGGTGTAACAGTCACTTCTTTCCTTTTTTTTTTGTATGTTTGTTTTGTTTGTTTGTTTTTTGTTTTGTTTTGAGATAGAATCTCACCCTGTTACCCAGGCTGGAGTGCAGCGGTGCAGCCTCAGCTCACTGCAACCTCCGCGTCCCAGGTTCAAGAGATTCTCCTGCCTCAGCCGCCCAAGTAGCTGGGACTACAGGCACGCGCCTCCACACCTGGCTAATTTTTTTGTATTTTTAGTAGAGATGGGGTTTCACCATGTTGGCCAGACTGGTCTCCAACTCTTGACCTCAGGTGATCTTCCCGCCTCGGCCTCCCAAAGTGCGGAGCCACTGCGCCCGGCCCTTTTTCAGTTTTTTTTAAATTTGCTTTCATATGGGAGAAATTTTTCCTGTAGATGTATCTGTGATGTTGGTGGGGTAGGACACTTCGGCTTTGATCCTGGGTGTGTGCAGTAGTGTAGTCTCTATATGATTTCTTCAGGTGTAAACAGCATCAGTGATGACTGTGACTTCCTCGGTGTCTTAGGGTACAATTATTGGTGGAGGCTGCGATGAAGTTTTGCTGGTTACTAGGACCCCAGGTAGGTTAGTCTTTGGGCCCCAGTGGTGGGAGCAATGGGCTAAGTGTGTCTGTCCTTGGGCCCCAGGATGGCATATGCTGGCACCAGGGTTCATCAAGGCAAGCTGATTCTTGGGCCTCTTGGTGGCCTAGTTGGATCCCAATAGTGGCAACAGTGGGTGAGTTCTTGGGCCCCTGGGCAGGTGGTGTGGCATGGGTGGTGACGGTGGCAGTCGCAGGATGACCTCTGGGTCCCAGGTGGTACACGCTTATGTTGGTGGAGGCTGTTATGGGCTGCGCAGGCCAGTCTCTAACCCTGCAGATGGCATGTGCAAGGAGGTGCTAGCTGTGGTGATAGCAGCCAGGTTGGTATGTCCAACCTCAGGCCCCTGGGAGGAGTGTTCAGGTGCCAGTGTGTTGGACTGGACTGGGCAATCTCCTGGCCCTCAAACTGTGCTGTGGAATAGGCAGAGGGGGGTGAGGCCAGCCATGGCAGGCATGGTAGGCAGGGGCAATCCCCAGGCTATCAGTGGAATGCTCAGGTGGAGGGAGACAGCAGTTGTGGTGATACCCTGCCTCTGGGCAGAGTGGTGCTGCCTTCAGTGGTAGGCAGCCTAGGCCAGTGGATGGGGAATGAACGTACCAGCTGTTCTTCAGCCCTGGTGACTTGCTCTTGCCTCAGCCCATGGTGCGGTAGCTGGCAGTTCCTTGAACCTAAACTCCTGGGGCAGTAGCCATGCTTCTCTTGCACTTCAGTCTGGGTTCTGCTGGGTTCTAGTACAGTGTGCAGTTTGTTGGGGCTAGGGCTCTGAAATGATCGTTTACTGTAGCTGCTTAGGTCTCAGGGGGCTTGTGAGACCCAGTGCAAGCACCCTCCCTGGAGCAGTGCCATCACACAATCTCCCAGCAGCTCTCTATTTTAATGTCAGGGCCTGCAAAGGTCAAAGGGTTCTTCTGTGGCTAGGATTGCATGAGTCCATGGTGGGAATGTAGACTGCTAAAGTTCTCCAACCTGAGTCTTTCTCAGCTCCCAGCTGATCCCAGCCCTGTAGGCTGCCTCACTTCCTTTTCATTTCTTGCTTTAGGTATCTCCTGTCACTTTACTGTTGAATTTCAGTGTTCTCTCTGGATGGTCTATTCAGAATGTAATTATCCATTCACTATCTTGGTTCTTAGTGGAGGAGGCAAGTATGAAATACCTCTAGTCAACTATCTTCTTTCTATACTTTACATACTTACTATTTTAGTGCATATTTATTTACTCTGGAATATACCATAAAGATTCCAGTATCAACATTTTTTTGGCTGGTTATTTTAATGATTATATAGTATTGTATTGAATGGCATTATATATTGATTTTCCTTTGCCGGTCTTTTACAATTGGACATTTAAATTGTTTCCAGTATTTTGCTAATTTAAGTAGTGCTGTGATGAGTATCCTGGTACCTACATCTTTATATACATGCAAATATTTTCTCAGGTAAATTCCTAAATATGTGAGTGAAAGAGCTGCAGATTTTTAAGTCCTTTTTTTTCAAACAGGGTCTTGCTCTTTTGCCCAGGCTGGAATGTAGTGGCATGATCAGCTTACTGCAACCTCGAACTCCTGGGCTCAAGTGATCCTCTCACCTCAGCCTCCCAAAGTGCTGGGATTACAGGCATGAGCCACCCCACCTTAAAATTATTCCTGGCCTATTTTAAGACTTTTAAGGCATATTGAGAAGGTGCCTTGCAGAAAGGTTGTTTAAATATAATTTCCACCAGTGGCATCTGACAACAAATACTGTCAGTTCTTTTCCTTGAAGCAGTAGAATCACTTTGTTTCTTTTCAAGAAAATAACTGTTAAATATCTGAGTCTGAATAATCAGTTTGTTTACTAGCAGTTCTTATAAATGGCCCTTCATTTTTTTTGTTCTTTTTTTTTTTAACTTTTATTTTAGGTTCAGGGGTACGTGTGCAGGTTTGTTATATAGGTAAACTCATGTCATGAGGATTCATTGTACAGATTATTTCATCATCCAGGTACTAAGCCTGGTACCCAATAGTTATTTTTTCTGCTCCTCTCCCTCCTCCCAACCTCCACCCTCAAGTAGTGTCTGTTGTTCATTTCTTTGTTTTCAGGAGTTCTCATCATTTAGCTCCCACTTGTAAGTGAGAACATGTAGTATTTGGTTTTCTGTTTCTGTGTTAGTTTACTAAGGATAATGGCCTCCAGCTCCATCCATGTTCCTGCAAAAGATATAATCTTGTTCTTTTTTATGGCTGCCTAGTATTCCATGGTGTATATCTACCACATTTTCTTTATTCAGTCTGTCATTTATGGGCATTTAGGTTGATTCCATGTCTTTGCTATTGTGAATAGTGCTGTAGTGAACAGTCGTGTACATGAGTCTTTATGGTAGAATGATTTATATTCCTCTGCATATATACTCAGAAATGGGATTGCTGGGTCAAATGGTAGTTCTGTTTTTAGTTCTTTGAGGAATCACCATATCACTTTCCACAATGGTTGAACTAATTTACAGTCTCACCAACAGTTGTATAAACATCCTCTTTTCTCCGCAACCTCGCCAACATCTGTTATTTTTTTACTTTTTATTAATGCCATTCTAACTGCCATGAGATGGTATCTCATTGTGGTTTTGATTTGCATTTCTCAAATGATCGGTAATATTGAGCTTTTTTCACTGCCGGATGACTGCATGTATGTCTTCTTCTTTTTTTAATTTATTTTAAGTTCTGAGGTATATGTGCAGGATGTGCAGGTTTGTTATGTAGGTAAAATGTGCCAAATGGCCTTTCATGAAAAAAGCCTAGTTGCATTTGCAAATCAAACAATCACCTAAGTGTCTCTTCACCGGGAAACCATCATACTTTGTAGCACTAATCTTTTTGAGAATTTCCCACTTTGTCACACAAAATATAATAAAAATATGTACCCAAGGGTCAAAATTTAATTAATAATTTTTCTACTTCATGAAGGATATTCTTAAGTATTCTTAAATATCTTCCTCATGCTCCCTCCCCTGTCCATGGTGGTGAAGAAGATAATAATTACTAGTACTGTTTGGACCCACTGCCTTGATTAATGCAAGATACTAGCAGTTTTACCCACCATTGCTTTTATAGCATCAGAGCAAATGTCAAAACTGAAAAAAAAGTGAGTAACTTTTTATTAGTATTATCATGAAACAAATTGAGACCTCATGGAGACCTGAAAGGGTGTCAGGAACTTCCAAAGGTCCCAACACTTTGAGAATACTATTCTAAACAATCTCTATCTGTGCAGCCTTTCTATCACACCCTGGTAGACTAATTGAATATGCTTCTTAGTTTTTAGGTGTGTGTTGAGAGTGGTTTCAGAAAGTTTAGTTTTGCTCGTACTAAAATGAGAGCATCCTGTGGAGTTAGTCATGTTGCTTTTCCATCATTTGTTTTACATACCAGGTTCATCGTTGGGTCAATTATGAATCCATGCTGAAAGAATGCCTGGTTGGCAGAATGGCCATTAAACCTGCTGTTCTGAAAGGTAAGTGGTGCTGGTGCTAAACCAGCATGGATGTGTGGTGCACATGTATTTTTTTTTAACTTGGATTTAAACAACTAGGTCTATACAAATCACTATGGTTTTGTAATTTTCATTGGCCTCCTGGTCTAGCCACTCCAGAGGTTTTCCTTCATTTCTTCTCTAGAATCATATTGTGACTTTCCCTTAAAAGTTCGACTGTTGTTTAGAGAAAGTTCAGTGTGAGGAGTACAACACTTAGGGTTGATTTTTAGATTAGTTTTTTAGAATTTAATTTTTTGAATAATATAGTCACATGATTCAAACATTTAAAAATACAAAAAGTTATACAGTGAAATTTTCCCTCCCAGCTTTTTCTCCCATTTGCCATGGACCTTCCGACTCTGCGCCTTCACTATAGATAACCCCTATTCTTACTTTAAACTTCTTCTAAAGTATAACCAGTTTCTTCCCCCTAGCTCTGAGATGGAAGAGGGATTTAGAGCAGTTTAAAAGTGAAGATACTGAGGCTTGTAGGTATTGTATCTTACTAAAAACTACAGAGTTATTTAATTGAAAAAGCCCACTTGAAGAAACCATGGGTAAACAAACCTTTTGTAAGGCAGAGAGTTGCCTCATTAAATGGTACCTGCTTTTTTGTAATGTATTTTCTTTTAGTATATGCCAGTTGTTTTTCACTGGGGTTGATTTTGCTCTTCAGGGGGACATTTGGCAATGTCTGAAGACATTTTTGTTGTTAGAACGAAAGTAAATGCTACTGGCATTCTAATTGATAGTGGTCAGAGATGCTGCTAAATATCCTGCGTTGCACAGGACAGACCCCCACAACAAAGGATTTTCTGGCCTAAAATGTTAATAGTGTTGAAGTAGAGAAACCATCTTATATGCATTAGTTTTTTATTATTAAAAATGATGGTATTAGTGGCACATACATGTTAAGCTGGTACGCATGCATTGGACAGCTCTTTGGTTCATCCTAGGCAAACTCTGGCACCTGTAGAGCTGAGGATGGAGATAGACACCAGGACCTATAGTGGGCTGAGACATTACTTTCAAAGATTTCTTTTACTGTCACAGCACTGTGAGCAAGGACAAGACATCTATTGAATGGGCTGCCTGCCAGTTGGAAGTTCAACTTTTGTAAAGTCAGTCAAAGTTCTTTCTTCTAGAAGCCTCAGTTTCCTCATTGGTAAAATGGAGACAATTTAGGTAGACAAAGCACAAGCTCAGAGACTAACTGATAGGGGAGAAGTAAGACGGTTACTGGTGGAGAGAGGGAGGCTGGGAGTCATTCTGAAGTGGGCTTTACTAGACAGACAAGTTTGCTATCTCAGCCTGGCTGCCTTAATTTGCTCCTTCTGCTATAGGGCCCGTTGTCTGGGTAATTCTTGCCAGAAAGATTTAAGGGAAAGGTAATTAAAAATGGGAGGTAGAAGTAAGAAGTCCCTGGTTAGGGGGCAGATGCAGACCTAAACAGGAAGTGTGTCTTCTGTAGTGGTATGACTGACTGATGTTTTGTTTGTGTTAGCATTTGTTTTGTTTTCATAGAAAGAGGAATTTTGAACATGTGTATATTCATGTACAGGTGATTCCAGATAAGAAAGGAATCGTAATCCCTCTGATGATAGGACAGGAATGGAAAATAACTGACAAATTGCAGAGTTGATTAAAAAAATGACAAGTGAAGCCAACTTGGGGAGAAAATATGAACTTCTAAAAATACAGCATATGCTGTGATTAAATGAATAATGGAGGAAAAACTGATCCTAGGATAAATTAATACTCTGGTATTTTTAAAGCTTTTTAATCCTCGGATTTTTCAGAATATGTGGATTTGAACTATTAAGTCTTCATTTTAATTCTGCTAGTGAACTAGAAGTTTGAGAGATGTATAAAATTGAAAGATGATTCAGAAGATGATTACAAAGATGAATAGAAGAAAGTAAGGTAAAGATAGTTTAAAACTGCAAAAATTAAGTTTTGTAAGATTTGAGAAATAAGTATGACTTTTAAATCAAAAACAAGAATTAGGCCTGGCTAGGTGCGGTGGCTCATGCCTGTAATCTCAGCACTTTGGGAAGCCAAGGCAGGAGGACTGCTTGAGCCCAGGATTTTGAGACTAGCTTGGGCAATATAGTGAAACTCTGTCTCTACAAAAATTAAAAAAAAATTATATTTAATTAAAAAAAAGAATCAGGTCTAAGTTGTGTTATGAAGAGTTCTGTTTAGAGATATGGAGGAATTTCTAGAGGAAAAAATGGTTATTAAACACATTATACAGAACCAAGAAGTCTTCTGGCAAGGCTAAGCAGGTAAGGGAATACAGAATGGTAAATTTAGGACTTTGTGAGTAAGATCCCTGGCAACAAGACTGAGCTCTTATCTGATGGTGACATAATACCAACCTTTTGGAATAAGAAAGGGGAATGAGGAATGTAGCTACAAGATAATTGTAAAACATTCAATTAATGCTCAGCATTTTTTTTTTCCTAGAATGCTTTTCTTCAAGGACTCCTGACAAATGCCTACACATTTTCAAAACTTAGCTAAAATACTACTTCTTCTATAGAGTCCTTTCAAATTTCTTCCAGTAGAAACGTTCTTCTTCTGTGCTTCAATAACACCTCCTGTATACCTCTTTTACAGCCACACGCAATCTTAAAAAGAGCGTATCATCTGGGTACGGTGGCTGACACCTGTAATCCCAGCACTTTGGGATGCCAAGGCAGGTGAATCACTTGAGTTCAGGAGTTCAAGACCAGCCTGGGCTACATAGCGAAACCCTGTCTCTACAAAAAAGAAAAAAAAATTACAAAAATATTAACCAGGCCTAGTGGTGCATGCCTGTGGTCCCAGCTACTCGGAAGGCTGAGGCAAGAGGATTTCTTGAGCCCACCAGGCAGAGGTTGCAGTGAGCCGAGATATCACCACTGCATTCCAGCCTGGGTGACAGAGAGAGGCCTTGTCTCAAAAAAAAAAAAAAAAAAAAAGCCTATTGACTTTATTTTTAATTCCGTTTATGGTATTTTTTGAATAAGTATTGCACTCATGTGATTCAAGAAGAAGCATCCTTATCATAGTTCTGCCTCCCATCTACTGTTTTCCTCTCCCATGCACACACCAAGGACATGTTTCTGTTGATGTTGTTGTTGTTGTGACTCTTTCCAAATTATCTTTATGTATGATAAGCAGACTGAATATATTTTCTTATTTTTCTAACTTTTTATCCAAATGGTATGTCAATGTCCGTATTATGTCAATATCGCTGTTAAGATGATCAATAGATGTTTATTAAAGAATGAGCATATTGGTAAAAGAACTTCCTACTGGATCTTTCTTTATTCCAGGGTATCCTCCTGTGCCTCTGCTCAGCAGAGGTAAACTAGATTTGGGTCATAATTAAAGATCCTTACCAAGGAAGAGCTGAGTGCTGTTAGATCACAGCACCAGCCTTCTAAATGACTCTGACCTCTCCGGAAATAAAGATTCTCATCAGAGTAAAGCAGTTTAACCAGCATTATGAGAAGATACAAATTTGATTGGCCATGGAGCCAACTAAATGATGGAATTAGTTACCAAGAGAAAACATCAGATTTCTTTTCAGAGAAGAAAGTATCTCCTGTGACTAAAATGATTCAGATGTAAATATGCTTGAAAGTGAAAAACAGTCTCCTCCATTTCTGTAACTCAGTTTTTGAAAAGAGTTGTAAAAACAGAGTAGGAGAATTTTTAAAGGTAACCCAGATTCTTTAAGTGGAAGTTCTCTTTCTACTAGTACTTCTTGTATTTAAAAAAGACTTGGTGGTGGGGGGGAACTACTAATTTTGCAGAATCCAGAAAGTTCTGACAGATTCAAATCTATTCATATCAGGCAAGAAATAATCATAAGAGATAATATTTTCTTCTTAGAAATAAATTACCTGGGACAATTTTTCAAAATCTGTGAACCTCTTAGGTAAAAACTAATTGTTTTACATGATAAATGAGATTTATTAAACTGTTGACCTTATTGTACACTGAAAATAGATACATGTTCTGTGAATTTCTAAGATAAAACAAATAATCACAACTGCAACAGCAAAGACAGATAAAACTGACTGGATGAAAGTACATGGCCAAGCAGGGACATCAGTGATCCTTTGCAAACTGTAATGGCCAGATTTGTATGTGGCAGTTGATAAACAAAGCTCATTTTGAAGTATAGTTTAAATGGTTTTTAGGCCTACTATCCTTTTAGGAAATATTAACTCCTGGATTGCCAAGAAAAATGGGACTGTGTTTCAGGAGAGACAAATCTAATTTTGGCTTTTTTACTGGAGTGGTAGATTTCATTCAAGTCCTTTGACCTCTGATTTTCAGCCTTTTTTAGGAGATCAGGTGATAATTTGCTGTATGTGGTAAATTCCTTTCAGCTGTAAAATTATTTTGGTAAAATGAGGAAAAGGAAAAGGATGGTCATTTGGCTTCCTTAATTATTATTATTTTGGGATGGATGAGTGAAGTGTAATTAATTATGGAATTTCTGGTGAAATATTGGAACACAAAAAATTTGAAAGCTTTGATTTTAAATACGTTAGTTTCTTTTTGTATAAAACAAGGTGATGTCAGCTTAAGAAATGATGTCTTTCCATTTGACTACTTGAATATTTTTTGTTAGCTTATCCCATTTTTTTTTAAATTTTGACAACTTGCTGAGGTGTTTAGTTTGACTATAATGGTATAACACTTGTGGATATTAGAATATAATATAGCTTTGTGAGTTGGCCGCCATCCTGAAAGAAAATACCTGTTAATTTTTTTCCTGGGTTTGTAACACTAATAATTGCATTGGGTATACATGCAAAAATCTGAACATATTTTAAACTTGTAATAACGATCATTTTATGCATTGAACTCAGTAAAAGGGAAAGATAAGGCATCTTTCTTTGAGTTGTTAATGTGTGTGTTTCATTTATGAAGTATAATCTAATAAATTCTGGTTAACTTGGACTAATTTAAAATATGATAACACGGATGAAACTTGACGTTTACATATGCTCATATAGAAATTAACCAAGATATTAGAAAAAAGTGACCAAAGAATTAGAAAAAATCCAAATGAAATGAGAGACAAACATCTGGAGAAATATGGTCTGGCAGTCTTCAGAGATGAAACTTACTTGTTTAAAACAAAGGCCGTTTCTATATTGGCCTGTTTCTCTCCTCAGGCCTTAGAAGAAAGCCCTTCAAAAAAGAAGGGATGTTATCTTGAAATCAGTAATGTGGACTGACATTCTCATTGACATTAAAGTATTCTTATTTGACTTTTTTTTCTAAATCACTATACAGACTATCGTGAGGAGGAAAAGAAAGTCTTAAATGGTAAGTCTATAAATTTATAATAAATGAATCATATTCACATGCTTATGAATAGTATTGATACACAGAATTGTCTGGGGCATTTAAATTTTTTTCTTTTTTTTCTTTTTGAGATGGAGTATTGCTTTGTCACCCAGGCTGGAGTGCAGTGGCACCATCTCAGCTCACTGTAACCTCCACCTCCCGGGTTCAAGCAATTCTCCTGCCTCGGTGTCCTGAGTAGCTGGTATTACAGGTGCACACCACACACCTGGCTAATTTTTGTATTTTTAGTAGAGATGGGGTTTCACCATGTTGGTCAGGCTGGTCTTGAACTCCTGACCTCGTGATCTGCCCACCTCGGCCTCCCAGAGTGCCGGGATTACGGGCGTGAGCCACTGTGCCCGGCCTAGATTTTTTTTTTTTTTTTTTAATATGAAAGATAGCTTTACTGGCCCAAACTTAAGAGTCTTTTGTAGGGTTTTATAGGCTCCTTATTCCAGCCATTACTCTTATCGTCGTGCCTTCTGTGACATCCCTGAATACATGTTATCTTCCCTCAGCTTGAATACTTGTAGCAGTTAGGAGTTTCTTCCTCAGAAACAAGACAAAATAAGTCAGTTTTCTTAGATGTGAGCTCACCTCCATTGTTTGCATACACATGCCAAATAGTTTATTAATCTACAATTTTTTAAGCTGAGTGGTGCATCCAGCCATTCTGGATGACTTGCAAATAATGACTGACACTTCCTCTCCCCCGCAAAAAAGTTTGGCATGGTGGTCACTACTGACATAAAATGCATGGTGCTAACTCTGACTGAACTATATTGATGTACATTTAGAAACATTTTTTTCTTTCATTTGCAAAAGCAAGTTACAGAAATGCAACTAACAAGCTAGATTGCCAGATGAGTTACCTTTTTCTTTGTTAACTGAAATAGTCTATATTGTGGACTAATTTATGCAATTTATAGTACCTGTAGTTGTTCATCGGATAATATAACACTCTATTAAATGAGGGACTGATCTTTGGTTTCGTCTGATGATTGACTCTTCTGTGGCACTACAAAAGCAACCATTGCTTAATGATTGATTACCGATAGACTAGGCATTTTCTTTCCACCACATGTGGCTTCCAGAACCTGTACTTTTCTGTTGCCTTCTTTGGATGCACTGCATTTGACTAATTTCTCAGTAAAAGGTGGCATTAAGTATGGAATATAGCACTCCACAAGTGATTTGGTTAGCACTGTTACCTCTTGTGACCTGGACCCTGTAAGATTGGAACATATCTGTCTATCTATATATTTATTAGCTGCTTTTCCCTTTTGGCTCATTTAAGTCTATGTGGTATGTCTCTGTATTTGCAAATGTGATCTGCCTGCATTCTATGTTACTATTCCAATAGCTGCTTAAAATACTGAATGGGTTGGACTACTTTCCTATTCCACTAGAGACCCGATCCCTTCAAATTGACGACATTCAATCAACCAATACTTATGGAAGGGAGAACATGCATTCAGTCCACCTTGCATTACTTAATTATTTTTTTTCACTACACATTCACCCCGTATTCTTTCAACTTACTCAAAATAATATTATGTAAAGTTTGAGGGTTTTTTTTGTTTTTAGTTAGTTTTAAATTAAGATATATTCCATGGCTTATTATTCTGTTTTAATAAGATATATCTTAATTATACTAAATAGTTTTTTAGAATGTTTGATTATTGTCTCATTTGCTCACCCATGAGATTGCAGGGACCATTTCATTGCTATTAATAGTTCCAATTTGAGGAAGAGGAAACAGTGGCTTGCATAAAATCACAGTACTGGCACCGAGCTTAAGTATAGATTTTCTGGTCCTAATTAGGTCATACAAGATCAATGTTGACTTACAATTTATCAATTCTGTTTATAGCGTTTTCTTACAGAAATTCTTAGATTTTGATGCATTTGATTTTTATTTATATACTTAAGAGACTTCCAAAAGAGAAACAACATTAATCTCTGAAATCTTTCAGTGCTTCTTAATTTAATAAGATTATTTTGTCTTGCTTTTACCATATTAGAAAAAATACATTTAATTCTTGTAGTCCTCTCTTGTTTTACGTGTAGTTTTGTAGTAGAGCACTCTTCTTTTAGTGCCCACTGCTAATTATTAGTTCACAACTCTGACCTTGTTGTCACATCTCTGAGGCTTCCTTTGTTTATTTGAAAATAGTGTTCTGCAGAGTTATGTGGGAAGAAATGGAAGCTGAATGAGTAAGGCCTGGACTCAGGGCTCACCATCAGCCCATTCAGAAAAATATGACTGTTTTACATCTTACTTGCACTTGAGCTTGTCTTGAAACAAAACGTTTGTGTCTAAAAAGAATCTTGAAAACCTCTAAACTGTCTTGTCCCAAAGGTGTCTTGCAACTCTTAAATTTATATCAAATACTTTGATTTCTAATTTGGGCACCCAAGACTCAGCAGATACTAACCATTAATTTTTGTTCCTGTATAGTTTGAAAAATAGTAATATAATTGATGCAATGATTTTCAAAAGTCATGTAGCAGCAGTACTTCTTTTTTCCAAACTAAATCTTACCATATACAAACAATGCACTTCTATTGTAGGGGGGAAACACTTAATGTTTGCAATATCTTGAGTTCTTCCATGCCTCAGAGTTTTCTGAAGTCATTTAAAAACCATAGCATTAGTGGGCTTTTAAAATGCATCATACACCCAAGATGCATTTTGTGGGTGTACATACCCACAAGAATGCATACCCACAAGAGTGAGTAAAATGGGAAAAGACAGAAGACCACATGTTGGTGAGGTTGTGGAGCAGCTGGAACTTTCAAACACTTTTTACTGTGGTAAAAAGTGTAAATTGGTACAACCACTTTGAAAAGCCATTCAGTAGTATCTTCTAAAGCTAAACATACAAACACCCTTCATACTAACCAAAAATGTAGATATGTGTTCTTTAAGAATATGCATGTACCTGTAAAAGAATATTTATATCAACACTGTGTATAATAACTCCAAACTGGAAACAACCTGAATGTTCATCAACAGGAGAATGAATAAATTGTGAACTATACATATAAAGTAATACTGCTCAGTTACAAAAAGGACCAAGCTGATGAATTCAGTAGCATGGATAAAATTTCAGAAAGCCTAGATTTGATTTATTGCTTATTATTTATCATGCTTATTTCACATAAGAACTGTAATGTCTAGAATATTGGACAAAAAGCCAGACTAAAAGAGAACATGTGTTATCATTCTACTTATATAAAGTTCAAACACAGGCAAATACTAACCATGGTGTTAGTAGTCAGAATACATGTTACTCTTGAGGCAGGGGTGGTGATTGAAAAGGGGGCATGAAGAGAGTGCTGACTGCAAGGGTATGTATGTTTCACTTTATCACGGCCTTTTGGCTAAGATCAAGTGAAAATATATTGAGTAGTACATTTGTGATTTGTATCCTTTTATGAATATATGTGATATTTCACTAAGAAGTTAACTTAAAAGACAAAAAGTTAAAAATACTTTGTAGATGAACTATAGCTATCTTTCTTTGTAAAGGCATGCTTCCCAAGAGCCAAGTGACAGATACACTTGCCAAAGAAGGTCCTAGTTATCCAAGGTATGCATTCTTATTTAAAATTTTTAAAGTTAAATCAATTATGTACAAAAATGTACACATTTAAAAAATAAAGTAGCTCTGGGTTTGATTTATTGCTTACTGTTAGTCATGCTCTTTGACACAAGAACTGTAATGCCTCATTTATTAGATGTTGTTGGAGAATGAGCTGTTCCATAAATGTGAATTTTAAATATAACTGAAGTTTGATCCATTTTAAACACCAATACTTTAAAAAACTATTCTAAAATATTTTTCTGATTATAAAAAAATACATTAATGGTAGAAAACTTAGAAAATAGAGAAATACAAAAGAAAGTGATAAAATCAGTTGTAATCTCACCATCCTTAGATGTATACTATTATTTATATTTTCCAGTTAGATTAATATAATACCTACTTCCATATTATTCTATTTTTATAATATTGGTATGACAGTATATGAGCATTTTTCTATGCTGTTAAATATTCTGCGAAAGCATTTTTCTCTGCATTCCATCATATGACCATGCCATAATGTATTTAAATATTCTATTTTTTATATCTAGTTCATTTTTATCAATTTTTAATGAGAATTCTTCAAAATATATTGCCCAATAGTTGTCTTTAACAGTTAACAGTAACTTAAGCAATACATATATATTTCGTTAATGACACTTAAAATGCCTTCAGGTGTGTTCTCTGTAGTTTTTTCTTTTACCCCTTTTCTCTCTACCACCAGTCTATATTATTCTAATATCAGCATCCTGCTATATTTGTTAAATTATTTCATATACAATTTTAAGTTAGGGACTAAGGATGCCCTCTGTAAATTAGACTATATAGGTGATAAGTGCAAAAAGAGTATCAATTTGATCAATAGCTGTAACAAAACAGAAGACTTAGTTTCACTTTAAGTTTCACTATGGACCCATTAAACAACCTTGATGAGTTCATTTCTTCACTACTAATATATTTGTGACAGGGAGGAATGAAGATAATAAACATGTGCATTTTTTCATGCTCTTTAACAAAATATGTTGTTTTGGTTTTGCTCTGATAAAAGAAGATTTTAGTAAAGAGATGTATAGGCTCTATAAAAAGGGTCTTGTTGAGGATATTTTGTTTTTACTCAAGTGGGAATACATGGAAGTCTAGATATTTTAAATTTAGAAATAGTTGTCAGCTGTATAATGAAGAATGTAACATGGTAAGACCAGTTTATTTAGAAAAAAAGCTTAACCTAGAGAAATACAGATATGTCTCATTATAAATTTTAAACATTTAATGATTAATATATGTGAATGCACATGATTGTCAATATAATTATTCATCCTTTTATTTATATTTTACAGCTATGATTGGTTCCAAACAGACTCTTTAGTCACCATTGCCATATATACTAAACAGAAGGTAAATATGTCTTTAAAATCAGAAAAGAAGAAAATAATAAATGTTAATTTATGTACCAGGTCTTTTTCTAAACACTTTTTTATATTATTTACTTCTCACTATAATTCTTTGAGGTAGATAGTATTGTTATCCCTTTTGTACAGAAGAGGAAACAAAGAAAAGATTAAGTAATTCACCCAAAGTTACACACTGAGTGGCAGATCTGGCATTTGGAACTCAGGCAGTCTGGTTCCAGAACATCTGCTCTTAACAGCCATTCCTATAGCCTCTTAAAAATCAGAGTAGGAAGTATTTTATGTGTTTTTCTGTGTGTGTGTGTGTGTGTGTGTGTGTGTGTGTGTGTGTGTAAAGCATGGATAACAAAAAATGAATCTCAGTTAACATCACCATAAGAACAAATTTCCTAGACATAAACTAGGATTGGAGAAGGTATTTCGCTGTGGCTGTGGCTTAGTATGTTTAAACCACTAATGGTGTTCAGATGCCCATTTGAAACTGAAGTTAGGGAGGTAATTCAGTAACCATCAAAACTAAAGTTAGGGAGGTAGTTCATTCACTAAGTATTTATAACCTGCTTCATGTAGAACACAGCCTTAGAGATCAGGGATCTAATAGGTCAGATACGTAGAGACCTGACTTTCAAAAGGCTTACAGTCCAGCTGGAAAATCAGATAAATATGCAGACAATTTAAAATATCTCCAAGCACATCCTCCAGCAACTGTTGAGGTTCCCACACTTTGAGGGATATGTAGATTTAAAGACAAGCTCTGGCAGCTAGGAATTTTTGAGAATTTATGCTACTTCTATAGTAGCAGAACCATGTCTGAACCAGTGGGTTCCTCTCATTCTTGCAGCATGATTTGGTCATTCTGCAGGAGTGACCAGCCTCTGCTTGGAAAGAGCCAAGATGGCCAGAGGCACTACTTATCCTGTTTTCCACTCCCTCTTGATATTGTCTCTTCATCACACAGTTCAAAACCCAGAGCACAGGCTCTAGGGAGGTCCACTTGCACTGGTAATATCAATGGAACACAGAGGATGGATGGCTAAGGGAAAAGGAAAGGTTTCCATGTGGAATAATGTATTCATTGAATAATATAAATAATATATATCTTACACCAAGGCTATGTAGAAGTTAGAGACATCTAAAAATATGTTAGTGAATTGATTTTTTTTATAAGCTAAGGTCAAGAGGTTATGTAATTTGCCCAGGATCATACATTACAGGAAAGATAAAGATGAACAACAAATATCTTGGTTTCTGCTGATTGTAATTTTCTGGGGGGTGGGGGGAGGGTTCCATATGGCTTATTCAAAAAATATTTATTGAACACCTACTAGGTGCCAAACAGTGTTCTAAAGATAGTCCCTTAACCTTAGAGCTTAGAGATTAGTGGATAAGGTAGATATTAAACAGAGACAAATATGTAGTAATTAAAATTTGGTGTGTCAATTGAAGGAGAAGAACTGGGTTGTAAGAGAAAAACAGAAGTCACATTTGTTTAGCTTGGAGGTTCAATAAAGAAGCACCGTATGAAGTACCGCAGATCACCTTAAAAGTATAGTTGTAGAAGTTTGGGGGAAAATTTTACTTTCTAATCTTTCTATTTTTGCTTTCTCTTTAAGGATATCAATTTAGACTCAATAATAGTTGATCATCAGAATGATTCCTTTAGAGCAGAAACAATTATTAAGGATTGTTTATATCTTATACATATTGGTGAGTACTTTATTATTATTAATGGAAAGAGCTCTGGTTTTCTTTAAATATGGCAATAACTTGGTCTACAGTCTAGGTAACTGTAATATTTTATCTGCTGTTACCATTTTGGTTTGTCATTTTTGATCAGTTTTTTTCCTGTAATTTCTTTACACTAATAAAAGTACTAGCAAGTGGCGGTGTGACCTCACCTTTCGAAGTTTAAGCAATTAGATGCAATCAAAATCAATAATATAAAATACTTGTTGGCCCAGTTGTGTAAAATCTCTCGTGCCTGACACCTACAAGAAGTCTTCCAAGGCCCATTGGTCACATGTCTTACTGACTGTCCTTCGCTAGGTGGCCCATTCCACTGGTCTGTTCCTTGCCAGTTCTGCCATAGGAAGTCAGTGGCTGCAGCAAAGCAGCCTGGACTACAAATTTGTATTGTATCCTCCAGCTGTCAGTCCCTTCGTGGCTAAAGACCAACTTTGTATTTTTTTATCAGGACAGAGAAAAAAGTGGTAGAAACCAGGGAACCCTACACTAGCATACATATTTTAAAAAACTAAAAATTCCACAGTTAAAAATATGAAACTCTTGGTTGCCAATATTGCATTGGAATGACTGAAATCATACAAAATTGTAAATTCCAGATAACCATATGAACACAGTGAAATTTACAGCAGACATTTGTAAGCGTATTTCTTGCATCCCCCACTTCTGGAATATAAGTTCCATAGGGGCAGAAATGTTTCTGTCTTATTAACTGTTGTGTCCATAATACCTAGAAAATACCTGTCACACATAGACGCTCAATAAAATTTTTTTTCAATAACTGAATGGATAGTCAACTTTGGAGAACAATAAGAAAAGGTAAGCTAGACCCAGACCTGGCCTCTGTTCACATACATACACACACACTCACACACTGGGGCTTGCGTGCTTCAGGTGCTGCCTCTCCGTAGCCTGCTCCTCTCTTGGTTTGTAGGATTCCCAGTCTGGAACCATCCATGCTTGGACTAGCGTGGGTTACCCATTTATGGGCAATTGAGTATTTGCTCTTTAGTTAAAAGGGAGAAAAATGAAACAATTGAAAATGTATGTATTTAAATGATTTGATTCTTTATTTTGATTGTGTAAAATTGTTTTGGTCTTTCAGAACACGTTTTGTCTTGAGGGATTTGAAATAGTACATAAAAGAGCCATTTAAATGACATATGGTGTTCAAAAACTGTATGAATTGAAGTTCTATTTTAACTAAATAAATTTGTCTGTCCTAGGGCTAAGCCATGAGGTTCAGGAAGATTTTTCTGGTAAGCTACCAAAAACCAAAAATTATGTATGTACGTACATATACACATACCTACAGAGAGAGAGATACGAAAAAATTGAAAAATTAGCATTTGTTTTATTTTTCATGTCTATATTTTCACATTGCAAAACAAAGATGTGATGTTTTCTCTTTTTTTTTTAAACTTTTAAGTTCTGGGATACATGTGCAAGATGTGCACGTTTGTTACATAGGTAAATGTGTGTCATGGGGGTTTGTTGTACAGATACAAACAAATACATTAATTTTTAAATATACCCCTCCCTCTGGTTTTGGGTTTTTTCCTATTTTTTCTTCCCCTTATTCCTTTTTTGTGTGTGAGATGGGGTCTCACTCTGTCACCCAGGTTGGACTGCAGCAGTGTGATCTTGGTTCACTGCAACCTCTGCCTCTCAGGCTGAAGTGATCCTCCCGTCTCAGCCTCCTGAGTAGTTGAGATCACAGTACACACACCACCACACCTGGCTAATTTTTTTTTGTAGAGACGGGGTTTCACATGTGGCCCCGACTGGCCCCCCTTATTTTTTTTCTCTCTTTAACCTTTCTTTTTTTTCTCCTTAAAAAAAAAAAAATCTGTCTCCTTTTTATTCTTCATTCCTCGTATCTGCCCTACTCCTGACATGCAGCTTATAGAAATATACTATGTTAGACAAATTTTTCTTTCATCTATATATTTAAATGTTTAATGTTGAGAGAGCATACTAAATTATGAATGTTGCTGCATATAAACATGCAGCGTAGGTTTTACACAGCTATTTAATAATAGAAGACTCATCATAGAATGGTATATTCTTGTTTTCAAGTACTGTCATGGTACCTTACACTGGTCCAATGTTTCCTCTTTTCCGTATATCATTATAGGCTCTGTAAATTGTATAAATCAGGCTCTTTAAAGACAAAGACCATGGTTTTATTTTGGTTAAGCTTCAAATCAGTGCTCATTGAATTGAATTCATTTGACTCATCTATCTTTAAAAGTTAAATTGTTACTGGGTGTTGTGTTCACTATAGGGGAGAGCAGAACATTGTTTCTGAAGAAAAATTAAATATGCTTTAAATCTTTAAAAGCATGTTCAATTCATAAAATTTAAATCAGCATATGAAAGCACATATTTTATTATTTTACCCATATATTGTAAACATTTTAATTATTCAATAAATAAAAAGGTAATCTAAAATATTTTTATCAAAGATTCACATGCACTTTATCAATTTACTCTATTGACTAGGAACTCATTCTCATGAGGCTCTTCTTGTGTTTAGTAGGCTCAGTATTAGTCTACTGAATTTAGTCATCAGAATCCTTCAGATTCTAAGGAATGTTAACGAAACAAATTAGAGGCTGACATGGGCGGATCTCGAGGTCAGGAGATCGAGACCATCCTGGCTAACACAGTGAAACCCCATCTCTACTAAAAATAAAAAAAAAAAAATTAGCCGGGCGTGGTGGTGGGCGCCTGTAGTCCCAGCTACTCAGGAGGCTGAGGCAGGAGAATGGCGTGAACCCGGGAGGCGGAGCTTGCAGTGAGCCAAGATCACGCCACTGCCCTCCAGCCTGGGTGACAGAGCAAGACTCCGTCTCAAAAAAAAAAAAAAAAAAAAGAATTAAATTTGCTTTTGTGGGGGCATTCGATGCTAATTTGTACATCTCAACCTTTTTTTTTTTTTTTTTGTTAGCTTTATGTCAATTAGTTGCCATGGCTATATTTGAGCTTGTTTGAAAACCAGCAACACATAGTAGTTTGGCCCTTAATAAATTAGTTTGAAAGAACTTAATCTGAATCTATTAATAAAATAAAGCATATAAGGATAAACAATTATGATTGTGATTGAATATGTAAGCAAAATCTTATTTATCCCACTAATAATCAGTACCATTCATATTAGATCAGGACACTTGTACTATTTGAGAAATACTGGTTTTAAAATAAAATCTTGTATTTAGTATCGATGAACACAAATGGAATTTATCTTCTTTTCAGTGCGGGTTGTTGAGAGTGTGGGAAAAATAGAGATTGTTCTACAAAAAAAAGAGAATACTTCTTGGGACTTTCTTGGCCATCCCCTGAAGAATCATAATTCACTTATTCCAAGGAAAGATACAGGTATGCTGTGTTCTTTTGTTACGTTAATTTCACATTCATGAAATTGTTGTTAGTTGTACAGTTGTACCAGAGTTTGGAAGGCTGCTTTGAAATGAGCTGAAGGGTCCTTGTATCTACTGCTAGGAAGTTTGAAAGGGACAATGTGTGTTGTCCTGCTTTTTTTTCCCATAGAAGTTAAATTTCAGACTCTACTATCTAATGTTTAGGCATAGCAAAGTCATTACGTAATGATACCTGAATGAAGAAGCCCACTTGTGCTTAGACTGTTGATCAACCATTTTCTCTTTCAGGTCCCCTTTTGTGAAAGATACAAAAACAAGTTTAAGTTTATGCTTTGTATGTCTGCTTGATATTTTTCCTAATGAGGAAGACATGTTTACTATTTTTCTTCTTAATTAAACTGGTTTCTCAGTTTACTTCTTGTATTAGTCTCTTCTCACATGGCTATAAAGAAATGCCTGAGACTGGATAATTTATAAAGAAAAAAGGTTAATTGGCTCACAGTTCCACAGGCTGTATAGGAAGCATGGTCCTGGCATTTGCTTGGTTTCTGGGGAGGACTCAGGAAACTTACAATCATAGCAGAAGGTGAATGGAAAACAGGCACATCTTACATGGCTGGAGAAGGAGGAGGAGAGAGATGGGGGAGGTGCTACACACTTTTAAACAACCAGATCTTGTGTGAACTCTGTCACGAGAACACCACCAAGAGGGTGGTCCTAAACCATTCATGAAGGATCCGCCCCCATGCTCCAGTCAACTCCAACTAGGCCCTACCTCCAACACTGGGGATTACAATTCAACCTAAGATTTGGAAGGGGACACAGATCCAAACCATATCTTTTCTAAAAGATGATACCATTCATTTCTTTTCATTTTTAAAAAGCTTTTTATCTAAGTTTAACATATATATAGAAAAGGGTGCATATTAGAAGTGCTCTACTTGATGATACTTTGCAAAATGAACATATCCTGTATTTTCTCTTTGGAAATTGGTAGTATTTGCTCCTTGTTCTAAGTGTTTTGGAATTTCACAATGATGTGCCAGAACATGGATGATTTTTCATCCTTCATGCTGGGTATACATTTTTTGTGCTAATCTTTTCAATATGGAAACTTAATGATCTTCAGTTCTTGGAAACTATTATTGGTTTTTCTTCTCCCCATGGTCTGTTTTACTTTCTACATATTGAACTTCCTTAACTGTTCTTCTAATTATCTTATCTTTTCTCTCTTATTTTCAGTTTTGTCCTTTTGTTCTACTTTCTGCAAGATGTCTTCAGCTGTGTCTTCTAGCTCTTCTATTGAGTTACTCATTTCTACTCATATTTTTAACTTCTATAAATCCTTTGATTTCTTTTCCTTTGTTTTAGCATCCTATTCTTATTAGCTTATCTTTTAAAGAATGACTGGTAATGTTTTCTTCTCACTGTATAACTTCTGTGTCCCTCAGGTTTGTTGTTTTTCATTTGTTATGGTGTCTTTAATATTAAATGCTTTCTTTGAATGTTTCCTAATCTTTTACTATCTGCTCATATTTCAGGGTGGGACTGTAAAGCTAATTGGAAACTGTGCATGTGGGTGTGGCTTGTCAACGGTTATATTCACTATATGGCTGGAACATTTCTTTGGGAAAAGTCCAATGCCAAGAGTCCCTAGAGTGAACAATCTCCTACCTTGTACCCAGCATTTCAGAAGCCATGTGGGGAAGAAGGCTGGGCCTAGCTTCTGGTATATCTGTAAGCGTCACTTAATTTTTTCTTTCTTTTTTTTTTTTTCTTAGAATGTTATATTAGTTTGCTAGGACTGCAGTAACAAACTACTACAGACTGAGTGTCTTTGGCAGAGTCGGTCTCTTCTGAGACTTCTTCCCTTAGCTTGTAGATGGCCTCCTTTTTTCCTGTTTCTTTAGATGGTCTTCCTTCTGTGTGTCTGTGTCCTAATGTCCTCTTTATAAAAATACCAGTCACAATGAATTAGAGCCAACTTAATTACCTTTTAAATGAAGACCCCATTTCCAAATGTCGTCACATTCTGAAGTGTTGGGGGTTATGACTTCAACATATGTGTTTGGTGAGGGGACACAATTCAGTCTATAGCATAGACCCAATCCAAAGACCCCTTGTTTACCCTCTAGAGTGCAAACTTCTTATATTTTGCTCATGTGGGGAAGTGTCAGTCATGTGGCTGTGCTAAGTAGGGGAGGACTTCAAGGGGATGGGAAGACCTATCCAAGCTTCTTAAATGAACTTGTATTGAGAAAGTAATTTTAATTCTACCTTGACTCTGATGCCAGAGGTACTTGGTCCTGCCAGTTTCTGGGCCTTAAAGGAATTTTGTATTATAAGCATGTTGGTTCTTGGCTTTCTACACTTCTGGCTTAGCATTCATCTGTCTTGGGTCTGTTGAGTCATTTACCAGTCTTCTCTCTGCCTTGTCAGCTCCTAAAGTTTTGTTGCTTTTGTCTCTGATTTCCGTTCTTCCTGTCTGTGTGGGCTTATGCCTTAAAAATCAAACACACATACAAAAACCCTCTTTGTTGTTATTTTAGGGGATTCAGAAGGAACTAACTGCATGTATTCAGTTTATCTTCTTTAAATATGTAAAATTATCATATATAATTTATTGCATGAGATAGGAAAAAACAAACTTTTTCCTAGTCTTACCGCTCCACTCAGAACACTAAAATGTGAGATTTCTTCTCACCAACAACCAATTCTACAGCAAACTGTCTATCCTACAATTTAACTCAAGTCTGATACATCCTGGAGTTTAGGGCAGACCCCACAGGTTAAGGGCTTAGTCCCACAAGACTGCCCCCTACTTCACATGCCAGTTGCAAATTCCAGGTTGTGATCTATCTTCTGACCAGCTACCTATAAATCAGTGTTATCACAGCCTCCTTCTTGGGTTCAAAAATTTGCTAGGATGGCTCACAAAACTCAGGGATACATTTAAGTTTATCATTTTACTATAAAGGATATTACAAAGGATACAGATAAATAGCTGGATGGAAGGAATACATAGGGAAAATATGTGAAAAGGGGCACAGAGCTTCCATGACCTCAGTGATTGCATCACCCTCCAAACATTTTCATGTGTTCAGCTTTCCACAAGCTCTTCAAACCATGTCGTTTTGGGTTTTTATGGGGGCTTTATTACGTAGGTGTGATTGATTATGTCAGTGACCATTGGTGAGCAGCTCAACTTTCAGCCTGTCCTGTCCTCAGAGGTCTAGGAAGGGGCCTGCTGGTTCCAATCCTTTAATCACATGGTTGGTTTCCCAGGCAGACAGGTCCCATCTTGAGGCTATCCAGGAGCCCACCAGGATTCTCCCCATTAGAACAAAAGATGCTCCTATCACCCAGGAAATTTCAGGGATTTAGGAATTCTGTTTAAGACACTTGTAGTACTTAGGAGATTACAGAAAGTTTTAGGAGCTCAATGTCAGGAACCAGGGTTAAAGACCAAATATTAGAATAGAAGATTCTTTTAGTGTCTTTTTACAAGGATTTTAGGAGTTCTATGTCAGGAACCAGGGACACAGACCAATAAGTATTTCTTTTTAATTCACAATTACGAAAATATATTTGTAGATAATTTTCAGAAAAGTATGAGGCAGCCTTATTTTGAGTACACCTTGTGTGTAGGAGACTGTTTCAGGCACTGGAATGAAACAGAGTATGGGAAATTTAGTTTCCCAGGTGGAAGATAGAAAATAAGCAAACATGAAATTGAAGAATACTTTTATAAGGAAACAGGCCGACAAGGACAAGTTATACAGTACAAACTAAACATGTTTTGTGGTGGCCCCAAGTGAATAGACACAGATGAATTTGGTCTTGAATGACTGCCTCAAGGAAGTGAATTTGAAGCAGTATTTTCAAAGTGAGGTCCATGGCTTTCAGAAAAAAAAAACAAAACAAAAACTATATGGGACTTTCCAGGTGGAGCTACAGATCATTACTGGTTGCATATTGTGCCAAGCATTTTGCTGGGTGTAGAGAGAGAAAAATGTAAGTGGCATATATAGGAAAGTTCAAATGGGTTAATTTTACCAGAGCAAGAAGTCTGAATTTTTTGGTCATAGAGAAATGATAGTGTGATATAGCAGATCAGAAAACAATAGAAAAGGGACAATGGAAATGAAAAGGTATTTTTAGAGTGAAGTCTCTTTCCCTGAAATTATCTGACTTATCTAGTGACTGAAAAATCATAGCAAACTAGGTAAAAGCCAAGTCCAAGAAATAAATGATACTGAGAACCTGGGCTGACCTCCATTTGGAAATACTAGTTAGAACGACATCATTCAGATATTCTCTGTAATTTCTTGAGGCTTTCCATGAATTCTTTTATTTCTGCTGTAAATTTTTCCTTGAATCCTGAAACACCATTAAAAAAGAAAGGTTTAGCTTTCTTGTTTGAAATGGGAGCTATAATGTGTTTTTCAGTGAAGGTTTTCCACTTTGGAAAATGACTTGGAGTTTAGGAGATATTTTTGTTTATTTCACTGCATTAGCAAAGATAATTTCATCTTTCTCTTTTCTCCTCCTTAACTCATGACAAAAACTAGGTTATTTTATTCACTAGCAAAGCCGAATGCTTACATCAGCAAAGTATTATAATTAACTTGCTTTGAGTAGCCTTAAAGATTTACAGCCAATTATGTGGTTCCTAGATTTTCAATATGTATTGCTGTAATTATTGACTTTATGATAATAGTATGCTGGCTCCATCTTACTAGTTTCTTAGCTAAAAGAACTTGTTTGAAAACAAGTGTATAAGTTGAAAAACTTTTAATATAATGTTTTCACATGTCAAATCTAGAATATACTTACCTGAAGGATTCATATATCAGAAAGAACATCAATCAGAGAAGAGAAACTTTCATTTTTTACCTTCCATCCAAATGTAGTAGGTCAGTATTTTAAATTGTATGAATTGAACCAATATGATTTATAAGTGTGATGCTTCCAATTAATTTTTTTCTTCCCGGAAATGAAGATTATGAGTGAGTAGCTCTGGGGGGTGTGTGGGAGAAAGAGGCAGGGGGAGAGAAAGCTATAGAGAAAGAGATGGCTGAGGAACTTCTCTATTAGGGTTCAGAAATCAATAGATAATTGAATTGCTATTTCTATACCCAAGGTAACATTAGCATTTTATCTTAATTGATACTGTCTTTAATATGGAGTCTTGGATCACCAAACAAAGGTAATTTTAAAGATATGCCAACAAATAACCCAGTCAATTAGTCTTAGGAAACAAGATTTAAAAAAAAAATTGTCTCACAATTTTGATATGTTAACAGCCACTTACAGGCACATGTTGGAGATGTTGTGGGTTGGGTTCCAGACCACCACAATAGAGTATCACAATAAAGCAAGTCACACAATTTTTTTGGTTTCCCAGTGCATGTAAAATTATATTTACATTATACTTTAGTCTGTTAAGTATGCAATAGCATTATGTCTTAAAAACAACTTATACATTTTAATTTAAAAAACAGTATATTACTAAAAAATGCTAACAATCATCTGAGTCTTCAGTGAATCATAATCTTTTTGCTGGTGGAGAGTCTTGCCTCGATGCTGATGATTGGTGACTGATTAGGGTGGTGGTTGCTAAAGCTTGGGGTAGCTGTGGCAATTTCTTAAGAAAAAATGAAGTTTGCCCACATCGATTGACCCTTTCTTTCACAAAAGATTTTTCTGATAGCATTTTATTCACAGTAGAACTGCTTTCAAAATTGAAGTCAGTCCTCTCAAACTCTGTTGCTGTTTTATCAATTAAGTTTATGTATCATTCTAAATTCTCTGTTGTCATTTCAGCAACATTTCACAGCATCTTTGCCAGGAGTAGATTCCATCTCAAGAACCTACATTTTTTACTCATCCCTAAGAAACAACTGCTCATCTGTTCCAAGTTTTATCATGAGATTGCAGCAATTCAGTCAAATCTTCAGGCTCCACTTCTAATTCTAGTTCTCTTGCTGTATTTCCACCACATCTGCAGTTACTTCCTCCACTGAAGTCTTGAACCCTTCAAAGCCATCTGTGAGAACTGGAATCACCTTCCAAATTCCTATTAATGTTGCTATTTTGACTGCCTCCCATAAATCTCAAATGTTCTTAATGGCATCTAGAATGGTGAAACTTCTATATTTGAAGCCCGCTGTTGAGACTTACTATGTGAAAAAAAAAAAAAGATTCCTTTCAAATTGTTATCATTCATTGACAGTCACCCAAAAACTCTGATGGAGATATCTGTCATGAAGATGGCTTCTTTCCTTAAACCTCTTAAACCAACTTCTAGCTTCCAACTTTTCTTTTGTAGCTTCCTCACCTCTCTCAGCCCTCCTAGAATTGAGAAGAGGTAGGACCTTGCTCTGGATCAGGTTTTTGGCTTAAGAGAGTATTCTGGCTGGTTTCATCTATCCAGACCACTCAGACTTTCTGCATATCAGCAATAAGCCTATTTCGCTTTCTTATCAGATCATTCATATGCTCACTGAAGTAGGACTTTTAATTTCCTTCAAGAGCTTTTCCATTGCATCCACAACTTGGCTATAGTGATTGGCTACTAATAATTACTAATCATGTTCTCAAACTTTTAAAACAAGGCCTACTGAGTTGGGACAAGAAACGCTAATAGCGTCTTACTCCATCCCACATCTTTTCCAGCTGCCCTGAGATGTTGGACAAGCTTTTTAACTTCTATAAGCTTCTGTTTCCAGCAGGGAAAATAAGAGTAACTAAGTGCTTCAAAAGTGCAAGAAGGAGAAGCCAGTTGAAGGCAGTGTGGACTCCTAGTGCAGTCTTCTCTTTCTCTTCTATCTCCCATTGAAGACTTTACCTGTGTTTTCTGTTTTGGCCTTGTGAAATTCTATTTTTTAAAAGGGAAAATACAGTTTCTTTTTAACATTAAGAGAAAAGTATGCCCAAATAGTCTTATTATCCTCAGTATTTCACCCTTACCCTGAGTATCTCAATATTAATTGTATGTATTTAATTCAAATAAGTTAGGTATTTGGGGCAGTAATGTTTCTGTCTTATGTTTTTGTTTTACTGTCTTTATTTTCAGTTTCTCATTTTTTAGCATAATTACCTGTGCTTAGAAAGCCAAAAAGTGGACAGTTAGATAATGGCATTGTGCAGGCTGAAGTAGTCAGTGCCATCTGCTTTATACTTCTTTTTTGTTTATATATATATATATTTTTTTTTTATTATACTTTAAGTTCTAGGGTACATGTGTACAATGTGCAGGTTTGTTACATATGTATACTTGTGCCATGTTGGTGTGCTGCACCCATTAACTTGTCATTTACATTAGGTATATCTCCTAATGCTATCCCTCCCCCCTCCCCTCACCCCACAACAGGCCCTAGTGTGTGATGTTCCCCTTCCTGTGTCCAAGTGTTCTCATTGTTCAGTTCCCACCTATGAGTGAGAACATGCGGTGTTTAGTTTTTTGTCCTTGTGATAGTTTGCTGAGAATGATGGTATACTTCTTTTTTCTTATCTTATATACTGCAGTTCCCATCTGTCTGTGCTTTCTCCTTGATGCAATTGAAAGATGAAAACTTTCTTAAATCTTTCTTAAAATCCTTGGAACCTATAGTTAGGCTGTTCTTTTGAAATTATAGTCAGGCTTCTATGGGTAGAACATTGAAATTATCTCAGTAGTGTTAAATAACAAGAATGCTGTGTCAACTCTCTAACAAGGAAAGTCAGTAAATCACTGTAACCCAGGATTTCCTTGTGTTTTAAATATCATTGGAGAGTTGCATAGTTACTATAGCAAACTTTTCTAGCAAATGCTAGAGTAGAAATTGTCAATCCAGAAGGTGAGCATTTTCATACAGCTGTAAAGTTATCAAGATGATATGCACTAGATTTTATTAGAAGAAAACAACACTGTGGTCCTTAGACCTGTGCAAGAGGGTCACCTGCCCTGGGTTCCACACTTGGAGAGCCCCACGTGACTGTCTCCAGCCACACCCCTCCCACAAGGTGAGGAGTATTGCAAGGCCACGAAGTATCCACCTGGAGCTCATCCTCTTTCTTTCAACTTCACCCTCTGTATCTAGAACCATGATTCCCTGCCCAAATGACCCCAAATCTACTTCTATCCAAGGAGTGGCCAGGGCTGTTTATGTGAAAAGCTAGTGCATGAGCTTGAGCCTTTACGTTAATGTATCCACACCCATTTAAGACCCTACTCATTGTCAGACAGAGCCAAGGATGAGAAGACAAGGGGGACAGGCAGTAAGAGTGCAGGTCTCATTCCTCTGCCATCTCACTGATACACTGAGGAGTTTAAGAATCCCGAATTTGAACCTAGCCTTCTAGGACCTTGTAAAGGTATATATTCCAAGATGTAGCATAGAACATACTTTGACAGTTATTTGCGTGATTTATAACGTTAAATATTTATACATATATAGTATGTGGGTCTCTAGTTGTATTCTTACTGTAGGTTCCAGAAAGGGTCTGGAGAAAGAAATAAAGAGATCATTTGCACCTTCATTTCTCCTTGTGCATGGGCCTATGTCCTTTGACCCTTTGGTTAGTCCAGTGCTTGTTAGGCCTTCCGGGATAACTTTAGGGTGGGCTCTTAGCCGTAATCTGGTCCAAGCCTGTGCCCTGGCACTAGAGTGAGGTGACCTCTAGTGATACTCCAAGGTCTTTGCATAAAGCGATATAGTCTAAGCTTATATACTTACTGCTACCATGATAGGTGGAAAATTGAGTGACTGATCTGTTGGGAGCAAAAGGGAGAAGGGAAGTTGGATTCATTTGTGACTAAAATGATTTCTTAGGATTATAGGTGAATTTCAGTTTTCTACTAAGCATTGATTATTAGCTGTTGGCCCTTCACTTTCTAAGATCTGGAGAAAATATTTCTGCACCTACTTGAATATTTTTAGCTTAAAAAAAAGAGAATAGAGTAAGAAATATATTATCAGGGTTTATTCATTTACATCTCTGTAAATACTATTTTATGAGAGAGGAAATAAAAAGTTAATATCTTCACGTTATTCTGATATGCTGTTTATGTTCAAAGATAATTTACAAGTGAAAATCTTAATTCTTTCAGAAATTCTGTAATAAATTCTTCTAATCCAAATGGTATTATTTGCTCTGTATACAAACAATATTTTCTGAGCTTGGGATATTTCAAATTTCTCTAGTATTTATAAAAATATTTGATTCCTTTTATCTATTTGTATGTTAGTACCATAATCCTATTCCTACCATCTTCAGCTTTTCACTTGAATTAATTTTCAGATACCAAAACCTACACCTTTAAGCATAAATGTTTTTGTTTTAATCATTTTTGACAGTTAAAATGTTCTCTAATCATGTATATAAAATACATACACACAAACATAGAGACACAAGAATGTCTATCTTTCTTGCCTTTGTCAAAGAGATATTCTAAAATTGCTTACTAGTGCTACTGTTGTTAAGCCTTAAAGGCTTGAGTTTCAGGACTTTTCCATGGTGTAAGAAAAGATTTTAGAATGTACCGTGGCTCATGCCTATAATCTCAACACTTTGGGAAGCCAAGATGGATGGATTGCTTGAGTCCAGGAGTTCGACATCAGCCTGGGCAACATAGTGAAACCCAATCTCTTTAAAAAAAAATTAAAAAAAAAAAAAAGACTTTAGAATGTAAGTTTCTTCATTATCAAATAAAATTAGGTTATTTTTTATAACATAATGGTTTAACATGCTATAATAACAGATATGAGGAAATAACACTCATTAAGTTCATTTTTCAAGTTATAGAAGTATTTACAGGTCTTGGTCAACACATATCTCAGGAAATAAAATGGAAAAATTAACCTTAAAATATTGATTAATTTTTTAAATGTATAGGCATTTTAGTGAAATTGAAGCTTTCTAGAAAACAGAAGCTGAGTATATGCTTTCTCTTAGTGGTTTAGTATTACTTCTTATTACTTTATGTATCAATAAGAGAAAATGAATCACTTTTTAGGTTTGTACTACAGAAAGTGCCAGTTAATTTCCAAGGAAGATGTTACTCATGATACGAGGCTTTTCTGTTTGATGCTGCCACCAAGCACTCATCTTCAAGTGCCCATTGGGCAACATGTTTACCTCAAGCTACCTATTACAGGTAAGGTGAATAGAGGCTTTGGGACACAATTTATTCTTTTATAAGCAGTTCAAAATCAGTACTATTCTCTCTAGAAAACAACCATTTAAGTTATTAATAAATGTTTCCAGGCAGCTAGATTTAGTGATAGTCAGAATGTAGGTTTGTGACTGCAACGTGTCCTACATGTTGGAACTATAGCTGTACCACATTATCATATGGAACAAAGATATTGCCAGTAGTTTAGACAGATGATTCCACCAGCATTGTAATTTATTACTAACAAAACCCTAAAGGAAAGAGATGAGAGACTGCACAAATAGTCCTCCATGAAGACAACTACTAGAAGCTCATACTGGTGTCTCTTAGCAGCTACTTAGGGTTGTATCATTTATGAAGTTGAATCTATAAAATTTAAAATAAGTGAATGATTGGAAATGATTTTATTATATGTGCTACCAGTATAAGAAGCTCTATAAATGTATAAATATGAATTCTTTTTTCTTTCATTTTCATCCTAAATTTACCTCACTTGTTTTGAATACCCTTCTTATTGACGTCCAACATTTTCTTGGCCTTTTGAAGCTGCAAACGGTAAAATTCTCCTGTCAGCTGTAGTGTTTCTGGCAGTCGTCTAAAATGTTACCACCTAGGTCTCAGAAGATATGATATATTATGATGAGGCACTGTTAAGGTTTTCTGTTTTTCATCACTAATGGCTGGTTTTCTCTTTTTCATCACTAATGCCTGGTTACCTAATTCAAGAGCTGGTATCTTCTCCAGTTATTGCCAATGCATTTTAATTTATATATGTATTTTGTATACATTGAGGAGCCATGCGTAAAATTTTTGGTCTTTCAAACATGCAATGATTCTTCTCTTTGGAATTTGGCTACCTAAAATAAAATGAGTTCTTATTTATTTTACTCTTTAAGAAAATAATATATTCTTAGAAGTAGCTGGATTAACATTCTTTTTATTCAGTTACCAAAGTAATATGTAATATGTTAAAATATTAAAACAATTTAAAGTACATAAAGTAAAAAGTGAAATTTCTTCCTTTTTCTCCGCCAAATGATCCCATTGGTCATCAGTAACATTTTTAAAAATTTGGTGTATAATTAAAATTATTAGGTAAATAGTTTTTTTTTACATCTCCATGGTAACTTTTGATGCCGTTTTTGTTGTAGCCCATTACAAAGTTTATTTGCTGATGGAATAGATGGTTGTCTAAAATTATTACCATATATTTCTATTAAATTAGACTATACATCATAAAAACAGATTGTTTATATTATGGGTACAGTATTGATTTGTGAAAATTGTTTCGGCACACATAGGCTTGGGGTATATATACTATATACATATAGAAAAATAATTAGAATTATATGCCCATTAGGTATATAGTTTTAAATATATACTGATAGTGTCAAAATTTGGATGTTTCATTTTCATTGAGATTTTTGGATTTTTAGAATTTAATTATTTTGCTGTGATTTTTTTTTCTAGGTACAGAAATAGTAAAGCCATATACACCTGTATCTGGTTCCTTACTCTCAGAGTTCAAGGAACCAGTTCTTCCCAACAATAAATACATCTACTTTTTGATAAAAATCTATCCCACTGGACTCTTCACACCAGAGCTTGATCGTCTTCAGATTGGTTAGTATTTTTACATTTTTTAAACCTCATTTGTGCTCTAGATTGGATCACATTGTCCTCTAGTTATCTCCATGTAGGAGTCTATCAGATATCTTTAACTCAACATGTCTACAACCAAAGTTATCTTCTCCTTGTCCTACACAGCGTGGCCATGCTCCATATTCCTTATTTTTATTATTTGCAGCATCACTGTTCATCCTTGATCCAATCTGGAAACTCGAGTCGGCCTTGATTCTTCCCACTTTCTCTTTCCCAGTCCAGTCAGCCGCTAAGTTCTGTTGAGTCTACATCTCAGTGACTTTTTCAGCTACCTCTTCTGCCACTGTCTTACAGTAAGCCTTCATCATATCTTCATTGGCTTCTGTTTCCTTACAATTGACCCTACTGCTTCGCAGCTTTGAAACCTCTGATGGGTCCCCATTATCTGTACTGCATGACCTACAAAGACTTTGATAATCTCTCCAGCTTCATATCTTGCTATACAAAAATACTTGTGCTACTCAGAGTTCCACAGATTTGTCATCCTCATTCACAGGTACATGCAGTTGCCACACCCAAGATGCCCATCAACCTTTTCTTTACCTGTCAAGTACTTTTTTAAAAAGACCCAAACATGGGCTGGGTGCGGTGGCTCACGCCTGTAATCCCAGCACTTTGGGAGGCTGAGGTGGGCAGATCTCTTGAGGTCGGAAGTTCGAGACCAGCCTGGCCAACATGGGGAAACTCTGTTTCTACTAAAAATACAAAAATTAGCCGGGTATGATGGCGGGCGCCTGTAATCCCAGCTACTTGGGAGGCTGAGGCAGGAGAATCGCTTAAACCCGGGAGGCGGAGGTTTCAGTGAGCCGAGATCGTGCCACTGTACTCTAGCCTGGGCAACAGAGCGAGACTCTGTCTCAAAAAAAAATAATAAAAAATAAAAATAAATAAAAAGACCCAAACAGAATATCACTTTATGGAGCCCTCCTCTTCCCCTGAAACCCTCAATAACTAACATTTGTTCATAGCTCTTTTATAAGAATAAATATATTTCTTCATTACAAGACTTTGAGTTTAAGAGCAGAAATTGTCTTACTTATCTTTGTATTTCCACCACCTGGCATGGCAGTTGGTACATAATAGGCTGTCAGTAAATGTGCTTTGTTTTTTTGTTTGTTTGTTTTATTTTTGAGATGGTCTGCTGCCCAGGCTGGAGTGCAGTGGCTCGATCTCAGCTCACTGCAACCTCTGCCTCCTGGGTTCAAGTGATTCTTCTGCCTCAGCCTCCCAAGTAGCTGGGATTACAGGCACACACCACCATGCTGGCTAATATTTGTATTTTTAATAGAGATGAGGTTTCACTATGTTGGCCAAGCTGGTCTCGAACTCCTAACCTTAGATGATTGGCCCGCCTTGGCCTCCCAAAGTGCTGGGATCACAGGTGTGAGCCACTGTGCCCAGCCAGTAAAGGTACTTTGAAGGAATGAATAAAGAACTATAATGAGATCTATTAAGATTTAAAAACTTCTCTTGCTTCTGCTCCCTTTTGGTGTCACCTCCTTTTTCTATATTTTCTTTTCACTTTTTACCTAATAGCAAAAGTGTTCCTCTTTCCAAGGCAGCATTAGCAATACATTGGGATACCAGTGAAGTGGATTACTAAAATTTGGAAATAAACAAAATTACATTACTTTCTGAAATGTAGTAGATATGATTCTGCTAATTATGTCTACTTCACATAATAGATATGATTAGTCATCCTTGGTTACGTAAACCAAAATATTGTATATGAATTTGAACCTGAAGTATTTTGGAGTACCTACAAATCTAATGAAGGTGATTATCACCTTGTGAGAGAAGGACTGACGCATGATTGTAATAAAGTAAGTGGAAACTTAAGGAATGGTATTATAGCCTATTTACGGAGATTTTTGCGAACATAGCAGGGTGGAGAGTTGTCCTAGAGCATGGAAAGGGAAAGCTCAAAGAACAAGATGAAGTATTATTTCAACTTCATTTAGGGAGGCTTGACATGGCACAAATATTTGTGTCACTTAGAGAGTTGTACACTAAATGAATGAACCCATACAATTATTCATCTCTTTGTTTCAATCCCGTGTTCACTAAGCAACATGATTTTACATGATTAATTTGGCTTTCCATGTGTTCTGATACTGGAAACAAGATATCCTCAATGGGACATGTAATGTTCAGGTCACTAGATACATGTAACCCCAGCTGTAAGTCAGTTGCCATTCTGGCATGTGTGCTTTAATCTCTTCTGAATTTGATTAGCATCAGTTATCCTATGTGAGTCTAATCAATTTTGTTAACATTGGAAAGACTGGGCTGTGGGTAAAAGTTACCAAGTTAATACTCTCCTCTGAGGCTTCTTTAGTAAACAACTATCTGGCTTTCCTAAAGACACTCTAATCTTATGGTCTTTTTCAAACTATAATGAGGAGCTTCTATTATTATTATTTTTTTTTTTTTGAGATGGAGTTTTGCTCTTGTTGCCCAGGCTGGAGTGCAGTGGCATCGCAATCTCGGCTCACTGCAACCTCCGCCTCTCGGGTTCAAGCGATTCTCCTGCCTCAGCCTCCCAAGTAGATGGGATTACAGGCATGTGCCACCATGCCTGGCTAATTTTTTGTATTTTTAGTAGAGACGGGGTTTCTCCATGTTCGTCAGGCTGGTCTTGAACTCCCGACCTCAGGTGATCCACCTGCCTTGGCCTCCCGAAGTGCTGGGATTACAGGTGTGAGCCACCACGCCCAGCCCTATTTTCAAATACTTATTTCATCAACTACTGCAAGATTCTTACTATCCTGCAATGGAAAACAGGAAAAATTATGAGCATCCAAGCATTTTAAAATAGAGTATTTTAAATCATTTAAAAATTATAGCAGCTTTATTTTTCCTTTTTAAGATTACATTTCAAGTTTCTGAATCTAGTCCTAAAGGTAATTTTCTCATATGAATGGTACATGGTGATTATATCAACTGGGCTGTAGAAAATGGGCACTGATTTCTCAACTGTGTTGATTCTAGATTGGTAAGTGACATGCTCCAAGTATAGTTGACTGCATTTCTGATCTTGCTTTGTTTTTATGGGAATTAAACTCAGAATAGCCCTTCTTAATAGGTCTTTTCAAAAATTTGGTAGAAGAGAAGTTGGTGTGTTAATCAACATAAGATTTTAGAATGCATTTCTATTTCAATTTTCTCTCCTACTAATCCTGTTACTGTGGTTAATAATCAATGTGTAAATAGTGAATATCTGTTCTTTACTCTGTACCAGGTAAGACAAATATATATGGACTCTGCTTTTGAAGTACTTAGAATTTAGTTTAGCAATCAATCCTTTATTGATAATTTGTGGATAAGTACTTTGCAGTAGTTTGTAAATTTCAGACTTCAGATGGTTTGGCAAAATAGTGGTGGGAAATTATATCATAAAACCTCATTATTAATTTGACTGTAATGATATAATTCAGACATACTTAGGGGCCTAATGAGTATCCTTAAGACTACTTACATATCTTAAAGACTGATAAATAGTCTGCAAGTTAAGTATTTATACTGTTACTCCTCAGTGTTTTAAATTCAGCTAGTTTTGGCTTCTTAGTTTCCCCGCTGGGTTTTTTGTTTTGTTTTTTGTTTTTTTTTTTTCTGATTTAGCTTATGTTTCATTGTTTAGGAGATTTTGTTTCTGTAAGCAGTCCTGAGGGCAATTTTAAAATATCCAAGTTCCAAGAATTAGAAGATCTCTTTTTGTTGGCAGCTGGAACAGGCTTCACACCAATGGTTAAAATACTGAATTATGCTTTGACTGATATACCCAGTCTCAGGTATGTAATTTTGTCTCTAATTACGATCCTTTTTGAGGCTGTTATATTAGTATAAGGTATTCTAAATTGATTACTCACTGGACCTTAATAGACATGTTACCATTTCCTCATTCATCATTTCTTACTTTGCCTCCTCTAATCCTAGCTATTTTATTAACTAGGTTCTTTTATCTCATTTCAGTTTTTGATGATTTTTAGTTACCTACTGGGCACTAAAACATTCACACTGGTTCACTTTAGACTTTCCATTTGTGCATATTTTAAATGTAATTAATTAGTTATTTCTGAGTTTTTTTTTTTCTCTTAAGGAAAGTGAAGCTGATGTTCTTCAATAAAACAGAAGATGATATAATTTGGAGAAGCCAATTGGAGAAATTAGCATTTAAAGATAAAAGGTATTAAACTGATATTAGCTCTGCGTTTAGTTATTTATACCTGGGTAGTAAGTCTATGCCTTATCTTCTCTGGTTGAAGCTTTGATTGTCCAGGAAGCTCCTTCAAAGAAAAAAAATAAACCAATAATTCTCTAACTAGAAATCATGTTAAATGTTCCCCTTCCCTCAAAGAAACACTGTCTGGCAAGATCTAGGCAACCTTATATATGTGTCACTAAGATGCATATTGGGCTTTATGATCATGTTATGTGATTTATACTGAGTTGGGTTTCACTGAAAATGTTCCAATGTAGCCAGTTTGGTAATGCAAGATTTTTCCTGTTATACTGGGGCTGATAAAATAAGCATTTGGTGAGAATGGATTAAGCAAAATTAAACATGATATGGGATTTCTAAAGCCTTTAATATGTTAGTATCCTTTGTGACTTTCCAAGAGAGGAATTTTTTATGCATTGCTTAGCAAAATTCCTTTTATGTTTGTTTGTTTGCATTAACACTTCTTCGCTCTTTCACTAGTGATCCTTGGTACACACTTTGGGAAGTGCTGGTACAGATAATAGAAAAAAGTTCTAGTCAAGCTGAACTCAGTAGTGGAATGGGACAGAAAGGATAACAAAAGTGAAAACTTATTTTATTGATTAAAGAGCTCAGCCCAGTAAACTAAAATAAGAAGATAATTTAACTGAATATATGCTCCATTTCCCCTAAAAAGATTTGAAAGCAGTAGGAAGTTCAGAACAATCTTTTCACAAAAAGTGAATTCAATAAGTTATCATACTTTCTAAAGCATTTCTATAATCATTAAAAGCTATTTCTAAGAATTTTAGGGCTTTATAAATTACACAAAAGATCTGAAGTAAATATGTATGTATATGAAAGGATGGTATACATAAAATTCTAGGCCTTTTAAAAGAGTAAAGCCCTTAGAACTTTGTTAGCTGTCCAGGGGCTCGAGGTTCTTCTGAATATTTTCTGAATGTCCATAATAAGAAAATGCTGTGGTCTTTTCCCATTTTTCCCTCCCTGCTGTCTCCCATCATCCTCCACTTTGTCTTTTAATAAATGACTTTCAAAATTAAGGATGACACCTGAATTTATTTATCCTTGAAGTATTTACTATTCTTTACATACTAAAAACATAGACCTAAGAACATTTATTATAAGTAGTTGTGTGGCATTTTAGAGAATTATTTAAAGAAGTTCAAGTTCTTAGTTTTTCAAGTATTTTTTAACACATTTTCAAAGTGGAAAATTGGAAGCGTTTATCAAGAAGCCTAAAGACCTAAATTCCAGTTGCCATTCTGCTCCTCACCAGCATGAAACTTTATTCACAAATTACTTACCTCTGGGGGCCTCTTTATCTTCAAAAGAAAATAATGCTGTCTTTTCTACTTCATAAAGTATTGTGAGCTTTGGAGAAGATAACGTAAATGCTTTGGAACCTGTGAAGCCCTCCCTCAGACATTTGAATTGTGGTTATAGAGGACCCCTATGTACATGTTTGTTTTCTGTCTTCACCGTTAGAGCTTCTGTTTTTGTAAGTAAATGTTTAAAAGAATTTAAACTGGTCGATTCCTGGGCAAGATAGCCAAATAGGAACAGCTCCGGTCTGCAGCTCCCAGCGAGACCAACACGGAAGGCCGGTGATTTCTGCATTTCCAACTGAGATACCTGGTTCATCTCATTGGGACTGATTATACAGTGGGTGCAGTCCATGGAGGGCGAGCAGAAGCATGGTGGGGTGTTGTCTCACCCGGGAAGCTCAAGTGGTTGGCACTAGCCAAGGGAAGCCATGAGGGACTGTGCCATGAGTGACTGTGCTATCCAGCCCAGATACTACGCTTTTTCCACAGTCTTTGCAACCTGCAGACCAGGAGATTCCCTTGGGTGCCTACACCACCAGGGCCCTGGGTTTCAAGCACAAACTTGGGTGGCCATTTGGGCAGACACCAAGCTAGCTGCAGGAGTTTTTTTTTGTACCCCAGTGGCGCCTGGAACACCAGAGAGACAGAACCATTCACTCCCCTGGAAAGGGGGCTGAAGCCAGGGAGCCAGGTGGTCTTGCTCAGCGGATCCCACCCCAACGGAGCCCAGCAAGCTAAAATCCACTGGCTTGAAATTCTCGCTGCAAGCACAGCAGTTTGAAGTTGATGGGGGACACTTGAGCCTGGTGGGGGGAGGGGCGTCCACCATTACTGAGGCTTGAGTAGGTGGTTTTCCACTCACAGTGTAAAAAAAGCCACTGGGAAGTTCGGACTAAGCAGAGCCCACCACAGCACCGAAAAGCCATGATAGCCAGACTGCCTCTCTAGATTCCTCCTCTCTGCAGGGCACCTCTGAAAGAAAGGCAGCAGCCCCAATCAGAGGCTTATAGATAAAATTCCCATCTCCCTGGGACAGAGTGCCTGGGGGAAGGGGCAGCTATGGGCACAGCTTCAGCAGACTTAAATATTCCTGCTTGCTGGCTCTGAAGAGAGCAGTGGATCTCCCAGCACAGTGCTCGAGCTCTGCTAAGTGACCGACTGCCTCCTCAAGTGGGTCCCTGACACCTGAGCCTCCTGACGGGGAGACACCCCCCAGCAGGGGTCAACAGACACCTCATACAGGAGAGCTCTGGCTGGCATTTGGTGGGTGCCCTCTGGGATGAAGCTTCCAGAGGAAGGAACAGGCAGCAATCTTTGCTGTTCTGCAGCCTCTGCTGGTGATACCCAGGAAAACAGGGTCTAGAGTGGACTCCCGGCAAACTCCAGCAGACTTGCAGCAGAGGGGCCTGACTGTTATAAGGTAAACTAACAAACAGAAAGCAATAGCATCAACATCAAAAAAAAAAGGATGACCAAGCAAACACTCCATCCAAAGGTCACCAACAGCAAAGACCAAAGGTAGATAAATCCACGAAGTTGAGGAAAAACCTATGCAAAAAGGCTGAAAATGCCAACAACCAGAATGCCTCTTCTCCTCCAAAGGATCACAACTCCTCACTAGCAAGGGAACATAACTGGATGGATAATGAATTTGACAAATTGACAGAAGTAGGCTTCAGAAGGTGGGTAATAACAAATTCCTGAAGGAGCATGTTCTAACCCAGTGCAAGGAAGCTAAGAACCTTGACAGAAGGCTAGAGGAGTATCTAACTAGAATAACCAGTTTGGAGAAGAACATAAAAGACCTGATGGAACTGAAAAACAGCACGAGAACATCATGAAGCATACACAAGTATCCATAGCCAAATCGATCAAGCGGAAGAAAGGATATCAGAGATTGAAGACCAACTCAATGAAATAAAGTGAGAAGACAAGATTAGAGAAAAAAGAATGAAAAGGAATGAACAAAGCCTCCAAGAAATATGGGACTACATTTGGTGTACCTGAAAGTGACAGAGAGAATGGAACCAAGTTGGAAAATACACTTCCGGATACTATCCAAGAGAACTTCCCCAACCTAGCAACACAGGCCAACATTCAACTTCAGGAAATACAGAGAACACCACAAAGATACTTCTTGAGAAGAGCAACCCCAGGACATAATCGTCAGATTCACCAAGGTTGAAATGAAGGAAAAAAATGTTAAGGGCAGCCAGAGAGGAAGGTCAGGTTACCCACAAAGGGAAGCCCATCAGACTAACAGGGGATCTCTCTGCAGAAACCCTACAAACCAGAAGAGATTGGGGGCCAATATTCTACATTCTTAAAGAAAAGAGTTTTTAATCCAGAATTTCATATCCAGCCAAATTAAGCTTCATAAGCAAAGGAGAAATAAAATCCTTTAAAGACAAGCAAATGCTGAGGGATTTCGTCACCACCAGGCCTGCCTTACAAGAGTTCCTGAAGGAAGTACTAAATATGAAAAAGAAAAACTGGTACCAGCCACTGCAGAAACATAGCAGAATGTAAAGACCATTGAAACTATGAAGAAAATGCATCAACTAATAGGCAAAATAACCAGCTAGCATCATAATGACAGGATCAAATTCACACATAACTATATTAACCTTAAATGTAAACGGGCTAAATGCCCCAGTGAAAAGGTACAGTCTGGCAAATTGGATAAAGAGTCAAGACCCATCAGTGTGCCGTGTTCAGGAGACCCATCTCATGTACAAAGACACACATAGGCTCAAAATAAAGAGATGGAGGAAGATTTACCAAGCCAATGGAAAGCAAAAAAAAAAGCAGGAGTTGCAATCCTAGTTTCCGATAAAACAGACTTTAAACCAACAAAGATCAAAAAAGACAAGGGCATTACATAATGCTAAAGGGATTAACAAGAAGAGCTAACTGTCCTAAATATATATGCACCCAATACAGGAGCACCCAGATTCATAAAGCAAGTTCTTAGAGACCTACGAAGAGACACTTTCACACAATAATAGTGGGAGACTTTAACACCCTACTGTCAATATTAGACAGATCAATGAGACAGAAAATTAATAAGGATATTCAGGACTTGAACTCAGCTCTGCACCAAGCAGACCTAATAGACATCTATGGAACTCTTCACCCCAAATCAACAGGATATACATTCTTCACAGCACCACATAGCACTTATTCTAAAATCGACCACATAATTGGAAGTAAAACACTCCTCAGCAAATGCAAAGGAACAGAAATCATAACGGTCTCCCAGACCACAGTGCAATCAAATTAGAACTCAGGATTAAGAAACTCACTCAAAACCGCACAACTACGTGGAAACTGAACAACCTGCTCTTGAATGACTACTGCAGAAATAACGAAATTAAGGCAGAAATAAATAAGTTCTTTGAAACCAATGAGAACAAAGACACAACGTACCAGAATCTCTGGGACACAGCTAAAGCAGTGTATAGAGGGAAATTTATATCACAAAATGCCTACAGGAGAAAGCGGGAAAGATCTAAAATCGACACCCTAACATCACAATGAGAAGAACTAGAGAAGCAACAGCAAACAAATTCAAAAGCTAGCAGAAGACAAGAAATAACTAAGATCAGAGAAAAATGTAAGGAGATAGAGACATGAAAAACCCTTCAAAAAATCAATGACTCCAGGAGCTGGTATTTTGAAAAGAATAACAGAATGGATAGACCGCTAGTCAGACTAATAAAGAAGAAAAGAGAGAAGAATCAAATAGATACAATAAAAAATGATAAAGGGGAGATCACCACTGATCCCACAGAAATACAGACTACCATCAGATAATACTATAAACAACTCCACACAAATAAAGTAGAAGATCTAGAAGAAGTGGATAAATTCCTGGACACATACACCCTCCCAAGACTAAACCAGGAAGAAGCTGAATCCTTGAATAGACCCAGTAACAAGTTCTGAAACTGAGGTAGTAATTAATAGCCTACCAAACAAAAAAAGCTCAGGACCAGATGGATTTACAGCTGAATTCTACCAGAGATACAAAGAGGAGCTGGTACCATTCCTTCTGAAACTATTCCAAACAGTAGAAAAAGAGGGAATCCTCCCTAACTCATTTTATGAGGCCAGCATCATTCTGATACCAAAACCTGGCAGAGATGCAACAAAAAAAGAAAATTTCAGGCCAATATCCCTGATGAACATCGATGCAAAAATCCTCAATAAAATACTTGCAAACTGAATCCAGCAGCACATTAAAAAGCTTTTCCACCACGATCAAGTGGGCTTTATCCCTGGGATGCAAGGCTGATTCAACATACACAAATCAATAAACGTATTGCATCACATAAACAGAACTGATGACAAAAACCACGTGATGATCTCAATAGATGCAGAAAAGGCCTTCAATAAAATTCAACACCCCTTCATGCTAAAAACACTCAAACTAGGTATTGATGGAACATATCTTAAAGTAATAAGAGCAGTTTATGACAAACCCACATCTGATATCATGCTGAATGGGCAAAAGCTGGAAGCATTCCCTTTGAAAACTGGCACAAGACAAGGATATCCCCTCTCACCACTCCTATTCAACATAGTATTGCAAGTTCTGGCCAGGGCAGTCAGGTAAGGGAAAGAAAGAAAGGGTATTCAGATAGGAAAAGAGGAAGTCAAATTATCTCTGTTTCCAGATGACATGATTGTATATTTAGAAAGCCCCATCATCTCAGCCCAAAAACTCTTTAAGCTGATAAGCAACTTCAGCAAAGTCTCAGGATACAAAATCAATGTGCAAAAGTCACAAGCATTCCTATACACCAATAATAGAGAGCGAAATCATGAGTGAACTCCCATTCACAAATGCTACAAAGAGAATAAAATACCTAGGAATCCAACTTACAAGAGATGTGAAGGACGTCTTCAAGGAGAACTGCAAACCACTACTCCAGGAAATAGGACACAAACAAATGGAAAAACATTCCATGCTGATGGATAGGAAGAATCAATATGAAAATGGCCATACTGCCCAAAGTAATTTATAGATTTAATGCCATCCCCATCAAGCTACCATTGACTTTCTTCACAGAATTAGAAAAAAACTATTTTAAATTTCATATGGAACCAAAAAAGAGCTCGTATAGCCAAGACAATCCTAAGCAAAAAGAACAAAGCTGGAGGCATCACGCTACCTGACTTCAAACTATACTGCAAGGCCACAGTAACCAAAACGGCATGGTACTGGTACCAAAACAGATATATAGACTAGTGGAACAGAATACAGGTCTCAGAAATAATGCCACACATTTACAACCATCTGATCTTCCACAAACCTGACAAAAACAAGCAATAGGGAAAGGATTCCCTATTTAATAAATGGTGTTGGGAAAAGTCACTAGCCATATGCACAAAACTAAAACTGGACCCTTCCTTACACCTTATGCAAAAATTAAGATGGACTAAAGATTTAAACATAAAATCTAAAACCATAAAAACCCTAGAAGAAAACTTAGGCAGTACCATTCAGGACACAGGCATGGGCAAAGACTTCATGACTAAAACTCCAAAAGCAATTGCAACAAAAGCTAAAATTGACAAATGGGCTCTAATTAAGAGCTTCTGTATAGCAAAATAAATTATCGTCAGAGTGAACAGGCAACCTACAGAATGGGAGAAAATGTTTGCAATCTATCCATCTGACAAAGGGCTAATATCCAGAATCTACAAGGAGCTTAAACAAATTTACAAGGAAAAAAATCCCATCAGAAAGTGTGGGCAAAGGATATCAACAGACACTTTCCAATAGAAGACATTTATGCAGCCAACAAACATACTGGTCATTAGAGAAATGCAAGTCAAAACCACAATGAGATACCATCTCACATCATTAGGATGGCGATCATTTAAAAAGTCAGGAAACAACATGCTGGAGAGGGTGTGGAGAAATAGGAACACTTTTACACTGTTGGCAGGAGTGCAAATTAGTTCAACCCTTGTGGAAGACAGTGTGGTGATTTCTTAAGGATTTAGAACCAGAAATACCATTTGACCCAGCAATCCCATTACTGGGTATATACCCAAAGCATGATAAATCATTCTACTGTAAAGATACATGCACATGTATGTTTATTGCAGCACTATTCACAATAGCAAAGACTTGGAACCAACCTAAATGTCCATCAATGATAGACTGGATAAAGAAAATGTGGCACATTACACCATGGAATACTATGCAGCCATAAAAAAGGATGAGTTCATGTCCTTTGCAGGGACACGGATGAAGCTGGAAACCATCATTCTCAGCAAACTAACACAGAAACAAAACCAAATACCGCATGTTCTTACTCATAAGTGGGAGTTGAACAATGAGAACATATGGGCACAGGAAGGGGAACATCACACAACAGGGCCTGTCACAGGGTGGGGGCCAAAGGGAGGGATAGAATTAGGAGAAATACCTAATGTAGATGACAGGTTGATGGGTGCAGCAAACCACCATGCACATGTATACCTATGTAACCTGCACGTTCTACACATGTATCCCAGAACTTAAAGTATAATAATTTTTTTAAAAAGTAAACAGACATAGGTAGGCTTAAGATTGTTTTTTAGAAAAGTATTTCTGATGGTTTTTTGGCTAAGGTATTCTTTTAGATAGTTACCTTATAAAAGCAATTTTGTAAAATTTTATTTTTTTAGGAATAGACATTGTACTTTTGACTTCAACTTGATTTATAAATTAATTGTTAAGGAAAGTGTTGACAGTCTCTGAACATAAAGTATCTTTTAATAGAGTCAACTGTGTTTTTTCTTTCGTTTTGATCTACATAATTTGGGTTGGTGAGGTTGCATAGGCTGGAGTTTTGAGGATGAGGAAAGGCCCCTTTTTTTTTCATGTCTGGATGCCTGGCTCTAACAGCACTCATCAGGTGAGTGGTACTCTCCAGCTTGCTGACGGAAGTGATAGTGTTCCAACCTCTGGCCTGCCTTTATCCTCCCTCTGCTGTTCCTTCTCTTTCTCTTCTTGCTCTCCCTTGCTGGCTTGGGTGTGCTCTTTCTCTCTCCTCCCTAACCTCTTTCTGGAGACTTTGTTGTCCTTGCTTGAGGCACTGACTCCTAGTATTGTGTAATTTATGATCCCCATAGACTCCTGGCGTTTTGGGCTTTTTTTTTTTTTTTTTAGTGAGGTCAGGTCAAGCCCTAGCTAGAAAACAAAATGACCATGCCTGTGTATATGGCTTTGGAAGATTTAGCAGGAATTTTACCATATTCTGAGGCTTGATGTAAAACATAGGAGAACCCTGGCCTTAAAGGCTTATTGATTGCATTTGCTAGTACTATTCAGCCAAAACATAATTATTGTGTCCCATACAAAAAAGGAAAGTAAAAGTTAAGATTTAAGTTGAGATGATTTTAATTAGTCACAGTTGTATTTTAGTTAGCATTTAAGGATCTTCATTTTCTAATATAGTAAATCATCACTCTTTACCATATCTTGACCCTCTCTATATCACTTTCAGTTTTAGTAGTAAAGTTCCTGATGCCAAAATATGTTACTGGAACACATTTCTGTGGTTAAATTATTATTGAATTGTAAATATTAAAAAACAAATTTTGTAGTTAAGAGAAATACCCTACTGTCTATATAATTAGGTCCCAGTCTTCTACTCCATCCTTTGTGGAACAAGGAGAGGGATAGGAATTATGGATTCTGAGGCTGACATATGATCGAATATTTTCAGCAAGTGTGCTATGCTTGTCCGCAGAGTTTATCTAGAGAATATCATTAGCAAATGGAATTCTTCAAAATAAAATTGTATAATGGAAAGTTATTAATCTCTTGGCCTTGGGCAAATTACTTTATCTGGCTGAGCTTCAGTTTTTCCATCTATAAAACAAACATTAATACCTACACCACAGAATCATTTGGACATGGGAATCAATGAGTTAGCATATGTAGGTTCCTAGCCCAGAATTAGTATGTTTGTAGCAGACATTCATTCATTCATTCGTAAAATATGTGTAACATCTATTATGTACCTGTACACATGGATCCAACAGTGACACGATATTGTGTTTACTTATTTTCTCATGCAGCCCAAGGAATGAATCTCTTCATTTTCCCTAATTACTGCCCTCAGGAGAATTGCAAAAATATAGATACTTCATGAATAATTTTTAGAATACTACTCTTTCTATTTCAATCTGATTTTCATGTCATTAAGTATGAAATCTGAACAGAAAAAAAAATGTGTACCCAAATTTTATCCAAATGTGTTATTAAACTTGACTGTTCTAGCAATTGGGATTCAATTCACCACATTCCAAGTCTAGCAAAATCTTATCCTTTTTTTCTTACGAAAAATGAGACAAAACATAAGGCAAATATGTGCAGTAGTGGATTTAACTAATTATGTAAACTGAAATCCAAACTAAATTCCACTTATCCTTCTCCCAAATATGTGATCAGTGTATGAGGCTCAGTTCATTCAGTACACATTGGCCCACCTGCTCCCATCAGCAGAATGCCCTAGCTCTGTGATGTCTCTGCTTTTGTAGAATGAGTTTTGTGGGGTGGGACAGGTGGTACAGTTTGACAATGAGGTTGACTTCTAGAAAACATTTTGTGGTATATAAATATAACAGGTATTTTCCTTTTGTTTCAAATGAGTCGTTCTTGGAGACCATTAATCTTATTTTAGTAAAGGTAGTGGTACATTTTTTTATAAACAGCATTTGTTGATTTTCCCTTCTTTTTATAAAATTAATACATGTTTATATAGAAAAGGTATAAGAAAAAAATCACCCATAATCCTACCACCCAAAGAACAATTATTAACATTATGGTCTGTATCTTTCTATTCATATGCATACCTACCTTTTTGTTTTGTATATTTAAAATAATGTAGTCATACTAACTATAATTTTTATAACTACATTTCTACTCATTGTATTGTGTGTTTTTTACATAAAGAATATTTTCAACAGGTGGTTTTCAACCTTAAGCAACTCTGCCACCCCAGAAACATTTATTATCACAACTAGGGGAAGACGTGTTACACCTAGTCAGTAGAGGCCAGGATTGCTACAAAATATCTTACAATTCACAGGAGAGCCCCCCTACAACAAAGAATTATCCAGCCCAAAATGCCAGTTGTGCCAGTTAGTAAATCCTGCAGTATACCATGATTTTTAATAACTGCATTGTGTTCAGTCATGTGAGCATACCATAATTTAGTTAACCAATTCTCTGTTATTTGACATAGTGACTAGAAATTGTTCAATACCTCTCTAACTATTCAGGATAAAGAAGAATTATTAGGTCAAACTGTTTTAAGGCTCTTGATACCTATACTTTAAGTTCTGGGATACATGTGCAGAACATACAGGTTTGTTACATAGGTATACGTGTACCATGGTGGTTTGCAGCACCCATCAACCCATTATCTACATTAGGTATTTCTCCTAATTCATCCCTCCCCTGCCCCTCCACCGCCCAACAGGCCTCAGTGTGGAACGTTCCCCTCCCTGTGTCCATGTGTTCTTATTGTTCAACTCCCACTTATGAGTGAGAACATGCAGTGTTTGGTTTTCTGTTTCTGTGTTAGTTTGCTGAGAATGATGGTTTCCAGCTTCATCCATGTCCCTGCAAAGGACATGAACTCATCCTTTTTTATGGCTGCATAGTATTCCCTGGTGTAATGTGCCACATTTTCTTTATCCAGTCTAACATTGATGGACATTTAGGTTGGTTCCAAGTCTTTGCTATTGTGAATAGTGCTGCAATAAACATACATGTGCATGTGTCTTTATAGTAGAATGACTTATAATCCTTTGAGTATATACCCAGTAATGGGATTGCTGGGTCAAATGGTCTTTCTGGTTCTAGATCCTTGAGGAATCGCCACACTGTTTTCTACGATGGTTGAACTAATTTGCACTCCTGCCAACAGTGTAAAAGTGTTCCTGTTTCTCCACGTCCTCTCCAGCATCTGTTACATTTTGACAAATGCCTCTGACAATGAAAACACTTAGCAGAGAATACTATACCCAGCCTACATTGTCATTGTTGATGACATTAACACTGACAGTGTCATTAACAGTGATGTTGTTAGTGTCATTATTTTTACACTAGAGTGGATTGGGAGGTTAGTTGGGGCAAAAGAGAGAGGGGAAATAAAGGGATTCTAAGCAGCATGGAAATGGGTCACAAAGGAAACGGGACTATTTACCCACTTATATGCACCAATAGAAGATAGAAGACAATTTACATCACTTTAAAGATTTGTGTGCTCACTCCCTGCAAAATGTGCTTGACATTACAAAAAGATAAGAAATCAGTAAGACTACCCTAGTGGTGGTGAAGTTCTAAAGTACATAAGTGACTGTAAAGTCTGTGCCTTGAGAGAAACAAAAAACATACCATAGATATCTAGTGAAAAGAATTTTATTCCATTTTTGTGAGGGTGGGAATATCAGAGCTTCATGGAAGAAGGGGCTTTTGAGCTGGGCTTTGGGAAATGATTAGCATTTCTTGGAGCGGGAAAATAAATCTGGGTAGTAGGATTGCATAAGACATGAGGGCCAGGATATTCTAGTGTTTTAATGACAGAGTAGAGTTGTTTTGTTGAAATAAATATTGTGCATGAAGGAGAATGATGCAGAATAACTAAAAATAAACCCATTAAACCTTATATCAGTTTTAGAAGGAATCTTAATAGTTATCATTTCTGATCTTTTTGTTTACAATTGAGGAAACAAGATAGGCTAAAATCAGGTGCTGAAAGACCTTGAATGTAATTAATATGTGAAGTAAATATTATATATCAGATAGACATAGGAAGAAGGCACAGTGACACTCTGTGGCTCATCTCCCTGTAGTGCTGACAGGCTCTGTGGACTATATGTTTTTGTCTTCTGATGTCAGTATTGGGACTGGCAATGTGGCAGTTCCATTTAAGTTAGCAAAAGCTGATGATGCCAGAAGCAGAAGTAAATTGAACAGTATACCTGAAACTGTTTCTTTTTCCCCAGCCTCTTATGCTGACAGATATGCAGCCCACTAATCTGGAGCCTTATAGCACTTTCGGTTTCTTCCAGGAGATGTTCCTCAGATGTTGTGTTGCTCAGAATGTGTTCTTTGAAATGTTAATGTGTTCCCCGGAATGGACTCTGTGATTGAATAAATTTGGGAAACAGTATATGCCTTCCTGAAGATTTACTCTGAACTTAGCATATATAAGGCTTTCTGAAATTCTACGGAAATATATTTAACTTTTTTTAACCCAGTATGTCACAGACTTATTTGATAGTTAGCCTGCTTTCATGGAATAACTACTAACATCTGGAGGCATACTAGTGTTTCATTAGATTCATTTTAAGAAATGTTTCCATATAATTATGGAAACATATATAATTATATATATTTTATCTAATTTTGATTCCTAGTTTTGTGAGATTTTTTTCCTTTGAGCACATAGCAATTTTTACTACAGTTGCAGGCATTTTCTTTAGCTAGAAAAAAAACAAAAAACAAAAAAAACAAAAGCAGGAAAAGCTGGGGCCCCAAGTACTCTGAAATACCAATCTGTGGGCAGTGAGGAATCACTGAAGCTTTTAAGCAAAAAAGTTGTAAAGTTGTATCAGAGTTTTTAGGGGAACTAATATGGCAATGGTATATCAAATAGATTAAGGGCTAAGGCTGTTAATGTAATATTTTAGATGAGATATAAGAACCTGATCTGGAGTTGTGACAGTAAAAATGGGAAGGTAAGGGACTTTGTGTGAGAAAATGAAGGAGGCAAGTTGCTGAAGCTGATTGGCTAGAGGAGGAGGGAATAAGTCGTTGGATGACTGCTAATGATTTAGACTAAATGAATACATTTGTATTTCAAGACTTGTCATCTCAGATCACTATCAGCCTACTTTAAAATAAAATTTTTGACAAGCTTACTTAGATTGACGTTTGAGATCACATAGGCACTCATCAGAAGCAGGTCTGTTCTCTTCCTCTTTCATATTACTTTGTATTTTATGGGTTATCTGAATTTATTTTCAGGTAACCTTTTCAAGGGTCCCAACCCCTTCTGGCACTTTTGAAATTATAAAAGAATTTCAGGATGTTTACTGTGTGCCCCCCACATGTCTCCAGCATCTCAAAGCTGTAATTTTTTAGACAGTAAGTTAACCTTCATTCAGAAAACCCAGGAGAGAGTATTCCACAGGAATTGTCTATATTTTGATATAAAAAATCTTTCATTAAAGAATTATTGAGTCTTAACTTGGGAATGCTCCTGTTCCAGTTTAAGCTCTTTTCTCAGCGTATGAAAAGGAGATAAGCAGGATAACAGCCTCTTTAGAATATCCTTAAATTGCAGCCAGAGATTAAAATGCATGTGTCACTGGTAATTGCTATTTACTGTGATTTATACCAGCATATTATTATTGTTTATTTTGGGTTCAGGGGGTACATGTGCAGGTTTGCTTGAAGGGTATATTGCGTGATGCTGAAATTTGGATTTCTATTGATCTTGTCACCTAGACAATGAACATAGTACACACTAGGAGGGTTTTCAGCCCTTGCCCCTTTCCCTACACCTCCCTCCTTTTGGAGCCCCCAGTGTCTATTGTTCTCATCTTTATGTTCTTATGTACACAGGGTTTAGCTCCACTCATAAGTGAGAACATGCAATATTTGTTCTTTTTTTTCAATACTAGTAGATTATTAATAGAAATGTAGCGTTCTCTGAGATCCCTTGGGATCTTTATTTCATTTATATATTTATTTTTAATTAATTTCTTTTTTAAGAGACAGGTTCTTGCTCTGTTGCCTAGGCTGGTGCAATCATATCTCACTGGATCAAACGATCCTCCTGCCTCAGCTTCCCAAATAGCTAGGACCACAGGCACATGCCACCACACCTGGCTAAGTTTAAACAGTTTTTTTTGTTGTTGTTGTTTTTGGGTTTTTTTTTTTGTAGAAACTAGGTCTCACTGTGTTGCCCAGGCTGGTCTCAAACTCCTGTTCTCAAACAATCCTCCCACCTTGGCCTCCCAAGATGCTAGGGTTACAGGTGTGAGCTACCATGCTTGGATAATTAGTTCAATTTAAAAAAAAATGCCAAATTACATTCCTTATCTATAGGAAAAGCTAATCCTTAGTAAATATAGATTTACCTATACGTTTTTGTTAAATCTTACAATTTTTTTCAGTGTTTTTCTAGCAAGTAAGTGTATCTTTATATATTAAATTGTTCCTTTAGGGGAGAAATATATTCTTGAACTTGAAACATGTTAATAATATGTTTAAAATAATAAACTTTAAAAAGCTGTTTTTCTTTTCCCTAGACTGGATGTTGAATTTGTTCTCTCAGCACCTATTTCTGAATGGAATGGCAAACAGGGACATATTTCACCAGCTCTTCTTTCTGAATTTTTGAAAAGAAATTTGGACAAATCCAAAGTTCTCGTCTGCATTTGTGGACCAGTGCCATTTACAGAACAAGGAGTAAGGTGAGTAACAGTGTAGTAGGAAACAGACTGCCCAACACTGAAGTGAAGATCTTTCATAACAAGCATCTCTCAGTTCTTCCTGTTTATATGAAACTGCACTTTAATAATCTTACAGTTTTAGAAAATAACAAAGTCTTTAAATCTTCGTATAGTTTGAGTTGGAGGCCAGGATTATGCATATTGTTAGATAAAACATAAAAGTAAGTTACAGCCAGCAGTCAGTGTTCTCTGCTCGTGATGGCTGCCAATATTGTTACACTCACAAGATTGGTGCCACAATTCTTATTTGGGACATTAGGCCCAACCTCTTCTTCCATCAAAGCTTCATAATATATAGTAATTAATAAGGAATGTTCATCTCATTGTAGCTTTTGATCTTCATTCTCTGTAACTGAGTGAAAGTAAATAATATATGTGATCAAAAGCCAAGCAGCAAGACAAAAAGGGAAGACTAGAACACAAATAAGGCAAGACTAATAGTTGAAGCATGGATCATGAAAAATCAGTGGTAGTGGCGATCCTGTTTGAAATTCATCTTGATGTGATTTAGCTTTAAAATGGCACTTTAAAATATTTGGTTAAATATAGCCCCTATTGGATTTCTAGATAATTTTAAAATATGGCTGTTCTAAGTGCCCTATTCTTATTTAGTAGGTGACTAACCTAACATTTCTAGATGTTGATGAAAAAAGTCAAACTCTGTAAAATCTTTGAAGAGATTTATTCTGAGCCAAATATAGTGACCGTGGCCTGTGACACAGCCCTCAGGAGGTCCTGAGAACATGTGCCCAAGGTGGTCGGGGCATAGCTTGGTTTGATACATTTTAGGGAGGCATGAGACATCAATCAAATACATTTAAGAAATACATTAGTTTGGTCCAGAAAGGCAGGACAACTCAAAGCTGGATTGGGGGGGGCACGGGTTTCCAGGCTCTAGGTAAGTTTAAACATTTAAACATTTTCTGGTTGACAATTGGTTGAGTTTGTCTAAAGACCTGAGATCCACAGAAAGGGAATGTTCAGGTTAAGATAAAAGATTGTGGAGACCAAGGTTCTTTTGAAGTCTTACAGTGGCTGCCCTTAGAGATAATAGATGACAATGTTTCCTGTTCAGACCTTTAAAAGGTACTAGACTCTTAGTTAACCTCTTCAGGATTGGACTGGCCTGGAAGAAGAAGATCTAGCTATGTTAATAGGATTCTTTACAGATGCAAATTTTCCCCCACAAAGGACAGATTTGCAGGGCCATTTCAAGACATGGCAAAGAAACATGTTTTGGGGTAAAACATTTTTATTTTCTTCCTTGTCTCGTAATGTTATGCCAGAGTCAGGTTGGAAAGTAAGTCACGATATATGGGGTTAAATAAAACCCATCTGATGAGAATTTATGGTTTGTAGGGCATGACTTCCCAGACCCCTTAGATAGGAATTTGGGCAAGATAAAAAAAAAAAAAAAATCAGAGTTTAGTCCTCATAGATAATCTTATATCTTGCTTTTTTATTTAAAATTTTAATTGTAGAAAAGATTGACCCCCCAATCAATAAAAACATTAAAAACTTTTTTCTTGTCATATTTAAAATGTATTTTATTTTTAATTAAATATATTTCTATTTTAATGCTTTAAGAAAAATGTTGTTTTAGTTAAACTCTCTCAACTTAAAAAGATTTTTCAAGTTTCTGTGTAAACTTTTGCTCTTTTAAAGCTCAAGCAAAACTATTAAAATTACAATGAAGACTAACATAGTTTGAATATAAAAAATTTTTTATGAAAAAAGGCTAAGAGCTGTACTGTCTTCTGCTGTATTGCTTCTGCTATTTTAGAAGTATCTCAATGAGTACTTTACAGATTGCAATATAATAATACTTTTAAATAATTAGAATCATTTTTGCATTTTTAAAATTGACCATAAACTTAGGGAGGCCAAGGCAGGTGGATCACCTGAGGTCAGGAGTTCGAGACCAGCCTGGCCAACATGGTGAAACCCCATCTCTACTAAAAATACAAAAATTAGCCGAGCATGGTGGTGGGCACCTGTGATCCCAGCTACTTGGGAGGCTGAGGCAGGAGGATCGCTCGAATCTAGGAGGCGGAGGTTGGCAATGAGCCAGGATCGCGCCATTGCACTCCAGCCTGGGCAACAAGAGCGAAACTCTGTCTCAAAAAAAAAAAAAAAAAAAAAAAATTGACCAGAACCTATATGGCTTTCTTTTCTCAGTTTTACCTCAGAGCCAATCTTTCAATGCTGTGCTAACTGGCTTACCCAGAGTTGCTCAGGAGTATTTATTAATCATTACATGTGGATTCCTGCTATTACTCACTCCTGAACATGCTGCATAGAGTTGCATTCTGAGATGTAACTTGATTCAAATTAGTACTTAAAATTCATAGTAGCTGCCCTTGTGACTCTCAGTTAGGACTCATTTCTTTGGTTTCCTTATCCTCATCATCTTAATGGATGTGGTGTATTTTTCTTGATTAGCAATTATATGGGTTTCTTATTATAGTTTTTGCTGTTCTGAAAAATGAGTCTTTCTTGTGATTGTGATGTCCACTCCTAGAGTGCTGCAAAGTTAATCTCATGTCTGCTACATAGATTATATTAAAAATATAGCCATCCCAGACATATTCTCCATATTTGGTGAACATTTGTCAGTCTGTATGGTATGATAACAGAGAAAGACTCAGAAACCTATTTTTTAAAAAATACAGATAAGCAGCTTATCATTACTTGGCCAATAATGGTTCTTTATCCATTAAATATGTACTTTATTACAGAGGTTAGTAAAACAGTCTCTGCTTTCCAGGACCACACTATCTAGTGGTAGAAACAAATGCACGTGCTGATAACCAAAGTATGACTCAGAACACCACAAATATCTTACTAGAGATAAAATCAAGATGTTACAGGAATTCCGGGAGAGATGGGTTACTTTTACCTAGCGATGTGTGTGTTGGAGAGACAGGAGCTGCATGGTCAAAAAAGTCATGTGCACAGCATGTGGACTAAAACCTACCAGTCAAGAGAGATGGAGAAGGGGATAGTACAGGCAGGGAGAACTGGCAGATGCATTAGGGGTGCAGATTTATACAAAAGACTAGACTGGTTTGGCTAGAGTGAAGCTGCTTGCCTGGGAGAACAGGATGGAATGGTAGCATGGGCCCAGATACTGAGAGGCTTTACTGCTGCACTGTGTTGGCTTCAACTCCTGTGCCCTACTGGCCCTTTGTGTGAGTATGTGTATGCCCTCTGGGAGCTGCCAGCTGGGGTTTAAATCCCAGGTCTACCACTTACAAGCATCTTACAATCATTTGCTGGGTGTCCTAGGGCAGTTCTTAACCCTTCTAAGCTTTAGTGCACTTATCTATAAAAATGAATAAATAATAATACCTATGCATGTGAAGTGCATAGCAAAGTGACATTTATAATAGAGTAAGTGGTAAAAAAGTAGTTATTATACTATTTTCCTAGTTGAACAATACGCAGTATTTCTGCTTTTCCTGTTCAGTAGGGGGAGAATGAAGATAGAATCGTAGGGGAATCAACTCCTTTCTTTGAAAACTGGTGAATAAAGGGGAAAAAAATCAAACATTTATTCTCCCTTTGTTATATGAGCCATACTACTGAATAATCACATAATAAATGAGCAGACATTTTTCTTTATAGGATTCCTCAGCTGATTAATGAATAAAGAATGATAGAAGTAGAATATCACCAATTGCAGTGCTTAATGAACTAATGGATCTATACATAGATCATAATGGTAGCTAGCACTCAAAAAGAGAGGCAACCATTTATTACATGCCTCCAGATAGAGGAACATTACCTGTGAAATAGTCTTGTCAAAAAGATTTGAACCTGTGTCTGATCAAGCCTCTAGATCCATATATTAAGTTATGGAAAATATGAGGACATAAAGACATATTATTAAGGAATACCACAGGGATGTAGAAAAATGAAGGTTTTAGGAGACTCAACAAATAAAAATCTGATTTTTGTCAACAAATAAATTGCAGGATGGAGTGGGGGTCTGGGGGATCTTACAGATCAAAGGATGCCTAAAAGACTTATCAGCCAATCATAATGAGTAAATTTTAATTGGCTATTGATTGAAACTATTTTTTAAAATTATGACATTTATGAGCTAGTTGAAAATTTGAGCACTGCTTAGATATTTCATGATATTTAGGAGTTACTAATCACTAATTTTTTAAGAGGTGATAGTGTTTTTTTATTTAAAAAAAACTACATAGTGAATGGGGAAAATGAAAAAGTATCATGATTATGGTGGTAAACTGCTCTTATTTCTTCATTTTAAAGCATTTTCCCTAAGAAACATGTGCTTTTTATTTGTTTTTCAGGTTGCTGCATGATCTCAACTTTTCCAAAAATGAGATCCATAGTTTTACAGCATAATGAAGAGCTGTCATTGTCCTTTATTCAACTAGTTTATCTAAATTTGTGATTGCTTAGGGTTTTTTAAGAGAACATTTTTGTACATAACAAAAGGTTAACTAGAATCCAGCCTTCAGTTTCTTAAATGAAATCAAATGTTCCTTCAGTACAGGTAACTTCTTGGCTTTCTTTTGTACCACAACTTATTTTACTACTGATATTTGACCTGGAAAGTTAATCATGGCAACAAATACATACAGGATTCTTTGTTATGAATCACAAATTTCCTTGCCATTTAAATTATATCACTGTTCTACAATAAGCACTTGTGTTTTATGACATGATAAAGTAAATGATCACTTCGATCATGTTTCTATGCTGTAAAATGTCTTATTAGCAATACAGATTAAATTTTACCTTGCACTGTTAACTCAGGAAATGATCATTTATGTCCTTGTTATTAATGTTAAAACATAGAATGTTATAACTTATTAAGTGATCCAAACATTTTTTTGTGTGTGTATGGCATTGATGCAGAATAGAATAAAATTATACTTAAGTTCTTTTTAATCCTTGTGGTAGAAATGTGGTTGAATGCAACAATATTGGGCCAGCGTCTCAAGGGGAATTTTAAAAGGCAGCAATAAAATATATTAGAGACATGACACACATGCGCCTTTGGACTAGGTGTGTTAACAGAGCTTGAGAGAGGGAACCTTGACAGCTATTTTTACTCTTAGCCAAAAACAAAGACATTAGGAAAGAGAGTGAAAGTATAGTGTCTAGTTCCACAGCATAAAGTTATTATTTGGTGCTTTGGAATGGGTTGAATTTTAATTCTTTAGTCCATCTAAATCAGCTGGAAAAATGAGGAACATTCTGCCTTGAATGGTTCTTCCCCTGGTTGGCTGCTTTCTCCACAACTGGTGGTTCAGCAGGAAGCCCTCTTAGGTTCTTGCATGTGGGCAACTTATTTTCTCTTCCTGCTGCTTTGTGCAACTGTCAAATACTTTCACAGATTCAGATCAGCAAAGGGTATCAAGGATAGTCATTGTGAGCTTTTCGTGAGGAAACTGTTGAATGCATAGGTAGCTACTGTATAAGCTAACTAGGATTTTTCAGTCTTAGTACAGCTGCAATGTTTTCACAGAAATAGGGGATTGAAAGAGTCTCCAATTTCTCTGTAAATGATTTTGTAAACAGCTAAATCTTTGCTGAATGAATAATATACTCAAGAGGAACACAATATTAATATTCCCCAAATTACAGACGCCCAGCTTGTGAAGCTTCCTATGTGCAAATGGCTGGTTGAACACTATCACTTTTTCCTGTGCCTCTGTCTTCTGTAGCCAATTCCACCATCATCATTATTCACAAAGACAGGAATCTAGCTGTCCTGGACTGGTACTGTTCCCTGGTAGGTAACAAGAACTTTTTCTAGCTTCATGCCTTCCCCCTACTTATTTTTTTCCATCTAAGGGTGAGGTGATTTGGCTCTGTGTCCTCACCCAAATCTCCTCTCAAATTGTAATTCCCACATGTCGAGGGAGGGTCTTGGTGGGAGGTGATTGGATCATGGGAGTGATTGCCCCCATGCTGTTCTCATGATGGTAAGTGAGTTCTCATGAGATCTGATGGTTTAAAAGTGTGGCACTTCCTCCCCACCTCCTGCTGTATTATGAAGAAGGTCCTTGCTTCTTCTTTGCTTTCTACCATAATTGTACATTTCCTGAGGCCTCCCCAGCCATGCAGAACTGTGAGTCAATTAAACCTCTTTTCTTCATAAATTACCCAGTCTCAGGTAGTTCTTTATAGCAGTGTGAAAATAGACTAATATAAAAAGAGACTATTTACCACTTTTTTTTAGTTCATTTGCGATGTATCAAATCTAACTTAGCCAACATCTTTCTCATCTTTTCTAAGCCTCTTCTTTTTTCTCTCTCCTTTCCCAAGCAACAGAATCTCCTATTAGTCGCTATATGTAATGCTTCCTCATTCCTCCTTTTATGTTTTATATTTTTGTTTATATTTTATTTATATTTTGTTTATATTTTGTTATATTTTATTATATTTTGTTATATTTATATTTTGTTTATATTTTAAAACAAATCCATAAGTGTCTCCTGGGTAATCTCCACTGACATGATTTTATCAACTTACATGTTAATTCCCAAATGGGAGTGACTAATTTGAGAATCAGCTGAGCTTCAGTTTTCAATATCCATTTACTTCCTGCATACCACCCCACCATCCACCTAGTAAGCCATTCTAGAACTATTAGGAATCAACATCAATGTCCCCTTCTCCAGTCTGACTCTTCCATACCAGCTAACCCTGTCCTATCATCCCTCAGCTGGATTAGTACAGTAGCTTGATAATTCATCTTCATGCTGCAGTCCTGATCTCCTAAAATTCATTCTCCATTCCAGGGTATTCTAGAAGGACTTGGAGGAAAAAATCCCCTAAGTAGAGCCTCAGTCTTCCAATGAATGCAACCAAATACTGAGGAGCACAGATAGGAGTATAGTTTATCACTGTTATTCTCAAGCAAATAACTCAAAGACTCCTACATCACATATTTGCAGTGAAGAAGAATTACGCTCAAAGTCACATTTGCTTGCAAATTCTGCTTTTTTTAAAAAAAAGTTTATTAATTTTCTATTGCTGCTAGATCAAATTACTACAAACTTAGTAGCTTAAAACAACACCCATTTATTATCTCACAGTTCCATGGCACAGAAATCTAGGCACAATATGGCTCAACTGGGTCCTCTGCTTAAAGCCTCACAAGGCTGTAATCAGATTGTCAGCTGAGCTGGGCTCTTAGCTAGAGGCTGTAAGGGGAAGTCCCTAGATAAGAGTTCTTTCAGCCTCATTAGGTAGATTTCAGTTCCTTGCAGTTGTAGGACTGAGTTCCCCATTTCCTTGCTAGCTGTTAGCTGTGGGCTAGTCTTTGTTTCTAGAATTTGCCCACATTCCTTCTCATACTTTCTGTGTGGCCCTCTTCAGCATTAGTGGATGAATCTCATGCTTTCAGTCTCTCTGAATTCCCTTGTGGGCTTCTTCAGCATTGGTAGATGAATCTTATGCTTTCAATCTCTCTGAATTCCCTTTCTGCCATATCTTTCTTGCCCTAGCAAGAGTTCACTGCTTTTAAGATCTCATGTGGTTAGATTGGACCTATCCAGATATCCAGGGTAATCTTCCTATTTTAAAAATCTATAATTTTAATTATAGCTGTAAAGTCCCTTTTCCTATATAATATATTCAAAGGTTGCAGGCATTTGGGTGTTGACATCTTTGATGGGCACATTGTGTCTACCACAGGCTATAGAAAGAACAGAGAAATTTGTCCAAGATAAGATGATTAGGTTTTGTCTAGATAGGGGCCCTTGCTATGGGCCCTCAGTTTTTACCTTAATGTAACAGAACATGAGAGGAGCTTTGACACCCACCCCAAAAGAGTCAACTTCATTATGCTGGCAAAGGCATGGGTACAACCTGCTCTGTGATCTACCTTCTGAACCACACAAGCTTGTCCTGAACGAGGTTGGGGCTGAGTCTGTTGATAACAGACCCCCATTTTTGGGCAGAAAAAACAGATTCTGTATGATCTACAGTATTTAACATTGTGGCAAATAAATTATAAAGGAAAAATGGAATCTCAAGTAGTTACAGTCTCTTGGTGTCTTTCAACATTGGTTTTATTTTGAAGTCATTTTCACCCAGCATTGCAAGTTTAGCAGACCTCAAAACAGAATGCCAAAGTGATCTTAAAATTCAAAAATGAGTTTACTTTCTTTGTTAAAGTTCTCTTTTGATGCATATCCCCCATTCATGGAATGGAAGCATTATCTTGGGTGCAGCATTACACGTAGAGTTAAAATGTGGAAACAACCCAAACATCCTGATATGGTTTGGCTCTGTGTCACCACCCAAATCTCATCTTGAATTGTACTCTCATAATTCCCATGTGTTGTGGGAGGAACCCAGTGGGAGATAATTTGAATCATGGGGGCAGTTTCCCTCATACTGTTCTCATGGTAGTGAATAACTCTCACAAGACCTGGTGGTTTTATCAGGGGTTTCCGCTTTTGCATCTTACTCATTTTCTCTTGCGGCCGCCATGTAAGAAGTGCCTTTCACCTCCTGCCATGATTCTGAGGCCTCCCCAGCCATGTGGAACTGTAAGTCCAATTAAACCCCTTTTTTTCCCCAGTCTCAGGTACGTCTTTTATCAGCAGCGTGAAAATGGACTAATACAGTAAATTGGTACCAGTAGAGCAGGTGTTGCTGCAAAGATACCGGGAAATGTGGAAGCAACTTTGGAACTTGGTAACAGGCAGAGATTGGAACAGTTTGGAGGGCTCAGAAGAAGACAGGAAAATGGGAAAGTTTGGAACTTCCTTGAGACTTGTTGAATGGCTTTGACAAAAATACTGATAATGATATGGACAATGAAATCTAGACTGAGGTGGTCTCAGGTGGAGATGAGGAACCTGTTGAGAACTGGAGCAAAGGTGACTCTTGTTATGATTTAGCAAAGAGACTGGCGGCATTTTGCCCCTGCCCTGGAGATTTGTGGAACTCTGAACTTGAGAGAGATGATTAAGGGTATCTGGTGGAAGAAATTTCTAAGCAGCAAAGCATTCAAGAGGTGACTCAAGTGTTGTTAAAGGCATTCAGTTTTAAAAGGGAAGCAGAGCATTAAAATTCAGAAAATTAGCAGCTTGACAATGCGATAGAAAAGAAAATCCTATTTTCTGAGGAGAAATTCAAGCTGGCTGTAGATATTTGCATAAGTAACAAGGAACTGAATGTTAATTTCCAAGACAATGGGGAAAATGTCTCCAGGGCATGTCAGAGACATTTGTGGCAGCCTCTTCTATCACAGACCTGGAGGTCTAGGAAGAAAAAATGGTAAAAATGGTTTTGTGGGCAAGGCCTAGGGTCCTTGTGCTGTGTGCAGTCTAAGGACTTGGTGCCCTGTTTCCTAGCCACTCCGGCCATGGCTGAAAGGGGCCAACATGAAGCTCAGGCCATGGCTTCAGAGGGTGAAAGCCTTAAGCCTTGGCAACTTCCATGTGATGTTGAGCATGTGGGTGCACAGAAGTCAAGAAATGGGGTTTGGGAACCTCTGTCTAGATTTCAGAAGATGTATGGAAATGCCTGGATGCCCAGGCAGAAGTTTGCTGCAGGGGCGGGGCTCTCATGGAGAACCTCGGCTAGGGCAGTGCAGAAGGGAAATGTGGGGTTGGAGCCCCCTCACAGAGTCCCTACTGGGACACCGCCTAGTGGAGCTGTGAGAAGAGGACCACTGTCCTCCAGACCCCAGAATGGTAGATCGACTTACAGCTTGTACCAGGTGCCTGGAAAAGCTGCAGATACTCAACACCAGCCCATGAAAGCAGCCAGGATGGAGGCTGTACCCTGAAAGCCACAGGGCCAGAGCTGCCCAAGACCATGGGAAGCCACCTCTTGCATCAGCGTGACCTGGATGTGAGACCTGGAGTAAAAGGAGATCATTTTGGAGCTTTAAAATTTGACTGCCCCACTGGATTTTGGACTTCCATGGGCCCTGTAACCCCTTTGTTTTGGCCAATTTCTCCCATTTGGAATGGCTGTATTTACCCAATACCTGTACCCTCATTGTATCTAGGAAGTAACTAGCTTGCTTTTGATTTTACAGGCTCATAAGTGGAAGGGACTTGCCTTGTCTCAGATGAGACTTTTGAACTGTGGACTTTTGGGTTAATGCTGAAATGATTTAAGACTTTGGGGTACTGTTGGGAATGCATGATTGGTTTTGAAATGTGAGGACATAAGATTTGGAGGAGCCAGGGGTGGGATGATATGGTTTGGCTCTGTGTCCCCACCCAAATTTCATCTTGAATTATACTCCCATAATTCCCATGTGTTATACGTGGGACCTGGTGGGAGATAATTTGAATCATGGGGGTGGTTTCCCCCATACTGTTCTCATGGTAGAGAATAAGTCTCATGAGATCTGATGGTTTCATCAGGGGGTTCCGCTTTTGCATCTTACTCATTTCTCTTGCTGCCACCCTGTAAGAAGTATTTTTAACCTACCGCCATGATTCTGAGGCCTCCCCAGCCATGTGGAACTATAAGTCCAATTAAACCTCTTTTTCTTGGCTTAATTTCTTGGGTATGTCTTTATCAGCAGTGATTCTATTCCTATGAAATGTCTAGAACAGGAAAATCTATGAGACATAAAGTAATTAAGTGGCTGTTCAGGGGATACAGGAATAGGGGATAATAACTAAAGGGTTGGGAGGGTGTTTTTGAAATGCTAAAATATTCTGAAGTTTACTGTGGTTATGGTTGCACATACTTATGAATATACCTAAAAATGTTGAATTGTACATTTTAAGTAGATGAATTGTATCTAATTTGAACCATATCTCAGTAAAGATATAAAAATGTTTTTGGGTACTAAGACTAAACTAGAAAGAACATAAGAGGAAATACATATTATATAAGAAGAAAAGAGTAAAAATAAATCTTTAAAAAAATAAAAATAAAAAGGAGGCCTGTGTGCGGTGGCTCATGCCTGTAATCCCAGCACTTTGGGAGGCCGAGGCGGGTGGATCACCTGAGGTCGGGAGTTTGAGACCAGCCTGACCAACATGGAGAAACCCTCTCTCTACTAAAAATACAAAATTAGCCAGGTGTGGTAGCATAGGCCTGTAATCCCTGCTACTTGGGAGGCTGAGGCAGGATAATTGCCTGAACCCGGGAGGCGGAGGTTGCGGTGAGCCGAGATTGCACCTTTGCACTCCAGCCTGGGCAACAAGAGTGAAACTCCATCTCAAAAAATAAAACAAATAAAAAGGATTCTAGAGGAAGTGGTAAATAGTGAAGATAGGCAAAGAATATCCAACATATGAATAATAGTAGTCCTTGAAGACAAAAATCAAAGGAAAAGAATACTAAAAACTCTACTTAATGAAAAATCATCCTGAAATTAACAAGAAAAATTGAAATTAATGTTGAAAGAGCACCAGAGAGTATACATCCAAAAAGACCAACATTAATATAAATTTTAGTAAAATTACTGAACCATGAAAAGTAAATGCCTTTAGTTATCTAAACAAAAACTAATTACTTAAAAGGGAAAGAAAATTAGATCATCACCAGACTTTTCAACAGCATTGCCTTATGCTTTAAGAAAGTGTTGTACCACATTTGATATCCTGATGGAAAAAAATGTGAGCCAAGGATTTTACACCCAACAAAACTTAATGGTGAATATAAAGGCATAAACCAATATAGAATGCAAAAACTTGGGAAATATTGTTTTCCAAAGCCTTTCCTAAGTAATCTACAAAAGAACAAGCTTTAAACAACCAGAAAGACTAGAAAGTCATCAATAAAAGGATTGGAGAACATTAAACTTGTAGAACTAAAACAAAATGAGAGTTAAAAAAGAAAGAGTATAGGTATATGCTAAACTATTTCAGTAGTTTTGGCAGTGGTTGTATTAGTATTGTTATTCTGAAGATGTGAAATAATGCAAACGCATAATAAAAAATGTCATCTGGTCTCCAGTCTCTCTGTATTTTCCATTTAAATATTTCTGGGGTGAAGTGGATTAAAATTAGCTCTGCTGATCAAACTATTATTAAACTTTGAGAAGAATTTTCACTAAGTTAAACTCCTAGAGAACTGGGCTGTGAGATGGAATCAAAGGTTCACAATACTACCTCCCTCATGGTGTAGTCAGACCACACAAGATCTTTCCTATTTTTTTTTTTCTTAGAGTTTCACTCTTTTTGCCCAGGCTGGAGTGCAATGGCACAATCTCAGCTCACTGCAACCTCTGTCTCCTGGGTTCAAGTGATTCTTCTACCTCAGTCTCCTGAGTAGCTGGGATTACAGGCACGCGCTATGATGCCCAGCTAATTTTGTATTTTAGTAGGGACAGGATTTCACCATGTTGGCCAGGCTGGTCTCAAACTCCTGACCTCAGGTGAACCGCCCGCCTCAGCCTCCCAAAGTGTTGGGATTATGGGCATGAGCCACCACGACAGGCCACAAGATCTTTCCAGAGGAGAAAATGGCAATTTCACTCTTCTTTGTGAGACTGATTTTTAAGGCAATCACAGTTTCTGTCTTATCCACTAGTACTTCACTCTACACCTAAAGATTGTTAACTCCCCAAAATAATTTTATATGAACCAGGTGGAAGACTATCAGAAGCAACATGAGTCCTGGAAGGTGTAGTTTCCATAAGTAAAGTTCTCTGAGGGGGAACAGGAACAAGAGGGTTATTAGTAGTTTATGCTAAGGGTTTACAACATTCATGCTTTCAGTTTTTTTCAGAATGTGAGAAAACCAGGCTTGAGAAAATCATATCTTAGATAATCCATGCTAGGAAAAAAACAAGTAAACACTGGGAATTAAGTTAGGAGTTGTGCGCGTGAGCCATCTAGGTATACATCTGAAAAGGAATTAAAACAGCACCCAAACAGGCAAAGAATAGGGCCAAAGACAGTTTATATACCTATCTGTTGAGAAGATCAAGGCAAGGTTACTCCTCATTCAAAACTGAGCAAATTTTAAAAATCCACAATAGGATTTATTCTAGCATAATACAAAAATATAAGGAAAGGAGGAATATCATTCCAAGGATCCTGGAGGAAGAGCAAAGCTATTTTCATTGGTTTTACTTTGCACTTGTCTGATGTCTAACCAAGTTGAACATGTTAACACATGCTCATTGGCTATTGGTGTATTGTCTTCTGTAGGGCATCTATTTAATCTTTTGCCCATTTTTAATTGGGTTGTTTTCATATTGAGTTGTAAGCTTTATGTATTCTGGATACAGGACCTTGGTCAGATATGTTTTGTGAACATTTTCTTCGAATTTGTGATAAATCTTATGTGCATTTTTGCAGTTGTTAGTGCTTAGTTCAAGAATAAGCTTAGAGAAATATGTCAATTTGTTTGACCAAAATAAAAATGTAAAATAAGTAATAGTACATGCAGCAACTGTGAAGTTGATGTGTGAATAACTGAAACAAGGAAGAACTCCAGTGGCAGAGTGGGGAGAACTTTTGGAGCAGATAGACCTAAAAGGCAAGCAATTAATGACAAACAGGGCCATGAAGAGACACCTTCAAGTTTGGTCCAGTAATATACACATTAAATCATGAAAGCCATAATTCTAGCCATGAAGGCAAAGAACATACAGACATTGCATAAGCTTGGCTAGGTTAGAAGAAACAAACCACTTACATGTTGTAGTACATTTTGTTCATTGCTTTATAAACCAAAAAGTATCTGAGACAGGTCTCAATCAATTTGTAAGTTTATTTTGCCAAGGTTAAGAACATGCCCAGAAGAAAAAAACACAAAGTCACAGAAACAGTCTGTGGTCTGTGCCTTTCTCCAAAGATGAATTTAAAAGCTACAATATTTAAAGGGGGAAAGTGGGCTGCAGGGGAAAAAGGGAAGGGATAGTAATCCTCATGTTGCAAGAGAAAAGGAACAGGTAGGGGAATAGTTAATTATGTATTCATCGCATGCGCAGTAAATCAGCACTTTACATAAGATAAGGTGAACATAGAGTAGCTATTTGGAGATATTTATCCTTTTATATGTAGCTATTTGCTTAGGAACAAAAGGAAAGGTAGCATCTTGCATGACACAGCTTTCAGCTTAATTTTTTCCTTTTGGCATGGTGAATTGGGGTCCAAGTTTTTCTTTTCCTTTCACACTTATCCCCCCTTTCATTTTAAAATCTTTCAGAGAAGGCATTTTAAAAGAACTGAGTCTCTGGTCTTGGCTTTTGCCTGATCTCTTATGACTATGACAGTTTATTCCTAGATGGATAGGTCCCATGTTGTTAGGCAAGCTCATTTTAAGTAGGTTGTGAAGTCCCACATCCCATGAAGTAGAATTAGGGGGAGTAAGGGAGAAAGAGAACAGAGAAAAAAGGAGGAAATGAGAAACAAAAAAGGGAGAACAATCCTAGAAAACTGATACAGGCCATATTACCCTGAAGTCCATATATCAGTAGGCAGGTATGAAAATGGTTTATGTATATAAATATGTTGCTGTTATTTTCCATTGAAGTTTAAGTTGTCTAGCTTCGGTTCACAGGGCTTTAAGAAAAGTGCAGCTTAATTTTTTTTAGTGATTTCAAATCTGGGAAAATGGGAAAAAGGAAAAGAAATTGAAAACATTATTTTGGAGCTTTGTAGCTACAAAAAATTTAGGATTCAGTCCAAATTGCAGAAAATAATAGAAATGGAAAAACACTGGACAAGGCTAGAATGTATTAATAATAACAGGTGTACTGTAGTTTATTTTTAAATGTAATTTTTCTCTCTCCAATTCCCCAATTTTATTAAAGACAAAATGAGAGTAGTACCAATTATTTGTAAAATAAGTTTTAGTCTTACTATACTTGGCTTGATTATTTGCATAAAGTGCAGCAAGAGTCATCATTTGCCATATAGGCTCTCTTTAAAAAAAATGGCTTTGCTGGAAACTTTTCCATAAGGAATCTTTTTAAAAGTCTCAAGCTCAGCCAAAGATTTATCTGTGCCCACAGATAACTGAATGAATTGGGTTAATTCCTCTCTTTTTGAGGTCCCAAGAAAACTTGGGGTTCCTGGACCTGTCAGAAAGTGACATTCCTTACTTACCAGAAGTTAGAACCCTGTAAAGGACAAGATATGAGGCCAGCTATTCCAAGGGGCTCTTATCAATTCCATAAGTCAGCCTCATTTTCTCAAGGCCATCTGAAACTATGTCATTCCAGTCAAAAGCTTCATAAAATAACCATGTCTCCAGTTGTGTCTGGTTATGAAATAAATTCTTATTGAACTTATGCAAATAACTATATTGCCATAAGTTAAGAATACTGACAAACAGTTTCCAAATTTTGGAGAAATTAGGTAGAAAGAAATTATGTTTTAAATCTTGCTCATTAGAGTATACTTTGCTCAATTTTTAAAAGCTATAAATAGCTTAAAAGAAGAGAAAGTTTTCTTGACTCTGACAAAAAGTATCAGCAAATGTTTATTTACATTATCTACATTAAACTTGTAGAACTAAAACAAAATGAGAGTTAAAAAAGAAAGAGTATAGATATATGCTAAACTACTTCAGCAGTTTTGGCAGTGGTTGTATTAGTATTGTTATTCTGAAGATGTGAAATAATGCAAATGCATAATAAAAAATGTCATCTGGTCTCCAGTCTCTCTGTATTTTCCATTTAAATATTTCTGGGGTGAAGTGGATTAAAATTAGCTCTGCTGATAAAACTATTATTAAACTTTGAGAAGAATTTTCACTAAGTTAAACTCCTAGAGCACTGGGCTGTGAGATGGAATCAAAGGTTCACAATACTACCTCCCTCATGGTGTAGTCAGACCACACAAGATCTTTCCTATTTTTTTTTTTTCTTAGACAGAGTTTCACTCTTTTTGCCCAGGCTGGAGTGCAATGGCACAATCTCAGCTCACTGCAACCTCTGTCTCCTGGGTTCAAGTGATTCTTCTACCTCAGTCTCCTGAGTAGCTGGGATTACAGGCACGCGCTATGATGCCCAGCTAATTTTGTATTTTAGTAGGGACAGGATTTCACCATGTTGGCCAGGCTGGTCTCAAACTCCTGACCTCAGGTGATCCTCAAGTCATAAAATAGTATTTCAGTATTCAGTCCTGTTCTGCTTGATATTGGATCAGTAAACTTCATGAATACATTTGGCTCTCCATAAAAGTTCTGGAAATTTTTCACTCTATTCCAATGGCACAATTTCTGTATCTTTTTTTTTTTTTTTAAGACGGAATTTCGCTTTTGTTGCCCAGATGGGAGTGCAATGGCTTGATCTCGGCTCACTGCAACCTCCGCCTCCTGGGTTCAAGTGATTCTCCTGCCTCAGCCTCATGAGTAGCTGGGATTACAGCCGCCCACCACCACGCATGGCTAATTTTTTGTATTTTTAGTAGAGATGAGGTTTCACCATGTTGGCCAGTCTGGTCTCGAACTCCTAACCTCAGGTGATCCACCCGCCTCGGCCTCCCAAAGTGCTGGGATTACAGGTGTGACCCACCATTCCTGGCCCAATGGCATAATTTCTAAATTTATCAGAAACCTATATTTAATAATACTCCTCAGAGTTATAGCTGATTATAAACCACCCTATAAAAGGATCAAAGTAAGACAACAATTGTGAATGACAAAAGTCTTAGCCATGGTTAAAGATACAACTGACAAGGAAATTTTGTTATTTCTGTGTCAATTTTACATAACAATCATAATTACTACTGATAATATATACTAAGACATATCAGAATCACAGGAATCTCATATAATTTTGGAACGCCTACTAAAAGCACGTTTATGTAAATAAAAGAAGATTAAACACCATTTCATATTTGGCAATAATTCCTGTATGATTTTATTATACCAAATAAGCCAAATATATCTCCTTTGGACTTCAGGGGGCCTAATATCAAAACAGTAATGAGGTCAAAAAGATTGAAGTTAGAATTTGATTTTGGAAAGTTTTTCAAAAAACAAAAGTTTAAAACACTTGATATCACAAAATAGGATCACAGGTCATTGTAAAATAAGTCATTCATTTAGCCAAAGTAATAATTCAAAGATTTGGGGAAAAGAAAGCAAAAACTTTTAGAGAGGGGAGACTTACTTTCCCAAATTATAAGCCCTAAGAAAGACAGCATGAGGCCAATTAAATCTGTCTCTCAAATCTTATAAAAAAACTATTAAACGTTAGTCATCTTGACCATAATATATAGTTTCTATAAACATTTTTATAGCCTGTTTTTTATTAAAAAGTTAGTTAATGCTCCAAGAAAACCCTGTTAATCTGACACAGGTGCCCACATGCTGATCTTTCATCAGTGTGCCTTTGATATTAATGTTTAATTCATAGAGAAACTCTGAACTAATGTTCTCTCTCAAAATTGGCCCTTACAATCTCACACACCCACCACTTCTGTGATAGTCCCTGGGCCTAGGGGAGTTGAATAGTTTTCATTTATGGCACTATGTCTCACGAATGTACTTTATTTGATTGTCATCTTCTCCCAAATCTGAAGATGATAATTTAACTGCTGTCACTGTTTAAGATTTAGCAGGACTTGGTGTCCTTTTTAGATCTAGGAGTCAAAGCCCTATAACTTAACAGCATGAGGACTTTAAAAGCAATACAGAAAGTTATATGGATGTAATAAACTTATTTTTTAATCTCAATTTTCTAGGCAAATAAAAAGTTTACTAACAATGACATAGGAATTATTTCAATAAAACATAAAATCTGTTAGGCTGGTTACCAAAAGGAAAAAAAAAAAAGAACTTCTGCAGTGTGATTGCTTTTCATTATGGGGAGTCTGTTTGGATAATCTGCAAGTCAAAATGAATGAAGATAGTGCTTGAATTAGTTAGACAGAGGAAGAGTGTATCCTGGGTCATAAGTGAAAGTTTTTGATTTCATAAAGTCAAGAGCCCAGAATGTTATGTTAGAAGAAAACATTTCCTTTTAGAACTTTAAGATAAAGCGTTTTTAGCAGCAGGCCACAACATCAGTTAGAACCTAAGGAAAAAAGGTTACAGGAGCTGATGAAAGAGTTGAAGAAGAAAGTTATTATCTCAGGCCTTCTCAAAGGGTAAACAAAGCTAAACACAGTGAGATGCAATAAAAGAACTTTTGGGTTTAAAAATTTAAAATCTCTTGTAATTTTATTAAAAATAAATCAGTACCTTTTAATATCTTTTATTAAGAGTAAATCAATTTCCTTTTAATTATAGCCAACTTGATCACATAGGTTTTTTTCATAAATTCACTTTTTACAAACCCTATTACAATTTACACAAACCATTTATGACATGTTTGGACTTCCTGTTTTATCCTAAACATTCTTTTTTCTTAAATAACCAGGCATTTTATTTTAGGGCAAAAAATGTATAATACAAAATTGTTTCTCATATAAAATTATATTCCTTTTAATACCTCTTTATATTTACAACTTTCTTGTCATCTCTCTTACTTAATGGTTCCTTTACCTTGTTTTATAAATAACCTTTAAATAACCTTTGAAGTAGACAAAATTTTTTTTTTAATAAGGACCCATTATTTTTTAGAAAAATGTTTTCCTGTAATTTTTTTAAAATATTGGAAAGACCCATTTAATTAATATTTATTATTAATTTAACTTTAGATTCTAAATTATATGACAAGTTTTTATAAGCATTTATTCCATTATACTTACCTAATTAATTTCTTAATATTTTACCTAGATTCGTTATGAAAACTATGATAATCATTTAAAGTTATTTCCCTATTATCCATTTTTATAGCCTATGGATTTCAGGTGTTTATCTAAGTAAGAACCTTAAGGTTAAATAAATAGGTGGTGGGGGAGTTGCCAATAATTCAAGATTTAGTTGTTTTAGTTAAACCAATTGAAACCAGCCTTGTTGTCTGGGGTGTCACCGAAAGTTCTTGGTCTCATGGCTGAGGAAATCAAGGACCTGGACACTCCAAAGGTGAAGTTAGAGCAGAATTTTAATAAGCAAAAGGAAGAAAGCTCTCTGGCACCAAGAGGGGTCCTAGAAAAATGGGTTGCCATTTTACAGTGAAATGCAAAGGTTTTTATAGACAAACTGGTGGGGAGGTGTGTTTCATTTATATACTGCACAAAAAAAATCAGGAGTAGGTGTTTCATTTGCATATGGCACAAATTTCTGACAGTCTTCACCCCAACCTTTCTAGTGCACATGTGGGCTCCTTAGTCTGAGTTACTCCATCTTGCTTATCTCTTCCTACTGCGTATGTGTGGAAAAAAAAAAAAGAGGAGAGGGTCAGAACCCTCTGTGGTGGATGTGCCTGGTCCAGGGTCGCTCTTCTTATCAGTGCTGCTGCAGGCACTTCCCCTGTGCAAGCCTCCTTGTCTGAGCATTTCCAAGAAGGGAGAGGAATGTGCTCTACTTGGGCTCAATATATATCAGCAAAACTTGTTGATTACATACGAGGTCCCATTCTGTGTTAGAACTTGCCTTCCTTATCTGTGTTTGCAGCCTGATCTTTCAGGCTGCTCTTTGCTAAAAGAGAAATGACTTGTTGGGCTGCTTTTTGTTAGAAGAGAAGCTGCTTTTTGTTGGAAGGGAATTCTACTGAGGACTCTAGCCCTAACTATCTGCCTAGTTGATTTCTTTCTCTCTTCTCTCTCACAATAATATTAAATTTCTTATTTATCAAAAAATTATATAAGATAAAATTCTCTTTGGGGCTACATTTACAGCTTTATAACTCATGCTAAATCTTGATACCTCATAATATTTAGCAGAGATAAATAGAAAACTTCCTAGCTAATAAATCTAAACAATAATGTAGGCTGACAATTCTGAAGACATTTCTAATTTTATTTTACCAATAACTTTAAAGCCAGCTTGTTTATTTGCAATTTACTTATGTCACGTGAACTTGCAAAGCATTTTGGCTCATTTACTTAATTCCTGAGTAGTCCTTTATTTCTAATCCAATTTGGTACCTTGTGGCCACAACACGTAACAAAACACATGTATGTACACCTTAACTCACCTAAGCATGCATACACATATGTACAGATAAACACATCTAAGCACATACACATACTCGTACAAATAAAGATCCTATAGCTTTTACTTCAGAACTCTACTCATGAGATATTAATACAAACTTACCAGTTTACCACAAATGGTTGGATGCAAATAGTGTTTTTTTTCTCAACACCAGTAGAAAGGTCCTTCAAATTGGAAAAAAAAAGTACATTTTCTTAAGCAAAAATCACATCCTCATTGTTTTTTTTGCAAACTTCACCAAAACCGCATCTTATTCTCCTACTATTCTAACTCTCAGTAACCCTAATTCCCAGAGAAAACATAGGATTACTTAATTTAACATAACATGACCTTAAGATTTTAAATTGCTGGAGAAAATTTTGAGACTAAATTAACCAAATTAATCTTACCAAAGATGACTAACGTCATGTGAACTGAAAAGCCTCTGAGCTAGCTTCTATTAGTCTGACAAATGTTTACTTTTCTTTAAGCCAACTAATTAGATGTCTTTCATATAATTGGTACTGAAATATTTTCACATGACACATATGAACATACAGACATAATAGACTCAGAGGCAGATCTTATAGATTTAAAATTTTTCATTTGCTAGTATTCAAAAATTCTCTCTTCCCTACTTTAGACTATGAACCTCTTCATTATCTGTTCCATGTCCTAAATCATTGTTAACTAGGTAATTCTAAATTTGCATCTCCAAAGATATGAATCACGTGAAACAAGGTAGAAAATGTACAACTCAAAGGCACAGGATTAGATCTAAACAAAGACAAGTTTTGTTATGTAAACTTTAAGCTATTGTCTTACCCCTAGTTAAAGTTCCATTAGGAACTTTAGGTGCAGAGACAGATATGCCCTTACAAAATGTAAATTTCCTTTAAAGGTGGTATTTTCAACTTAGCTGCTTAATTAGATTACTGGCTTTAGGGTGGAGGCCTTTAAGGAATGGGGCGAAGAAAGTATACAGGATTTTCTTATCTAAACATTAAAAACAAAGAGTAGTCGTCCCCTATAGTAATGACCATTTCCTGTAAACTGCCCTCAACCACCCCTAACATTGTAGCTCTCATGCAGCATTACACACGCCAAAGGCAAATACTCTCACAGTACAAGGTGATCTCTGGTACTCCCAAAAGCCAAATAAATCAGGTAATGCGATACAAGAAAGCAGAGCTTTAGACCTGAGAAGAATCAGCACATGACTGTTGAAACTCCACAGCAAATCAGAACAGCTCAAAAAGGGGTGAGTGGCACCTTAATTCTGAGTTCTTTAAGGGGTCTGAGTCATTAGAAGCCTTCTCTATTTTCTTTTCACTTGGTACTGAAGATGGCAAAAGGAGAAGGAGATGTTAGATATGAGTTCTAAATTTCTTTTCAAAGAATCAATATGTCAGTATGTTCAATTCTTTGCCTTCTACTTTTAAACTTAACTTCCTCATAAAGCAATCTTTGTCGATTACCTGCTCAACCCTGACTGATTTCAATCACCTGTTCCACCCCGACTCACTCCGTTTACCTCCTCCACCCTGACTCATTCCGATGACCTGCTACCTGCTCCACCCTGACTCATTATCCACCCTGCATAACCATTTTTCCCGCCAAACCACTCACCCCCACCCCCTCACTCTCTTTAAATTAGCCAGTTGGAATTAGTTTATCCTGTGCAGTCTAACCCTAGCCAATAGGGGAATGACACAGCAGCAAGGGCCACGTGCGTCAGGGATAAGAACCCCTTCCCCTCCCTTGTCCAAGTGTGCGCTCACCATTGCTCCACTCTTCTATAGAAGTACCTTGCCTCGCTGAGAATTAAAAAGAAAATATTATATTCAAGTGCTATTTCTTTTGTGGCACCAAAACTTTATAACAGACAAATAGAGTAGAAGAAAAGTAAATGAGAGGACAATTTTTAAAGAAAGGAAGTGAACAGAGAAACCAAATGCGTGCCTTTTTTTTTTTTTTTTTTTTTTTTTTTTTGCAGCTGCATGGAATTTTAGTGAATCCAGAGGCCTTGTTCCCCGTAATTTGGAGTTCTCCTTCGAATTTGACCAACTCAGGTAGAGTTAATCAAATCTGATGGAAGAAAACCAAAATAACAAAACAAATATGATTACTGAGGACTTTTAATGGTAAGGAGAAGTTAAGACCAGTTACTTGTCAATCTTAACTTTTAGTCACTAAGGGGAATTTTCAAGACAAAACTCTAATTGAGCTACTTACCTAGGAATGAGGCTCACGCTGAACACTGCTGTCTACCATCTATGAAGCAGGAAAAAACTCAAACTCACTTTCTCTGTTGGAAGGGAGCAGAAACTCCAGAAAGGACTTGCTGGCCCTCCATCATCATGGAAACAGGAAAACTAATCTTCCTTGTTGGAAGTGAGTAAAACTCCAGGAAAGGAGTTATAAAGCAAAATGAACCTTAGACCTCAACCAAATTTGGGGAGAGCAATGATTCTCTGAAGGGACCTCCCAGACCTCAGCAAATTGTATTATTGGTTTGAGCAATAAAGATAGGCCAAGCTGGTACCAAGCATGGATGGATTTGTCAAAGATCAGGCCACCTCATCTCTTCCATTGGCCACCAGTTTATAAACCAAAGAGTATCTGAGACAGGTCTCAATCAATTCAGAAGTTTATTTTGCCAAGGTTAAAGACATGCCTGGAAGAAAATAACATGGACCCACAGGAACAGTCTGTGGTCTGAGTCTTTCTCCAAAGATAAATTTCAAGGCTTCAATATTTAAAGGGAAAATGTAGGCTGGAGGGGAGAGGGGTAGAGTATAGTAATCCCCATGTTGTAAGAGAAAAGGAGCGGGTACGGGAATAGTCAATTATGTATTCATCTCATGCTCAATAAATTGGCACTTTACATAAGATAAGCTACCTCTGGAATCATTTAACTTTTTATCTCTAGCTATCTGCTTAGGAACAAAAGGAAAGGCAGCTTCTTGCATGACTCAGCTTTCAGCTTCATTTGTTCCTTTTGGCATAATGAATTGAGGTCCCAAGTTCTTATTTTTCTTTCACAGCTTTATATCAACTGGGAACTTGGAAGTAAAGCTAAAAATGTGTTGGCAACTTTCTTTTTCAAATTCAGTTTATGTTCTGACACAGGATTTTCTAATTAGCCCTCTTAGGCCATGGTAATTGGAACAGCAAGGGGACTGTTTTTATTGGAGTGTCTACATCTACACAGTCAGCCTGTGTAGATGTCCTTAAAATAAGCAAAAAGAATAGACGGAGATGAAATTGGAGAGAGAGAGAGAGAGAGAGAGAGAGAGAGACAATGCTGCATTACAATTCTATTTCCTCATTTAAAACATGCTGAGAAAAGCAGTTATTTGTGCTCTGCAATTGCTCTTTAAACATGTGTAAAGGAAAAGCCTGAAATTTTTAGTAAAATACATCCAAGTGTTTGTTAGGCTGAGGGTTTCCACATTCTGAGCAAGTTATTTTATTTATACAAGAATTGTCACAGGCAATTGTCAGAATAGCCACCTACTTGAGGGAAAAAAATCACAGAAAAACATTACACAACATCTAGGTTTTGTTACATTTCATATATTTTGTGGTGTTTTTAAATATACATACTTGTCATATTTTAAAATATTGAATTTATTATTCTAAACTGTGAGGTGGAAATTCTGCACAATAAACCATTAGAAGAAAGTACGCTCTCCCTCACCTAGTTAGGAAGTGGCAAAGGAAACCAAGGACAGGGTTTCCTGCACTCAACGTAGTTTCAGGAAGAGTACAGATTCAAAAGTACTATGAGAAAGTGCCACCTGTGCACTCAGTAATAAAACCCTGGAGCTCTGTACTATTATGCCAGAATGATTCTCTGAGATAACTACCAGTTCCCTCAGGCCCCAACATACAAGCTTGGGCTGCAGAGGAAGGCCTTACATTTGTGCACGAGGTGTTTTGTTAGATGTAGAGCAAAATTCTTGGAGGTGTGTTCACACCTAAATATTCTATTTTTTGTTCTCTTGACCATTAAAACTTAAATAATAATGGCCAATATTTATATAGTGCTTTTCTTTTCTGAATTTTTAATTTTTATGGGTACATAGTAGGTGTATATATTTATGGGATATATAAGATATTTTGATACAGGCATGCAATATGTAATCATCCCCTCAGGGTAAATGGAATATCTGTCACCTCCAGCATTTATCCTTTGTGTTACAAACAATTTAATTACACTCTTAGTTATTTTTAAATGTACAATTATTGTTGACTGTAGTAACCCTGTTGTGCTATAAAACACTAGGTCTTATTCTTTTTTTTCTATTTTTTGTACCCATTAACCATCCTCACTTCCTTCCAATCTTCCCACTATCCTTCCCAACCTATGGTAACCATCCTTCTTCTCTCTATCTCCAGGAGTTCAATTGTTTTAATTTTTAGCTCTCACAAATAAGTGAGAACGTGCAAAGTTTGTCTTTCTGTGTCTGGCTTATTTCACTTAACATAATGACCTCCAGTTCCATCTATATTGTTGCAAATGATAGGGTCTTCTTCTTTTTTTATGGCTGAATAGTACTCCATCATGTACATATACCACATTTTCTTTGTCCATTTGTCTGCTGATGGACACTTAAGTTGGTTCCAAATCTTGGCTACTGCAAATAGTGCTTTAATAAACATGGGAGTGCGGATATCTCTTTAATATCTTGATTTCATTTTTGGGGGGGTATTACTAGTAGTGGGATTATTGGATCATATGGTAGCTCTATTTTTAGTTGTGTAAGGAACCTCTAAACTATTTTCTAGTAGTTTTAGTAATTTACATTCCCACCAACAGTGTACAAGGGTTCCCTTTTCTCCATATCTTCAACAGCATTTGTTATTGTCTGTCTTTTGGATAAAAGCCATTTTAACTGGGGTGAGATGATGTCTCATTGCAGTTTTGATTTGCACTTCTCTGATGATCAGTGATGTTTAGCACCATTTCATATAACTGTTTGCTATTAGCATGTTGTCTTTTGAAAAATGTCTATTCGAATATTTTGCCCATCTTTAAATCAGATTATTAGATTCTTTTTCTATTGAGTTGTTTGTGCTTGTTATATATTCTGGTTATTACTCCCTTGTCAAATGGGCAATTTGCAAATATTTTCTCCCATTGTATGGGTTGTCTCTTCATTTTATTGTTTCCTTCAGTTTGCAGAACCTTTTTAACTTGATGTGATTCCATTTATCCATTTTTGCTTTGGTTGTCTGTGCTTGTGGGCATTACTTAAGAAAATTTTTCCCCAGATCAATGTCCTGGAGATTTTCTCCAGTGTTTTCTTGTAGGAGTTTCTTTGTATAAGGTTTTATATTTAAATCTTTAATCATTTTATTTTTGTATATGGCAAGAGATAAGTGTTTACTTTCATTCTTCCACATATGGATATCTAGTTTCCCCAGCACCATTTATTGAGACCGTCATTTCCTCAATGTATGTTTTTGGAGCCTTTGTCAAAAATGAGTTCACTGAAGATGTATAGATTTGTTTCAGGGTTCTCTATTCTGCTTCATTGGTTTATGTGTCTGTTTCTATGCCAGTACCATGCCGTTTTGGTTACTATAGCTCTGTAGTATAATTTGAATTGGCAAAGTGATTCCTACAGTTTTGTTCTTTTTGCTCAGAATAGTTTTGGCTATCCTGGATCTTTTGTGGTTCCTTAAAATTTTTCAGATTGTTTCTTTTATTTTGTGAGGAATGTCATTGGTATTTTGATAAGGATTGCATTGAATCTCTAGATTGGTTTGGGTAGTATGGACATTTAAATATAATTGGTTCTTCCAATCTATGAACAAGGAATATCTCTCCATTTTTTTGTGTCACCTCCTCAATTTCTTTCACCAGTGTTTTATAATTTTTATTATGGAAATATTTCACTTCTTTGGTTAAATTAGTTCCTAGGTATTTAATTTTCTTTGCAGCTATTGTAAGAAAAACTGATTAAGGTTCGAGAGATTTGTCTGTAAAGTTTTATTAAAGATTGGGGTTGACATTAAGAGTACACTAATGCAAGGGTGAAATTTGGCTTTCTCTCTTGAACAAGATTTTCATCTAATGTTAAAGGATAACGAAATATTTTTGCTTGCCTTTTAAATAAACTACAGGAAAAAGAAGGGAAAGACAAGAGACGGATTGGAAAGCTAAATGTTCCCTCTATCAATAAGTAAAAGTTTTTGCCTTTTTGAAGTTTTTGAGTTATTATTTTGGCAAAATAAATAACTTATGGTGACCTGGAATTCTATTTTATAATATCAAATGTTTGAAATCTTTAACATATTTGACAGGCCTCCCAAAATCAAATTTCAGCTTCAAAATTGTCTTTTCCAACCTCTAACTTTGGGATACTACAGAGGGCCCCTGAAGCATCCAAAAGATAGGTAAACAGGATTATTTGACATGTTAAGTTACATGGGAAGTATTGTCAAAATAAAAAATAATGTTTACTTTTCTTCAGGTTATATTTTAGCGAATGTTAATATATGTTCCAAAATTGTATGGGATTTCTAAAATTCTAATATGACTAAATATATACTATCAATCATAATTATGGTTACTGTATTAGTCCATTTTCATGCTGCTGATAAAGACATACCTGAGACTGGGCAATTTACAAAAGAAAGAGGTTTCATTGGACTTACAGCTCCACATGGCTGGGGAAGCCTCACAATCATGGTGGAAGGCAAGAAGGAGCAAGTCCTTCTTACATGGATGGCAGCAGGCAAACAGAGAATGAGGAAAATGCAAAAGTGGAAACCCCAGATAAAACCATCAGATCTTGTGAGACGTATTCACTACCATGACAATAGTATGGGGGAAACCACCCCCATGATTCAATTATCTCCCACTGAGACCCTCCCACAACACATGGGAATTATTGGAGTACAATTCAAGATGAGATTAGGGTGGGGACACAGAGCCAAACCATATCAGGTATTATGTTAGTTATTGTAGATCACAGAAATAACCAAATTTCCATGTCAATTGTGTTTTTATGACTGTTTAAAGTCATTTCTACAGTTAATTGCTTAATTCTGATGCAGTTTTTGAAAACTTCACAAGCACTGAAAATCCTAGAATATGATATATTTTAGGAGGTTTATGAAAGGATGGAACGGACCCTGAAAAGCACTCTTGAATACAGGTAAGAATTCCTATAACTTTAATGAAAAGGCTGACTGGTTTATAAAACCACTAACCCAGGTAGAACAAAATTAATTGAATACCAAGAAAATACTTTGCCAGATTTTCATGCTAAATCAACCAATACTGAAATTGTTTAGATACACAATTTAAATGAACTCCATGGTCTAAGTCAAATTACCTATGACAACCCATTAGTTGTCAGTGCTACGCACCTAAATTGGATAAACAACTGGTATTCAAGAGAACATAAGTCCAACATTAAGCATGGGCTCACGGAGAACCAGGAGGGCTGCCTTGTCCTTTCTGAGTTCTCAAAACTTTTGTTATTAAAGGTTTTGCATTCTGTGACTCATCATGGAAAACATAAAATGATCCAAATTAAATATATATTGGTGTGGTGATTTCTAAATTGCTAAAATAGTTTATGACCAATGTTTGGTTTGTGAAACCCATATTCCTTGGAAGACAAAGCTTTAGGTACGTTTGGCAACTTTATGGGCCATTCAGACATTTATAGAGGGATTTCATTCAGTTGTCATTTTCAATGCATGTTTTCTGGTTGTATAAAAGCTTTCCCATGCAAGAGGGCTGGCATTATAACAGTAGATTATTATACCACCATGTATTTTCACCAGGTAAAGAAAGCATTTCATGGTTCACTTATTGAGGACCATCAACCACTTCATAATTTAGAACCTGAAGATCGGATCTTCTGAGAACCTCAGAGAAAGACTGCCCTTGTCATCCACACTGCAGCAAAACTTCAGGACCTTGAACCTTGGGCTAATAATTTCACAACTGAGACGGCTTCATCTACACCCTTGGAACTATACCCATTAGAACCCTTAAGGTAAAGCTAACCAAGGAAGTTTCTACCCAGAAGAAGATTGCATCCTTGATATGAACAGCTTTTTCCCAAGATCATGCATCAAGACTTCTCTACTATCATGAGACTCTTACTTTGAATATTTTTCCCTTGCTTATGCCTCTATGAACAATAGAAGTGAAAAGGGGGTCTGTTGTGTGTACTAATTGTGTATACTTTGATTTGTGAAGGATTTTGAAGCCAGCCTTATACATGGATAAGCTTATACCTTGATAGATGGAAGATGAGGCGCAATGAAGGTAAGAAATTTTAAAGGTACATATGTGGCCTCATAGTCAGAAATAACACATTTGTTCATTCTTCTTAACCCACATCATGGGTTAAAGAGAACAATGCCAGGAGGCCTTCACTCTTCTAGAAGGGCATTATTTATTAGGTCCTTTTCCACCATGGTTTGGGGTAAAAGAGACAGTGACTAGAAATTTATCCCTCATAATAAGCTCTATAGCAGATTCTATTGTAAAGGCTATGGTTGCAAAACAGACTTTAAATTCTCTTGTGAAAGTTATGCTAAATAATGGAATTGCTGTAGATTACTTACTGGCTAAACAGAGAAGTGTCTGTGCAGCTGCTGGCACTTGTGGCCTGTGGAGAAATACATCACATCAGGTATTACAGAGATTCAGCTGTAGGGGATTAATGAAGAGACTGCTTAGTTAAGTAGGCAGACCCTTTATCTAGCTTATTCTTTGATCTATTTAATTTTAGGTGGTTTGGATATGGGGATCTTGGGTAACTCTTCGTGTTATGCTCCGATATTCATGATAGTAGTCTCCCTGATATACTGTATTCTCTTAAAAGATTTAAATTTTTGCATGCAGCCATCTCTAGAAAGTCAAATGGTCTCTCCAACTGGAATGACAAGAGCTGAAAGAAATGTGTGACCCTGAGGGCACTGTAACCTATAAATGACATGCTGAGACCAGAAACCCAAAATGGTAGTAACTAAGAGTGACACAAAAGCCCTAAGTTTTGGTCACACTCTCACCTAAGTGAGAACCTGACCAAAAAGGGGAGTTTTTTAACAAAATTATGGGAGGCCATTGTTTTTGACTGAACTCATGCACAAGGCCCCAACAGAGCAGACCAAACCAAAATGGAGTCACTCATACTACCCGTGACATAATCAAACTAAGACTTTAAGGAAACACACAGATCCTAGAAGAGACCAGGTTTTGGGTTTTTTCCTCCTGTTTCTCCTGTTTGTTTGTTTGTTTGTTTGTTTGTTTGTTAACAGGGGAAAAAAAACCCAAACCTGGTCTCTTCTAGGATCTGTGTGTTCCACCATAGAGTAGAAGGTCCCTCCTTGTCCTAGAGAAGATCTAGAACACATTTCTAGGACAGAATGTATAAGCCAGCCTTATCCATGGATAAACTTATACCTTGATAGATGGAAGATGAGGCCCAATGAAGATGAGAAACACATATCTATGACATTCCAGCATAAGAATCTAAGGTATAATTCCTACATGACAGGAATCTGCTCCATTAACAGTTGGTAGATCTCACTTGTAAAACTGTTTCAGCCCTCTTCTCCGAACCCAAGAGCAGTTTTTAAAATTCCTTTATAGATTATATTTAATATTTTTAAGTCTATTTGGTTCTGTGACTTTTTCTTTGAATCATTTTTGCTAACATGTTACCTAGAAAATGGTTAATTTAGTCTAACTTTTCTAATTTATTGGCAAAAAATTTGTTCACATTGTTTTATTTTTGGTATTCTTTCTATATATGCAGTTAAAGCCATTTTTTTATTTCTACTGTTTACCTGCTCTCTCTCTCTCTCTCCTCTCATTCATCAATACTTTCAAAGTTTTAGTTATTAGCATTTTTTAAAGAATTAGTCTCTGGTTTTGTCATTTCTCTCTAATGTACTTTTGTCTTCAATATCATTACTTTTGCTCTTACCTTTGTTATCTATGAAATGCAGCTGCTTTGCTGCGACTCCTTTTATTCCTAGGACTAGGGAGCAGAGCTTGAGAGGAGGAAGAAGAAAGTGTACTATTTTTGAAATGAAATTAAGCCAAGAAAAATTGAGGCTGGCATTTCCTCTGAGAGGTGCTAGACTCAAGTTGTTCTTTAAAGGAAAAATTTTGAAACCCTTCTTTGGAGCTTTTGGAGAGCCCTAGAAGGTATGTTCCAAGGGAATATTTTCAGAGAATGTTAATGTTGTTTTTATTGCATAACAAATTTCTAGGTAACCTTAGAGTCAAGAGAAAAAGGATCTTCTATTTTCTTAAAACACTGATTCACTGCAGAGCTCATAAATGCTAAATTACAGCATGGCAGGCAAGTGAAAAGAAAATAAGAAAGCAATGACTATCTACATAATTTATTTCTAAATCATAGTCCATAGGCTGATTTCTTTTAGCATTTGGCACTTTGCCAAGCTGATGAACCCCCTATCCACATGAAGTCAAGACCCACAGATAATATGGATTTCCCTTTCTCCAGCATTGGCAAGCACCTAAGTAATATGAAGTATTTGGAAGAGCTTGTTTATATATGTCTGTATTGTCACCCATCAATTTGATCTCTTTGGTGACTTAGAATTCCTGATGTCCTCTGAGCCTACTCTGGGGTAATAGTTCCATCCCTCAGTGTAATGGAATTTTTTATTTTAATGAAAAAGTTCTTAGTGTAATTAGGCATGCAGATAAATAGACCAGCAATTATGGTGCATCATAATAAATGCTACATTAGAAATGTGCAAAAGTGATATGAGAGGTAGAGACAGAATCCCTCACTCCATATTAAGGAATCATAACAGGATTCCTGGAAGAGGAACTGAAGCTTAAGTTATAAAGGTTAGCTTTACCTTGAGGCAAGGTTATCTGAAAGCTCTTTCAGACTGGGTATAAATGGATATATTAATCTGTTCTCACGCTGCTATAAGGGCATACCTGAGACTGGGTAATTTATAAAGTTCCACATGGCTGAGGAGGCCTCAGGAAACTTACAACCATGGCAGAAGGCACCTCCTCACAGGGTGGCAGGAGAGAGAATGAGTGTCGAGCGAAGGGGGAGGCCCCTTATAAAACTATCGTATCTCATGAGGACTCACTATCACAAGAATAGCACAGGAAGAACGTCCACCATGATTCAATTATCTCCACGTGGTCCTGGCTTTGACAGTGGCGATTATTACAATTCAAGGTGAAATTTGGGTGGAGACGCAGATCCAAACTATATCAATGGGTAAGAGGAGTTAAGGCCGTAGGAGTGAAGGGATTGGTGGAGCTCTGTAAAGGCAGTAAGGCCAGGTACATGGAGGATCCAGTGTTCCCATCTGCTAAAATGCTCCAGTCATGAGAAATAAGGCAAGAGAGGAGAGGAAGGGTAAGTAGCAAAGCATAACTTTTCTGAATTGGAATAGCTGATCGTGCCTTCTGGCACAGAAGATGCATACCCAACTCTCAGATCTCACCTAGAGAAAACAGTTCTGCCTCACTCAACCAGAGTTACTCTAAGTATGAGCCATCTGCCCTCATCTCACCTGGCTGGCTCGCCCTGTCTCAAATGACTGATGTCAAGGTAAGAACTGTCTTTCCATCTAGACCATGCCATTTGCTGATCTTTTCCCCTACCTCATCATTTCTAGAACAAGTGAGTCAGACCAGGGTAATCAGGGATGGGGGCTTCAGCTGATCCAGTCAGGAGAAAGCCAGGCCTCAGGTCATTAAAGCCAGAAGAAGGCCATGCTGGCTCACCACTAGGCTGATCCCACAATGTCCTTGGGGCAGCAAAACAGGGGCCTTGAGTATCCTATTGAAAGAATGTTCTGTTTCAAAAATATCCTCAAAGCTATTGTCCTAGGAAATATAAGAATGTTGTGTTATAATTCCCTACACTTACATTAGTTTATATAAAGACCGTAATCTGGCCCTAGTTGAAGGTTGGTGTATTGAGACCAGGCCCCTCATTTAAAGTGTTTCTGGAACAGAAGGGCTGGAGTGAGAAGTCCATGGGGGACCTGTTCTCAAGAATAACTGAGATCTGTAGCAATGTTGTAAAGCGCTTTCATAAACTGCATCTCATGTCTTCCTCACTAAAACTTACAAACTGCATTGTATTAATAATTCTTACTTTGCCAATGGGGAAATAGATGCTAGGGGAAGTCGCATAATTAACCAAGTTCCTTAGCTGGTGGGAGTAACATTTAGAACTCATATCCAGATCTCTTGACTCCTGAGCCCACAGCTTCAGTCTCTACCCAAAGCCGTGGTCTTGTGAAACTCTTATAAGCTCATAATTGTTTCACCTCAGCTATGAGGGCGTGTGCTGAAGGACAGAAAATCTAGCCCTTCAAGGTCTGGACTTATGAGTCCAAGGCAAGAGCAAAGTTAGCTGAACTCAGGCTGAGCTAATAAATTGATTTTGCACCCCTTATATTCATTCAGCTAAGGCCAGAATCATGCAGCCTGGATGTACAGGTGGGTATGAGGTGACCCCAGATGGCAGAGTGCAGGAGTAGGTGGGGGGTGGATAATTACAACAAGACTTTGCCTTATCTCTAAGTATTCTTGTCCTGTGGGGTGACCTTGAGAAATTGTTCTACTTCCCTGTTTCTCTAGCTCTGCAATGAATTGAATATGTGAGTGCCTATGCTGTGAAGATGTAGGGATGCTCCCTGTCCTCAAGATGCTCACATCCAGAAGAATGCATTTTAAAAGGTCTAGGTATAAGGGAGAATGTTTTTCATTTTTGTTTTGTAGAATCATTAAGAAACCTATTCTTGTGGGAAACACAGATGAATAACATGTTATTTTAGATTTGAACATTTGTAAAGATTTTGGATGGATTTGGTATTTGAGCTGCTTTGTCAGGAAGTAGAATTTTGATGGTCAGGGCTGAGGACAGACTGGGGAGCAAATACAAGAATGTGAAAAAGCCAGGCGTGCAGTCTCTCTCTCTCTCTCCTCTTCTCTCCACCCCTCTAGTAGTTCTGTTTCTCTGAAGAATCCTAATGTGTACCCCAACTGTTTCCAAAATGATTTTGAGATTGCTAAGCAGCCACATTCAGTTGAATCTGGCTTTACATTTTGTAGGTTTAAGCAATTTTGGGGGCAATGAATGTACCTTCAATAGACTTTTGAGTGTCAACCTTTATTTTCTCCCAGTCCATTGCTTACAGTCCCCAGGCTACTGCTGCTCTGTCTAATGATCCTTACAGTAACTACACTAAAAGAAGAGACAATGCATTTAACAGAGACTGATCCCTGGAGTCTGCACATAAGATTTAGTCTGCAGTTGATACTAATAAACATGAACACAGCCTACACTGCTGTTCCATCTGCCTTAAGGTTTAGATAGCATATGTGAGAATGAAGTGGCCCCTCTGAAGGAAACAGGAAACTTATATAGTAAAGTGTAATTAAACCAGGATAAGCAGCTATCTTGGAAACTGTGGCAAGAAGCTTACAGAAAATTTTGGAGATGTCGATAAGGGAGACATGGAGAGTAAGGGTTGGGTCACTGTTTCTCCAAGGCTGATAAATCATGGCTCCAATGTGGACTTGGTGTCAGGCCTCCCAAATGATGCTGCTCCTCACCACACACACACACACATACGTAAACATACACACACACACACACACACACACACACACACACACACACACACACGGGGAGAGAGAGTTTTAAATTTCCATGCAACCTGGAAGACATACTTCTTCTTCCTGGGGCCCAGTTTTCTCATCTGTAATATGACAGGAGTAAGCCAGACGATCTCTAAGTTCTTTTCCAATTCTGGCATTCTATAACTCTAAAGTTTGTTTTCTCTGATCAGTTCTGTGATTTGGAAGACAATGAGTTGATAATCCAGTGGGCTATGACGGTTATAGTTCTCTCAATAAGTTAAATTAGAGTATTCATGTTTTGGCATATTCACATCCATGTTTGCAGACTCTGATCAGCCTGGACAATTTTCTCTCCCAAATCACTTCCACACAAACTTATCAAATCATCTGACTAGTCGCACTCATCCTGACCATATCACATCACAAGGCGGCATGCATTAGGGCAGTTATAACATCCCCCAAGGTATTTGCACAATGACTGCTCACCGTAGGGAACAGGCTTCCCTCTCTGCAACAAACAAGGAAAATGTCTTTTAAAATGCTCTAAATAATACATGTGAAAACCTAGGCAATACTCAAGGTATAAAGGAAAAAAGCAAAAATGGCTAAATTCCCACCACTCAGAGATTATCACCATGAACTTGTCAGTGAACGTTCTAACATAAATTTTCTATGTTTATATATACACACACATAATTTTGTATAAATGGGATCATATTATATATGCAATTTTATAATAATTTTTAAATCTTATGAAAACTTTTATGTTTTAAATTATATCTAAAACTTACTTTACAGTCCAGTAATATTTTAATACAGAATTTTTAAATTGTAGTATATTTTTCTTGTATTTAAGGAAAGATTATTGGTCTACAAAGGGGAGATTAGAAGACTTGCTTTCTCAACCCATAGTTGTACCATCTATGTCTAAAGATACTGAAAAATGTGAAAACTGACGTAACAGAGAATTCTGACTTTCTAAAGAAATCATGCAAAACTTTACATAAAACAAACAAATGATGAAAACTATCATCATTTGTGAGTTTCCCTCACTTTTTAGATGTTAATAATTTGCCATAGTGGGTCTTATGAAAAACAAAAATTTCAGATGATATAGCGTGTCAATTAAGTTGTTGTCAATTTTGAGGGCAATGACTCATAGTTTAAAGAAGGAAAATTTAATATTTTAATTGTAGACTTGATGAGCTCTTTAAATGCCAAAAATGATTTGTTACAAATTTTTGAACTAGAAATGAAAACTCCCTGAAGCATCTTCTAGGGTAAATAGTCATACTGCATTAACCGTAAGAGCATAACCAATAACTTAGAGACCTTTTACAATTTTAAAACCAAATATTGCTGAATGCCTGCTGGATGAAAAGTAAATAAAAGACGTTACAGCAGGAACACTTTCCAATATTACAGCAACTCAGTGAATTTCACTTCTGCTGCATCCTGAAGGAAGATGGTTGTCTCAGGAAAATCAATTTGAGTTGCAAGCTGAGCTAGCTGCTTTATTTACAGAACACCATTTTTACTTGAATGAACAAGGAAAATACAAACTATGGTTATTCAGTTGCGTATTTTGGCAGATATTTTCTGGAAAATTAACAAAGTAGCCTGTCACTGCCAGGACTAACATTTTTTGTTAATGTTGCTGATTTTGTGTTTGGTGCTAATGATAAAGTTTCAACTTTTAAGAGATTAGAATTTTGGAAAAGTTTTATCTTCCACTGTGAATTTGTCCGCTTCACAATGCTTGAAGACATTTTTATGAGATTTATAGGTATTCATAAATGTGATTTATTTATTTTTTTTTTTTTTGAGACGGAGTCTTGCTTTGTTACCCAGGCTGGAGTGCAGTGGAGTGATCTCAGCTCACTGCAACCTCCACCTCCCAGGTTCAAGCAATTCTCCTGCCTCAGCCTCCCCAGTAGCTGGGATTACAGGCGCCAACCACCACACCCGGCTAATTTTATATTTTTAGTAGAGACAGGTTTTCACCATGTTGGCCTGGCTGTCTCGAACTCAAATGATCTGCCTGCCTCAGCCTCCCAAAGTTCTGGGATTACAGGTGTGAGCCACTGTGCCCAGCCAAAAATGTGATTTTTTTAAATGTCATTTACTTTTTGATATCAATATTCAAATTTATATTTACCAATATGTAATCTTGTAAAAAATATACATGGGTAAAGATCTATTCAAAGTGCAAGATAGACCAGTGGATTTTAATGTTACAGAGTACCAAAAGTTCATTGCTAATCATTTCACATCCCACAATGAAGCTTACCTTTCAGAAACTACCGCCTGTTGAAATTTGATGTTATGTCAAAGAAGGCTATCCACAGTTATAAAAGGCTACTTAAATGCTTCTGTCCTTTTCAAGTATATGTCTCTATGAAGTTTGAATTTTTTCAACCCAAATAGCATATTGCAACAGATTGAAAGCAAAAACAAACATGAGAATCCAGCTGACAGTAAAGAGACGTGCAAAGATGTAAAACAATGCCACGCTTATCACTAAATGTTTTTGTTTTAGAAAACACATTTGTCATAAATATGTTAATTATGTCAACATGCAATTGGCTTATTGTTATTTTGAATCAATCAAATATTTTTAAAATTCAGTTTTATTTCTGATATCATAACTGCTGATAAATATAATCCACAGAAATGAAAGCTCTTTAGAGTCCTCAATGATTTTTAAGAGTTGTAAAATGGTGTTGTGACCAAAATATTTGAGAACCACAAATCTAAAGTAAATCCTAATTTACCCAATTTATTTAATGGATACCTTGATTTAAATTGCCTATTTATTTACCTTATCTATTAAAAAGCTATACCCTACTAATGAAATAAAAATCAATGTATCCTTTTTCATAAAAGAACAATTGCTGAAGCAATAATGTTGATTTGGAGTTTAAATGTATGGTTCAAATAGTACCTACAGTTTTTTTTTTCTTTTTAAGGAATTTGAAGTCAAAATTTATATTTTCATCTCCTGTTATTTTTTATTTTTAATATCAGTTTAGCAATAGGGAAACATTGACTTATTTGATTAAAATGGTTAAGATCCACACTGAATGTGCATTACTACTAGATCATGGACAAACTTATTCATTTCTAACTTACAATTTAGCATTCGTTCATTTTTAAACAAGTTTGAATGTAAATTATTCACTGGGCTTCTCAGAAGGAATTTGTACTTTCAGTTAGGGATATTATTAAATCTTAAATTTGTAGTGTATGGTCTATGGTTTATTATTTTCTCCCCTGGCATTCAGCAAAGTTCTTGACGCATAAGACATACTCAGTAAATGTTTGTTGGATGACTGGCAGATAAATGATGAGCACGAGTGAATAAATGAGTAAATGAGTGAATGACTGGATTTTTTAATCAAAAAAGTATGTTTAGTCATATGCATATTTTATGACAAATTAGAAACAAGAATGATCCTTTGAATATGTATGCCCCACCAGGCAGCCACCTCTGGTTCAGAGCCTCCTTCCCGACCCCAGGCTATTCTGACCCTGATAGCCTAAGTGCTGTTCCTACCTTTACTTGGACTTTCTTTCTTTCTTTCTTCCTTTCTTTCTTTCTTTCTTCCTTTCTCCTTTCCCTTTCCTTTCCTTTCCTTGTTTCATTCTTCTTGCCCAGGCTGGAGTACAGTAGCATAATCTCCGCTCACTGCAACTTCCGCGTACTGGGTTCAAGCAATTCTCCTGCCTCAGTCCCCCTGAGTAGCTGGGATTACAGGCGCCCGCCACCACACCCAGCTAATTTTTGTATTTTTGGTAGACACAGGGTTTCACCATGTTGGCCCAGCTGGTCTCAAACTCCTGACCTCAGGTGATCTGCCTGCCTCGGCCTGCCAACGTACTGGGATTACAGACATGAGCCACCATGCCTGGCCACCTTTCCTTAGACTTTCTTTATGCCCCGTTTAGCCTGGACTTCTGAGTGCCACTTGCTCCTGTCTGACTCTTCACTGACATGACATAGCCCATTATCTCATGTTAGGCTTTTCTTGGAAACAGCACAGGATGAGGATAAAGAAGAGAGTGGACTCAGGAACCTACCTCCTAGCCTGGCTCTAGTACTTCCTGGCTGGCTGACTTTGAGCAAATGCCTTTGTTCCCCTCCTCTGTATGGTAGAGATCATAAGAGCATTACCCTCAAGGGGTTGTCATGAGAATTCCATGGGTGAGTCTTTGTAAAGCGATTAGAATGGTGCCTTGCACACAGTAAGCCCTTTATAGATGTTTATTAAATAAATGTAAAAGTATATAAGGACAGCATGATGTGGCTGGCCTTTAGAAGCCTGTTAGACTTCAGGTTGAGTGAGGGTGTGGGAAGCCCCTTTCCCCAGACCTGCCTACCCCATTGTACAGCTCTTTGGACCCAAGTTCTGGCTCTTCACAGATGGGCTTCATTCTCCACACTGGGTCACATCTGGCTGTATCTTGAGACAGACCATCCTACCTGGGGAACACAAATTTCCACATCTAGGACAAGTAAAACAACTGCCATTAAAATATAACTTTCATGAGGTATCCTTCCACCTACATAGAAATATCAAAGATTATCAGAAAAAGGATGAGAAGAGCATTCTCTAAGAGCAGAAATTACTCATAAGAGCAAAACAGAGGAAGGTAGGAAAAATAAATTCAGACTGGGAATAAACATTTCTGGATTATGTTACAAATCATGTATAGTTGGGAATAGTCACCTGCCTAAAAGGATTAATCAGTCTTCCTTTCTGGATAGTGTATATTCTGTTCAGACACTGCAAGGGTTATTTGAGAGAGCTTGTCCCCTGAAAGCCCATAACCTTTGTCTGCAGCTTGTTCAATAGACATATGTAATTATTGTACATTTGAGTTAGTCCCATCATGTCATGTTGGCTGAGATGTCAAATAATTTCTAACTGGATCAGTTACAAACCTTTCTTTTTCCTGTTTAAACCGTAATCCCTGCAGTTTAGATATGTTTCATTTCCTATGAGCTGTTAATGAGGATGACGTTCTTCTTCAGAGTTGGAATAAAGGAAAAGTTGTCTTAAATAAGCACCTGGAGGCCTAAGAAAGCTCATGGAACTGTTAGGGCCTAGAGATAGGGCCTAATCACCATAAAAGAAGTATCTTAAAATAGTTAAGTTTCACACACCATAACCACCATGTTTTATGTAAATAGGAAAATGCCAGTAACTAAACTCGTGTTTAAAAATGTAACATTTGAGAAGATCCTAGGATTGCTGCATTTGTCAATGGATAATGTAAGTAGCAGTTCATCAACCTGCGAACACTGTACCACATTCACTGGTACACAGTTACAACCTAGAAACCATCAGCAATCTAGTGTGCAGCCCAAGAGACTGTCCCTTCTTTCAGTCATTACTCCCTTCTCTGATTTCTAACAGCATAGGTTAGTTTTGTCTGCTTTTGTATTTAAGTAAATGGAACCATTTTCTATGTACTCTTTTGACTCTGACTTTCCTTCATTACTGGTTGTGAGATTCACCCATTACATAGTTTGATTTTAAATCTTGCTACTTTCAGGCTCTGTAACTTAGGGAAGTTGCTATAGAATCAGGGTAACAATAGCTAATACTTAGGAGTGAGTGCAAGAATGAAATAACAGGAGAAGGCCTCTCAGCCAGTGCCTATTTCTAACAGATGCCCTTCCTATCTCTCGTCCGATAGCCTCTTCTGTCCCACCCTACTCCTTGACCTTGATACCACACTGCAGCTTCCTCTAGCTCTTCTCACATGGGTCTGGGCATCTGCAGCAGTGGGCAGGCAACACCCAGGCTCCTGGAAGATCTGCTTTCCCTAATTAATAGGCTTCATAAAGAACTCTGAGGATAAAAATAAAAGCCATAGTCTGGGAGAAACTACTTGGTGAAGAACCTGTATCCAGAATGTAAAAAGAGACCTCTCAAAACTCAAAAGTAAGAGAATAAATACACAACTAAAAAACTGGGCTAAGAGTTTGAACAAATATTTCACCAAAGGAGGCATGTGGATGACAAATAAACACATGAAAAGATGCTCAACATCATAAGTCATTAGGAAAATGCAAAAATGTTGCGGGAAGTCAAGGACCCCGAATGGAGGGACCAGCTGAAGCCATGGCAGAAGAACATAAATTGTGAAGATTTCATGGACATTTATTAGTTCCCCAAATTAATACTTTTATAATTTCTTACGCCTGTCTTTACTGCAATCTCTGAACATAAATTGTGAAGATTTCATGGACACTTATCACTTCCCCAATCAATACCCTTGTGATTTCCTATGCCTGTCTTTAATCTCTTATTTCCTTCATCTTCGTAAGCTGAGGAGGATGTATGTCACCTCAGGACCCTGTGATGATTGCATTAACTGCACAAATTGTTTGTAGAGCATGTGTGTTTCAACAATATCAAGTCTGGGCACCTTAAGAACAGGATAACAGCAATGTTCAGGGAACAAGGGAGATAACCTTAAAGTCTGGCTGCCTGTGGGCCAGGTGGAACAGAGCCATATTTCTCTTCTTTCAAAAGCAAATAGGAGAAATATCACTGAATTCTTTTTCTCAGGAAGGAACATCCCTGAGAAAGAGAATGCATCCCTAAGGGGAGGCCTCTGAAATGGTCACTCTGGGGACGCCTGTCTTTTATGGTCGTCCATAAGGGATGAAATAAGCTCCGGTCTCCTGTAGCACTCCCAGGCTTATTAGGATGAGGAAATTCCCACCTAATAAATTTTGGTCAGACCAGTTGTCTGCTCTCAAACCCTGTCTCCTGATAAGATGTTATCAATGACAATGCATGCCTGAAACTTCATTAGCAATTTTAATTTTGCCCTGGTCCTGTGGTCCTGTGATCTCACCCTGCCTCCATTTGCCTTGTGATATTTTATTACCTTGTGAAGCATGTGATCTCTGTGACCCACACCCTATTTGTACACTCCCTCCCCTTTTGAAAATCACTAATAAAAACTTGCTGGTTTTGTGGCTTGGGGGGCATCATGGAACCTGCCGACATGTGATGTCTCCCCTGGACACCCAGCTTTAAAATTTCTCTTTTGTACTCTCCCTTTATTTCTCAGACTGGCCGACACTTAGGGAAAATAGAAAAGAACCTACATGAAATAACGGGGGTGAATTTCCCCCGACACAAATTAAAACTACAGTGAGATGCCACTGCGCATCTATTAGAAGGGCTAAAATAATAAAAAAAAAAACAACTGACCATACAAGGTGTTGGCGAGGATGTGGAGGAACCAGAACTCTCATGCATGGCTTGTAGGGAGGTAAACTGATACCACCACTTTAAAAAACAGTTGGCAGTTTTTAAAAAATAAAAACATACACCATATGACCCCACCATTACTCTCCTAGATATTTACCTAAGAGAAATGAAAGCATATATCTACACAATGACGTGTAAGCAAATAGCAACTTTATTCATAAACTGGAAAAAACCAAAATGTCTATCAACAGATGGATGGATAAAAAATTTTGGTACATCTTTACAATGGAATACTACTCAACAATAAAAAGGAATTAACTATGAATAAACACAAAATGGATTTAATTGGAAAATAATTTTGTTGAGAGAAAGAAGCTGGACAAAGAGTACATACTCTATGATTCCATTTATGTATGTTAGTAAATGCAAAATAATCTGTAGTAACAGACAGCAGCAAATCAGTGGTTGCCAAGGAGTGAAGGGGATGGGCTGGGAGGTACCACAAGGGATCATGAGGAAACTTTTGCTGGTGATGCATAGTTTACTATCTTGATGTTGGTCATAGTTTCATGGTTGTATACATATGTCAAAACTTATGAACTTGTATACATTAAATATATGCTCTTTACTCCTTGTCGATTATGCCTCAATAAAGCTATTACAATTTTTTTTTTAAGAAAAAAAGAGGACTGTGAAGCTTTCAGGTCTGAGTGGTACATTAAGCATGTTCAATAGTTAAACAGAACACTGTTTCATTTGGTTACCAAAATGCAATTACTTTTTAAGAACAATTACTAACTTGTGTTTCCTGCCCATTTGGACTATTCATGATCCATTGCTTGGTTGCTTAGGGACTGCCAACCAATAAATAACCCTTCGGGAAGATGACCGCTCTCCAAATCAGGCTTAGCATGCCCATTAATTTCAGCCACCAAGTTCCTCTTCCTACCTTTGAATTTGAATATGGAAAAAAATGGCTCATCATGTCCATTAATTTGGTATAAAACCAACTTTCACCCTTTACCCACTCCCTTCTCCTCCCACCAAGACCTCTCTATGTCCCTCTCTAATCCTGACACAACCCATTCATTGAAGTACCACAGTCCCAGGCAATGTGTGTACACAGAAAGTTGATTTCTGAGAATTGTTTTTTTACAAACTTCAACAGATTTCAAAATTAGCTCATGGCTCAGGAGATCAGTCTGACTCAGGTTTATGTGCAAACAATAGACATAGTTTTAAAAAATCATCAGGAACACCTAAGATCAAAGCTTTTTTGTTCCAGCTGCTAAGCGGGAGATTTTGTGGCATCCATTTTAGTCCCTTGGCAGTCATAATCCTGAGTTCTGTGCTGTGACATAGAAGCAGTCAACGAGATCACTGAAGGAGAAGCTAATAGTACAGAAATTTCCAGTGTTCCCACAAAGAAGTGAATTTGGTATTATATTGTACACAGAGAAAAAATTTTTAATAAAAATCAAAAAATAAGGCTTTGGTTAGAAAAACACTTAGTAAAACAGAGAGGAATAGGCTTTATGACCTGGAGTATTAAGCCTTGTTTCAAAAAATTGCAAAACCAAGAAAATGAAAATCGACAGGTATAAATACAGTAGAAAATCTAAGGTAGAGTGACTCAGTTCTGACAGTTGTCTGATACATAAAGATACACAGGATAGTCCCATGGGAATGAACAGGAATCCTAGATTCCTAGGCCTTGAGTTCAAATTCTGTCTCCACTACTTACTAGATATGTGACCTTGAGTTACTTTTGCAAAGTTTTATCTTCCTATTCTAAAAAATAAGGGTCATAAAACTACCTACCTCATAAGATTGTTTGAGGTGAGCTAACACCATAAAACATTCAACAGAGTGTTTAGTTGTAAGGACTCAATAAATGTCAGCTTTATTTTTATGAAGTATAACTGAGATATGCTCTAATCAATCATCTTGTATCAGAATTACCCAAACTTGCCCATCATAACAATCACCTGGGGCTTTTATGGAACATACAGATTCCAGGGCCCTGACTCAGACCTACTGAAACTGCATCTCCAGAGGAGGGGCCCAGGACTCTGTTTAACAAGAGCCTCAGGGCTCTAGGCACATTTGGGAAATGGAGATGATGTTAGTAAAATTTCATTTCCCTATATCTATAGGTCTCAAATTTGAGGACACATAACAATCATCTGGGGTCTGGTTAAAATACACACTCCTAGCATTCCTATCCCCCAGAGATTCTGATTAAGGTCTAGGATGGTGTCAGAACAAGTGGGTTTTAAACAAGCACTCTCCTGGTAATTCTGGGCAAAAGGGCTTTCATCCTACATTTTGGAAAACACTGCCCAACATTGTGTTACCCTTATTTAGACTAAAAAGATAACTCTAGGAATAGTCTCTAATCTAGGAGAAAATTTTCAATAGCTTTGTTTCTGCTACCAAGTCATGCAATGTATGAATAAGAGGGAATAATTTAATCTCTCTGCCAAGTAGTTCTTTTTCTCATCCATTAAAATTGGTTCTTTCTATGCCAATTTCTTTGGCTTGAGGTTAAAAAGTCCATTATACATTTGATGCATCTGTTCAGAGTTTCATGATTGTGCTATGTCGGCCTTTTTGTGACCTCTGATCACTTAGTCTGATTTAGGGCCCTGTAGGCACCCTGAAGCTAAGGACTTTGCTTGCTTAACTTGTGTTTCATACTGGGTATTTCTGAGTCATTTCTGATGAGCAGAGGGCTTGAGGGAAGCATGAACAAAAGAAGTGAGAGCTGGTTGGGCATATAAGCACTTGGTCCTGATGGAGGCTTTGTGGCACCTGACTTGCCAGCTGCTTCAGTGCCTGTCCTCACAGTTCAGGATTCACCTAATGTGCTGAGATAAAGCAGCAAACAGATCCTGAGAGTAGAGTCAGGCTACACAGGCATTATATGCATGGGCTTTTGCATGACTTTTGATGGGTCAAAGATAAATGCTCAAGCTTGTGAGCATCCAAGAGACAGGTCTGGAAGGATATACCAGTGTGTCAGAACTGGAAAGTGTTGCGATCTGGAAGAGAAGCACAACTCCAGCAGAGAATGGCAGGGAGCTTTTCTGTTAGTCCTGTGGAATTCAACCATGAACTGAGAAATCATCTCACTGGGACACACTTGCAGTCATCCATTTAAAGTTAAGAGCCATAACAGAACAGGATTTAGGGTATAAGTAAATAAAAAATGTGCCACCAATCTGGGGAAATATCTTGCTAAATAATTGCCATCTTCCCTATGTGTATTAGTGCCCGTGATCAATAGACCTGGGTGTAGATCATTTTATCCATCTCTTTTGGAACAGATTCACCTTATTCTTAAAAGCCAACTCAGACACTCAGTCTCATTTTTCATAGTGTTCCAGTTCAAAACTTGACAGTTCTTGAAACTCTTCAAAAATAATTCAGGAAATTATTTCTGTAGCTTTTTAAATATATGAGGTGGATAATATAAAAATTTGAAATTTACCTTGGATAAGCAGCATCACTTAGACGGTGAGGGTGAAGAATAAAAATCTGGGACGCACTAAAGTCTACTCTTTTCTCCACTTCACATTTATTGGGAATATTCTGGAAAGTGGCTTTTGCCCGTGGTTCCTAAATGTCTTCCCCCTGTGAGCTATACCAGTCATCAGGTGTGTTATGTCCATACAGCTTTCCTAAGAAATGGAAATTAAAGTGTCTTTCCAACTCCACAGGCACCATAGCTGCTGAATAATAAAGAGGATAAATGGCTCACATTTAGGAACTACTTACTGTAGGTACAACTGGGAATTTTCAGGATGCAGGTCTTTTTACAAAAGTTCTAGCAGCTGCATTTTACTAAATGAAGGGTTTGTTGCTGTTGTTGTTGTTGTTGTTAATGGCCACACTGGTGTATACCAATAAACAGAAAATCTCATTAGCATCCTTTCTCTTTCCCACACACCCTCTCTATATGGCTTAGAGGCAAAGTGGGGATTAATTTGTTTTGTATCATGGGAAGGGAGGTATTCAGAAAATTAAATCATGGATAAACTTGAAACAGACACAGTCAGAAGTAACCTTATCATTAAGTGACATTTATTATGTTCCCATATCACACAATTCTACTAATTTACAGAGCTCATGCCAGCTTATAAATTTTATGCATTTTTTCCTCCCAATCTTTCGTCTATTTCTGTTTCCCTACATATTAGTTAGGAATGTTTTTAGCTTTAAGTAACAAAGCCCAACTAAAAGTAGCTTAAGTCATAAGGATATTTATTATTTATTTAATGAGCAGTCTAGAGTGGTATAGATGGCATCATGGTTGTTTGGTACCTCCAAGATGCCAATCATAGATCTTTATTCCTTTGCTTCACCATTCTCAGTGTTGGCCTATTGTCCCCTTGGTTGTCATTGTATGTTCACAAGATAGCACAATTCCCGCATCACATCCTTACATCATTTTCAATGCCAGGAAGCAGAAATATAAGGGGCAGGTGCAAAAAAAAAAAAGTGATTTGGCACTGACTAGTTATAAGAAGAGCACTAACTCCTCAGGGTAGTATAACTTGGCAAATGTTAAAACAATGAACAGTAATAATATTGTACACTTTGTGTCAAGCATTGTGCTTTACAATTATTATCTTTTTAATCTTCACAACAGTGCTATGAGAGTAATACTATGAAAATCTTCTTTTTTTTTTTTGAGACGGAGTCTTGCTCTCTTGCCAGGCTGGAGTGCAGAAGCATGATCTCAGTTCACTGCAACCTCCACCTCCCGGATCCAAGCAATTCACCTGCCTCAGCTGAAAATCCTCATTTTATAGCTATTAAAAGATGATGTAGCAATATTAAAAATGATTTTTACAAAAAAAAATTGACATTTTAGCCTACCATTCTATACAAAATGTTTTAATTTTGTCCTGAATATGGACATGTGTGACTCAGATCTACCTTCAGGGAAGGACCTGTTGCCTTAGCTCCTAAGAGTGTTGTTATGAGACACCTTTCAGCTGGCAGCCCCTCGGGGGAGAGAACTGACTCTCCCAGGCTCGCCTTCTCCCTCGGTGGCCAACATCCAATCACTGATTGGGGGTATACAGACCAGGTATTCTGGCCCAATGTGGGACAACTCTAAATGGGCCAGTTCATCTAGACTCCCCCCTCTGCCCATTCCTGATTCCTCTTTCTTCTTTCTACAGGTCTTGATCCTAAGGGTATTTCCTGATAAACATCCTGAATCCAACTCTGTCTTAGAATCTGCCTCCTAGAAAAAAATCAAACTGTGACAACTTTTAAGATCCCTTCCACCTCCTGTCTACATGCATTTTTATTTTACATTATTGCAGACATACTGAAGTACTACTTTTGTTATAATTTTTAATCTTAACGTTCTATCATGATCAACTCCTCATGTTGATAAATAGCCTTCATAGTTACCTTTTTAAAATTTAAAACTAAAGTAATTTAATCATATTACAGAATGTTTGAAAAAAAAATTACTCATAATCCCACTACCAAACATAGTTGATCATTTTGACATATTTCCTGTTATTTTTTCCCAATGAATAGTTTTGATAAGGTTATAATCACAACTTATAAGCAGCGCCCTTTTCCACATTATTTTAAAATTCTTTATTTATTTACTTTTATGATCTCACTCCAGAAAGGATTAAAAGCAGCCTATAAAATTACATAAATTCAGTAAAAGGGAAGCTAGGCATCAGCAGGGGTCTTCTATTCCTCGGGGATTTATGTAAACATACATCAAATACTTGAACATGTGGCAAATGAGAATCCAGAGCCCTTCTAAGATTTTGAGAATATCTGACTTCTTCATGTGTTTTTCTTAACTCCTTTGTCTGCCTAACAGTGAAAACTGGCTACCCAAGTCTTGCCCATATCAATCCAGGTGATAAGCACAGTACTTTTACTAGTTGCCACACATTCACACACTCAAAACCTACGAAATACACTAAAGAAAAAAAATAAAACCCACTTTAACTAGACATTTTGTGACTCTGCTCACTTCACTAAAGGTTTGGAGTTCCCATCTTTCTGTCTCCCTCTTCCTTCCCCATTTGCTGTTGTAACAGACAAATTCTTCCCCTCCCCTACTGTAGCATCAGTTCCACCTAATTTCAGGCCCTTCAGACCGAGCTTTTGCCCCACAGCAGCTTATTTCACCATTCATTTCCTCAATATGGGCAGGTTTTGTCCTACAAGGAATGCTCTCTTTTTAAACATTGAGAAAAGAAAAATATTTTTGGATCTCCACATTAAAATAAGACAGTGAGGGAAAATGAGAGAGTATGATGCCAACAGAGAGGCTGGTCACAAAGATAGGTCAAGCAGTTTCTGAATTTGAAAAGTTGTGAGGGAGGGCAGAGGAAGGATTGAAATCAAGCAACATGACAAAGAAGTATCTGAATAACTTAGCAGCTGGTGGGACCTGTGGAACCAAAGAGATGGGGAAGTAAAGTTACACCAGAATTATGAATCAGGGATATTTAGGAAAGTAGCCCCATCATGGGATGGAATAAGAAACTTAGAAAGGAGAGTCACTTTGGAGGGGATGATGGCGCATTTACCTTCTCAGGTAAGGATCCTGCAGAATGTGTTTGTAATTGGAGTGTGGATGAATGGGACCTTAGGAAGGATGTTGAGACTGATCTGACTCCTGGCTGCCTATGAACATCTGCGGGGGACTATAGAATGACACTATAACTATAAAAACCAGTCCAAAGAGAAGGGAGATTTGTAATAGGGTGCAGGGCAGGATGAATTAAAACAATTTTCTGGGTAAGCATCAGGTGATGGGGTGATGTGGGGGAGATGGATTAGTGGAGCAAGTGAAAGACTGTGACTTCTAGAGTGTCCACAATTAGGGCTTTTCTTTTCTGTTATTTTGCCTGTCTGAGTGTTGGCATTATTTTGTGAAAGGGGGAGGCATCATGCTGGGGATGAAAAATGATTTTCTGGTACTTGCTGCGGCTAACTCTGTTACCATAGCAACTGACTTAATCAGCCAGGAGGGAGGATTTTACTAGAGACAGTCTATACTGGACTGTTGTGATTTCAAAGGGAAATATTTACAACTCTGTCAGTATAGCTGTTCCAGTTTAGATTGTGACAACATGGCAGGTTAAACTCTATTTCAAAGATTTCTAAAGAGTTTAATCATTATTAACCCAAATTAACCCTCTTTTTGACCAGTTACCAAAAGCAAAACCTTGCAGTATGTACAGCCCATGGTGGTTGGGGTTAGTTTGTCTTTTTTTTTTCTCGCTCTGTTGATAGTGAAATTGGTTTGTCCACTTTGGGGTTTAAACCAAACCAAAATACTAAAATTACTGTGTGAGACCGATGCGGGGAGCTATGGACAGTTTTTGTCTTATCTCATTCAGAACTAAGAGGGTCTCCTTATTCCCCCCCACAAAAAGCCTCTCCATCAAGCATTGATGAGAAATAGATATTTCACTGGAGGCTTGGTGGGAGGAGTTGGTTTATTTCACAGAGCTCGGAGCCTTTTACCTCCTCCCCATGTGAAGACAATATATTATCTTGTCTTTCATTACAGCAGGGGGCTGAGTCTCTGCTTCACTTCCATCTCCTTTCTCCAGCCTTTCCTCCTTCTATATCTCCATTTTTAGATAGAACTATAGGATGTGGTACAGACTCCTCCAGCTGGGGCTCCCCACATTCATTTCTTAAAACCGTCTATAAAAGACAGCCAGTTAGTGACTTCATTTGTTCATGGCAAATCAAATCGTTCATTTACCAGAATCTTCCTTCCTTAGATAATACAGAGTAATTATAAATAAAAGTGTTTTCTCTGTGTACTTGCTGTTAAAAATATATATATAAGTTCTTTTAGGCTTCTGCATGCCTTTGGTTTGAAAGCCAGATTTTCCTGACTTTTGAAGTGAAGCACCTCTCTAGATTCTGGCAATTACAAAATCTGGATATACCATTTTGCACCAAAAGTGTAAAGAATAAGTGTACAGGTCTGAGCTTTCAGCCTCAGATTTTCTCTCCTCTATTAAGATTGACTCTGACCTTAGCTAGTGTAACACTAATTATTACAGGATTTAAATTATTGTTTTACTTCTCCCTTCATCCCCCAGTGGTATTTCCCATTTTGAAAGATGATTTTGTTAATTAATCTTAAATGGTGAAACATTTGTGTGTGAAGAGAAATTTGAAAGGGGCGATATTGAGAACTCTTGCACATTCCCAGCCCCATTTCTGGAATCAGTACTACTCCACTCCCAAACATAGTTCATCAGAGAATTACACAGAATCAGCTTAGAAACACTCATCACTGAACTTTTCAAAACTTTCTCCCAAACTTTCACCTAAAACTAAAGATCTCTCATACATTATTTATTCATCTGTATATTTGTTGAGACATTGTTACAGACTTTGGACATCATGGATATACATTATGGACATTGTTCATTTTATACTTGAATTTGCTTCTGGCAGAGTTACCATTTTATTATACTTACATGAAAACAATACACTCAGAATCTGAGGTTCTTTGGATTAACAAAAAAGCATGACCCTTTTCTTTTTTGAGAAAGTTTATGACTACCTCAAGATTTTAAAAATATAATATATTTGGAATGTTAGAAATTTTCTCTCTCAGTTTTTTGAGCTATTACTGACATACAAAAAGCTACACGCATTTAATATATACAACTTGATGAATTTGGAGATAAGCCTATGCCCATGACTACAATCTATGCCATCAATCTATACCTTACCCCCAAAAGTGTCCTCCCATTACTTTTATTTATAATTATTTGTGTGTGTGACATGAACACTTAACATAAGATCTAGTCTTTTAGCAAATTTTTAAGTATAAAATACAGTATTATTAACTATTGGCATGGTGCTGGATAGTAGATCTCTAGGATTTCATCTTATATAAACAAAACTTTGTACCCTTTAACCAATACCTCCCTGTTTCCCCTCCTCTCTCAGCGACTAACAACCACCCTTCTTGGATCCAGTGCCTTGATCTTGGACTTCCCATCCTCCTGAACTGTGAAAAATAAATTTCTATTGTTTACAAATTGCCCAGACCATGATATTTTATTATAGGAGCACAAATGGACTAAGACAACACAAAAGCAACCTAATGTCCATTGACAGATGAGTGAATAAAGAGCTCTGCTTCTATGAGTTTTACTATTTTAGATTCATCAGCTAGTGATATGATGTAGTATTTGGCCTTCTGTATCTGCCTTATTTCACTTAACATAATGTCCTTCAGGTTCATTCATGTTTTCATAAATCGTAGGATTTTCTTATTTTTTAAGCCTGAATAATATTTCATTGTATATGTATATCACATTTTCTTTACCCATTTATCTGTCAATGGACATTTAGGTTACTTCCATGTTTTCTTAGTCCATTTTTGCTGCTATAATAAAATGCCACAAGTCCAAGATCAAGACATTGGTGATGGCTGCTCTCTGCTTCCAAGATGGTGCCTTGTTGCTGCATCCTCCAGAGGGAATGAATGCTGTGTCTTTACATGATGAAAAGGACATGAGGGCAAAGGAGAGGAAAACTGCTCCCTAGCACCTCTTTTATCAAGTCATTAATCCCATTTGTGAGAGCTCTGCCCTCTTGACTTCTTAATCACCTCTTAAAGGCCTCACCTCTTTTTTTCTTTTTTTTTTGAGATGGAGTCTCACTCTGTCACCCAGGTTGGAGTGCAGTGGCATGGTCTTGGCTCACTGTAAGCTCCACCTCCCGGGTTCACACCATTCTCCTGCCTCAGCCTCCCGAGTAGCTGGGACTACAGGCGACTATCACATTGGCGATTACATTTCAACATACAAATTTTAAACATTGAAACTATAGCATGTAGCTTGGCTATTGTGAATAATGTTATAATGAACATGGGTCTGCAGGTATCTCTTTAACACCTATAGTGTCTTTTAATTTTAATTGTCTGGACTAAAGTATTTTAGGATCCCTTATATTTATTTCCCTTCTAAATGCAGATATGGTGCTAGAAATAAAGCTACAAAAATAACACAGATCAAGACCCAAGCTCTCTTTACAAGAAACTTACACCAAAGTAGGGGAGACAGATACGTAAATAACCATCTTGATGCAGTGTAAGAGGGGCAATGACAGCAGTAACCCCAGAATGTTAAGGGAAACATGCAAGGGTGACTACCTGGCCTGGAAAGGTGAGAGGGAATCAGGAAGTTTTCTTAGGGGAGTTAACACTAGTGTAAAAGTTCCCAGATGAGTTTGCCTGGTAGGTAAGGGTAGGAATGTATAAGGGTGATCCAGACTAAAGAAACAGCAATAGGACAAGGAAAATGTTAATTGGCAGATGGAACCGTGATATAAATAAATGAAACTTACTGAGAACCTATTATGTGCCAGGTACTGTGTGCTACCAATGTCTATGTTATTCATAATTCAAAACTCTGTAGGGCCCATCATTGTTATTCCTCTTTTATAGGTGAGAAAACAAAGGTTTGGCAAGGATGAGTACTTGCTGCAGGTCCAACAGTTATGACTGGATTGGAACTTCATCCCAGCTTGGCCTAACTTCAGAGGAGTTTCATTCAACTTATATAGATTCGATATGAAATGGGAATGCAAGAAGGCATAGATATTTCTGGTTGATTCAATTTCCTGATAATTCCCAATTACAATAAAAGAAATGGTTTCATAAGGACTCACATGTTTGAAAAAGTCTTTGGATATAAAATATAAACCTGAGATTAAATTTGATAATAGAAAATTTTTGATGAAGCATAAATTAAAAAATATTTTTCTGGCATTTTTTTCCTAAAAAAAAGAAGATCCTGTTCCAAAACCAAGCCTTCGTAAAGAGGTCCTATTCCTATGTATTTTATGATTGGAGATGTGGAAGTCACTGTGATGTGGTCAAAGTAGAAACATTTGTGGGTTTTTTCTTCTTGAGGAAATAAACCAAAATGCTAAAATAAATGAGTAGCAAATTAAGTTTGGAAGTTTTAAATACATGTGTAATCAGGAATACATGCTCAAATTGTCATCTTTAAGTATGATGGAGAATTGATGGTGCTTCATTTTCAAAGCATGCTTTTTCACATTAATATTCTGCACTCTGCAGTTATTATACAATTGCTAGCAGGGCCATTGTGCATCTTTTGAAATTGAATATATTCTTATGTACTTAAGATCTGTTCAGTACACTCCAGAGATTGCCTTGGATCCTGTCTCTGAAGATGTAAACATAGGAGAACAGACTAGTAATCATTTTATTTTCTGAATGTGTTTGAAATACATAAGCACAGAATAAGAGTCTGGATTTTCTCATTCCCAACCATGTTGCTTACACCTCATTCTTCAAGCAGTCGCCATAACTTGAGGCCAGGTACTATGCTAGCTGTGGGCCACCATATTGATTTCTAAAGATAAGAAAATAAGTAACACCTGACATCTGTGAAAATTTAATGAAGTACCAAGCCTCTATTCCAATAGTACAGAGATATGGGCAGATGGCATGGGAAGGCATAGGAGGGCACAATAAATTATGTGGCAATTAGGAAGGGTTCCAAAAATGTTTCACAGAGGTGTTCCTTGCTGGGTCTCGAGAGTGAGGGGGACTCTCTAGGAAGATAAGTAGAAGGATATTCTAGGGAGAGAGACCAGCATCAGCGAAGGCACAGAGACATGAAAATGCACTGTAGGTTTTGAAAACGGGAAGTTACGCCAGCCCAAAGTGAGTCTGCATTGTGTGAAAAGAAGAAAGCAAAAAAGAGCCTATCAATACCCCTAGGTTAAAAGACAGGCAGGTGCAGATTTTGAAGGGCTTTGTACTCTGTTCTAAAGCAACTGGACTCCGACAAAAGTCAGTGAAGGGTATTAAAGCAAGTGAACTTGGAGTTCTATATTTCATGGCAATAGGTGTTGTCAAACACCCCACAGAGTAAGGAGAAGTGGCTGGATTCAGAGAAGGCAAGTCCTATATATTCTTTTGCTAACCTAGTTCCACATTTACAGTATTAAATAAATATTCAAGCTCAATCATTCTTATTTTATCTCTTCTGCCTTCTGTTTTCAGGGAAGATGGCACATGGCTAGCACTTACCTTGTATATCGAAGTTCTATTTTGTCAGCTCTCAACTTTCCCTTTTCTGACTCGAATAACACAGACTCCTCATTCCTCATAAGGTTGATTCTCAAGCCTTTGATCTGCCTTTGTAGGATTTCACCAAACTTCTGTCAAGTTCTCTTCCTCCTCTAGTCTTCTTAGATAAAATTATTTATTTTTGACTAGGCAATATATTTATATAATTCAACCATAAAATATCCTTTCTACCAATAATAATAATATATAATATTCTTTCAACTCTGTCCTCCATCTGCCCCTTTCTTTAAAGAGGCATTAAAAAGGCATCCTTTTCTGGGCCGGGAGCGGTGGCTCACGCCTGTAATCCCAGCACTTTGGGAGGCCGAGGCAGGCAGATCAAGAGGTCAGGAGATCGAGACTATCCTGGCTAACACGGTGAAACCCCGTCTCTACCAAAAATACAAAAAATTAGCCACGTATGGTTACAGGCACCTGTAGTCCCAGCTACTCAAGAGGCTGAGGCAGGAGAATGGCCCAAACCAGGGAGGTGGAGCTTGCAATGAGCCGAGATCGCGCCACTGCACTCCAGCCTGGGCGACAGAGCAAGACTCTGGCTCAAAAAAAAAAAAAAGGCATCCTTTTCTATAAATCATAACTGTGCCTATTTTTCTGTGAACTATTTATGTCCTTTGCCCACTTTTCTATACCTTTTTGGCATCTTATGAGCTTTTTGTATATTTTACATTCATGTTGAATAATTTTTTTTGGGGGGGTGGGGAGAGACAGTCTTAAAAAGCTGTGGACATCTCCAGCTAATGATATGCATGCTCAAGTATTTTGGGGGATGTGTACTGATATCTGTAACTTACTTTGAAGTACATAAAAATAAGATGGGTTGATAGGTGAATAGAGGGTTGAATCAATGGATAGATATATGAGAAAGCAAGTATACTGAAATGTTAATGGCAGAACCTAGGTGATAGTCACTCAAAAATTCTTCCAACTTTGCTGTATGCTTAAAGCTTTTCATTATAAAGTACTGAGGAAAATTGTAGAAGTGAAAGCAATTGCTATGTAGTTGTTGATTTCATGGCATTTACAATACTCCCAGATTAAGGGCTTAGTATATTTAATTCCAGAAGGTAAAAATGGAGGAGTCAGTCACAACAGCTGGATGATTTCTCTCTACCCTGTCTTTTTCTCAAAGCTGCCTGATTGACTTGCTTAGTTAAAAGGCTGGGTTATTCTAACTTGAATGTCCAATATAAAGTGCTCCTGGCCAGGACCCCTTTCAGGATGATGGGAACAGTATCAAAGGGAGCCACTCTCAGTGGAAATGCTGTTAAGACCATTCTCCTATTACTATTTTGAAATCCAAAAAACTACCTTCCAAGCAATCTTCTTGTGAAATTCCCCAGGGAGTTGTCCAAGTTTGAGTCATATACAAAACCTCCAAAGTGGGTATCCAGCACTGGATCCCCTACTTGGGCATCCAATACTTGAGTTGCATAAACTCCAACACACTAAATTTTGGTCTCTTATCATACATAGTAAGTCTGGATGCTAGAAGTCAACTTCAAATAGGAGATTTCTGGAGACTGTTCAAGTGTAGCAACTCAAATGGATTGTTTCAATAAGGTCAAGTGGCACTGTCCTGATGGGTCTCTTATTAGCCACTTGCTCCATTTTGGCTTCTTGTGTAACACCATCTTGAGTTCATCTACTCTGAAGTAGCATAGACTGCTTATCCAATAGGACTAACATCTTATAAGAATAAAGAACAGAGACACAGACACACAGCGAAGAACACCATGTAACAAGGGAGGTAGATACTAGAGTGATGCATCTACAAGCCAGGGGATGCCAAGGGTTGCTGGCAACCACTGAACGTTTGGAGACAGGCATGGAACAGACTCTCCCTCAGAGAGACAATTTAATTTTGTACTTCTAGCTTCTAGAAATGTGAGAGAATACATTTCTGTTGTTTTAAGCCACCAAGTTTGCCGGACTTTGTTATGGCAGCCCTAGGAAACCAATGCACTGATCACAATTATGAAGCCTCATAGATAGGACTTCAAAAGTCAAAATGATCATAAGTAATCTCTTTCTCTTCTCTGTATCAGCACCACTCATTTCTTCATGCTCTTAGAGCCATACCATGCCATCAATCATGCTTTCAACTTCAGTTAGAAAAGTAAATTACAGACATCAGTACACATCCCCCAAAATACTTGAGCATGCGTATCATTAACTGGAGATGTCCACAGCTTTTTAAGCTGTTGAGTAGATCACATAAACTATGAGATATCTGTAGAGGAATACCTGGCACATCCATGAGGATACTTCCTTTCATGGTAGGTGTCGAGGTAACATATTCCTTTCCCAAGCATTTCAGTGAATAACTAAAATATGAGCTAAGTATGGTTATAAAGTTTATGTTAAGATTTGTTTAAAAAAGGATATCAAGAATTCATGGATCCATCTTATCCATAAATATCACTGCATCTTTCCCTGAGCATGTATGCAGGAACTTGGGTTGGTATGACCTCAGAATTCAGGCCTCACAGATCCCCAGCTATCCTATAACCACACTGAATGTGCTGATATAAGTTCTCTCCAAAGGCCACAATCCTTACACCCCTACAAGGACATCTTTCACATTGCTTTCATATATTACAATCCTCTTTCATATACAGGTTCTCAGTAGTAAAAATCCCATAAAGCATAAGCTTATTTTTTATTAATATTTGTCAAACCCTATCTTTCCATTAACAAGGAAACCTTCTTGGCCAGGTGCGGTTGTTCACGCCTATAATCCCAGCACTTTGGGAGGCCAAGGCAAAAGGATAACTTGAGTTCAGGAGTTCAAGACCAGCCTGAGCAACATAGAGAGACTTTGTCTCTACCAAAAATTTTTTAAAAGTTAGCTAAGTGTGGTGTCACATGCCTATAGTACCAGCTACTCAGGAGGCTGAGGTGGGAAGATCGCTTGAGCCCAGGAGGGAGGCTGTGGTGAGCCGAGATCACACCACTGCACTCCAAACCTGGGCAATGGAGCAAGATCCTGTCTCAAAAAAAAAAAAAAAAAAAAAGAAAAAAAGAAAGAAAAAGAAGCCTTCTTGTCCCATCTATTTTCATGTACTGCTGTGTGTTGCAGGGATTGCCTGCATAATAAAGCTCTGTTCTGACAGAAAAATATATAAGTGAAACATGAAATTTCATTGATTAAATGAAGAGAAATAACAAGGAGAGGAAGCTATTCATGGACTTAAAAAATTAATAAGTATTTGCCACTCAAAATGAAGGCCAGAAAGCAAAAATGCAAGAACTCATGGACAAGATGGCAAAGCAACAGAAAGAGATAAAAACTGGTGAGCTGGTGAAACCAGCAGAGTATTAGAAGAAAAAAAAATCATAAAAATAAGGCATAATTGGCCGGGCATGGTGGCTCACGCCTGTAGTCTCAGCACTTTGGGAGGCTGAGGCGGGCAGATCACCTGAGGTCGGAAGTTCAAGACCAGCCTGACCAACATGGAGAAACCCCGTCTCTACTAAAAATACAAAAAATTATCCAGGCGTGGTGGCGTATGCCTGTAATCCCAACTACTCAGGGGGCTAAGGCAGGAGAATGGCTTGAACCTGGGAGGCAGAGGTTGTGGTGAGCTGAGACTGCGCCATTGCACTCCAGCCTGGGCAACAAGAGCGAAACTCTGTCTCAAAAAAAAAAAAGAAAGAAAGAAGGAATAATTGGAAGGAGCATAAATGACTATGATACAGAAATAAATGATACAGACTAGACACTGTAATCAAAAGATTACAGTGAAATATTACAATGAAAAGAAATTTATTTCTGTTAAAAGTTGAAAAGAATTCTGGAGAAATAATAAAGAAATTAGGCAAAGGAAATTCAACACCTTCCAAAATCTTGCAGGCATGCCTTTTACTCATACAATGTAAATTGCATCCAGAGGGAAGAAAGGAAGTCTACTAAATCGTAATTTCCAGCTTCCAACTTTCATGATGTAAAAGAGGACTTAATTAGGGAGAGGGGGATGAATGCCGGTTTCAAAAACAAAAAAGTGTTAGGCTGGGCGCGGTGTAATCCCAGCACTTTGGGATGCCAAGGTGGGTGGATCACGAGGTCAGGAATTCTAGACCAGCCTGGCCAACATGGTGAAACCCGTCTCTACTAAAAATACAAAAATTAGCTGGGCACAATGGCGGGCGCCTGTAATCCCAGCTACTCAGGAGGCTGAGGCAAGAGAATCGCTTGAACCCAGGAGGCAGAGGTTGCAGTGAGCTGAGATTGCACCATTGCACTCCAGCCTGGGCGAAAAAAGGTATAGAAAAATGGGCAAAGGATATAAATAGTTCACAGAAAAATAGGCACAGGTATGATTTATAGAAAAGGATGCCTTTTTTTTTTTTTTTTTTTTTTGAGACAGAGTCTCGCTCTGTTGCCCAGGCTGGAGTGGCAGTGGCGCGATCTCGGCTCACTGCAACCCCTCCGTCTTACCAGTTCAGGCCATTCTCCTGCCTCAGCCTCCCGAGTAGCTGGGACTACAGGCGCCTGTAACCACGCCGGCTAAATTTTTGTGTTTTTAGTAGAGACGGGGTTTCACCATGTTAGCCAGGATGGTCTCGATCTCCTGACCTCTTGATCCGCCCGCCTCGGCCTCCCAAAGTGCTGGGATTACTAGGATGCCTTTTTAATGCCTCTTTAAAGAAGGGGCAGATGGAGGACAGAGCTGAAAAAATATTATATATTATTATTAACTCATATTTTCCAAGTCTTAGGCTTAGAGAGAGAACACAAATACACAAAACTTTGATATCATGTTCTCTTCAGAAACAAAAAAAGAAATTGGTTTTTTAATCATTTATAACCGTGGGCAGAATTTCCTTCAATCTGTTGTGATTTTTGTGGCAAAGTTTTTAAAATTTGACCCGGCAAAAGATTGAAGGTAAGAATAAAAGACAAAACAAAATGAAACAAACAAAAAAAACACTTCTATTGTTATTTCCTTTTCCTTTGTTCATTTGGAGAGCCACAGAGCTGGGAACTTGTATTTCTGGGCATCAGGAAATAAGGCAGTGAACTTTGAATTTTCCCAGACTTCAGAGTCACTTGCTATTTATCAGATTAAATACAACTGCCTTAGAAGGAAATAATTTATATTACCTGGGCATGGCAAGTTGTGTGGCTTAGAACAAGCCAGGTTATCCTCAGCAATGATAGGAGTCAAAAATTACACAACGAAGAGCTTTACAAAAAAGTTTTTTCAAGTTTTTATCATTTCTATAATGTGTTCCCTTGTGAATCCCTAATCCCTAATATCCTTGTAGCTCTTTTCGAAAGACATACTAGTACTTTGAATAACAGCATCAAAAATCATTATTGAAATTTTTTTTCTTTTTTTTCTTTTGTTCTAGGGGCCTCACATTCAGATCTAAAGAGACATATGGAGCTCTGGGGATAGTGCACTGGCTGCTTAGGAACAGGCAGGTTAGCAAAAACAAATATGAGCTCAGAAATGCACTTTTCTGCTAGGATATAAAAGTATCATGTTACAGATAAAGTGTAATCTAATGGAACTATCACACTGGGTGATGCTGGGAGAGCCGTGGACATTCTTTAGTTGGAGTCTAAGTAAACTATCTGGTCTTCCAAATCCCAAGACCTAAATTAGTCAAAGCCTATGTCATCAATTGCACGATTTTAGATTTTTCCTTCCCAATCCTTATCTGTGTGTCCACCGGGATTGGAAAGGAAATATTTATTGAGTGTTGAATTAAAGTCCTTATACATCCATGAGAATGGATTTTAAAAATACCTCCTCTGGCTGGGAGTGGTGGTTCATGCCTGTAATCCCAGCACTTTGGGAGGCTGAGGAGGGTGGATCACTTGAGCTCAGGAGTTTGAGACCAGCCTGAGCAACATGATGAAACCCTGTCTCTACAAAAAATACAAAAATTAGCAGGGCGTGGTGGCATGTGCCTGTAGTCCCAGCTACTTAGGTGGCTGAGGTGGGTCACTTGGGCCTAAATATATATATTTAGAACTGTGGTCAGAATTTGCTTCAATTTGTTATGATTTTTCTGATAAAGTCTTTAAAATTTGACTTGGCAAAAGGATGAAAGTAAGAATAAAAAACAAAATGAACAAAAAAACCCTTCTATTGTTATTTTCTTTTCCTTTGGAAATATTCTTTAGATCTTACTTCTTAAATGGGAATGACAAAAAATAATTTCTTTTTCTTTTCTTTTTTGTTTTTGAGAGGAGTTTCACTCTTGTTGCAGTGAAACTGCAGGCTGGAGTGCAGTGGTGCCATCTTAGCTCACTGCAACTTCCGCCTCCCGGGTTCAAGTGATTCTCCTGCCTCAGCCTCCTGAGTAGCTGGGATTACAGGCTCCTGCCACCATGTCCGGCTAATTTTTGTGTTTTTAGTAGAGATGAGGTTTCATCTTGTTAGCCAGGCTGGTCTCAACCTCCTGACCTCAGGTGATCCACCCACCTAGGCCTCCTAAAGTGCTGGGATTACAGGCGTGAGCCACCATGCCCAGCTGACATAAAACAATTTCTGAGCCCACAAATGCTTTTTCTTTCAAGACCTTTTTGTCTCTTAACACATCCCATTTACCAACACATTTTACCTATGTGTAATTCTAAATCCCCATACTGATCATAAAACACTGATAATTTAATCAGATTTTGTTATGAACAACTGATTTTTCTAGGGGCAGAAAAACTTGGCCTATTTAGAAAGTAAATTGGCCAGCTCTATCAACATGAAGCCTGGGGCTTTCTTCACATACTTCATTGCCCTTTACTACTGGGTTTGACCAGCCTTACTTTGCTTTCCTGAAGGCAGCATCTCAGAATGTTGTCTTGGCACATAACTCGGGCTGCTGCTTTGTGATGACCCCAGAACACTGTTCAGATCTCCCTTCCTACCTCCCTTTCTAATCTCCTGCTATTACCCCAGAGTAGCAAACCTAATGGCTGACACTGCCCTAGGACTTGTTTAATTGAATCCTGAAAGTGAAGTGTGCCAGGGCCACTGAACACAGAGGCCCCTATAGCTTTTCCTTAAACAGACTTTTTCCTTAAACAGGCCTCTGCAGTCATCCATCTGTAGCAGCGCCAAGAACTTCCTTTCACACTATTTGGGACACCAAGATCCTCCATGGGGATAGACCCTTTGGATAAGAGTGCCCTAGCACACTGGTTGGCACATTCTTCATTTGTTGTACATACTGGATATATTTCAGTTAGTATTATTAAATGGATTAAGTCTTATAAAAAATATTGGGGCTCTGCTTGGAGAATATGAAAAGGAAATGATAACCATAAGCAATACTCAGGGCTGTAGCATTGACCCTTTGGGTTGGAGCTCAGGTGTTCTTCTGAGAGGCAATAACAGAGCTTACAGTCAACAGAAAGATGTTTGATGAAATGGTCACTCTCCAAAACACTTGCCCCTTGCTGCTGAATGAAGGTAAGTGCAGAGAGCAGAGCCCTGGTAAAGAAGGTGTGAGCATCTCTTCAGGGGTCTGCTTGCCTAGCTGGCTCATTCTGATCAGGAAGTTCCCACATTCTCCAGATGTGTACCTAGAAATTTATGAAGATGACAGAAAGAAATGATAGTCCCTTCTTCCTAAGAAGAATGTATAGGTCCTTTAGAAATACAGACTTCAAAGATTGCAAGCTGCGTCCTGGTACTAATTGCCACTTTGTCTTCACTAAATGGATAATGATAACTTTACAAAGGAAGTTGTCTTGGTTACAGAGCAGCCTGGATTCACATATGTGTCTCTGTGGCTCTTGTCCTCACAATCTGTACTGAATTAATCTCTGCCTTTTGCTCAAGGCTTTTATCACTGAGACACTGTCCTTTTTTAAAAAAAATCTTCTCCAATTATAGAGTTTATGTACTAAATTTTTGTCAGTTGATTTTCAAGGGAGGGTTTGTTCCCCTCCAGGGTGCTATGGATGTGGCCAACTTTGTCTCTTTAGGATCTTTGGAGGAAAGAATTCTTCCCCAGTGAGAATCCCCCAGTGCACCCCACCATGACATACCACCTATGTAACTGCTGAATCTCTCTGCCACCCAGCAATAGCAATGCTGATTGAATTACAATTCAATTACTTAGTGGCCAATATATGTGTATTACAAAAGTTCTAAAAGGAAGAATTGGCGGACTGTATAAGGAGCTCCTGAGAATATAACTGCTGCATCAGGGAATCTTAGCATTTCACAAAGTCAAATCTAGAAATATAATTTATAATTTTAAATAACTTATAGTTGCACTTGTAATTACTTTTTTATTGGTAGCCTTTTGCAAAGCTTGTATGCTCTATGAAGCAAGGGCTGAGTTTATCTTATTTACTGATATGTCCCCAGAACTTAGTACAGAACCAGAACCGTAAAGACACTTAGTCTAGCACTGGTGCTCACTAAAACAGGGATGAATCACTCACTATTCTTTGATCTGTCTGAGATATTCTTTATTAACATTAATGTCTGATTTTTATTATATTTTCTAGTCTGATTTTTATTATATTTTCAGTCACCTAGAAGATATTCTCCAAGCCAAGTACACACTTGGCACATGGAAGGAGTCTATGGAGTGAATGAATTAATGATCTTGAGAGGGTTATTTGGCAACCAATGGGCAACAATAATTTGGGAGCCTGGGAATATAACAGGGAATGGAGAAACAGGTGGAACCCTCCATTCAGACCCAATTGATGACAGCAAAACTGGGACAGGAAGGAACTTTCCAGGTTTTAGCAAGATGGTTGAATCAAAGCAGCAGGTGCCTACTTTGTCCACCATCTTGAATTAAATACTTAAAAATTTTGTGATTAAAATATTTAATAAGACAGCATAACAAAGTGGATAAGAGCCTAGATTCTGGAGCAGACTCTAGGTTTTAATCAGGCAGGCTAGGTGACCTGGAGCAAGTTATTTGAGCTCTCTAAGCCTCAGTTTTCTCATCAGCAAAATGGAAATAAAGATATTAATAGTACCTACCTAATCACATGGTTGTTATGGGGATGAAATGAGTTAATCTTTACAAGATACTCATACCATGCATGGCAAATAATAAATGTCATATAAATGTATGTTAAATATAAACAAATAATTATCTTTTGTGGAAGGAAGATAAGAATGTTACTGTGTGTATTAGTATCTCTTATCCTGTAGCAAATATTCTGTATTTTATCTCTTTAGAATATGCAGAAATCCACGATCTCTACCTGAGATTTAAGGAAGCATGAGTTATTGATTTAAACCTTGCATCTGGTATAGAATTAAACATCTCCTGCCTGATGAGACAACTGAAAGGTAGCCCACAGTTGATTGCTCTTTGATGACTTGTTTTTATTCTGCTTCCAAAATCTGATAGAACATCCATTAGAGTTTGGCAGAAACTCTGTTCTCTAATCAGCACTATGAGTTGAGTTTGCCTCAGAAACTGGAAGGAAGAACTGATTTTCAAACAATTTAATTGTCATCTAATGACATTCATGGCTTGATTTGTCTGATTGATGAGTTAAATTACTTCACCTGGTCCTGCGAGGGAACTGACAGTGCATTCAGTTTCTCATCCCCACTCTACAAATAACTATTTCTGGTGACTACAGCAACCACATGCACTTTCATCTTCTGAATTTAATCAGGCAACATGCTGTTTACTGATTCATTTGAGTTGTACAGCAGAATACTAAAAGAGGACAAAATAAAGCTGATTCTTCCTCCATCATGAGGAAGTGTCTTGTGAACTTTGTTTTTTCTGATCAAGCAGGGATCTTACCAAGGTTGAGCCCAAAGGCAATTAAAATAAAATAAGAGGAAATAGGTAGAAAATCAAAATGATAAGTCTGAGGACAAAGGTAGACTTTATAGACCAAGCAGTGAGATTGTTAAGAGGCAGAGCTGGATATAGGATGGAAGAATGTGTGTATGCCCAGAAGCCCACTGATCCACATCCTATCTGGAAAAAATCAGCATTCCTGCTTTGTGTAGTTGCCTTGCCTGATTAACTACTTTTACATTCCATCTATCTGGCAAGATTTGACAATGTGTGGTATAGCCATTCCTGCTCTAAAGACATAGGCTTAGCTATACTCTTAGAGGAAATTCAAAGATCAATTTTTAGTGAAACCGCTTTATTTTGAATTTGAGAGAAATCTGTCCAATTAGAATGATGTCACCATTTGAGGTTCTGAATTCTATCCCTTTATCCTTATTAAGTATCCCTTAATACTAATCTAGACTAATTTTTCTTTGAGGACCAAGTCCCAGGTCCTTACATATGGCAGGCAGATCTCAAAGGAGATTTAAAAGGGGCACCTGTCTTCAAGAAGGCAGGAAGTTTGCCTCCCAGCATGGTGCCTGCTGCTTGACTTGAACACACCTCTCCCTTTTCCTTCACCAGACTTCTGACTGGTCACCAGGTGAGAATGTCAAATCTGACTCACATGAATCAGAAGTCTTCCCTAGTGACAAGCTGTACTACTAATTTCCAGGAGACAAGGAATCAAGAAGTATAGGCTGAGCAGGGACCAGAGTGGGACTTTCAGTGCAGGTGTCCAGGCCCTTTCTTGAAGTTTTGGTTCCACTCTGGCTCAGGAGAACACATGAGGTATCAAAGGGATGTATGCAGGTCAAATTACTTATACAAAGGAGAGCCATTTCAGTCTTGAAACCTCTCCATTTTATACTCAGCTAGTTATATAGCTTACTTAACTGTGACAAGGAGCCATGCCCCAGAGATTTACAGACGCCAGATTTGTTTTCCAGAAGCAATCCTAGGCGATCTGGTACACATGACTAAATCTCTCCTTACAGGATTCTTCCCCTATCAATTTCATCACTTTACTTTGCAGGAGAACCATCATTACAAGGAGATTAGAGAAGGTCACTGATTTTTTTTTTTCCCTCAGGCGGGCACGGGGATTCTCTGCCTTCTTAAAGGGGAGCGTGTGCTGTAGACCTGCTGCTTAATCGTGTCCTTCCCGGAGATAAAGCAGTTGCTCACCTGAAAAGCCTTGGAAGGCAAGGCGGTGGGGAGGGTGGCGAGGAGGTGGGGAGGGTGGCGAGGAGGTGGGGAGGGTGGCGAGGAGGTGGGGAGGGGGCGAGGCGGTGGGGAGGGGGGCGAGGCGGTGGGGAGGGGGGCGAGGCGGTGGGGAGGCGGGGCGAGGCGGTGGGGAGGCGGGGCGAGGCGGTGGGTTCGGGGGCGAGGCGGTGGGGTTGGGGGGGGGAGCACTGCTCTAGGGAATGAATCCGTGTTTAAAGCAAATATTGCAGAGACCATTCTCATCAAAAGAAAGCAGAGCCATCTTTTAAGATCTACTAAAACCGCAGATAGTGAACAACTTCTTTTCTAAGTTGGGAATGCTTCTGCCCAGAGATTTATTGTCCTCATTATGTTTTGCTTGGATTTCTTAAAAAAAAATAAAAATAAAAAAAAAATAAAAAAGGAGCTCGAGTTACCCAAGCAGCCACCGTTTCTTGTGAAAAGGAAGCAACCCAGCTCCAGAAAATGCTCTCAGGCACAGAGAAAAACAAACCTGGCAAAACATGAACCACAGACAGCAGCTGCAGCGTCTCTTGGGAGATATTTTAGTTTCATGGAAAGCCTAATTGAGGCCTAACTCATTCACATCCCGAGATGATGTCCATTTGAGGTGGGCCATTCTTGATACCACTTAAAAAAATATATATATATATATGGCTGGTTGCGGTGGCTCACGCCTGTAATCCCAGCACTGTGGGAGGCCAAGGCGAGTGGATCACCTGAGGTCAGGAGTTCAAGACCAGTCTGGCCAAAATGGTGAAACCCCGTCTCAACTAAAAATAAAAAAAAAAATTAGCTGGGCATGGTGGCGGGCGCCTGTAATCCCAGCTACTTTGGGAGGCTGAGGCAGGAGAATCACTTGAACCTAGGAGGTGGTGGTTGCAGTGAGCCGAGATGGTGCCATTGCACTCCAGCCTGGGCAACAAGAGTGAAACTGTCTTAAAAAAAAAATTATTATTGTATTTTATTATGTTCCTGGGTACATGTGCAGGATGTGCAGCTTTCTTACATAGGAAAACATGTGCCATGGGATACCACTTTTTATGTGACCCTGGAATTGAAGCAAAATTACTTGTGAGGATTAGATAACTGATGCTTTGTCACAAAAAAAGAGCATAAACAGATTCATTGACTTACCCAGAGTACCAAAATTATTTACTTTTGGACTCAAACTCAGAAGTCCAGATTTGAACATTTTTTCACAACAAGGTGGAAACTGTGGCCATGCGATTGTTGCTCATATCATGCATAACCAAGAATAACAGCTGCTGCCCCATGGTATTTACTCCATGACAGACACCATCCCAAGCTCTCCACGTATGTGATTTCATTTCATCACTGCAAAAAACCTGGAGGCCATGTTTATCCCTATTTTACAGATAAAAAAACCAAGGCACAGAACAAGTTAGTGGCAGAACAGAGATTCCAATGAAGACCTCTTTGACTCTGATCCTGTGTTCTCACTGCCTCTTGTACTGCCTCTCCGTAAGTACATTGATCCTGCCAAACAGCTTCATTCCATTAATCGGTTTTTTAAATTTATTTTTCAGAAGTGGACAATGGTGAGCAATTGTTTTTCCAGAGCACAGACACCCATGAGTTTAGACCTATCTTCAGTAATTAGCTTTTCCAAATATTCCCATCTACCTAGGTAGACATGTGTTTTAAATCATTTTCACCTGATGCTCTTTCTCTTCCACTGAATATCCTTCCTTCATGAATTACATACATTAATGTATCATATATATTTGTAAATACATTTATGTTATATATGTGCTATGGTCTGAATGTTTATGTCCTCCCAAAATTCATATGTTGAAATCCTAACCCCTTCAGTGATGGTGTTAAGAGGTGAAGCCTTTTGGGGGTGAATAGGTTCTAAAGGTAGAGCCCTCATGAATGAAATTAATGAGCCCAAGGGAGTTCATTCATCCCTTCCACCATGTGAGGACACAGCGAGAAGCTGCCATCCTACGAACCAGGAAGCAGGCCCTCATCAGACACTGATTCTCCCAGTGCCTTGATCTTGGACTTCCCAGCCTATAGAACCATGAGAAACAGATTTTTATTGTTTATAAGCCATCCAGTTTACCGTATTTTGTTAGAGCCGCAAATGGACTAAAACAATATGTTATGTATGTATATTTATAGATATATCCCGTCTTCTACTTTAGGTTTAACATGGCTTTGTTCTCAATTAATGAGAACATGAGGAGTGAGTATTAACTTTTCCCTTAAAATAGAGGGCAATCTGCTAGAAACCTTCCATGGAAAGATATGTTTATCTTTCTCAATTTCCAAGTGCAGAGGACATCTGTGATGTCACACGATTACTTCACTTCTGGGTAAATACAATCCAGTGATTATAATGGAGAACTTGGTAAAATACTGGAAAACTAAAGGCCAGAATTTAATTAAGCAAAACATACTGAAGTGCACTAAAATAATCATGCAACTCTCAAAATAAGCAATGCTTTAAAATGAAGATTAAACATTTCCCTAAGGCATCAGTCCTACATGTTTTTATTATTTTTATTTTAAAGATGAGGTGTCACTCTGTCACCCAGGCTGAAGTGTGGTGGCACAATCATGGCTCACTGCAGCCTTGAATTCCTGGGCTCAAACAATCCTCCCACCTCAGCCTCCTAAGTAGCTGGGACTAGAGGTCTGTGCCCCCAGGGTCGGCTAATTAAAAAAAAATTTTTTTTTTTTTTTTTTTTTTTTGGTAGAGACAGGGTCTTGTTGTGTTATCCAGGCTGGGCTCAAACTCCTGGCCTCAAGCTATCCTCCCACCTCAGCCTCTCAAAGTTCTGGGATTGTAGGTATGAGTCACCCTGCCCTGCCAGTCCTGCACATTTTACCAAACATTTCTGTTATCAATACACAGATCCATACTTTACCCTTCCAGTTTCATGAACATTGTATGAAACACCAGAACTTCCCATTTCTAAGGTACTGTAACTTCATAAGAACAACATACTTTAAAAACACAATATAAGAATAGTGTTTGTGTTTTGTGAGTTGTGGTTATCCATTAACAAACACTGATAAAGCACGTGTTATGTGCCAGACATGGGGTTTTCAAAAATGAGTAAGAGGGCCGGGTGCGGTGGCTCACACCTGTAATCCCAGCACTTTGGGAGGCCAAGGCGGGTGGATCACGAGGTCAGAAGATCGAGAACGTCCTGGCTAACACGGTGAAACCCCGTCTCTACTAAAAATACAAAAAAAATTAGCCGGGCGTGGTGGCGGGCGCCAGTAGTCCCAGCTACTCGGGAGGCTGAGGCAGGAGAATGGCATGAACCTGGGAGCCGGAGCTTGCAGTGAGCCGAGATCGCACCACTGCACTCCACCTGGGCGACAGAGCGAGATTCGGGCTCGAAAAAAAAAATGAGTAAGAGGTAATGTCAGCCTTTGGAGAACTTCATGGCTTAAAAATTAAAATATATTAGGCTTGTAAAGAGCACTGCTTCTTTCTGCGGCTTTGTCTCTTTGTAACATAAAATTTGTGGTAATTTTTAGGAAACTCAGGATATGTTGTCCACTCCAGAAGTATGAGGTGGGACTGCAGGAATATGAGCTCCTCTCCACATGCAGGGACCCCAGGTGAGGTAACATGGCAGGTGCGGAGCACCAGAGCAGGTGCTACCAGGGCTGAGTTTTCATATTTATTTATTTATTTGTTTTTGAGACAGAGTCTTGCTCTGTTGCCCAGGCTGGAGTACGTGGTGCAATCACAGCTCACTGCAGCCTCAAATTCCTGGGCTCAAACAGTCCTCCTACTTCATCCTCTGGAGTAGCTGGGACTACAAATGCATGCCACCATGCCTTGCTAATTTTTAAATTTTTTGGTGTCAAGATCTTACTATGTTGTCCAGGCTGATCTTGAACTCTTGAGCCCAAGTGATCCTCCAGCCTCAGCCTACCAAAGTGCTGGGAGCCATCCTGCCCAGATGGGATGAGTTTTCATTCTTCCTCCACAACTCTCTGTGTGCTCCTGGGGAGGTCACTGAATCTTTCTAAGCCTTAGTTTCTTCATTCATAGCAGGGAAAATAGCTGCTCTACATACCTCAGGCAATCATCATGGGGTCAAATAAGAAAACAAGTGAAACATTTTGAAAACTGTAGTAGGCATTTGTAAGCTCTATAGAGGCATGGATTTTTGTCGGTTTGTTCACTCTTGGAGCCCTAGCATCTAAAACAATGCCTGAATCATCATGAGTCCACAATACAAATTTATTGAATGAATGCACATGATAAAGGAACTCACCTTTTCACTTTAAACTATTCAAGATTATGGTAATCAATTATATTCTATTTTACAAAAGGAGAACACTAATTTTTTTTTTTTTTTTTTTTTTTCTGAGATGGAGTTTTGCTCTTGTTGCCCAGGCTGGAGTGCAATGGTGCGATCTCGGCTCACTGCAACCTCCACCTCCCAGGTTCAAGCCATTCTCCTACCTCAGCCTCCCGAGTAGCTGGGATTACAGGCATGCACCACCAAGCCTGGCTAATTTTGTATTTTGGTAGAGATGCGGTTTCTCCATGTTGGTCAGGCTGGTCTTGAACTCCCGAACTCAGGTGATCCACCTGCCTCAGCCTCCCAAAGAGCTGGGATTACAGGCCTGAACCACCACGCCCGGCCAGAGAACACTCATTTTATATAACTTCTAGAGTCACTGTTTCTCAGGGCTGGAAGGGAGCTTAATGAGTACATGATCCAGCCTTGCAGGTTGATGAACACCTTGACTCTGTCCTTGCCAGGTGCTTATCCAGCCTGTTCGAGATCATAGCCACCAAGGGGGAACTCTCTGGACAACCTGGCAGAAGTTCCCCTCACTCAGCTGAAACCTGCCTCCACCTGAGGCCACAGAGCAAGTCTCCCTGGGCTTCTGGGTCTTCAGACATTTGGAGACAGTTATTATCTCTCCCTGCCCTCAGATTTACCATGTCCAGGCTAAATGGATGATTTCTCACTTATAAATGTAAGGCATTTAATAATTACATTTCTTGATAATAAAATAAGGAAAAATTTAGGGTTTTTAAACAAAAAATTGCATTGGTATATGTCTGCTGTTACCCACAGGAGGCCCTTGTTTGCAAAGCTAGATATTGCTGGACCCACCTATTGGTAGACATCTGAAAAATTTCTGCAAATGTGAAATAAATATTAAGGTCCAGAGAGAATAACTGTATTTTGTAATATCTGTAATATAGCTGTGTATTTTATCATATCTGCCTTTATATAATATAATGATAAATATAAATATCATTGCAGCAATAGTTATAGTAGAAAAAAATCTGGAGTCCACCTAAGTGTCTATTAATAATGAGATAGTTAAATAAATTATGGTGTCTACTCAGCCATTAACAGTTGATGTTTGGATTCAGGTGCAGTGGTGCCTGCCTGTAGTACTGGCTACTCAGGAGGCTGAGGTGGGAGGATCACTTGAACCCAAGAATTTAAGGTCAACTTAGGTAATGTAGCAAGAACACCCTCTCAAAAAGGAGTCGATGCTTATAAAGTTATATAATAATATAGAAAATGCCTACAATATAATGGAATTATGTGGGAAAATCAATATACTCATTTAAAGGTACCATATGATATGGTTTGGCTCTGTGTCCCCACCCAAATTTCATGTTGAATTGTAATTACCAGTGGGAGGTGGGAGGTGATTGAATCATAGGGGTGAATTTCCCCCTTGACTTTCTTGCGATAGAGTTCTCACAAGATCTGGTTGTTTGAAAGTATGTAGCACCCCACCCCTTCTCTCTCTCTCTCCTGCTGGCCATATGAAGATGTGCTTACTTCCTTTTCACCTTCTACCATGATTGTAAGTTTCCTGAGGCTTCCCCAGAAACAGAAGCCTGTACAGACCACAGAACCATGAGCTGATTAAACCTCTTTTCTTTACACATTACCCAGTCTCAGGTATGTCTTTACAGCAGTTTAAGAATGGACTAATACACCATATGGTTGCTATGTAAACAGCCATGTTTTACAACAGTCTTAAAGTAAATGCAATATGTTAAGTAAAATAAGCCTGATATAGAAAGACAAATATCTCATTCTCTCACTCATATATAGGAGCTAAAAAAAAAATTGAACTCATGGAGATAGAAAGCAGAATGATGATTACCAGACACTGGGAAGGGTAGTAGGGAGAGAGGATAAAGAGGAGTTGGTTAATGGGCACAAAAATACAGTTAGATTAAAAAAAAAAAAATAAGATCTAGTGCTCAGTAACCCAATAGGGCAACTATAGTTTACAATAGCTTATTGTATATTTCAAAATAACTAAAAAGTAGAATTAGAATATTCCTAACACAAAGAAATGTTAAATGCTTTAGGTGATGGATATCCCAATTACCCTGTTTGATCATTACATATTGACACACTGGTACCAAATATCACATGTACCCCATAAATATTTACAACTATTATGTATCCATAAAAATTAAAAATAAAAAAATTTAAAAATAAAAGTACAAAATGCTATCATTGGTGGTTTTACAGTAGTGAAGTTATAGATGACTTTTTCTTCTATTTTGTTTTCCAAAAAGTGCTGATATTACCTTTAAAATAATAAAAAATTTAAATGTTTCATATTTATTTCAACATTTCTTTCTGAGATTTTATACACAGACACACATACCCAGATACACACACACACGCACATGCACACACCCACACACGCACGCACACACACACCTCCTTTTTATTATTCATCATCCTCACATTGGGTCAGTTTCTACAAAATGGGCATGAATTTTGGTGGGACCAGAAATGTTAAGAACAGTACTAGTGATAATTTGAGCAGAGGCAGAAGAATGCTGAATGCTTTCAGCACATAGTGATCACAGAATATCTTTGAGGTAAAAGAACCAAGAAGAGAAAAGTGACCCTCATGGGCAGATGAAGCCACCCAGGGCTGCAAGACCTCATCTTCCCCTCACTGAATAGACAGGTGTGCAGGCATGTGGGAAAGAGAGGGGGCATGAGTATGTGTGGACTCCACCCACACCGCTGTAACAGTCAATGTCTAGGCTCAACGTGTTTCTCTATTTCGGAATAATTCCATCATGCGTTGTATTGGCTGTGACACAATTAAAGGAATAACAAGGAGCAAAGCACCAGGACAAGTTAGTCTCTCTTTTCCATTTGCTGTCTGAGAGTGGCTGAGCTCCGTGCCAATAAACTGAAGCTTCCTCATTATTGTGTGATAGTAAACAAGAAGCCATCAGGATTTCACTTCAAAATGCACCAATTCAATTTTGAGGGAAAGAAATTTGCTAGTGTTAGAGCCTAGGGCTACACATGATCGCCATGAGGCTACAGTTTCTCCTCGGTGTGCCATCTCTCTCTCTTTCTGGTAGTGCAAAATGAATTTTAGTTGGCATTTCAGCATGGCTCACAGCTTCGTCTTCTTGATTGAATGCCAAGCATGAACTAAAATATATCAGATGTTTTGTCTGCCTAGTGCCACGTTATGTGGGTGGAAGTCTGTGCAGTTCTACTGGAGGAACAAAACAATAGGATTAGCAGCAAGCGGGAAGCTTCAAGTAAATGATTAAACATTGGAAGGGAAAGAAAAAATGAATATTACCAGGAAGTAGGGGCTGAGGTCCTGTATGTATGAGCCTGCAGAGGTGTGCGGTGCCCTGGCATGTGTTCCCTGGAATAAAAAGGAATGATTGGCAAGTGAAAGCAGTGCACATATATTCAGGAATAATTGTGCTGATTTGAAAAGAGCAACAGTATAAAACCAAGACAAAGCAAATGAAATCCAATTTATGCCAAAGAGTAAGAAAGTTTATAATACTCAATAAACCCTCAAATCACCTAAGAAAGAAATGGGCAGAGAATTGTTGCCATTAATGAGATGGGAGCAATTCACGATGAGAACGTGACCATTTGCAGCATGCACTCCTCACATCTTGCAAGCCTTGGGGCTTCTGAACACTCACTCCTCCTATTTACTTTCTGAAACTTAATTGAGGAAAAGGAGGAAACTGTATCCTTGATATGAGTTGTACTTGCTGCTCCCTGGGTTGGCTTTAGCTAGTAGAATTCCTGGGTTCCTTTGTGTGTGAGGTTTTGCCTTTGATTTGACTGGATGATAGATTATCCTCGTCTCTAAAGGAAACAAGTTAGAGAGGTAACTGTGTCATAGTATGTACTTTAACTTCTGAAAACAATGTCAATTTTTCTTTCTCATCACTTTCTTCAGTTGGTCCTGCCTTGTTGTTGGACTCATTATAAAAAAGCCAGGTTTTCCATGCCCAGACACATTAACTATCAGGGATGTGTCCTTCTCTGAGACAAGTCTTGATTTTACTGCTTCCTGCTGAGCCTGACTGCTGGCATTGGTCCTAATCAACTGGAAAATAAATGGAGCTTCCCAGGTCTTGAGTCAACACTGAGCCCCTGTTTTCCTGATGCTGCCAGCTGCCAGCCAGCCCATTGCCAAGAAACCATGCCAGAGCTCATGTTCCCTTATTTTCTCTCTACTTCCTTTTCCCTATCTGCTCTCCACCTCTGCTGTAATGCCTCCGGGCATTTTCTTAGTTCACTCTGTTTTCAAATCTTTCTTTATTACTCAGACGTCTGGGAACATTCTTGCTGTGTTTCATTGCTGTGTATTTTTTTCCATAAAATACTTCTTAACTAGATGGTGTCACCTTGAACAAATGAAAGGGAATATATTTTAGGTTTTCTTTTGTATCCACCCTGACCCTCCAACCCTTCAGTTCCCCAACCCCAGAAGGGCCCAGGACAATGCGAGATACTCATCAATGAATGACTAAATGATTAAATTTCCTGAAGGATAATTCAGGTTTTTTTTTTCCCCTCCAGAAGTTCTCTTGATTTATTCTCTTACTCTTTATTATCTTATTCATCAATTATTTCCTTTCTCAACTCTTATCTTAAACTTATCCCTTCCTTTGGGATCCTTGTTCTCAATCTAGAAACATGTTTATGTCTCTCATCTGAAACAAATGAATAAAGACAAAACAAAACAAGCACAACCTTTCCCTTGACTCTGTCTCCCATTGGTTAATTCAACATTTGTTTCCTGTGCCTACTATGCGCCACTGTTCTGGGGGCTGCATGGAGGCAGAACAGTTGCTTCTCTCATGGATCTAGGGAGAGGATTCAGATAAAAAATATATATATATATATATCCACAGGAAAAGCTCCAGCTACAGCTTTGTTATTCAGGCCTAGGCTATTTGGAGTCTTGGTTAGAAGGCCTTCCACTGGCCCTTCCAGCAGGCTGATTTAGCTTTGGTGACTGGGTGTGGGCTGGATATTAGGCCTCCTGACCTCCTGTCTCCCATAAATCTGCACAAGGGCCCTCAGCAGCCCCAGTCTCCTCTTTCCTCCCAAGCCTGCTTAGAAGACTAGCCTGTAATTGCACTCCCTATTCTTTAACCAGCAGCAACCTGGTCCCAGTGCCTACCACATGACCTCCATGCTAGGGCCCATGGGGTTTGGTTCCTAATTACATGTCCTTGGGCCTTAGACATTATTACCCATTTCTCCACTGGGTTTCACCTTTTCTTGTCCACCTCTATGTCCCTAGTTGCTCTTTCTGACATCAGCCCTCTTCTCTTCTCACTTTATGTTTCCAAGAAGCAGTCTCACCCATCTGCCAGCTTTAATCACACCACCTCACTGATGAACCCCAAGTTGTCTTCAGATCTCCATTTCCCAATTCCCAAGGCCTAGCTTCATGGGCGTATGACTGGTGCAGTGGCACAGGACACCATGCTTAGAAGGTTAAGCATTAAATCCTCCCTGGGGATTTAATGCTCTGTGGTCGCCATCTTGGAATTCTTAAACTTCTTTGAAATTTGAATTGGTATTCTGTAAGTCTATCAGTCTGCTCAGGCCACCATAACCATGTACCACAGACTGGGTGGCTTAACCAATAGAAATGTATTTTCTTGCAATTCTGGAAATGAAGGCCAAAAGCAAAGTGCCAGCAGGGTAGGCTTCCTCTGAGGGCTGTCAGGAAAGGCTCTGTTCCAGGCCTCTCTCCCTGCCTTGCAGATAGCCACCCCCATGCTGCCTCTTCATATCGGAGTCCTTCTGTATCCATATGCCCCATGGTGTCTCTCTGTGTGTACTCTTCTTATAACAACAGTCAGATTGGGGTAGGGCCCACCCATATGATCTCATTGAACCTAATCACCTTTTTCAAGGCCCGATCGCCAAATACAGTCACATTCTGAGGTACCAAGGCTTAGGACATATGAATTTTGGGGGACACCATTCAGCCCATCGCAGCAATTGAAGTCAGATGAGGCAATGAAGCACGCGCTTAGGGCTTAGAGTCGTGGCTCTCTGTGGCCCTGCTTTCTGCCACCTTCCCAGGACACATTCTCAGGTGCCTCCCTGCCTCTTGGCCTTCTGGCCACCCAGCAACCCCTTCCTTCCACACTTAGAAGGCACATGGGCACAGGTGCTGGGAGGACCAGGGTCAAGCCATCCTAGCCCCGGGATGTCAGTGCCACTGCATGTTTGGAGGTGATTTGGCAGGGGCAAGCCTTGCACCCACCCCAATCCAGGTATCCAGCATATCCTGGTTGATGTTGCAATTCCTTGGGATTTCCTGAAGTCCATGGACCTATGGAAGGCTGTGGGAAAGGAAAGTGACTTCCCCCACTTCCTAGCCCTGGGTCATTCAGCCTTTTTGAGAATTTGACTAAAGTTAGACAACCTCTCTCTACCCTGGAAAGTTGACATACATAGACAGCCATGATTTTTATATATATTAAGCGGGTGATGAACTTCATAAAAGCTACTCTGTGCACCTCTTGTGATTTGGCCCTGCTTACCTTTCCAGCCTCATGTCAACTCTGCTTTCACCATGCTGCAGCCCTCTTGAATCAGCAAAGCCATTCTCTGAATGCATTGTATCCTTCCACGCGTGTTTTTGCAAGCGCTCTTTCCTCTGTCTACCATATGCTTTCCTTCATTAGCATTGTAAAAAACTTCAAAATTAAAATTACATTCTGTCTTCTTAGAGAATCCATGCTGTCACCTCCTACTTCCTATAACCTAAGTTAAACCAAGTGCTCCTCTAGGACATCCATGAGTCTAAAAGGTTTATAATACTAAGTTTTTATTATTTCCTTACCTTTGTCCTTTCTACAGGATTGTGAGCATTTTGAGGACAAGGACTGTGTTTTAATCATTGCTATTTTCCTGGTGTCTAGGACAGAGCTGAGCACAGTCAATGTTTGCAAATATCTGTTGAAAGATCAAATGAATGCATTCCTGAATGAACGACTGAAAGAGAAGTATGAGCTTGTGGTGAGCTCATTTTGGAGCCAAACGGTGCTGGGTTTAAATCCTGGCTCTCTTGAAGACTAGTATTGTGACCTAAGGGAGATTACTCTAAAGCCTCTGTTTTCTAATCTTGAAATAAGGCAAATGGAATTTACCTCAAGACAAACCATTGTCAACTTATATTGATGAACAACAGCTATAGCTACATATAACTTAGTCCTGTCACTAAATTTCTGTGAGTTATCTTGGAATGAAAAGACAAAATTAAAAGACAATGAAGCTGTATTCTTGCAGATTAATTTATTAAGAACAACAGTAAAAATATACTCATTGAATGTCTACTGGGTAGAAGACATTATGCTAGGACCTGTGGAGAAATTAAATATAAATTAATATTTGGCCTATGGAGGAGTTAAGGTATACAGTATAGGCTAAATTTTAAAATAAAGTAGGAAATGTCAGGTGCCATAAGAGAGGTATCAGATTTTAGATTAAGAGTTCGTTTGTAGCTGAGACAATGAGGAAGGCTTTTTGGGACAAGTGGTGTTTGAAAAGACCTTTCCTACAAAGGAAAGGTCAAAAGATTTTTGCTGACAGTGGAGGAAGGAAGACAGGAATGAATGCAACCATGAGGAGGTGGAGATATCTAGGAGAGAAATGTGGGCTTGGCCATCCTATTGATGTCATTGTTTCACCAGATGCTGCAGTTTCAGCTTCTGAAACCAAGGGTTAGTGACCTGCCTTTTTCACAAAGTACAATGTGCCCTGGTTTTCTGTCTGGAGCCATTGATGCTCTGCCCAGAACAAGGCCACCTGATGCCGACAGCTAAGGCAGAAATTGGCCTGTTCACACCGTAGCCCCTCAGAAGCAGCAGTTTTGTCACTCTTTTTCACAATGCCCTGAAGACACTTGGCAGAGGCTCTACTGCAGGGGTGAGGAATCACATCCCTGTGAATAGGAATGAGCAACTGGAACTGGTGTGGACACTTGGGGAATGATTAATAAATCTTATCACAGATTGTCAAATTATGTTATTTAGAATCAAACTGCTTGTGGATGAGGCAGAAGATACATACACACACTATAAAGATGGTTTTCTCTAATGACCAGTGATGATGAGCTTTTTTCCATATGTTTGTTGGCTGCATAAATGTCTTCTTTTGAGAAGTATCTGTTCATATCCTTTGCCCACTTTTTGATGGGGTTGTTTTCTTCTTGTAAATTTGTTTAAGTTGCTTGTACATTCTGGATATTAGACCTTTGTCAGATGGATAGATTGCAAAAATTTTCTCCCATTCTGTAGGTTGCCTGTTCACTCCAAATGCCCATCAATGATAGAATGGATAAAGAAAATGTGGCACACATACACCATAGAATACTATGCAGCCATAAAAAAGGATGAGTTTGTGTCCTTTGCAGGGACATGGATGAAGCTGGAAACCACCATTCTCAGCAAACTAACACAGGAACAGAAAACCAAATGAGCATGTTCTCACTCATAAGTGGGAGTTGAACAGTGAGAACACATGGACACAGGGAGGGGAACATCATACACCGGGGCCTGTCGGGGGTGGGCGGCAAGGAGAGGAAGAGCATTAGGACAAATACCTAATGCAAGCGGGGCTTAAAACCTAGATGACAAGTTGATAAATGCAGCAAACCACGCTGGCACATGTATACCTATGTAACAAATCTGTACATTCTGCACATGTATCCCAGAACTTAAAATTAAAAAAAAGAAGAAGAAGAAAAATGGTGTTCAAAATATTTCATTTTACAAGTGGTAATGAAACTGAGCTTTTAAAAAAAAATCAGTGATGAGATGTCATTTCCAGGAATCCTCTTTTGGCACCACCAGCTTGAGTTCATCACACTGCCACCAGCCTGCATGGGTGCTGCATTTCCCCTGCTGCTGTATAATGGTGGTTAAACTATGGTTCTGGGGCACCAGGCTTCCTGACCTTGAAGGCAAGCTCCTCTATTGACTAGCATATGACCTTGGGCAGTTCCTTTAACCTTCCTAAGTTACAGTTTCTCATCAGTAAAATGGAAATGGTGGCAATACCTGTCTAATATGGCATATGGAGAGTAGTAAAAGAAATGACTAGTGCAGTAAAGAACATCTCAGTGCCTGCCACACAGCAAGTGCTTTCTCTCCAGATACCAGCGTGACTTCTTTCTGTCTCATCTCCTTTAGATCTTTACTCCACTGTGAAGCCATCTTTGACCATCCCATTTAAAAATGCACCCCCTACCTCCAAACATTATCCCATTTCCTCCCTTCTTTTTTGTCCACCGCACTTCATCACTATCTCACATACTATGTATTTTAGTTATTTGTTATGTTTATGCCTGTCTCTTTAGTAGAATGCAAGCACCAAGCACCTGTATTCCCAGATCAATGCCTGGCATGCAATAAGGACTCAAGGGAGGAAGAGATGAGCCAGCCCTGCTATGCTGAAACTACTCCCGGCCCAGTGCTAGCCCTTTGGGACCCCGTTTGAACGTCTGACTGCCCTTTGACACCTGGACCAGTGGGCAGGAAGAGAAACTAAAATCGAGGTAGTAATTTAAGCAGCACATTATGGGGGGGCTCTGGCCTTACTGAACTTGAACTCAATGCTGCCGATTTTTCATAAGCCTTGATTCATGATACCCCACTCCCTCTTGCTCAGCTAATGAGCTCCTCCTGTTACCCAAAGTTGACCCGAGGGACCCACTGCAGAGCCCGGGATGGCAAAGAATTCTCTGACTCAGGCTCTGACCCGGACTCGGAGGGGCAAAGTGAGCAGGAAAGGGATCTGCAAAGCTCACCTCCTCTTGGCCAAGGCGGCCTCGCGCTGGGGAGGCGGCTCTCGCGCTGGGGAGGCGGCTCCCGCGCTGCAGCCCTGCTCCGGCGCCCCGCGCCGCCTCCGCTGCGGGTCGGGAGCGCGCGTCTCCGCCGCACCTCGGATCTAGGAGCTACTCGCCCGGCCCTGGGCGGTGGGAGGCGGCGGCGGCGGCGGCGCTCGCGCACCTCGGAGGAGCCAGGAGCCGGAACCAGGGCCGAGCCCGCGGGCCGGGGCTAGCCAGCCGGTAACCACGGGCGGGACAGGGCGCCCAGGGCGGAGCAAAGCCCGGGCGCTGGGTGCGGGGCGCGTGCAGCTTTGGTCAAGGCAGGGCTTGCTTGGGTTTGGGGGCAGTCTTTAGTTTAGAGGGGCTAGAGAATGGGGTGGGAGGAGGAGAATTGGGGTGTGAGGACGCCCACGGGAAGAGTGTGGACCCCGTGGAGAGCACCAAGTTTAAAACCTTCCCGGCAGCCCGCTGATGTGCGTGTGGACGCCGCTGGGCGTCCGAAAAGCCTGGAAGCGGCGGCGCTCGGGGCTTGGGTGGGCTTCCTCCCCTCCGCTGGGCCCCAGCGGCCGAGGCACACCCTTTCCCGCTGGTGAGAAAACTTTCCTTGCTGCGGCCCTCCTGCCGCCTTGGTGCCCTGCAACTGAGAGAGCCCCCCTGGGCTGGGGAAATGTGCTGGCTCCTGGCCCCGGGCGCGCCTCCATGCACTGGGCAGGGTTCTCAGATGATGCCTGGCTTGACAGTTGCTCATTCATTTTGTTTGGACTGGGGAGCCTGCTCGCAGGTCGTGTTACTGATTAGAGGGAAATAGGGGTTTTACACTTTCCCCGCCGCCCCACCCCGCAACCCGCCCCCGCTCCCCCCGCCCGCCCCGCGCCCCGTGCCCCGTGCCTTTCCCATCCTTTCTGTGTAATTAATTGAGGAAGGCAAAGAGTAGTCTCTGCAGAAACCTGTTTGGAGGCGTTGTGGTTTCCACAGCATGTTAGATGGCACAGAATCTCAGCCACTACTCTGCATTTAGTTTGACAACAGTGAAACACTCTGGTGTTTTGAAGGCAAAGGAAGCTTGAGGGAATGTGTCCAGGGAGACGAGAGAAGGGAACTCTTATGCATAAATTAATTCTTACGAAAACCCCAAAAGTAAACAGTAGTATTTTCAGTTTGCAGGTAGAGAAAATTAGATTGCGATATTAAATACGTTTTCCAAGGTGACTGCCCCAGTTAAGTAATAGTGGGGAGTAGGGGTCTGGAAGCTAGGACTGTGAGTCTAGTTTCCTTTAGGTACATTGCATGGGGTACACAGACAAGAACAGGTGCAGGAGAGTGACGAGGGCCTGCAAGGATAAGGTCAGGAAAGCCAGAGGCCACTGTGAGCTGGGGTACCCACAAGGAGTTTCGTTCTTATGAGGAAGATCATCCAGTGTTTATGGAAGAATAGATAATATTAACAGGTGATAGGAAAAGGAAGAGTTGCTTCCAGTCTGTATCTTTCTTTTCAAAGTGAGGCCAGCCTAAACCCTTTAAAGAGGGTCTCGAAGCCCGAAACTGGACTGGATTGTTCAAAACCCAAATGGCAGACGTCCTAGAGTAGTGAAAGCGGTTACAGTCATCTTTGTGCAGGTATGAGAGATGAGAATGGACCCAGGAGACTTTTTAAAAGAGGGAAACATTGAATCCTGGCAACATTCTAGAACAAATTCTTTAAGATAGCTCAAAACTACCTAGGGAAGCATTTACAAATACTTACGCCAAACCAACTCCCTTCCCTTTTCTAGCAATCTACTGGGATATAGATCAGGGTATGCTGTATCCATTGTCTTCAAATGTGGGCTGTGACTCATTAGGCTAATGATCAGTTTAGTGAGTTGCAAATAGCAGTTTTTAAAACATGAAAGCCAAGAGAAAGAAAGATAAGATATCAGAGTGCATTGCAGGAGCAAGGGAAAGTACTGTTTTGTGAAGCGCGCGCTGGTGATGCATGTGTCCTGTTCTGTGTTGCTGATCCTGCTGCCTCTGCGTGAGTGTTCATACCCATCGCTAGCTGCCCCCTTTCAGCCTTCTGAGCTAGCCCCATTCTGGTCACAGTGGGGGTCATCTTCTTTTACCTTGCAGATTATGTCATCAACATATTCTGGAAAGCTGTTCGCTTCCTCCTCCCCATTTCTGTTGGCCCCCAGATGCTGAGGTATTTTGCCAATCAGAATTCATCTCTGAATTATTTATCTGTGACCTTTTTTGATAGTCACAGTTCATAGATAACTTTTATCAAACATATTAAATTAGTTCAAATTGTATAAAGAGAATATCACATCTGTCCTTTTTAGCTTTCAAGGGAAATGTTTTCATTACTTGGAGTACAAAAAATATTGGAAGAACAATATTCTTATGATGTTTGTGTAATATATTTAAGGAACTATTATTATACCAAGCTATGATATTTGGAAGATTACCAGATAATGCCTCATTGTGTCATTTTCTGTCTAGTCTTTTTTTTTTTTTAAATTTTTCTCATTTTGGCTTTTTTTCCTAAATGAAATATCAAGGTAGATATATGAGAACCTCTCCATAACTCTTGAACCCACTGGTTACTTCAAGAGTATGAGGGTTCATCATGCAAAGGAATATGAAGAAATGTTTTAATAAACAAAATGAAAAATAATATGAGGGTTGAGCAAGGAGGCCTTGTTGAATAGATTTACTTCCTTCATCCCAAAGCTAGTGATGGTGTATCTGAAATTGGTGGGTTCTTGGTCTCACTGACTTCAAGAATGAAGCCACGGACCCTTGCGGTGAGTGTTAACAGTTCTTAAAGATGGTGTGTTCTGAGTTTGCTCCTTCTGATGTTCGGACGTGTTTGGAGTTTCTTCCTTCTGGTGGGTTTGTGGTCTCGCTGGCTTCAGGAGTGAAGCTGCAGACCTTCACGGTGAGTGTTACAGCTCATAAAGGCAGTGCAGACCCAAAGAGTGAGCAGCAGCAAGATTTATTGCAAAGAGGGAAAGACCAAAGCTTCCACAGTGTGGAAGGGGACCTGAGCGCCTTACCACTGCTGGCTCCAGTAGCCTGCTTTTATTCCTTTATCTGACCCCACCCACATCCTGCTGATTGGTCTACTTTACAGAGAACTGATTGGTCTGTTTCACAGAGAGCTGATTGGTCCGTTTTGACAGGGTGCTGATTAGTGCATTTACAATCCCTGAGCTAGACACAGAGTGCTGATTGGTGTATTTACAATCCTCCAGCTAGACAAAAAAGTTCTCCAAGTCCCCACTAGATTAACTAGACACAGAGCACTGATTGGTGCATTTACAAACTTTGAGCTAGACACAGGGTGCTGATTGGTGCATTTACAAACCTTGAGCTAGACACAGAGGGCTGATTGGTGCATCCAAGAACCCCGAGCTAGACAAAGAGTGCTGATTGGTGTATTTACAATCCTCCAGCTAGACATAAAAGTTCTCTAAGTCCCCACTAGATTAGCTAGACACAGAGCACTGATTGTTGCGTTTACAAACCTTGAGCTAGACACAGAGTGTTGATTGGTGTGATTACAAACCTTGAGCTAGACACAGAGTGCTGACTGGTGTGTTTACAATCCTTTAGCTAGACATAAAAGTTCTCCAAGTCCCCACCAGATTAGCTAGATACAGAGTGCTGATTGGTGCATCCACGAACCCCGAGCTAGACACAGAGTGCTGATTGGTGCATATACAATCCTCCAACTAGACATAAAAGTTCTCCAAGTCCCCACCTGATTCAGGAGCCCAGCTGGCTTTGCCTAGTGGATCCCACGCCAGGGCCATGGGCGGAGCTGCCCACCAGTCCCATGCCACAAGCCTGCACTCCTCAGCCCTTGGGCGGTTGATGGGACCAGGCGCCATGGAGCAGGGGGCGGCGCCCGTTGGGGAGGCTCGGGCAGTGCGGGAGCCCACCACGGGGTGGGGGGCTGGGCTCTGGCATGGCGGGCTGCAGGTCCTGAGCTCTGCCCCACAGGGAGGCGGCTGAGGCCCGGTGAGAATTTGAGTGCGGCGCAGGCAGGCTGGCAGTGCTGGGGGACCTGGCGCCCCCTCTGCAGCTGCTGGCCTGGGTGCTAAGCCCCTCACTGCCCAGGGCTGGTGGGGCCCACTGAGTCTGCGCCCACCTAGAACTCACGCTGGCCAGCCCGGGTTCCTGCCCCTCTCTCTCCCTCCACACCTCCCCGCAAGCAGAGGGAGCCAGCTCCAGCCTCGGCCAGCCCAGAGAGGGGCTCCCACAGTGCAGCGGTGTGCTGAAGGACTCCTCAAGCATGGCCGGAGCAGACACTGCTGAGGAGGTGCTGAGAGTGAGCGAGGGCTGCTAGCATGTTGTCACCTCTCAGTGGGGCCATTTGAGGGTGAGTTGAGCTGTCCATGTGCTTCTTGCATTTGGGGCTCACACAGGGGCCTAGGTGGCTGGATCACTCACCTTCCCAGAGTTTGTTGGGCAAAGGATGTCTGAAGATGATCTGGGAGCCAGGTGGGGCCACATGGGAGGAAGGGCTGGCCTAAGGGCGAGGGCCCCTGGCAGCAGAAGTAGGAATGAGCAGCCAGCTGAAGGAAGGTGAGTATTACTAACACACCCATGTGAGGTATGAAGATAGTTAATTCAGTCCTTTCCTCCTGCTTTGGTCTTGGAGTGATGTGAAACTAGCTAGCAGTTGAGTGGATGGTGGAGAAATAGAAAAGAAGTTTACCTTCCCCCAACCCCAGCAGGAGACCAGCATGCAGCAGGACATTGCAGAAATAGGGCAGATTTGTGTTATAATGGGTCAGAGTTTCTTTTGTTTCCAAAGATTAGACATTTTAATTCTTTTAGGTTTTTATATTTCTTATTTATTTATTTATTCATTTGAGACAAAGTCTCACTCTGTCTGTTGCCCAGGCTGGAGTGCAGTGGCATGATCACAGCTCACTGCAGCCTCAACCTCTTGGGCTTAAGTGATCCTCCCATCTCAGTCTCTCAAGTAGCTGGGACTACAGGCACAGAACACCATGCCCAGCTAATTAAAAAAACTTTTTTTGTAGAGACGTGGTTTTGCTATGTTGCCCAGGCTGGTCTTGCATTCCTGGGCTCAAGTGATCCTCCTGCCTCCACATCCCAAAGTGCTAGGATTACAATTGTGAGCCACTGTGACTGGCCTCTTTTGGGACTTTGAAGTTGTTGCATGAGCAGAAACATCATGGGATCTACTCAAGTATTTGTTTGAGGGCAGGGAAGATGAATCCCTTGAGTGTATTTTGAGGCGCAATAGAAAACCAAAATACAGTTGACATTTGAGCAGGCCCCACAAGTTGTGCTAGCTCAGAGTAGGTAACATATGCTTGGGTTAAAATTAAGTAGAGTAGCAATCTGTGTTTATTGTTACATTTACTTTTGACAAAGGAAGACTTAGAGGCAGAAGCAGTTAGAAAAGGAAAGAAAATGTTTACTTCCCCAGAGTGCAAGGGAGTCAGGCTTTATAAGACTGGCTCATCAAATAAAATCACAATAAATACTTGAAAGAAAATATTCCACCAAATTACCAAAGTTCTCCATTTACATTAGTCTGTTGTTCATGACTAAAAACAACTTTCTTACACAATTATCTATTCCTAAAAGTCGTGACTTGTTTTCAGACATCAGCATAGCAAACAATCAAGGGAAAAAATTATTTCTTTAAGGGAATGAGATGTGTTTGAAGTTTTATTTTGGAGACCAACTTTCAGGCAGGATGATCATGTTATTTTTGCTTCATGTCAGGGTACAAAGTGATTTTTTTGCTTGACTGGAGTATGAGAAGTGCTTAGTCCTATTGGAGAGGTGGAAACTGTGCATTTTCCTTGCAATCATGATTCTGCAGTCCCTTATAGTATTGTTGAGATATGAAGTAAAAAAGCAGAAGTTGAGACTAGCTTTATGAGATGCTAAAATTATATATGTTAAAATCTGAGTTTAATTGTTGCTCGTGTTTCTGTTATCAAGACCTGTGTAATTTTTGCCTCACTAGAGAACGTTAGTAAAATTTCATAACCCTTCAAGTGAAAATAGTTTGTAAGCTTCAAATAATTCTCCTGCAAGGTGCATTTGTTTTCCTCTTGCATGTTCTTGGTAATAGCAAAAATAACAATCACTGGAAGGCAGAGCAGGCTGAGGGAGGGGCTTCTTAAGGATTAGTTTTGAAGTTGCCTGGTTTAACAAGAGAGAAAAATTAGGAGCTGAGTGAGAGAATGTGGTTGTAAACGTTTTCTGTCTTTCTACAAACCTTTGTATAGATTATTTCAGGAAATATAATTCTATCTTCTGTGGGGAAAAAAAGAAACGAGAGAGAAAGAAACAAATTTAAGATCAACTATCTAATATAAAACCTACACCATATTCCTACCAGTGTGATATGATTTGGCTGTGTCCCCGCCTAAATCTCATCTTGAACTGAATTCCCATAATCCCCATGTGTCGTGGGAGGGACCCACTGGGAGGTAATTGAATCAGGGGGTTGGTTGCCTTCATGAGTTTTCATGAGACTGATGGTTTCATAAGAGGCTTTCCCTCTCTTCACTCTGACTTCTCCTTGCTGCCGCTATGTAAAGAAGGATGTGTTTGCTTCCCCTTCTGCCATGATTGTAAGTTTCCTGAGGCCTCCCTAGCCCTGCGGAGCTGTGAGTCAATTAAACCTCTTTCCTTTGTAAATTACCCAGTCTCAGGTATGTCTTTATTGGCAGCATGAGAATGGACTAACACCATAAATTGGTACTGAGGTAGTGGGGAGTTACTATTAAAGATACCAGAAAATGTGGAAGCGACTTTGGAACTGGGTAATGGGCAGAGGTTGGAACAGTTTGGAAGGCTCAGAAGAAGACAGGAAAATGTGGGCAAGTTTGGAATTTCCTGGAGATGTAGAGGGCTCAGAAGAAGACAGGAAAATGTGGGAAAGTTTGGAACTTCCTAGAGACTTGCTGAATGGCTTTGACCAAATACTGATAGTGATATGGACAATGAAGTCCAGGCTGAGGTGGTCTCAGATAGAGATGAGGAATTTGTTGGTAACTGGAGCAAAGGTGACTCTTGCTATGGTTTAGTAAAGAGACTGGTGACATTTTACCCTGCCCTAGAGATCTGTGGATCATCAGAGAGATGATTTAGGGTGTCTGGTAGAAGAAATTCCTAAGCAGCAAAGTGTTCAAGAGGTGACAGAGCATAAAAGTTTTGGAAAATTTGCAACCTGACAATGTGGTAGAAAAGAAAAACTCATTTTCTGGGAGAAATTCAAGCCAGCTGCAGAAATTTGCATAAGTAACAAGGAGCTAAATGTTGATTGCCAAGACAAAGGGGAAAATGTCTCCAGGGCATGTCGGAGACCTTTGTAGCAGCTCCTCCCACCCATGGCCTGGAGGCCTAGGAAGAAAAAATGGTTTTGTGGGCTGGGTTCAGGCCCCCCCTGCTGCGTGCAGTCTAGAGACTTGGTGCCCTGCATCCTAGTCATTGCAGCCATGGCTAAAAGGGGCCAAGGCATACAAAGGGGCCAAGGTATAGCTCAGGCTGTAGTTTCAAAGGGTTTAAGCCCCAAGCCTTGGCAGCTTCCATTTGGTGTTGAGCCTATGGGTAAACAGAGGTCAAGAATTGAGGTTTGGGAACCTCCACCTAGATTACAGAGGATATATAGAAATGCCTGGATGTCCAGCCAGAAGTGTGCTGCAGGGACAGAGCCCTCATGGAGAACCTCTGTTAGGGCAACGCAGAAAGGGAATGTGGAGTCAGAGCCCTCACACACAGTCTTCAGTGGGGCACTGCCTAGTGGAGTTCTGAGAAGAGGGCCACTGTCCTCCAGTCGCCAGAATGGTGGATCCACTGATAGCTTGCCCCGTGCACCTGGAAAAGCCACAGACACTCAATGCCAGCTGTGAAGGCGCCAGGAGGGGGCTGTACCCTACAAAGCCACAGGGGTGAAGCTGCCCAAGGCTATGGGAGCCCACCTCTTGCATAAGCATGACCTGAATGTGAGATATAGAGCCAAAGGAGATTATTTCAGAGCTTTAAGATTTAATTACTGCTTTATTGGATTTCAGACTTGCATGGGGCCTGTAGCCCCTTTGTTTTGGCCAATTTCTCCCATTTGGAACAGTTGTATTTACCCAATGCCTGTACCCCCATTGTATCTAGGAAGTAACTAACTTGTTTTTTATTTTACAGACTGATAGGCAGGAGTTGCCTTGTCTCAGGTGAGACTTTGGACTTGGACTTTTGAGTTAATGCTGGAATGAGTTAAGACTTTGGGGAACTGTTGAGAAGGCATGATTGTGTTTTGAAATGTGAGGATATGAGATTTGGGAGGGGCCAAGAGTGTAATGATATGGTTAGGTTTTGTGTCCCCACCCGTCTCATCTTGAACTGTAGTGCTCATAATCCCCATGTGTTGTGGGAGGGACCTGGTGGGAGGTAATTGAATCATGGGGGCAGTTATCCCCATGCTGTTCTCCTGATAGTGAGTGAGTTCTCATGAGAGCTGATGGTTTTATAAGGGGCTTTCCCCCTTTTGCTCACACTTCTTGCTGCCGCCATGTGAAGAAGGATGTGTTTGCTTCCCTTTCCACCATGACTGTAAGTTTCCTGAGGCCTTCTTAGCCATATTGAACTGTGAATCAATTAAACCTCTTTTCTTTATAAATTACCCAGTCTCAGGTATGTCTTTATTAGCAGTATGAGAATGGACTAAAAACTTCCACTGAATTATCCCAATGGGAGAGGAGGGTTAATCCTTATTTCTAGGATTCTGAAGCAGAGGCCAAAGGTGGCAGGAGCAAACATTTATTTGGTTCTTACAGTTTACTCTGTAACATATCTGCACTTATTTAATATAAAACATAATCCTCCAGGTCTTGTATTATTGATGCTCCAGGAAGATGAACCAGGTATGCCCTGAGACTCTGGGGACTATTTGGGACCCTTAGACCTTGGCAAGCTGAGGGACACTATATTCTTGCCCTCACTTTATAAAGCCCCTCTTTTCTGGCCAGGCCCCTCCCTGAAAGATGAGGAGGCTATGGGGTGCCTTGAGCCTGCACTGCCCTTGCACCCCAAACTCTGGTTTGCTTGTAATTGATTGTCCTGAGGTTGCAGTGGGTGCAGTAGGTGGAGAAACCACAAGAGCCACACATCCTAGTTTAAGAGCCCAGGCCTCAGAAGATAAGATGGTCATTAGAACGTTCAGCTTTTCTACTGCTGTGTCTCAAGCTCTTAAATAAACCACTGCTTTAACTTACATTTCCATTTCTGTGGAACAGAGCTGGAAATACCTGGTACCTCTCCTTTTCACTTGTTTGCTAAAAGAATGGTTCAGCTCAGGACCATAATAAATAGTGTGTGATATGGTGTGTGCTGTTTGGAGACAGATACCACAAGCCAAAAATACAAAGTAGTCTTGTTTGGCAAGTCATCCTCACAGTGATTTAAGACACGGCCAGTCTCTCTTCTTAGTCTTATTCTGCCAACTCTTTCAATAACTCCACTAATTAGAACTTAAAGAGTGGTTGATTCCCTGGTATTCTTAAAATGGTCTAATTTGAAAGTTTAAAATCTTTAAAGTTTTAATTCACCTAGTCAGGCCGTTTTAGAATAGCAGCTATATAAAACAGTATGAGGACTCAGTGAGAGGCCAAGTCTAGTCTTTGGGGAGTCTGATGTATACTTTCTTGCTACTAAAATGAGAGATTCAGATAATCCACATAATGGGATTTAAGAGAAGAGAGAGATCCTCAATGTAGTGAAATAGTTGGAGAGATCTACTTGGAGGAGGTAGTATCTGATCCCTACCCTCAAGGGTAGACAGGAATCTGGAAAGGAGGGAGAGGAAGTCCAGCTTGCAGGTGGAACTGAATGGGCAAAAGCTCAGAGGACCATTTTGAGGGTTCCCCCGCTGCAGGTTCCTGTACCATCATGAGCCCTCCCTTTTTTAATGACCCTGTTGTTTCTACTGTCTATGTCTTCAGGCTTTTGTGTTGTCCCTCAAGCTGTGTGTGTATGGGGGGGTGAGGGGTGTGGGGTGAGTGGGTGGGTGGGTGTATTTGAAAGAATGAAGTTCATTGTGTGGCAGAGGATAGTTTGAAATACAAGCCTGAATTCTTTAAGAGCACAGTCCACAGTCCTTGAATTTTTGACCTCTACTAAATCTTTCATGGTTAAGTAACAGTGTTTAAAATATCCTTGTTGATCTGAATGGACTCATAATAATTTTACTGTGTTCAAAACTAGTGCTCTTTCTCTGTGAAGGGCATATTTATGAGAACTTAGTAGATGTGTTTGCTGAAGACGGCATGTAGTGGGATAGATTAATGACATTTTGTAAATGTTTTCTTTTCAAAAATGTATTTTTTTTTAGTTATAGTTAGAGTGATTGGTACAAAGTAAGTCATTTTTAATGGACTTCCTAGGACAGTTTAATTAGTTTACCAAAGAGAACATTGTTTTCTCCAAATTAGTTTCAGCACCTATATGAATTTCCTCGGGCTGCCATAACAAAATACCACAGACTGGGTAGCTTAACCTGCAGGAGTTTATTTTCTGTTTTCTTTTTTTGAGACAGAGTTTCGCTCTTGTTGCCCAGGCTGGAGTGCAATGGCATGATCTCAGCTCACCGCCACCTCCGCCTCCCAGGTTCAAGTGATTCTCCTGCCTAAGCCTCCCAAGTAGCTGGGATTAAAGGCATGCGCCACCACACCTGGCTAATTTTTGTATTTTTAGTAGAGACGAGGTTTCTCCATGTTGGTCAGGCTGGTCTTGAACTCCCGACCTCAGGTGATCCACCTGCTTTGGCCTCCCAAAGGAATTTATTTTCTCACAGTTCTGGGGACTGGAAGTCCAAGATCAAGGTGCTGGTCACATGTAGGTTTCCTCTGATGGCCATAAGGGAAGCTCTGCTCCAGGCCTCCCTCCTTGGCTTGTAGCCGCTGCCCTCTTGTTGCCTCTTCACACAGTTGTCCCTCTGTGCATGGGCTCCCCTGATGCCTTTCTCTCTGTGTCCTAATCTCCTCTTCTTATGAAGATATTCTTCAGAATGAATGAGGGCCTCATTTTAACTTAATTACCCCTTTAAAGGCCCTATGTCCAAATACAGTCACATTCTGAGATACTGGGTGCTAGGGCTTCAACATATGGATGTTGGGTGTGGGGACACAATTCAGTACATACGGCACCTTATTCACATTGTAGTACAGTCGGGGCTCCACACCCGTGGGTTCCACATCCATGGATTTAGCCAATTGTGGATGGAAAATATTTAAACAAGAAAAGGATAGTTGACTAGATTTGAACAAAAAAAGGATTCTGAACATGCACAGACTTTTTTTCCTTGTAATTTATTTCCTTAATAATACAGGATAGCAACTATTTACATAGCATTTATATTGTATTAGGTATTATAAGTAATCTAGAGATTATTTAAAGTATACCAGAGGCTGTGCATAGGTTCTATGCAAATACTACACCATTTTATACTAGGGACTTGAGAATCTCTGGATTTTGGTATCTGAGAGGTCCTGGAACCAAGCCCCCACAGATGCTAAGGAATGACTTTATATATATACACAATGAATGATGATAGTGACGCTGGACATGCTGGACATCGGGCAGCCAAGATGAACTTGAATAAGGTGTTGGTGGAGCTGTCAGGTACAGCTGATGAGGCTGCGAGGGCAGAGATCCAAATCTGCACTGAAACCCTTATGAAGGCCCTGGAGTAGGCAAGCCTGCCCCCAAGACCTCTGTGCTCTGGAGCCACCTCCACGAATGACCTGCCCCCAGCCGTCACCCTTCATTGAAAATGAAGAAGCCTGAAAAAAAAAAATATACACACAGGCTGGGCACAGTGGCTTACACCTGTGATTCTAGCACTTTGGGAGGCCAGGGTGGGTGAATCGCTTGAGGCCAGGAGTTTGAGACCAGCCTGGCCAACATGGTGAAACCCCGTCTCTCCTAAAAATACAAAAATTAGCTGGGCGTGGTAGTGCACGTCTGTAATCCCAGCTACTCAGGAGGCTGAAGCATGAGAATGGCTTGAACCCAGGAGGCAGAGGTTGCATTGAGCTGAGATCACGCCACTGCACTCCAGCCTGTGTGAGGAGCAAGACTGTCTCATAAAAAAAAAAGTATATACAGACACACACACACAATGTGTATGTTCACATGTGTGCTTTCACATGCATGTGAACACACATACACACCCATAATACAAATAGATAGAGACCACTGAGTTTGTAATACAAGTGAAAAGCAACTTGGTATTTCGTTAAGTTACAGAATCATAGATCTGGAAGGACTTTCACTACATCCCTTCTGGTTCTTTTCCTTTGTTTGTAAAGGGGGTGAGTATTTCAGCCATAATAGGTAGCTCTCATGTGAATGCAGTAGACAGAGGCAGTGTGATGTGAACCGCCATGGAAGTGTCTGCTTGCTGTGAAAATATTGATGTCAGACTGCTAGCCCTCCTGTCTTGCAGAGGACTGCCTTTATTGTGAAATTATATCTTCTCTACTTAGAGGGTGTTTAAGATAACTGTCTACAAAATGATAATTGTTAATAATAGTTGTTTTTTTAAAATTTTCTTTACTTTGCAAAATAAAAATGCTGGAAACTCTGTATTCCAGGTCCATGAAAACTGGCTGGTCTCTAGAAAACATTCCCCAGAGACTGGATGGAACCAGTTTAATGAAATTAGGGTGCTTCCTTTTTGTCGTTGGGAAGCTGCTAATTTTCAATGTAATCCATGAGAAGGACCTGAAAGCTTTGGAATGATAATTTGTAGTGCACTTCTCCTGAAATGAATTGGGCTAATGACAGGTACAACAGAAGGTAAAGCTTATAAAAAGGAGAATTTGGCTGGGTGCGGTGGCTCATGTCTGTAATCCCAGCACTTTGGGAGGCCAAGGCAGGCAGATCACCAGGTCAGGAGATGGAGATCATCCTGGCTAACATGGTGAAACCCCATCTCTGCTAAAAGTAGAAAAAGTTAGTTGGGCGTGGTGGCACGTGCCTGTTGTCTCAGCTACTCAGGAGGCTGAGGCAGAAGAATCACTTGAACCCAGGAGGTGGAGGTTGCAGTGAGCTGAGATCACGCCACTGCACTCCAGCCTGGGCAACAGAGCGAAACTCCATCTCAAAAAAAAAAAAAAAAAAAAAAAAAAGGAGAATTTGGGAAGTGGCTAGTGTGTTTCCAGGACTGGTCAGGGTGAGAGGACCATGAGCTGGCAAAGCACACATATTCTCCCACCTGTCTATGACTCTGTCAGGGGTTGAAAGGGATGATTCCTCACAGCTTAGAGGGAGTGTTCCTTTTACTTGAAAGGGAATCCCCACAGGGCTGCTGAAAAGAGCAAAGCTGGATCCTTGAAGGTGGACCAGGGAGGAAGGATCCACACAGGGAGGGGTGCTCAGATGTCTCAGCACCCTGTCATCCTCTGGGGTTCTCTTTTGCTTTAGAGAGTTCTCATTACCCTCCCCTCAAGTGCTGTGATTTGGAAGCACTGCTTATTATTATTATTTTTTAAATTATTTGTATTATTTAATTAATTAATTAATTACTTTTTGAGACAGGATTTTGCTCTGTCACCCAAGCTGGAGTGCAGTGGCATGATCTCAGCTCACTGCAGTCTCTGCCTCCCAGGTTCAAGCAATTCTTGTGCCTCAGCCTTTCAAGTAGCTAGGATTACAGGCATGCACCACCATGCCCAGCTAATTTTTGTATTTTTAGTAGAGACGGGGTTTTGCCAGGTTGACCAGGCTGGTCTCGAACTCCTGGACTCAAAGCAATCCACCTGCCTTGGCTTCCCAAAGTACTGGGATTACAGGCATGATCCACCAAGCCTAGCCTAAAAAAAAAAAAACTATAAACAATATTAGAACTTTTTTGTATTTTGGTTAAAAACGCATAATATAAAATGTACCATTTTTGAATGTACAGTTCAGTGGCATTAAATATATTTACATTGTTGTACAACCATTACAACTATCCATTTCCAGAACTTTTTCATTATCTCAAACTGAAACTCTTTTACTGGTAAATAACAATTTCCCATTTCCCTACCCTTAGCTCCTGATAACCACCATTCTATTAGGTTGGTGCAAAAGTAATCATGGTTTTTGCCGTTAAAAGTATTTGCAAAAACCACAATTATGTTTGCACCAACCCAATACTTGCTGTCTCTAGGAATCTGGCTATTCTAGGTACCCTCATATATGTAGAATCATGCAATATTTGTCCCTTTGTAACTGGCTTATTTCATTTAGCATAATGTTTTCAACGTTCATCAATGTTGTGGCATGTTTCAGAACTTCATTGCTTTTTAAGGCTTAATATTGCATTGTATATACAACATTTTATTTATCATTCATCTGTGATTAGACACTTGGGTTGTTTTGACCTTTTGGCTATTGTAAATAATACTGTTATGAACATAGGTGTGTATGAATATCTGTTCAAGTCTCTGCTTGTGGTTCTTTTGTATATATATCCAGAGTTAGAATTGCTATATCATATGGTTATTCCATGTTTAAATTTTTGAGAAACTGCTATACTGTCTTCCACAGCGGCTGTACCTTTTTACCTTCCTACCAGCAGTGCACAAGGGTTCCAGTTTCTCTATACCCTCACCAACACTTATTTTCTGATTTTTGATAATTGCCATCTTAATAGGGTGTGTAGTGGTATCTCATTATGAAGCATTTCTTTTTGATAGTTGATTCTTTGACTTGACACTAGTAATTTAAAGCATGCTTTTCCTAACAGTTTAGAAATAGAGCAAAAATAAAATAGTCATGGGAACCCAGAAAACCTAACTATAATAAAAGTGGCTGGCTTGGTATTCTACTGATGCCCTCAACTTGCCTAGAATTTTTTGAAGTACAGACCAAGAAAAGCAAGGTCTAGAAAAGGCGAGAGTTAAGCCTATGCCTTTCCTGTGATGGGGAACCCAACTCAACCATGATAGCATGTTGTGGTGGCAACCATTGACACTGGAATAAAGGATGGCAGTCTAACACGTTGACACACATGTAGTGGGATGGAGCATTAGGGTCCTGTTTTGTCGTATTATTATAACTCCCTTGTCCTGATTCTACATTCACCAGCTAATCTTCTGATCTTAAATTTTGTTTCCCAGACCACGTAAAACATGTGCTGTGGTCAGCTTGGCCATTGTTTTCCTAATTCAACAAATGGATATGCTCATTATAAATCATTCTGCTATGCTTGATTAGCATGACTGAGTCCATAAGGGCTTTCTCATCTCTGGAAAACTGAAAATTCAGCTCCCTGAATCTGTAGAGCCAGGGGCGGAGGTGCAGTCGCATCTCAGGGCCATGCCTCTTCTCTTCTCTGGAAATTTTCTCCAGATGGAGACTTTACAGCTTCTTTCCTGGTGTGTAACATGAAATTCTTGATGTCCAGCTGAAGTCTATTAGAATGGGACTAGTCTGTGGAGTACTACAGAGCCAGGAAACACTCACTTTAAAAATTACTTCTGGCTGGGTGCGGTGGCTCATGTCTGTAATCCCAGCACTTTGGGAGGCAGAGGCAGTCGGATCGCCTGAGGTCAGGAGTTTGAGACCAACCTTGCCAGTGTGGTGAAACCCCTTCTCTACTAAAAGCACAAAACTTAGCCAGGCATGGTGGTGCACACCTGTAATCTCAGCTACTAGGGAAGCTGAGGCAGGAGAATCGCTTGAACCCAGGAGGCGGAGGTTGCAGTGAGCCAAGATTACACCACTGCACTTCAGCCTGGGTGACAGAGGGAGACTCCATCTCAGAAAAAAAACACACAAAAAACAAACAAAACAACAACAACAACAACAAAAAACTTACTAGCCTGTTTACTACTATATAGGTGCCCAGGGCATAACAGGAAGATGTAGATTTATGAATCCAAACTGCTTGTCCCCTTTGAGACACCAGCTGGTGAAATAAGGGTGCCCACTTCTTAATTAAGCAATTCTTTATTTCAGGTGGTGACTGAATATCTATCAGTGTAAAATATTAAGTCCCATTTCTGTTTTTGGAAGTTGATCTTCTATTGGCATTGATTTTTATGTTAAGATGGAAGAAGTCTTCAGGCTTGGGAACACTTTTGGTTAGCTGTCTTGCTGCTGGAAACAAGTTGCTTATGTGCACAGGAGAAGGGGGGATAGGCAGGAAATAGATACATCCTGAATTCTCTTGTTAGCTGTCAGTCACCATTTTTTGAGGACTGCTGGGTAATTGAGTACTTTCTAGGATACACTAGAGAATGGCATAAAACTTGGCAGTGTAGAAAAATGTGGGAAGTATGTCCATTTGAAAACGAAGAGCCCAGCGTGCGTGCATTCATGTGTGTGTGTGTGTACGTGCGTGTAATGTCTCTAGACTGAATTGAGTGGCCAGAGCATCAGACTTCAAAAGTAAGAGTCATACTCGAGTCAAAATAGTCGTGAGGAGGAGAAGACTACAAAGTCCTGGAAGCATGACCTTTTTTCTTTAATTGGAGGAGAGAAAAATCCACGCCCCAGGAAAGACATCACTGACTTAAAATGGATTCACAGAAAAAGAATCAGCAGACCTGGGAATTAAGTGGGAAGTGCCAGTAGAAGGTGATGGTTCACGCAGACTCTATAAAAAGCAGAAGTAAACTTGAGAATAACACCATGTTACTGTTTTTTTAAAGTACTGCCCTGGGAGGACACTGTGGCAGCTTTGAGAGGGTCAAGCATGATCCCTTGCTGGGAGGCATTGCCTTATAGAGATGCTTTAAGAAGATCCAGCTGGCTCAGAGTGTGATTCATAACCTTGAAGTCTCTCATTTTCTGTGTGGCCCTACCCTAGGCACGAGTAAGCTGGGTGCACCATTGTTCTGTGCAAGGAGGAAATTAAGCTTCTAAAGTTGCGATTCTGAAGTTCCCACCTTGGGCTCATCAGCCACCAAAGTGCAGCGTGTCTGAGCTTTATCTTTGGTTTCTCAAGTCTCCTTGCTGGAGGAAAGACAGCGTTATGAGTCACAAGGGTGACTTCTCTATGTTGTGCGGGGGACAGTCATTCCTGGAAGTAAGAGGAAGAAGGATAAGAACAGGTAACTGAAAAGACCTTTCTGGCCTGGGCCAGATCAGAGGTTGGTGGTCCTGGGTGGCATGCCTACTTTTGGAGTTTGAGGATTGAAGAGGAAGGTGAGAGAGTCATTGCAATTGGGAACTTTGATCATCTGACTGGCCATTAGGTCTTCCCCTGTACAAACTGGTCAGCATAGGTCTTTGGATTTGTGGCACTGGCTGGCAGTTTCTTGGAATGCCTTAGTAGCTGTGCTGTCAGTTGTGTGCATGTTTGTGTGGGGGCATGCTCATTTTTCAGGGTTTCTGGCACCTTTTGGATTTCTTCTTAATGTGCTAGTCCTGTGCCTGGGTTGGTGGTCACTTGTAAAACTCATCTGCTGATGTTTACCCCTTAACATGGAAAAAAAGTGTCTAACTCCAAAGAAGCAGCCCCCTTAACATGCATACCATCGTAATCCACCAGGGATATTGACACAAAGACATTTATTCACTCTTTGAGAAGTTCTATGTCTGAGTACATCTCCTCAAATTCAGGGAGGTGGAGAGAATTGCTTGATCCATTTTTAAGAAGGTAGAGAGGACTGGGCACGGTGACTACACCTATAATCCCAGCACTTTAGAAGGCCCAGGCAGGCAGATCACCTGAGGTCAGGAGTTTGTAGACCAGCCTGGCCAGCATGGCAAAACCCTGTCTACACCAAAAATACAAAAATTAGCTGGATCTGGTGGCATGTGCCTGGAGTCCCAGTTTCTTGGGAGGCTGAGGCGGGAGAATCACTTGAACTCAGGAGGCAGAGGTGGCAGTGAGCAGAGATTGCACCACTGCACTCCAGCCTGGGTGACAGAGCAAGACTCGCCTCAAAATAAAAGAAGGAAAAGAGGCCAGGTGTGGTGGCTCATGCATGTAATCTCAGCACTTTGGGAGGCTGGGGCAGGAGGATCGTTTCAGCCAGGGAGGTCAATGCTGCAGTGAACTGTGATCATACCATCGCATTCCTACCTGGGCAATAGAGTAAGACCTTGTCTCAAAAAAAGGGGAGCGGGGAGGAAAAGAGAGTGCCCAGGAGTGGTGTGGGAACCTGGGTTGGAGCAGGAAAGATTGGATAGTCCAAAGAAGGGATGAAAGTGATGGGAATGTGGGTTGGAGAAGGGGTGATGGTTTAATGAGAGGTGTCTGGGCCTGCTCACCACGCTTTCTCTGTTTGGGTTTGTGATCTCCCGTCTTCCCCAACAATGGGCTGGCCTGGGCCACACTACCCTGTGCACACCTGGAAAAGGTAAGCTTCCTTTCAGGGCTAGCTTTCGGATGCAGTCCTAATCTTCATTTTTGCTTTTGTTGGCAGTGATGCTTTCAGCTGTTCAAAAGAGCAATTTAGTCTCTCCCTCATGCTCCTGGAAGCTTGTTTAGGATATGTTTCCTGTCAAAGAAGTTATTTTTCATGACTCTAATTTTATGAAGAAATCTGACATTAAGAAAATCTCGGTGCGGAGAGGGTGGTTCTCAGGAGTGGCAGCCATACAGAGAGCAGCTGCCCGTGGAGCTGCCGCTTCCTGCTGTTGTGTTCAAGAGAGAGCAGCTGCCGGCCTGTCAGCACCCCAGGGAGTGAGGCTCAGGGCCAGGCTGCCTCCCTCACTGCGTGGGTGGCCGAGATCATGCACACTGTGGCGGGAATAGCAGACTCTGGGGGCTGCTACTTGGACATGCTGGCAGTTCCCAGCTTATGTTTCAGCAAAGCTTGGAGAGTCATTGCTGGGCTTGGTAATGGGGACAACACAGAACACTTCCCTAGCACTGCCGTATGTTTGTTGTTGGTCTTTGTGCATCTGATGGCCTAAGCTGATTAATTTGAGGCTTGCATGAAAAAATAATGCCTTGTGGACTTTTTCAAGGGCACTAGGTGACTGCTTTAAAGAAGAGGTCAGAGGTTCTGTCCTCCAAAGCTATCTTTGGGATTCAAGAAGTGAGAGGAAAGAGGCAGTGGAGACAAATGCCCCTCCTTTTGTTTGAAGGCTACCCAGGCAACTGGTGGCTGCCTGGGGAGAGCTGGTGTCACATTTCATTCTGCAGAATGAGAACCTCCTGTAGGCTGGCTCTGGTATTCACTCATTCTTGTCTCTCAGTGTTTGTCAGAGCTTTGCTCCTCTCTTCCCACCTTCAGGACTTTTGCACATGTAGCTTTCATTACCCTTTGGTAATGCCCTTTAGTAATCCATCCCTAAATAGTTCGTTTAGATGAAAGGGAATAGTGTAAGGGGGAGTAAAAGAAGGCATGTCTCTATTGTAGGGTGGGTGGTTGATATTCCTTACAGTTAACTCTTACACACTGACCGGCCCCATGAGGGTGGTGTTACTGCTGCTTTCTGACTGGTCTTGTGGAACCTGGTAGCCACAAATGGGGGTCCCCACCGTGTGCTGACATTGAGAACTGCGTGGCCGTGGGAGAACAGCTCTCGGTTCTGTGGTGTGCTGAATAGACGACACCCTCCATCTTTATTTTCTTTATTCCTTTAAGTACTTTTCCCTATTTTTCTATTCCAGATGAAGTTTAGTCCCTCCCTCTGCTCTGCTATTATAGTAGCTGTAATGTTGATTTCTACTAAAAATGATATGATCAAACCAGACTTCATCTTATTTTCCTTAATAAAAAAAGGAGAGAAAGATTATCATTTTATTTTTGAGTTGGTAGAATAGCATGAATCCCAGGATGTAAATGTTGATCATTTTAACTTTTAAATGATCTAAATGCCTTTAAGTAATTTTTTGTCATAGTTTTATTTATTTGTCTAGGCACCGTGGCTCACAGTTGTAATCCCAACACTCTGGAGGCTGAGGCAGGTAGATTGCTTGAATCAATCAATTAACACTTGGTGCATTTGATAAGAATTGGCTGACCAGGGAGTTGGGTGTGTCTGAAGAACAAAGCGAGGCTTTTCTATTCAAGATCAGCATTTCTAATTAATAATAGTTGTGCTGCCTGCTAATATTTTTCTTAATTTTTCATGCAACATCACATTTAACTTTTATGGCAACTCCATGAAGTGGGTACTATAATCATCTTCATGTTACTAGTGGGAAAACTGAAGCTCAGATTTTTCAGGGCTCTAGAGCAGGGATTGGCAAACTTTTTCTATAAAATACCAGAAAGTAAATATTTTAGGCTTTTTGGGCCCATCCTTTGAACAGTATGATGATGTGGGGTTGGAGTCTTTTTTTGTGGAGTCCATGTCTGGGATGGGAAAGAAGGGGTAAGGGAAAGGGGAGAGTGATGCAGAAGTGGGGTGGAAGGGTGGTGGTGATTTTGCCTCAGCTTCCCTGAGGATTGTGCCCTGGAGGCAGTGGGGACGGATGCGGGCGAAAGAAACCTCAGAAAGCTCTTGAAGTGGGGCTGCTTCAAGAATCTTGAAGCTCAAGATGACTGGTGACTGCTCAGTGAATCTTTGTTACCGCTGACATTTCATTCAGATTTTCCCTTATGTTACTGCTATTTGTCACTTTGTCTTCCTTTCTCCATTATAAGGGAAGGTCTGTGGAGTACTGATCTGTCTCAGGCATCTCTGCCCACCCCACAGTGTGCGGTGTCTTGCACACAGTAGGTGCTCAAACACAGTTATTGAACACAGGCTGCATTGACTTATCACCTTCGGTATCCGTGCTGCGCAGTGCAACCATCTTCTCCCAAAGAAGTCAGGATTTTTTGGTCTAAAATAGTCACAGTTAACAAAGATACTTGGGAAATCCTGAAAATATCATAAATTTCAGGAGTAAGCAGTTGGACAAGTTGTGGACTTCTGTTGAGTATCTTCTGCAAGATCCACTATGCAACTTTTGCTGCCTGTTTTTCTTTATTCACTCCATTTTATTAAACTTAGTTTCCTCCAAACCCACTGGAAGCAAGAAAAGCAAACAAACAAAACCTTAGGTTGCTCATCTCCATTGTTGCATAGTAGGTGTTGAATGGATACCTACTGAGCTAGTTCATTTCTGATACTAATTTGATTACTTCTCCTGAACATTCTTTCTTCTTACAGAACTCTCTGTCCTCTACCTCCCAAATCCCACAAAACATCTCGCCTCCACACATAGGCTGATTGCTTGGGAATGGTACAGGAGGCCCTTGGTGATTCTAATTGATGAAAGACTAAAAAATTCCCTTATAGGGGAACATAAATCAATGTCAATCTGAGATTGAGTAATACATCAAATTAGTATCAGCAATGAACTAGTTTCAGCAGGCTCTTTACATACTCTTGCAGGTATAGGTGCTGAGGCTGAAGCTGTAAGCTCAGAGATTTTGACATACTCTTTCCCTCCTTTCCTTCTTTCCTTCATCAGTTACTGAACATTTGTTATGTGCCAGGCATTGGGTTAAGTTCAAAAAAATATACAGTGTCTGATTTCAAATACATTATTCCACTCTAGTGGCAAGAGAAAAGGAAGTAGTGGCCACATGATATGAGGTGTGAGCAGCTGGTAAGAACCTCTCCTGGCCTAGGAGGTAAGACCTCCTCAAGGGGTTTGCTGCCAAACTCCTGAATGCGATCAAGAGTAATTAAGGTAACTGTGCAGCTCTGGATGAATTAACAGGTTCTGCGCTTGACTTTCTCCATTTGTGCAGGTCGGAGATGTCCGCCCAGAGGTTAATTTCTAACAGAACCTCCCAGCAATCGGCATCTAATTCTGATTACACCTGGGAATATGAATATTATGAGATTGGACCAGTTTCCTTTGAAGGACTGAAGGCTCATAAATGTAAGTTTTATACAATTCCTCATTGAAAGCATAATTGTATTTCTCTTAACCTGTGAAATCCCCAAGGATTACTTCTCCTGAGCATTCTTTCTTCTTTACAGAACTCTCTGTCCTCTACCTCCCAAATTCTACAAAACATCTCGCCTCCACACATAGGCTGATTGCTCAGGAATGGTACAGGAGGGCCTTGGTGATTCTAATTGATGAAAGACTAAAAAATTCCCATAGTAGGAGAACATGAATCAATGTCAAGCTGAGATTGAGAATTTTTAAAAAGCATTTGCTTTTTTAGCTCCTCCAAACTGTGAATGTTTGAACTATCAAAAATATGTATAAAAATAGGATCTGGAACTGTTATTTGAAGAACCTTCTTTTGTAACACAGCAGCATCTTTTCATCCCAGTTGGTTTCCTGGAGCTGTGGAGAGCAGTGTATCCATGTGTGCTCATAATGATGGACCAGAATAGCCTGCGATCATTTCTAACACTGTGTTCTAGGCATGAATTGTGTTTCATGCTATTGGAGTAATTAAGGGTCCAGCACAGAGCAAGGAAATGTAATTCTGTGAGACGTTGCTACTCAACTCCAGTCATAACTGAATGCTGACTGGCCAGCATGGAACATCCTTGCTTCATTAGGTAGAGTTAACAGTTAACATGGTAGGCAGGAACTGCTGCCCAGTCTCAGATCCTGTCTTGGTAACCCCGTAAATATCCCTGAAATGTTCACTTTTGTCAGAGTGAATTATCCACAGCACTGTAAAATTTTTATGCTCTTAACTGGTCCAGGTTAGTGGGACACATTAGGAAATATAAGAGGGCTTAGAATCAGAGAAACAAATGTAGCAAAGAAAGTGTTTTTGTTCCTTTAATTATTTCCTGGCTGCTTCTATCCTGACCTGTCTTGGCATTCATGATCTCTTGCACCAACTTGGTGCTCTTTTGCAAGAAGGGCTTTCTATTTTTGTTCCTTTAGCAAAAATCATTAATTAAACCATATGTCCTTTACCCCTTAAGTGAGTAGTAATAATTAAATACTTTCATTCATTCCTTTATTGACATCTGCTCAGTATTTCTTTGTGGAAAAAAAGCACATGGCATTTATCAAGGTATGCTGTCATTGATTATCTGAGAGAAGGCTGTTGGGTGTGAAATCACCTTCTTTAATTTACTTAAATTCTTTAATATGTTGTTTTTCTAGGATAACCTTTATGTAAGGACAATTGCTTGTTCTGAATTATAGTGGATATCAAAATGACTGGGAAAATTGCCACATATTTTCTTGAAATGTGGGCTTTTACTGCTTGGTGACATCAACTTTACTTTTGTGTCAGCTTGCTCCTATCTCTTTTCCTTAGTTTAAGAAGCACAGAAGACAGGCCTGCTGCTGTAATTTTGGTTGGTACATTTCCAGAGACAATTGAATAAAATATTTTTTGAGGATATTACATTCTAGAAATAATTATAGCTGGAAAACTTCATGAGAAACATAGGCAGAGGTGTGACTCATTCCTTACTTACTTACTTTACCTACTATACCATTAATAACAATTGCTTTTGTTAATTTTAATATTCACGTCAAGATAAAACAAAAATGCCTGAGCACTTACTGTTCTGATATAAGAGAGCTGATAAGTAGCAGCCCTTAGCTTCAGGAACCTGAAAATATATGCGACACATTGAGAACAAAAAATAAACAAACACAAAACCCCAGATATACAGGAAAGTGAAAAGATCAAGTCAACTGTTGAAATGTGTGCTCTGGTACAGTCTCTTTCATTTAAAAATGCTGTGACTCTGACCTTCAAGTATGACTCCTTGTTTTGCTGGGCAAAATTCAAAGCTAATTAGATGCAGATTCAAAAGAACAGAAGCAGGACATTTCAAGGGGAAGCACTCATTGCGGACAGGAATGACCATAACAGTTATCTTTATTTGCCTTACCTGTAATGGATCACACTTGGCAACAATAGCTCCATCTTTAGACTGAGTTCCTCTGCTGAAATTAAGATTCCTACCTTCAAAGGGTGTTTCATCTGAGAAGCAACCTCAGATGGTGCTTGAGAATTCTTTTGCCATCAGTTTTGAATCCAATATTAAACCTTATCATGTATCAGAAGTGGACATGTATCTGATACAGATTTGGCACCAACAAAGTGGAAACCTATTTATTTATTCATTCATTCAATATATATTTATTGAGCACCTGTTATGTGCAGTACTATTTTAAGCACTGGAGAGACAACAGTGAACTGAAAAGACAGAAATATTTCCTTGTATAGAGCTTGCATTCTAGTGGGAGAGACAGACAATAAATAGTTAAATAGATAATGTCAGATGGCAATATAAAAGGATAAATAGAGTGGGGGTAAAGGGATGTGGAGTGTGGAGGCGACAGTATAGAATTGCCATCGAAAGCCTTACTGAGAAGGAGAGATTTGATAAAAGACCTGAAGGAAGTGAGAGATTGAGCTATAATATATCTGGGGGAAGAACATCCCAGAAAAGGATCCTTGGCGGGAGTGAACTGGATCATGCAAGGAGGCCAGCGTGGTACCAGGGGAGTGATAAGAGGCAGAACAGCAGGAAACGAAGTCAAAGAGGCTGTGGGGACAAGGACATGGGGGGGCCTTAGAGGTCATGCTAAGGACTTTGTTTGGCCTTTTACTCTGAGAAGTCACTGGAGGGTCTGGAGCAGAGGAGTGCCATCTGGCTTAGGTTTCAACAGATCACTCTGCAACTGCGGAGTGAAAGGCATGAGATTAGAAGCAGAGACCATTCAGGAGGCTTTTGCCATAGTCCAGGCAGCTGATGATGGTGGCTTGGAGCCAGGTAGGGAGAGTGAAGTGGTGAGAAATGCATACATTCTGGATATTTTTAAAAGATGGATCTGGCAAGATTTGTCAATGGATTGGCGGTATGTGTAAGAGAAAGAAGAGTCAAGAATGATTTGAAGATTTATGACCTGAGTAACTGGCAGGATGGAATTGCCTTTAACTGAGAGGGGGAAGAGTATGGGAGAAGGAGGTTTCAGAGAGGAACCCCAGGAGCTCTGTTTTGGACCTGTTAAATTGAGACATCTATCACATATCCAGGAGGACAAGGGAGGAGAGGTGTCGGGGGAAGCCGTAGACTTGAGAGTCATCAGCATGTAAACGGTATGCGTTCAAAGCCAAGAGGCTGGATAAGTGAGTGTAGACAGAAAACTGAAGAGTCCAATGCTGAGCCCTGGGCACGCTTGTGTTTAGAAGTTGGAGGGTTGCATAGCAGCATAGGTGCCTGAGAGGAATGTACAGAAAGTAGGAAGAAAACTGGACAATTGTGGTTTTTTGGACGCCAACTGAAAAAAGGGTTGCAAAGACAGTCTGTGTCAAATGCTGCTATTAGGTCAAGTTAATTGAAGACTGAGATTTGACCATTGGATTTATAATGTAGAAGTTACTGGCAATGATTTGAAAAGCAGTTTTAGTGGAATGCTGGGGGTAAAAGGTTGATGGAATTGGTTCAAGAAAAAATGAGAGGAGAGGAATTGGGGACAGCATGTACAGACAAATCTCTCAAGTGTCTCACTATAAAGGGAAGGAGAGGAATGGGTCATTTATGAAGAGTGTGGCTGGGTGAGACAGGGTGTTCTTAAAGCATCAGAAGCAAAAGCTGATGAGTCAATGAGTGGACAATCACATTTTAGCAGGACCACTCTGGCCGCTGTGTTGAGAAAAGACTAAAGGAATAGCCTCTTAATTTGAGCTATCAGTGGTGGCCAAATTCATGCTTTTTCGTGTGCCACCTTGCAGATACCAGACCCATGCATGGATGGGTCAGCAAGAAGCCAGGTCATTAGGATGAGAAACAGCTAGAGTTTGCAAAGGCTTGGAGTAAGATAGTAGAGACAAGTGTGGGAACATCACTGTTGGCTCTTTGCCAGGAATTCATATCACAGAATTGGCCCTACTGCCTTAGGAACAAAAAGTGGTGTGAGGAAAGTGTCATGAACCTCTCTTTCAAGTGAAGTATTAACCCTTGTTTTTCATATAACCACGAAGTGGAAAGTTCACCATTTATTCTCAGGAGGTGGAGAGGAGGGTGAGTCGGATGGAGTAGTTAACCTAGTCCTACCCTAGATTGGGAAGGAAAAAAATCATGTCAACTTTCAGCTCTCTTGTTCCATTCCATTCATTAAAGGTTAGGTTAAGGGGGGTTACTTTATTCTGACGCATTCCATTTGCAATTCCCCTGGGCAATTGTTCTACCCCTTTACAATAGTAGTCTCTAAGTAGCTCAGTGTCTAGACAGGACAGAGTGTGGTAGCTTGGCGGTGGTGGAAACTCGTTTGGAAGGCTTCTTTTGACTTTCTTAACCATCTAGCCTCATTGGAGCTTTGCTCTGTATAAAGCTTTATTCTGACTTCTTCCCAGAAAAGGATGCTTTTGGGAAGACAACGGGCTCCACTTTTCCCATCTTACTGTAGTGCCTATGCCCATGAAACTTACATGTGAATAAAACTTCAGGAGAGTTTGGATATTTCTGGGATGAGATGGGGATCTCTGATGTTTCTTGTAAGAGGCTCAGGGTGAGAAAATCCCCTGGGGATGGGTCATAGGGCAGAAGATGAGGTTGGGGGAAATTAGTGGAAATAACTTGAGGAAGCTAAATTTTGTTCAAAGGGAAATGTGAATAAGCAGAGCTACTTAAAGCATATTGCCATGAAAAACATAGATGCCGCATTATTAAGGAAATGTTTGGAAATGCTGTTGGATCATGAGGATTCTCAGATTTTACCCACAGCCTGCCTCTCCCCAACTCTGCCGCCACCTGCCTTCTCTGAAGGCTGTAACCCTCCCATGCTTCACATTATTGCTGCTTTTTGATTATCTCCCTGGGGGTACTTAGAAGGGCAGAGGGAAGGGGGACTGGGCTGGGTTGAGGGCACGCTTTCCTCCACCTCTGGGAGTCAGTCCACCATTTGCAGTGTGAAAGCTGTCCTTAGGAGAACACCTTCCTAATACACAGATTTGAAAAATGTCAATCAACATGATTCAATTCTAAACCGAAGACTTAAATATAGCATTGGTGTATAATTTTAGAATTTGCTTTTGCTATGCAGGCAGTTGATAAAGTACAGTGTAGGGAACTGTTATTTATCTGTACAATGTTTCTTCACAGTCCATGCCTAGATAGTTGAGATTTAATTGTTTCATGTTAGTTGTACCTCAGTACATGTGGTGTTTGGTATTTGTCCTTACATCTTTTTTTTTTTTTGAGACGGAGTCTTGCTCTGTCACCCAGGCTGCAGTGCTGTGGCGCGATCTTGGCTCACTGCAAGCTCCACCTGCCGGGTTCACGCCATTCTCCTGCCTCAGCCTCCCGAGTAGCTGGGACTACAGGCGCCTGCCACCACACCCGGCTAATTTTTTTTTTTTTTTTTTTTGTATTTTTAGTAGAGACGGGGTTTCACTGTCTTAGCCAGGATGGTTTTGATCTCCTGACCTCGTGATCTGCCCGCCTCGGCCTCCCAAAGTGCTGGGATTACAGGCGTGAGCCACTGCGCCTGGCCCTTATGTCTTTTTTTATGCCTCATTTCTACTATATTAAAAGGCAAAGTATACAATTTCTATTTCTTTGGCACTTAAGGTTAGACACATTAGTTTTTCAGAGTGCTGAATACACATTGTTAACCTCTAGGCAATAGTATATGTAGGATGAAAGTATGAATTATGCAGAGTAAATTGTTAATCTGATTTCTTCACTTTGGAAAAAGTGCTACATATACATAATTTAATTAGAATAAAGCTTTGCATTTAAACACATTTAATATTTAAGCTCTAATCACTTATTTTTAGAAAATTGCTAAGCATCCTCATTGTATTTCCACATAGACAAGCTTCTTAGTGTAGGCCAAAAAATGTAGAATGATTCAACTCTGTTGTGTCCTAGATTTGAGGCCTTATTGTGCAAGTACCAAGTTCTGTAGACAATCCAATCTAACCCTGGTCCTAGAGATAAAGAATTGTGATTGTTATCCAAGATAGGACCAAGGAGAGCCCTGTTTAGGGAATTACAGACAAAAATGTTATTGGGTTCAAAGGAGGGAGACAACACATCAATTATGGAAATTAGTTGAGGCTTAGTAGATAGTGTAGCGGATGGACTTGGAAGGATGGATACACTTTCATTAGCTCCACGTTGGGAAAAGTTGTTCCAGCCAGGTAGTGGTAAGAGCCCTGGTAAGGTGTGGCTGTGAGGAAGCTGTGGCTAAGGTAAATACAGGGACACAGTGTCCCCTAGTTTGATTGGAAACACATGGCTTTTAAAGTGGTAAATTGGGAGAAAATGACAATTCTAATGACAGTAGCCAGCACCTGTGGTGTACTGTTTTCTCAGATGTCAGACATTGTATAAAGTGCTTTATGTGTGGAATCTCTTTTACTCTGGAAAAGTGGGTCAGTTCTGTTTTTGTTGGAGAGCTTTTCATGAAAGAGCAATATCATCAGGGCTGTGATTAAAGCAGGTTTGTACAGAAATAAAGCACAGGGAAAGGCAGAAGGCAGAGAGAGCACTCAAGAGGCCATCTGTATGTTCTCTGCAAGAAGTAATGAGAGCCTGAATTATCCATGGTGAACGTAAGTGAGAATGCAAAGTTGCTACCTAATTGAGATGCTAACCAATTGAGTTGTTAAACTAAAATTTGGCCCAAGAAGGCCTCCATTATTTGCATACTTGCATTCTTAGGTATGAGCTGTGACCTAGCTTACTAGGTAAGCAAACTGAAAACCTAGCCAATGCTTCTGTAACAATAGCTCAGTCTCAGCTAATCACAGCAGCTACACTTCAGGCACTCCCAGGCAGACAGCTGTTCAAATGGTGTTCAAATCCAGCTGTTTCCGTACCTTGCTTCTTTTTTCTGTACATCATTTTCCTTTTTCTGTCCCTAAATCTTAACCAACCATGAGGCAGCCCAGAGTCTCTCTGAATCTATTCTGATTCTGGGAGCTTCCCGGTTCAAGAATTTTGTTTTCCTTGCACAGTTAATATCTGTTAAATTTAATTTGTCTAAAGTTTTTCTTTTAACAGTAGGAATCCAAATGCACTTAAAACTTGAGTTGATAGTCTGCTAAAAATTTTATTTTCTAACTCAAAACACATTAGTGGAATCTTGAGGTCCTAGATAACCTATGCTCTGGTCTAGGTTCCTTCCTTGAGATATGGAAAGCATGAGTCAATGAGGCCTAAATCCCTTCATGCTATCTGAGACAGAAACCTGGAGGCGGAGCAGACTCTTCCCTCCTCCTCATCCTTTACATCTTATCAGTCTCCAGCCAACTGCGGATCAGACTGTTGACTTCCTTTCATGTTTCATGTACCAAAGCCTCTCCAAAAAGCTCTGATTCTTGAATGTTCAAGTTTTAAACTACTGTGAAATACTAATCCCAGAATTAACTGTCTTTCAGATTCCATTGTGATTGGATTTTGGGTTGGTCTTGCAGTCTTCGTGATTTTTATGTTTTTTGTGCTGACCTTGCTGACCAAGACAGGAGCCCCACACCAAGAGTAAGTTTGGGCTGTTCCTAAATGTCTCTTAAGCCTCACAGGAGACTGAGGAAATAGAAACTACTACCCAGGGCCGGAGGTGCTTCCCGTGGATGAAGAGAAGGGGGTGGTTATAGATTTGCTGTCTGGACCCAGATGCCCGTGGATGGGATCCAGCTATTCTCCTGGCTTTTTGTTTCTTGCGTCTTGGGCTTATTTTCAAGTGGACTTTTATGAAATTGGGTTTCTTGGTCCTTTCCTACAGTCTTAATGATGATGTGGGCCTGATTTTTACATTGAAATGTTTATTAATTACAATGTATTTTATTCATATTCCCAAAAGGATTTAGATGATTCACCATATTAAAAACAGTGGAAAAGACAATGGCAAAATAGGATGAAAACCAGTTTTAAAAATTATTTCAAGAAGCAGAGTAATAGTTGTTCCTGGATACTCAACTCAATTTAACTATTGACAATGATTAATAAATTTAACAGAGTTTTCTTAAAACTAGGATACAAAGGCAAACACTGTGGTTTACATAATTCTCATAACATGGTAGGACTTGTGATGATGCTGGACTTTGGATTGATGGAGGAAAGTATTACATGAGTGCTTAAAGAACATTGAGAAACATCAAAAAGTATTTGTTCAGTAATGGCTTGTAAAAAATTCAGAAATATATTAAAGGATTTATATATTTTATACCAAATTTTTAATAAAAGGGAAAATAGAGAATATTGAATACCTCATTAGTCAGCACCAGCAGGCAACAGTAATTAAAAGAGTTTTTGGCCGGTATGGTGGCTCACGCCTGTAATCCCAGCACTTTGGGAGGCCAAGGCAGGCAGATCACTTGAGTCCAGGAGTTCAAGACCTGCCTCGCTATGGTGAAACCCCGTCTCTATTAAAAATACAAAAAATTAGCCTGTTGTGGTGGAGGGCACCTATAGTCCTAGCTACCTGGGATGCTGAAGCACAAGAATCACTTGAACCTGGGAGGTGGAGGTTGCAGTGAGCCAAGGTCACACCACCGCACTCCAGCCTGGGCAACAGAGCCAGACTCTGTCTAAAAAAAAGAAAAAGAAAAAAAGTTTTTGATAAAGGGGCTGTGCGGAAGTTATGGACAGGGAAGAGGGCAACTACGCAGGCTCATGCAGGACAGCAGGGCTGGCAACACTGAGGAGCAGCCATCCTAGATCCCAGGAAGCAAGGGGTGGGGCCACAGCTGGAACCCTGGAGTCTGCTGAGAGGAGTTGTGACTTTGGGCTGAGGGACACAGCTAATCCAGTGTGACCTCTCAGGGAAGGAGCCTCAAAGTTAAGACCAAGACCTCAGTCTTCTCCCTCCTTCCCATTTCTCACCATTGCTCCCCACTGGCTGAACACAACCAGCAGCCAGAGGCTGCATCAAAGGCTAGTTTCCCAAGCACAGAGCAGGACAGGGGAGGGTGGGAGAGACCTGGGAGAGTGAATATAAGTTTCACAGGAATCCTGGCATTTTGGTTTTGTTTTGTTTTTTTGTTTGTTTTTTGAGACGGAGTCTTGCTCTGTCACCCAGGCTGGAGTGCAGTGGCGCCATCTTGGCTCACTGCAAGCTCCGCCTCCCGGGTTCACGCCATTCTCCTGCCTCAGCCTCCCCAGTAGCTGGGACTACAGGCACCCACCACCACGCCCAGCTACTTTTTTGTATTTTTAGTAGAGACAGGGTTTCACCATGTTAGCCAGGATGGTCTCGATCTGCTGACTTCGTGATCCGCCCGCCTTGGCCTCCCAAAGTGCTGGGATTACAGGCGTGAGCCACCGCGCCGGGCCGAATCCTGGCATTTTTATATTCAGTATCTCATTTTTGCCTCACAGCCTGGCAGCAGCTCTCTTTCATGGTTGTGTCTCGTCACAGCCTCCGGCATCTGTTGTTCACTCTTCAGCCTGCACTTGAACTATAACAAATGCCTGTGCAAAGGGAACAGTTCTTGCCATCACTCAGCTATTTCTAGATATCAGGGGCTAGGAAGAAAAAAATGTAAACACAGCCAGGCACGGTGGCTCATGCCCGTAATCCCAACAGTTCTGGAGGTCGAAGTGAGAGGATTGCTTGAGCTGAGGAGTTCGAGAACAGCCTGGGCAACATGGCAAAACCCTGTGTCTACAAAAAATACAAAAATCAGCCGGGCATGGTGGTGCACACCTGTAGTCCCAGCTACTCAGGAGGCTAAGGTGGGAGGATCACTTGAACCCAGGAAGTCAAGGCTGCAGTGAGCTGTGATTGTGCTGCTGCACTGTAGCCTAAATGACAGAGTAAGACCCTGTCTCAAAAAAAAAAAAAATTTAAACACAAACATTTTAAATGAAAGGAAAATATCATTTTTATTGAAGCATTTGGAGACATATGGCTGAGAATCTATTTAACAACCACTAAAAAGACACAAGCTTTCCTTTTTCTCTCTTCATGTCATTGTAAATATTCGCACATGCTTCACTTCTATTATATTGGCCCAGCGAATTTGAAAATATGGTGTGGGTTACAAGAGGGTTAAGAAAAGCCTAGAATAAACTCAGATTAAGGCACAACTCGTAGAGTGGTCAGGGAATAATAATACCCTGTTAATCTTCCTTTTCCTCAGAAGAACCAATGGAGTTTTGTGGGTTATTGAGATAGATGTGTGTGATGTAGAAGACAGGAGATTTTAGGACTAGGAACACTAGCATGAAATAGAATGTGACTTCCTGTGATGGTTAATTTTATGTGTTAACAATTCTAGATGTTTCTGTGAAGGTATTTCTTAGTTGAGCGTACCATTTATCAGTACTCTTTGGATTAAGCAGATTACCCTCCATGCTGTGAGTGGGCCTCATCCAGTCAGTTGAAGGCCTTAAGAGAACAAAGACTGACCTCCTCAAGCCAAAAGGGATTCTACCAGGACACTGCCTTTGGACTGTCTCCACCCTGCCAGCCTACTCTACATATTTGGGACTTGCTGGTCCCCAAAGTTACATGAGGCAATTCCTTAAAATAAAACTCTCTCTTTATAAACACACACACACACACACACACACACACACACACATTGTGTTGGTTCTGTTTTCTCTGGAGATCCCTGACTAATCTTCACTTCCGTGTGGTGTCATGGCAACCCTGGGTAGTTGAGACTTGCCTTTTAGCCTTACAGTTGGCAATTCCCTTTTGCCACTAGACAGTCTGTCTTTGATGATTATTCTGAACAATGCTCAATCACAGAACAGGGGTCATTTTAACCCTGAATGCTTCTAACAAGGTTAAGGAAAAATAACTTTTTATAACATTTAAGAAAATAATGGATGTTCCCTCAGGGCCATATTTTAAATGCTTCTAAGCACAATATGACACAGTATAAGATATGGCATTTGGTTGCAGTATATCATAATAGAAAACTGAAAGAATCAGAACATGTGGAAAAACATTGAAATAAATCTGTTATAAAGGCCTTTAGGTCTTAACAAACTTGACATTTGTTTGGCAGGAGTTTCCTTCTTAGGTGGACATTGTTTTTTCCATATAGCCAATGTTAATAGAAAACAACTAATTTTAAGTTTGCCTATGATAATTAGGGGGTGAGGGGAAGGACGATACAACATTGAAAATAATAAGAGCCATTTTTTTTGATTCCAGGGTCAACTAATTACTTTATATCTCACCAAGTCCTCACAGGAAGATGAAGTAAATTCCATGTGTTCCCACAATACAGATAAGAAACATGAGGCTGAGACACTTGCCTAAGGCTTCACAGGTTAAAGAAAAAATGTAGAGTCAAACCTCAAACTAAAGTCTCTTCGGTGCTGAAGTTCCTGTCATTAACCACTACACTCAACTATCTCAGATTGGCAATTTTTAATCTCTTCCTTCTATTGAACCGGAGATGTTAGCAAGCAACCAGATTTGTTATTTTTTCCATAAATTATTGGGGTACAGGTGGTATTTGGTTACATAAGGAAGTTCCTTAGTGGTGATTTGTGAAATATTGGTGCACCCATCACCCGAGCAGTATATGCTACACCATGTTTGTAGTCCTTTCTCCCTCACCCCCTCCTTCTCGTCACCCCCAAGCCCCCACAGTCCATTGTTTCATTCTTCTGCCTTTGTATCCTCATAGCTTAGCTCCCACGTATCAGTGAGAACATAAGATGTTTGCTTTTCAATTTCTGAATTACTTCACTTAGAATAACAGTCTCCAGTCCCATCCAGATTGCTGCAAATGCTGTTAATTCATTCCTTTTTATGGCTGAGTAGTGTCCCACCATATATATCACAGTTTCTTTATCCACTTGTTGATTGATGGGCATTTGGGTTGGTTCCACAATTTTGCAATTGTGAATTGTGCTGCTATAAGCATGTGTCTGCAAGTATCTTTTTTGTATAATGACTTCTTTTCTTCTGGGTAGATACCTAGTAGTGGGATTGCTGGATCAAATGGTAGACCTACTTTTAGTTCTTTAAGAAATCTCCACACTGTTTCCCATAGTGGCTGTACTAGTTTACATTCTACACCAGCAGTGTAGAAGTGTTCCCTGATCACCACATCCATGCTAACATCTACTGTTTTTTGATTTTTTGATTATGGCCATTCTTGCAGGAGTAAGGTGATATCGCACTGTGGCTTTGATTTGCATTTCCCTGATCACTAGTGATGTTAAGCATTTTTTCATATATCTGTTGGCCATTTGTATATCTTCTTTTGAGAATTGTCTATTCATGTTTTTAGCCCACTTTTGGATGGAATTGTTTTTTTTTTTTTTTTTCTTACTGATTTGTTTGAGTTCGTTGTAGATTCTGGATATTAGTCCTTTGTCAGATGTATGGATTGTGAAGATTTTCTCCCACTGTGTTGGTTGTCTGTTTATTCTGCTGACTGTTCCTATTGCTATGCAAAAGCTTTTTAGTTTAATTAAGTTCCAACTATTTATCTTTGTCTTTATTGCATTTGCTTTTGGGTTCTTGCTCATGAAATCCTTGCCTAAGCCAGCATCTAGAAGCGTTTTTCCAATGTTATCTTCTAGAATTTTTACAGTTTCAGGTCTTAAATTTAAGTCCTTAATCCATCTTGAGTTGATTTTTGTATAAGGTGAGAGATAAGGATCCAGTTTCATTCTTCTACCTGTGGCTAGCCAATTATCCCAGCGCCATTTGTTCAAAAGAGTGTCCTTTCCCCACTTTATGTTTTTGTTTGCTTTTTTGAAGATCAGTTGACTGTAAGTGGGTTTATTTCTGGGTTCTCTGTTCTGTTTCATTGGCCTATGTGCCCATTTATATACTAGTACCACACTGTTTTGGTGACTATGGCCTTATAGTATAGTTTGAAACCAGATAGTATGATCCCTCCAGATTTGTTCTTTTTGCTTAGTGTTGCTTTGGTTATGCAAGCTCTTTTTTGTTCCATATGAATTTTAGAATTATTTTTGCTAATTCTGTGAAGAATGATGGTGGTATTTTGATGGAGATTGCATTGAATTTGTAGATTGCATTTGGCAGTATAGTCATTTTTACAATATTGATTTTATCCATCCATGAGCATGGGATGTGTTTTCATGTGTTTGTTTTATCTATGATTTCTTTCAGCAGTGTTTTGTAGTTTTCCTTGTAGAGGTCTTTTGACTCCTTTGTTAGGTTATTCCTAAGTTTGTTTTTTTGTTTTTTGTTTTTTTGTGTGTGTTTTTTTGCAGATATTGTAAAAGGGGATTAAGTTCTTGATTTGATTCTCCGCTTGGTCGCTGTTGGTGTATAGAAGAGCTACTGATTTGTGTACATTAATCTAGTGTCTGGAAAGTTTGCTGAATTCTTTTTTTTTTTTTTTTTTTTTTTTGAGACGCACACTACCATGCCTGGCTAATTTTTTGTATTTTAGTAGAGATGGGGTTTCACTGTGTTGCCCAGGCTGGTCTCGAACTCCTGAGCTCAGGCAATCCACCCACCTCAGCCTCCCAAAGTGCTAGGATTATAGGCATGAGCCACTGTGCCCGGCCTGCTGAATTCTTTTATCAGTTCTAGGAGCTTTCTGGAGGAGCCTTTAGGGTTTGCTGATGATCATATCGTCAGCAAACAGTGACAGTGTGACTTCCTCTTTACCGATTTGGATGCCCTTTATTTCTTTCTCTTGTCTGATTGCTCTGGCTAGGACTTCCAGTACTATGTTGAAGAGGAGTGGTGGGAGTAGGCATCCTTGTCTTGTTCCAGTTCTCGGAGGGAACTTTTCAGCTTTTCCCCACTCAGTATTATGTTGGCTGTGGGTTTGTCATAGATGGCTTTTGTTACACTGTATGTCCCTTGTATTCTGATTTTGCTGAGTTTTAATCATAAAGAGATGCTGGATTTTGTCAAATGCACTTTCTGCATCTATTGAGATGATCATGTATTTTTGTTTTTTATTCTGTTAATGTGGTGTATCACATTTGTTGACTTGCATATGTTAAACCATCCCTGCATCCCTGGTATGAAACCCACTTGATCATGGTGGATTACCTTTTTGATATGTTGTTGGACTCAGTTAGCTAGTATTTTGATAAGGATTTTAGCATCTATGTTCATCAACGATATCGGTCTGTAGTTTTCTTTTTTGGTTATGTCCTTTCCTGGTTTTAGTATTGGGGTGATGCTGGCTTCATAGAATAAATTAAGGAGGGTTCCTTCTTTCTCTATCTTGTGGAATAGTGTCAAAAGGATTGGTACCAATTCTTCTTTGAATGTCTGGTAGAATTCTGCTGTGAATCTGTCTGGTTCTGGACTTTTTTTATTGGTAATTTTTAAATTACCATTTTAATCTCGCTGCTTGTTATTGGTCTGTTCAGGATATCTAGTTCTTCCTGATTTAAGCTAGGAGGGTTGTATTTTTCCAGGAATTTATCCATCTCTTCTAAGTTTTCTAGTTTATGTGCGTAAAGGTTCATAGTAGCTTTGGATGATCTTTTGTATTTCAGTGGTGTCATTTGTAATAACTCCTGTTTCATTTTTTTAATGAGGTTATTTGGATTTTCTCTCTTCTTTTCTTGGTTATTCTTGCTAATGGTTTATCAATTTTATTTATCTTTTCAAAGAGCCAGCTTTATGTTTCATTTATCTTTTGTATTTTTTTGGTTTCAATTTCATTTAGTTCTGCTCTGATGATCTTGGTTATTACCTTTCTTCTGCTGGGTTTGGGTTTGGTTTGTTCTTTTTTCTCTAGTTCCTTGAGATGTGACCTTAGACTGTCAGTTTGTGCTCTTTCAGTCTTTTCGATGTAGGTGTTTAGGGTTATGAACTTTCCTCTTAGCACTGCCTTTGCTGTATCCCAGAAGTTTTGATAGGTTGTGTCATTATTGTGTTTCAGTTTGAAGAATTTTTAAATTTCTATGTTGATTTCATTTTTGACCCAATGCTCATTCAAGAGCAGGTGATTTAATTTCCATGTATTTGCATGGTTTTGAAGGTTCCTTTTGGAGTTGATTTCTAGTTCTATTCTACTGTGATCTGAAAGAGTACCTGATATAATTTCAGTTTTCTTAAATTTATTGAGGCTTGTCTTATGGCCTATCATAAGATCTATGTTGGAGAAAGTTCCATCCACTGTTGAATAGAATGTGTATTTTGTGGTTGTTGGATGAAATGTTCTGAATATATTTGTAAAGTCCATTTGTTTAAATCCATTGTTTAAATCCATTGTTTCTTTGTTGGCTTTCTGTCTGATGAGCTGCCTAGTGCTCTCCCTGGAGGATTGAAGTCCCCCACTTAGTTCTATAAGTAATTGTTTTATAAATTTGGGAGCTCCAGTGTTAGGTGCATATATGTTTAGGATTGTGATATTTTCCTGTTGGACAAGGCCTTTACCATTACATAATATCCCTCTTTGTCTCTTTTAACTGCTGTTGCTTTAAAGTTTGTTTTGTCTGATACAAGAATAGCTACCCCTGCTTGTTTTGGTGTCCATTTGCATGAAATGCCTTTTTCCACCCCTTTACTTTAAGTTTTTGTGAGTCCTTACATGTTAGGTGAGTCTCCTGAAGACAGCAGGTAGTTGGTTGGTGGGTTCTTATCCATTCTGTGGTTCTGTATTTTTTTAAGTGGAGCATTTAGGCCATTTACATTCAATGTTAGTATTGGATAAGAGGTACCATTGCATTCATGGTGCTCTTTGCTGCCTGTGTACTTTGGTTTTATTGTTTTTGCTTTTTAACTGGTATTTTTGTTTCATAGGTCCTGTGTGATTTATGCTTTAAAGAGGTTCTGTTTTGATGTGTTTCCAGGATTTGTTTCAAGACTTAAAGCTCCTTTTAGCAGTTCTTGTAGTGGTGGCTTGGTTGTGGCGAATTCTCTCAGCATTTGTTTGTCTGAAAAAGACTGTATCTTTCCTTCATATATGATGCTTAGTTTCACTGGATAAATAATTCTTGGCTGGTAATTGTTTGGTTTGAGGAGGCTGAAGATAGGGCCCCAATCCCTTCTAGCTAGTAGTTTTCTGCTGAGAAATCTGTTGTTAATCTGATAGGTTTTTCCTTTATAGGTTACCTAATGCTTCTGTCTCACAGCTCTTAAGATTCTTTCCTTTGTCTTAACTTTGGATAACCTGATGACAGTGTGTCTAGGCAATGATCTTTTTGAGATGAATTTCCTAGGTGTTCTTTGTGCTTCTTGTATTTGGATGTCTAGGTCTCTAGGAAGGCTGGGGAAGTTTTCCTTGATTATTTCCCCAAATGTGTTTTCCAAGCTTTTAGAATTCTCTTCTTCCTCAGGAACACCAATTATCCTTAGGTTTCATTGTTTAACATAATCCCAGACTTCTTGGAGGCTTCTTTCGTATTTTCTTATTCTTTTTCAATGTGTTGGATTGGGTTAATTCGAAGACCTTGTCTTCGAGCTCTGAATTTCTTTCTTCTACTTGTTCAATTCTATTGCTCAGACTTTCCAGAGCATTTTCCATTTCTATAAGTGTGTCCAATGTTTCCTGAAGTTTTGTTTTTCCTTTAAACTATCTATTTCCTTGAATATTTCTCTCTTTACTTCTTGTATAGTTTTTTAGACTTCTAGTGTTGGGCTTTGCCTTTCTTTGTTGCCTCCCTGATTAGCTTAATAACTAACCTCCCAAATTCTTTTTCAGGTAAATCAGGAATTTCTTCTTGGTTTGCATCCATTGCTGGTGAACTAGTATGATTTTTAGGGGGTGTTAAAGAGCCTTGTTTTGTCATATTACCAGAATTAGTTTTCTGGTTTCTTCTCATTTGGGTAGGCTCTGTCAGAGGGAAACTCTAGGGCTGAAGGCTGTTATTCATATACTTTTGTCCCATGGAGTGTTCCCTTGGTGTAGTACTCTCCCCCTTTTCCTATGGATGTGGCTTCCTGTAAGCTGAACTGCAGTGATTGTTGTCCCTCTTCTGGGTCTAGCCACCCAGCAAGTCTACCTGGCTCTGGGCTGGTACTGGGGGTTGTCTGCACAGAGTCCTGTGACGAGAATCGTTTATGGGTCTCTCAGCCATGGATACCAGTGCCTGTTCCAGTGGAGGTGGTAGGGAGGGGCAATGGACTCCGTGAGGGTTTTTAGCTTTGGTGGTTTAATGCTCTGTTTTTGTGCTGGTTGGCCTCCTGCCGGGTCATGTTGCTTTCCAGAGAGCATCAGCTGTGGTAGTTTGGGGAGGAACAGGTGGTGGGCAGGGCCCTAGAACTCCCAGGAGTATATGTCCTTTGTCTTTAGCTACCACGGTGGATAGGGAAGGACCATCGGGTTGGGGCAAGGCTAGGCGTGTCTGAGCTCAGTCTCTCCTTGGGTGGGTCTTGCTGCAGCTGCTGTGGGAGATGGGGGTGAGGCTCCCAGGTCAATGGAGTTGTGTACCTAGGAGGATTATGGCTGCCTCTGCTGAGTCATGCAGGTTGTCAGGGAAGTGGAGAAAAGCCAGCAGTCACAGGACTCACCCAGCTCCCATACAAATCGAAGGGCCGGTCTCATTCCCACCATGTCCCCACTAACAGCCCCTAATCTGTTTCCAGGCAATGGGCAGCCAGACTTGAGAACTTGCCCCAGGCTACCCTCCCCGCAGCTGCAAAAGAAAAGGGCTTGGTTCATTCCCCACCTATGGAGTCTGCACACTGGATTCGTGTCCTTCCCCGAATTCTGGCCAGGAGGCTTCTTGCCCCATTCAAATTGTTACAAAGTTCAGCTGGAGATTTCCTTCTCCCTGTGGTGTTTCTCCCCCTGATCCCCTGGCTCCTCTGGCCGCCCTGCCTATATATTCCTATGGTGCTAGGCAGGAATGGCCTGCTTGTGGACCCAGCGAGCGCCCAGGGCCTTTCTTCTTCTTCCTCTACCCCTGTATTTCACTCGGCTCTCTAAATTGACTCAGCTCCAGGTATGGTCAGAAACTTCTCCCACAAAGAGACTTTCAGTTTCTCTAGTGGGGATGTGTGTTCAGGAGAGGAGGCTCTCCCTTTCCCACTTCTGCAGTTGGGGCACCCACAGTATTTGGGGTATCTCCTGGGTCCTGCAGGAGCAATCTGCTTCCTTCAGAGGGTCTGTGGGTCCTCTTGGGATTGCTGGTTTGTTCTTGCAGTGGATCTGGAGCTAAAATTCAGTGTGAGCCTCTGCACACTGCTCTGTCCATCCAAGTTGGAGTTGCAATCTAGTCCTGCCTCCCATCCACCATGATGATTACTTCTGTTTATTTGTTTTTATCACATACTGTGCCAAGCACGGGGCTCTGGACTCAAACATTTCCAGGTTTACTTATTGAGACTTTGGCCTGGATTCTTAACTTCTCTGTGCTTGAGACTCCTTATATATAAATAAAGAAGTGTCTGCCTCCTGGGATTATTGTAAACCAAGCTTGTCCAACCTGCGGCCCAGAATAGCTTTGAATGCAGCCCAACACAAATTCGTAAATTTGCTTAAAACATTATGAGATATTTGTGTGTGTGTGTGTGTGTTTTTTTTTTTTTTTCTCATCAGCTATCATTAGTGTTAGTGTATTTTATGTGTGGCCCAAGACAATTATTCTTCTTCCAATGTGGTCCAGGGAAGCCAAAAGATTGGACATCCCTGTTGTAAACACAGAAGTGAGCAGACTGTGGAGCTTCTTGCAAAAGCTGGGCTCAGAGCATCCCTCAGTAAAGATGAGTCACTGTGTGAGCTGAAGAGTCTAGGTAAAGAGTAGGAGGGAGAAGAAAAAGGAACCCATTCCCCATGGGATACCCAGACCCTAAGCGTTATATCTACACTTTCAAAATGTTGCCTTATTCTATCCCAGCTTCACCTTGGCTGTGTCTCAAAGTGAAACAGTAAGATGAATCTAGAATGGCAGCTAGGTAGAGAATCCTGGTGATGGGTCAGAAGGACCAACACCTTTGAATTCTGATTGCTTTACATATCTGGCTCTCTGGGTGGTTTGTCACTAAGACAGTTACTTCCTAAAGTAGAACATCAACAGCATCCTTTTGGAACATGATTCCAACAGCATGGTTAAGATACCTGAGTAAGTCTGCAAGCTCAGAATGGACTGGTGCTGGATCTACCACTGAATTTAATATTTTTCTCCCTGGAGACATCTCAGGCCAGGGCCAAATGGCTCCCTAGGATCTCATAATTGCTGACACATGGAAGTGTGTGAGCTTCCCTTTGATAGTAGTAATCACAGGATGACAGATAACACCACCTGTGCCCTGACTCCCTGTGCCCGTGCCCACAACAGACATCAGCAATGGACTGCATCATCTTCCCTGCATAGCCAAGATTTTGCCTGAGAATCATTTTCAAAACAGATCTCCAGGCAGCCACCAGGAACCAATCACAGTTTACCTGAGAGAGAATGTTTATCTGCCATCCCTGGCTGGACTTTCCTTTAATGTACTGGATGACAGGAGTTGAGATCCATTTAACTGCACAGGGCCAATCACACTGCAATAAAATGGGTATTTTTTTCCCCTGAATTTTTTGACCTGGGATCATGCTAGAATGAGAATTTCTGGAATCACTAACTACTTAGTGGCTTCTGTTAACGGGGGAAATATGTGCTAGGCTAGGCTGTCAGACAGTAAGAAGTTAATCCTCAAATCTTGGTATGACACAACAAAGGTTTATTTCTTGCTTAAACTCCATGTCTGCTAAGGTTGGCAAGGGGCAGACAGAAACATCTCCACTTGCAGCTGCCCTTTCCCCACCACGCGGCCTCCTAGGTTGCTATGACACGGTAAGAAAACACTTGGAGATCTCAAGGCTGCCCCTCCATTCTTCAGCCGGAAGCAGCACACATCCCTTCCTCCCACAGCTCATTAGTCAGAACTAGCCACACCCACCTGACTGCCCAGGGCTGGGAAGGGTAGTCTTCTGTGTATCCAGAAGGAAAGAGGCAGGTATTGGTGAGCACTGAGAAGGTAGACTGCAGAGGAAGAAAGACTGTTATAAAGCTGACATCACCCTTCTTAAAAGCTTTTAGGCCTAAGAGGCAGCTTTGATGGGGATTATTTTTTCCATGGAATATTTGCTTTTGTATGGTGGGGCAGGCAGGGGATCTCTTTTCTGGATTTTTTAAGGACAGTGAAGATAAAAGAAGCATTTCCTCCTGCTTTCTGAGCTAAGGAACCATTTACTCTGCATGCTGTCTTGTTAAAGCATTATGGCCCCATTATCATAAATCTGCCAGATAGAGAGTAATGGGAAAAGCTTGGGTCACATTTTTATGTAGAATACTTCGGACTTCTTGAAAAATTATCAAACCCCAGACATTACGTGCCTCACATACCCTCCTTTTGTAGCCTTTGTTAAGTACATCTCATCCAGGTGGGGCTGTTCTTCACTTAGGGGCCAGTGCAGGATTGCTCAGGACCTTGTAAAAATGGGAATTATATTCTATCTTGAATAGCAATTTACCTGAATATGGCACTCATTAAAGAATGGGTACATGGAAGTAAAGACTAACAACAGGGAAATGTCATTGTTCAAAAGTTTTGATATTGACCATGGCCACAGGAACTAGATGGCAAAATGCAGATGTAGTGAGTGATTCCTGAGGAAGCCCTGTCGTTCTGAGGTATCTACTGCTATGAAAGGGTAGAAAATCTATTTTATGTGTCTGGTTCAGTCTATAACTTTTGTTCAGGAGTTATTTTTTTTTTTCTTTTGAGATGGGGTCTCACTCTGTCACCCAGGTGGCAGTGCAGTGGTGCGATCTCGGCTCACTGCTAGCCTCAACTGCCCAAGCTCAGGTGATCCTCCCACTTCAGCCTCCTGAGTAACTGGGACTGGGTGTCCACTACACCCAGCTAATTTTTTTTTTTTTTTTTGAGACAGAGTCTCACTCTGTCACCCCGGCTGAAGTGCAGTGGCACGATCTTAGCTGACTGCAACCTCCACCACCTGGGTTCAAGTGATTCTCCTGCCTCAGCCTCCTGAGTAGCTAGGATTACAGGTGCCCACAACCATGCCCAGCTGAGTTTTGTATTTTTAGTAGAGATGGGGTTTCTCCATGTTGGCCAAGCTGGTCTGGAACTCCTACCCTCAGGTGATCCACCTACCTCTGCCTCCCAAAGTGCTGGGATTACAGGTGTGAGCCACTGCACCCAGCCTAATTTTTGTATTTTTAGTAGAGACAGGGTTTCACCACGTTGCCCAGGCTGGTCCCAAACTCCTGGCCTCAAGTGATCCACCTGCCTCGGCCTCCCAAAGTGCTGGGATTACAAACGTGAGCCACTGCGCCTGGCCAGGCATATGTATCTTTAAAAGCCCACTGGAAGTGACTGCTGGAAATATCAGGTGCCCACAGGCTGATCTGCCCACCACTTTTCATGAGTGGGGCAAACTGAAGACAGTTGTCAGCATGCTAAGACCATTGGCACAGCAGCAGGTATTTCATTTGTAAAATCTCATCAAAAATCTGGAAAATTGCTAGTGGAATAATCCAGAGCATTACTTGTGTTGTCCCTCTGCAAATGGAAGTGGAAGGAGTCTATCCTTCTGTCTTGATTTGTCTTCAGGGTCACAGAGGTAGGAGCACTTCACTAACACCAGAGAAGCTGTGCCTCTCATAGGAATCAGGGCTTTGGACAAGCCCACAGATATAGCTGTTCAGTACATGGTATTTCATAAAGTGCTCACTGAGGTCTAATTAGTGCAAAGCTCTTTTAGGGTTGCAAAGATGAATCCAATTACAGCACATCAGTATATAGAAGAGAAAGACCATACACAAAATAGCCCTGACACAAGGCAGAAAAGGATGCATCCTGTAAGAGCAGGTTAGTAAAATATGGCAAGAGCACAGAGGAGGGACAGATTTCTTCCCATTGGGAGATCAGAGTGTCTCCATGGCATCAGTGACATTGGAGTTGACAGTGAAGAAGGTATTTTATTTTGACAGACAGACTGGTGGAAGGGCCTATCAGGTAGAAAGAACAGCACAAGCGAAGGCACAGAGAGTGGCAGTCTTGAGTACATTGGGGGCTGTCACATCCTTCGTGGCTAGACTGTAGGATTAGCAAGGGGACTGAAACTGAAGGGCTTTTGGCCCTTGAAAGAAGGAAACTGCCTAGCTTATGTCTATGGTTATATGATTTTCTACCTGAAATCTTCCAATTCACAAGCATGATCTACATCTCCATATACTTAGGTCTTCTTCAATTTCCCTTTGTAATGTTTTGAAAATTTCAGAGTACAGGTCTGGAACATTCTTGGTTAAATGTATTGTTAACTATTCTATTTTTTTGATGTTATTGTGAATGGAGTTACCTTTTCATTAGTAGCATGTAGTAATATAGTGATTTTTGTATAAGGTCAATTGAAAGAAAAATCTTTTTAAATGGCAGTGGTGGTCTAACTGGATAAACATATGAAAAAAAAATGAATGAGATTACCTCATCTCAATATGGAGCGTGTCTTCAAAGTAAAAGCTCCTAGAACTGCACTGGCTGGTAGAACTTTCTGTGATGATGGAAATGTGTCTGTGCTGTCCAGTTAGATAGCCACTGGCCATGTGTGGTTACTGAGCATTTGCAATATGGGTAATATGACTAAGAAACCAAATTTTGAACGTTACTTAATTTAAATTTAAATAGCCACATATTGGTAATGTATCATATTGGCCAACATGGTTAGAAGAAAGCATAGGAGAATATCTTCATGATGTTAGGGTAGGCAATTGTGTCTTAGAGAAGATGTAAAAAGCACTAAACATAAAGGAAAAAAATTGATAAACAACTGATTAAAACCCCTGCTCATCAAAAGACACCTTTGAGAAAATGAAAATGCCAAGTCACAGATCAAGAGAAAATATATGCAATACACATAACTGACAAAGAACTCATATTCCGCATATATTATAAAACTTCCACAAGTCAAGAACAAAAACCAAATAACTCAGTTTTTAAATAGACTCCTACAGATGCTTCACAAAAGAAGATAAACCAATAGCCAATAAGCACAGTAAGAGATGCTTAGATGTTATTACACATCAGAGAAATGCACATTAAAGTCACAGTGAAATGTCATTTCACTCCCATTGGAATGTCTAACATTAACATGATTGACAACACCAAATGTTGGGAAGCAGGTTGCTATGGCTTGGATAGCTTGTTTGCCCCCACCAAAGCTCATGTTGAAATTTGATCCCGTGTGGCAGTTTTGGGAGGTGGGGCCTAATGGGAGGTGTTTGGGTTATAGGGGTGGATCCCTTGTGAATGGCTTGGTGCTATTCTCACAGTAGTGAGTTCTTGCTTTCTCAAGACTGGATTAGCTCTCTTGGGAATGGATTAGTTCCCTCAAGAGTAGGCTGCTATAATGCCAGGACACTCCTCAGATTTTCCTTCCTTTTTATGGGTCTGCTTCTCCTTTGACCTTCTTTGTAGTGTTGTGATGCAGCATGAAAGCCCTAACCAGAAGCCAGGGGCATACCCTTGAACTTCTCAGCTACATAAACTTCTTTTATTTGTAAACTACTCAGTCTCAGGTATGCTTTTATAGCAACATGAAACGGACTACAACAGAGGTGGAAAAACTAATTCTCACACATTGTGGTGGAGTGTAAAATGGTACAACTACTTTGGAAAACCCTTTGCAGTTTCTCATAAAGTTAAGCATAGATCCACTACATGACTCAATTCTATTCTTAGGTATTTATTCAAGAGCAGTAGAAACATATCCACAAAGAGACTTTTCAACAACGTTCAAAGTAGCTTTACTCACATAGTCCCAAGCTAGAAACAACCCAAATGTCCTTCAGCAGGAGAATGAATAAATAGATTGTAGTATGTTCATACAATGGGCATTAGTAAGAAAAAGGACAAACTATTGTCATATGCAACAATATAGCTAAATCTCAAAAACATTGAGCAAAAGAACCCAAGCACAAAAGGCCATATATCATATGATTCCATTTATATAAATTTCAAGAACAGGCTAACCTAGTCTGTGGAAATAGAAATCAGAGCAGTGTTACCTAAAGGGGGTAGAAATTGAATGGAATAAAACTTTCTGGAATGAAGGAAATAAATGTCCTTTATGTTGATTGGGGTGGTAGTTACATGGGTGTGTTCATTAATTAAAATTCATCATATTTTGTACTTAAGGTTTATGCATTTCACATTGACATATATGGTATGTAAACTTTACCCATTGATGATAAGAATGGTAACTGAATTGAAGCAAGTGGTGTCCACGATGAGTTTTTCACATTGTCAACCCAAATTAACAAACAGAGGCTCTCTGAAAGAAAATGATATTTATTTGGTAATAGGGCACTGCAGTGGGAATACTCATGTCATAGTAAACTATGTGTGTATTCTAGGAGGTAAAGGAAGATAAAGATATTGAAAGGAAAAGTGAGGAGGATTACACAATTATTTCAAGATAATTATCCTTGGCTACAAGGGTTAATAACAAAGGTGGCATCAGTCAAGATTGGACAGATAGTTGCTGGGTAGATGTCCTTGTAGAAGTATTTTTTTGTTGTAAGACTGAGATGGCCTTTGTGCAAGATTATGGCTTTTGCAGAGTCTTTTGTGATGATTCTTATTAACAGGCACTCATGCATGAGGACCCTCGTTTCATAACCTTCCCCAGCTCTATTGCCAGGGTTTTTTTTTTGTTTGTTTGATTTTTCTTTTGAGATGGAATCTTGCTTGGTCACCCAGGCTGGAGTGCAGTGGCATGGTCTTTGCTCACCACAAGCTCCGCCTCCCGGGTTCACGCCATTCTTCTGCCTCAGCCTCCCAAGTAGCTGGGATTACAGGTGCCTGCCACCACACCCGGCTAATTATTTTTTGTATTTTTAATAGAGACGGGGTTTCACCATTTTAGCCAGGATGGTCTGGATCTCCTGACTTCGTGATCCGCCCGCCTCAGCCTCCCAAAGTGCTGGGATTACAGGTGTGAGCCACCACGCCCTATTGCCAGGGTTTTTAACATAAGTGACTTCATTTTGATTCTGACAACTTTCACATTTCCCTCTTTTGCTGAAGCTCTTTCTCAAAAGTCATCACTGATGAATCATCCCGTAGTTAAATTTTGATTGTCCCTTGGTTCTGGGATTTACCTGTACTGGTTTGGTTTAATCTAGTCCTACATTAGAGGGAAGTTATTGGTGACTAGGAATCAGTGTCAAAAGCCTTTTAGCCACATTTGAGCAACAAAGGTAGTTTGGAGGGAGTGGCTCTCAGGCTAAGTCTACCTGAAGTCCATATTTAAGTTCAATTTTGTCTGTTTTGTAGGTGTTGGCTATCACTTCAAAGTGCTGGTCCAGCATTATTCTGTTAGGAGTTGTACTTCTGAAGAATTTTAACAAGTAACAGGTACAAAGTTTACAAACAAAAGTAGAAAGTAAAATTAATAGTAATATGATAATCTCAGTTTGCCTAACAGTTTTGAGGCATGAACCTGGGCTTAAAGGCAACCAATTAATAAATCAAATGAACACAGGGGATTAGGTGAGACTTGTTGTAACTATGTGACCTGTTTTCTTATTTTGTATATATGGGTCTTAATTTTCCCAGAGGAATATATCTAGGTACAGTATGTAGTATTAGCAATAGCACATATATTTATTTACTTAAACAATAGATAATATAGAGCAATTTTATTACATGGCATCCCATGGGTGGGTTGAATTAAAGTAGAGCAGACAGAGAACAACAGTTGTATTAGGGATGTTGACAAAGTCACCCATTGGGTGCACTAAAGGATCTCTTAGGTCAGGTTTTTTAAAGTTACCAGCAAAACGTATTGATTGTGAAATTTCAAGTGCACCATTATCCTGTCAAATGAAAAAGGTAGGCATTAAGAGGGGTCAAAGTCTCATTATGATATGGAGTCTTTTTCTGATGTCTTGGGAAAAACTGTCTACTGCATGAAGCTGTCAACTTCTCATCCTGGTTTGCAGTTTGAATGTGACTGTTTATGGCATAAGGTGTCGGTATGTTTTGATTCTGTGTCCCTACCCATATCTCATCTCAAGTTGTAATCCCCATGTGTCATTGTCATGGGAGGAACCTGGTAGGAGGTGATTGGATCATGGGGGCAGTTTCCCCTGTGCTATTCTTGTGATAGTGAGTTCTCACAAGATGTGATGGCCTAAAAGTCTGTGGTGATTCCTTGGCTGGGCACAGTGGCTCATGCCTATAATCCCAGCAGTTTGGGAGGCCGAAGCAGATGGATAATTTGAGGTCAGGAGTTCAAGGCCAGCATGGCCAACATGGTGAAATCCTGTCTCTACTAAAAATACAAAAATTAGCCGAGGGTGGTGACACATGCTTGTAATCCTAGTTACTTGGGAGGCTGCGGCAGGAGGATCACTTAAACTGGGAGGCAGAGGTTGCAGTGAGCCAAGATCAAGCCACTGCACTCCAGCTTGGGTGACATAACAAGACTCCATCTTAAAAATGAATGAATGAATGAATGAATAAATAAATAAAAGTATGTGGTGGGTTCCCCCTGTCTTGCTGCCATGTAAGATGTGCCTTGCTTTCCCTCTGCCTTCCACTAAAATTGTAAGTTTCCTGAGACCTCCCTAGCCATGCAGAACTATGTGTCAATTAAACCTCTTTTCTTTATAAATTACCCAGACTCAGGTAGTTCTTTATAGCAGTGTGAAAACAGATTAATACAGGTGCTTTGGTGAACTCTCTGTGTGACCCATACATTAGACATTAGACTTGTCCCTTAAAATTCACCAAGTTTAAGGTTATAGGGCTTCAGAAATAGAACAGTTTGCATTTTTAGTAATTCTATGGTAGAGAGTTGGATTGAAAGAATCTAGAATAATTCAGGATCCAGTCTATTCTATAGGCAGATAACAAGAACTTGAAAATAATGCACAGGGCTAAAAACCTAATAACAAGAGTGTTGTAGTTTTTCTTTAGAAATATAACTTTTTCTCTCTCGTATTAGTATACTTTTAATATTAAAGCTCAATCTTTAGCAAAGGCTTATAGATAATTCCCATCTAATTATAGCCTTCATGAACCTTTCATGACCTGCTCAAATCTTCAGTAACATGCTTAAGCCTTTAGTTTTGTCCCATTCTTCCTCTTTCTTAAATGACCAGTCATTTTACTTTAGAACAAAAATTTACTACACAGATTCTTTCTTATACGAAATTATTCTCTTTTCTTTTTAACCTTCCTTACCGAAAGTGCATCTTCTTACTTATAACTTCCTCCATGTCTCTCTCTCCTGCTTACCAGTAGAGAAGGGCTTTTGCCATGTTGCCCAGGCTGATCTCGAACTTCAGAGCTCAAATAATCCTCCTGCCTCGGCCTTCCACAGTGCTGAGATCACAGACGTGAGCCACTGTGAGATATGATGAGGTTTCTCTTCAAATAGCTTGATCAATCCTTTATTCTTTAATTCATAGTACCCACTCCCCCACCCCTTTCTCCTTTTTGTCTTTTTTTCCTTTCTGCCTTTGTTACATGCTAGGACATGCCACAGTACCAGGCTTATCAGTACGAGCTCACATTCCTTTCCTTATTTAAAAAAAAGACTAGCCCTCTAGCTCATCACAGACACCCCTTCCCCTTTTCCCCTCTCTCCCTTACGTGCCCACCTTATCTAAAAAAAGTTCAAATGTCTAACCAACCGAGATTAATTCAGATTGTGCGACCCGACCCCGGCCAATAGAAAAAGAGTACAGAGACAGGACTTGCGTCAGAAATAAAGGCTTTCATGCCCCTTTGTTCAAGTGTGCTCTCATGGCGACTGGCAAAAAAACAAACAAACAAAAATCCCTCTACACAAAAGTAAAATTGCTTTTGCTAAAAATCCCTTGTTTGAGTGTTCAATCTCCTTAGGATTTTGAGCGTTATTCCCAACAGCCACCATGCCTGGCCTGTTTACTTTTAACAATTATACCTGGATTACTCATAGAAACTGAGATATTAGACAAAGCTAGTCATCATTTTAAGTTATTTCCCTTTTGATCATTTTTATAGCCTGTGAATATCAGGTGTTCACCTAAGTAAGAATCTTAAAGTTAAATATATGGGTATTTTGCCAATAACTCAGAAGATACAGCTGCTTTTATTAAGCCAACAATATGAAATTAGTCTTACATATCAAAGAATTACAGAAACAAATTTATTCTGTTTTTAGGGTGAGTTTATAATTTTATCACCTTAAAACATCTAGTACAATCTTGATGAACAGTAAACCCGGGCAAAATTGTATGCTGACAATTTTGAAGACCTCTCTATTTTTATTTTGTCAACAAACTTAAAACCAGCTTATTTATCAAAAAATTATTTAAGTAATGTGAACTAAAAACACGTGGGTTAGTTACTATATTTTTGTTACAGTACTCAATTTAAGTGCTTTTCTTCCCTTTTAAATTTATTAATCAGATCTCTTTAATATATTTTAGTAGAAAAATATTATACACACACAACATTAAAACATACAGACAACACAAATACATAGAAGCAGATTCTCTCGCTTTCGTCTGGATATTTTAGTCATGAGACAGTGTAACATAGTAATACAAACTCAGTTTGTAAAAGGACAGTTGAACTCAAATTATATTTCTGACAAATGGGACCTGTTCACATGGCTAATGTTTATTTGCCCCAATAGATAATCTTATTAAGGCTGTGAACTAAAATTTTGGATAAGGAAATTTTCATAGCAGTTTGATAATAATAATAATAAACCTCTCATCCTTTATTTCAGTTTCAAATGAGTTTAGGGTATATTTTTAATATTTATATTTTAGCCAGGACTGGCTAAATTGTATAAGAAAAATAAAATCTTCAAATGGCCTTGAATTTTTAGTAACAAATCTATCTTTTGTTTGCTGGTCTGGTTTGCTTGACTAGTCAATGTGGGTGAGGAAGCATTTTAACAGGTTTTTTTTCCAGCTTTTTCTAGTCCCTCCGTAGTAGATAAAGCAATTTTTATGTCAGACAAAGATATAGTATTCCTCTGAGCTCAAGATTTTGACTTGTTTGATCTGAGAGGCTAACTTTTATGAACATTTATGTAGTTATTTGCTTTTAAAATACCAATCCTTTAATTAAGTGTTCCATTACCCAAAGCACTTTTTAGTCAGACAAACCTAGATTTACATTTCCAAAGGTGTCTAAATTGTTGGTTTTCATGAACCTGTTGTAATCTGTAAAGCTGTTAAGTTTTTTGCATTTTGACTGGAATGCCATAAGCAGTGAGTTTGTCTTAACACCAGCAGAAAAGTCTGCAGATTCAAAATAGGCAGAAAAATAAAATAGAGGAGAGAGAGCCTAGAAGGCTCTATGTATTAACTCTATATTTGCAGTTTCTATTTCATCTCTAAGATAAACAGGCTTGGGGAGTTTGAATGATCTCCATGATGCCCATTGAGTTTGTGTGCACCAGGAAAAGCCATGTGGCCAGCTGGAGTCCCAGAAGACCAGGCATGCCTTGGTATTTGAGAATCTCATTTCATTTCTTTATTTTATTTTATTTTATTTTATTTTATTTTATTTTATTTTATTTTATTTTATTTATTTATTTTATTTTACTTTATTTTATTTTATTTTATTTTATTTTATTATACTTTAAGTTTTAGGGTACATGTGCACAACCTGCAGGTTTGTTATATATGTATACATGTGCCATGTTGGTGTGTTGCACCCATTAACTCATCATTTTTTTATTTTTTTGAGACAGAGTCTCACTCTGTCCCCAGGCTGGAGTGCAGTGGCGCGATCTCGGCTCACTGCAAGCTCCACCTCCCAGGTTCACGCCATTCTCCTGCCTCAGCCTCCCAAGTAGCTGGGACTACAGGCACCCGCCACTGTGCCTGGCTAAGTTTTTGTATTTTTAGTAGAGAAGGGGTTTCACCGTGTTGGCCAGGATGGTCTCGATCTCCTGACCTCGTGATCCGCCCTTCTCGGCCTCCCAAAGTGCTGGGATTACAGGCGTGAGACACCGCGCCCGGCCCCTTCATTTCTTATTAATTTCTTAAAAGCAAAGAAAATCCCATAAATCATGTCATGGGACCGTCAGGAGTTTGTACTGGTGTGTAAAGAAAATTCTTTAAATCTTGTCAGGAAAATGTCAGGAGTTTAGACTGGTGTCTTACACAGTGGCAACCAACATAGTGGCTTTTAATTAGCCATCCTGCATCCACCACTTAGGATGTTTATTTTTGCTCTTGAAAGATTTTCAGAAACAAGCAAAGGGGAAGAGCCAAATCATTTACACACATGCATAACCAAACCCAAATCGGATTGTTCACAGAAATTTTAACCCAGGCATGCAGATCAAACAAAATATTAAACTAGGCATGCAGAAAGAACCAAAAATGAACTCACCAGAAAAGACATGTCTCCAAGACAGATTGTAAATGTTGTAGAAACCGGAGTACTCTCCACAAGGACACTTCTCAGGAAGAGCTTGCCAAAAACAGAATTTTATAGTTCCAAGAGAGATGCAGCATTCTTCATTTAAGGTAGGCTGATAACCAAACCAAATCTCAGATAAAGTCAAAAAGCCTCTATCAGGAAGAAGGGGCTTAGCCTGAGTGAAGACTCACCAGGGAAGAACAGGTGAGCCATGGAGGCAGAGAGCTCAAAGGGCTCAAGGTGAGCACAGCCTGCAGGTTCCAAGAATCACTGATTCCTTCCAAAAGTGATCTTGCTTCAGGTTCCGCTTCTGGAGACCATTTATGTCAACCTAAATAACAAATACTGAGAGGTTCTCTAAAAGAAAATGATGTTTACATGGTAATGGGTCATTGCAATGAAAATACTCATGCCATATAACTTATGTGCATATTCTGGGAAGTAAAAGAAGACAAAGTTTTTTAAAGGAAAAGTAAGGAGGATTACATGATTGTTTGGAGAGAGTTATCCTTAGCTACAAGGAACAATATGGGTGGTGCCAGTTCCAGGTTGGACAGGCAGTTGCTGGGCAGATGTCCTTATAGAAGTATTTTTTTGTGCAAGGTTATGGTTTTTGCCATCTTTCATGATTGTTCTTGTTATCAGACATTTGTGAGTGAGAATTCCCACTTCATGGCCTTCCCCAGCTCTATTCATCAGGATATTTTTTAATAACATTAAGTGACTCCATATTTATTCTGACAACTTTCACAACATACAGGTCCTTTTGTTTATCAGTCAAGGAAAGAAGAAACAAATAAAAGTCAAGTATATTGAGTGTTTAATATTTACTGGACTCTAAGAGTACAAAGATGAACTTTTTGCTCTTCTCAGGAAGGGAGAATCAGACACATCATACTGTTGCCATACCAAGGGATCATCGGGAGGAAGCCAGAAGGGAGGGGGTGGCCATGGGAGCACAGGGTAGCCTCAGGGGGCAGGAAAGGCACCTCAGAGGGGCTTTAATGTCCACTGCCTTGGCACTGTCCTGGGGAGGGACAAAATTCTCTTGGTCTCTTGTGCCTTAGTTCTCCAGCAAGGGTGACTAATGGACTTTAATTCCAGGAAACATAGCTGTGTTATGGAAGAGCAGCCACACACAGCTGGGCTTCTGGGTCTGCTGTCACACTCAGCTGGTGCCACAGGTAGGCAGAAAAGCTATTTCTCAGAGCTTCTTAGCCTTGGAATTGAGGAATGGTGTGGACCCCAGCAATCTTAATTATGCTTTCTCCAAATGCTTTGTGAACCCCCAAAATCCGAGAGAGGTCTCAGTTAATTTAGAAAGTTTATTTTGCCAGGGTTGAGGACACACACCCATGACTCAGCCTCAGGAGGTCCTGAAGACATGTGCCCAAGGTGGTTACAGCACAGTTTGGTTTTATCCATTTTAGGGAGACATGAGACATCGATCAACATATGTAAGATGAACATTGGTTCAGTCTGGAAAGGCGGGACTACTCGAAGCAGGGAGGGGACTTCCAGGTCGTAAGTAGATAAGAGACAATGGTTGCATTCTTTTGAGTTTCTGATTGACCTCTCCAAAGGAGGCAATCAGATATGCATTTATCTCAGTGAGCAGAGGGGTGACTTTGAATAGAATAGGAGGCAGGTTTGCCCTAAGCAGCTCCCAGCTTGACTTTTCCCTTTAGCTTAGTGATTTGGGGGTTCAAGATATTTTCCTTTCACAGCTTTAAGCCACTCTTTTTCCTAGGTGACATTTTAGTTTATCAGGTCACAGGTTGCTGGCACACTCATCCCTGTTCTCAAATATCTTTTAAACCTGAGAGAAATGACAGTTGAGGGAAACTCATTTACAGAAAGACAAAGAAGACCATGTAAATTTGCACTAAAGCATAAATCTTCAGTCTCTCTAAAATGATTTTCTCTGAATTCTGAATACCTGACATAGTAGAATATTGGATTCTTGCATAAACCCTTGACGTTCACAACATGTTTGTTTAGTGGGCAGTGAAAATTGTTAACCTGGCTTATTATTAAAAGGAAAAATACAGGTTTCTGAAAGGATTTCTTGCTTGATGTCACCCAGGTAACCATGCTAGGAGACAGATCTGATATTAAAATTCCTTCAGCTAGCTGGATTACAAACCTTCTAGGGTTGCTGACCTCTGAAATCCAGGTGATTTTGATAATTTGGAGTTTAGTGATATACAATCAGGTTTTCCAGACCTGTGTTTTTTTTGTTTTTGTTTTTTTGTTTTTCACCTCTGCCCAAATTCTTACAGAATTTGGTCATAAGTGCTTTCTCCTGAGTGATAGGATGGGAAGGAAGAGATTTAAGAACTGGAAACACTGAGAGGATTACACATCTGTTGAGCACAAACTCCAGGGCTTGATTTTTGTCAGGTTCTGTTCTGGACTTGAAAACACATTCAGTCATGATTTGTGCCTTTAAGGAGTCACTACCTGTGCATGGGCAATCCTTCTTTAAGTCTGGAAAGGATGGTGATTAAAGTAGATGGAGTATCAGGTTCTCAGCTTACCTGGGCTCTTTCTTTCACGCACTTGTGGGACTCATTGAGAGTTATTTTATTCACTCATTGACTCATTTATTACCCTTGAACTGCTTATTTGTTCCACGTTAAAGGAAACAAGGAATTAGGAATCTGGGTTTTATTCCCACTCATACCACAAACTGATTGTGTGACTAAGTGGGCAATTTGACTGCTCCTTACCTGAGTTCATACGTTTGTAAAATGCACATCATAATTCTTGCCCTAACTGACTGTATTGGTTACTTTTGAGAATCAAGTGAGAAAAATGGATATTATAGCATTTTGGCAAATATTTAATGTACCCCTATGAGACAGTATTATTGTTTTTAGGCCGGTGGTTCTAAACTTCAGTATGAGTAATGATCCTTAGAGAATATATGAAAATGCTTATTACTGAGCCTACATTCACAGATTCTGAGGGTCTGTGACCCAGGAATCTGCATTTTAAGAGGCACTTCAAGTAATTATGATGCAAATGGTCCAAGAATTCCACTGAAAAATACTGGTGTGTCTGCAGAATATTGGGGAATTCCTCAGCAAGGTGTCTGTTTTCGGGATGATCTGGGGGCCCTCATCTTGAAGCCTTTGCCTTGGGTTTATCTGTACATACTCAGAAGGGATTTCTCTTATTTCTCATGTTTGTCTGCATGCCATGCAAGGGGCTTACACTCAATAGGTGCTTAGTGGAAATGTGCTGGCCTGCCCTACGTGCAGAAAACCATGATTCTGCAGGTGAATGGGCTGGAGTGTAAGCAGTCTTTTATTTTCTTTTTTTAAATAGCAATGCAGAGTCCTCAGAGAAGAGATTCAGAATGAACAGCTTTGTGTCAGACTTTGGAAGACCTCTGGAGCCAGATAAAGTATTTTCTCGCCAAGGCAACGAGGAGTCCAGGTCTCTCTTTCACTGCTACATCAATGAGGTGGAACGCTTGGACAGAGCCAAAGCTTGTCACCAGACCACAGCCCTTGACAGTGACGTCCAACTCCAGGAAGCCATCAGAAGCAGTGGGCAGCCAGAGGAGGAGCTGAACAGGCTCATGAAGTTTGACATCCCCAACTTTGTGAACACAGACCAGAACTACTTTGGGGAGGATGATCTTCTGATTTCTGAACCACCTATTGTTCTGGAAACTAAGCCACTTTCCCAGACCTCACACAAAGACCTGGATTGAGAAACATGCTCTGTAAAGGGTCTTCCTGAAGATGTGGATTCTATCTTTATGTAGCAAGAAATCTACATCCACCAAAATTGTGTGTGTTTGGGGGAGAGAGAGACATAGAGATAGAGACAGAGAGGCAGAGAAGAGACCCCTTTAGAAGAGAGCTGAGCTGATTAAGCTGAGTGGTTTTTTGTTTTGTTTTGTTTTTGCTTTTTAATACATTTGGAGCTTTGGGAGTATTAAAGTATTTACACCAAGCTTGTCCAACCCGTGGCATGTGTCCCAGGACAGCTTTGAATGTGGCCCAATACAAATTTTAAACTTTATTAAAACATGAGTTTTGTTTTTTTTTTTGCTATTTTTTTTAAAGCTCGTCAGCTATCGTTAGTGTTAGTGTACTTTATGTGTGGCCCAAGACAACTCTTCTTCCAGTGTGGCACAGGGAAGCTAAAAGATTGGACACCTCTGATTTATACTAGCTCGTTTTGCTTGTTGAAAAATTTGGCCAAATACCTATTGTCAGCATTCTTGGGTGAGGATTAGCCTACCATGTTCTAATCTGGCCCTGCCACTACTATGCTCTACCTTTGGTGAGTTGCTTTACCTCTCTGGGCTGCCCCATTTTTAACTGTAGGTTGACAGGTCTAGAGTGATCCATCCCACCTCTAATATTTTGTGAATTTATGACTTTGCCTTCAGATGAGGCTGAGCTATACATAAAACAGTATAAACTAGGGTACTGCCTCGTATCTCTTGTAGGCTCTCTCAAATCTCTGTACCTTCCACTTAACCCTAATTGAGCCAAGCTTTAGTCAGGGGATCTGGTTGTCTACCAGAATGTCAGGAGACTCATCTTACACAGTCATGGTGGCCAATGTTTCTGGTGGGTTGTGCTGAAACAGCTCTTCTGAGAACTTCCAACCACCCATGCTCTAACCTGGAGACAGCCATCCCCTGCCTCAGAATAAGTACCAATTCGTAGTACATGTATGGTACTCTTGTCCCCAAGAAATGTTAGGAAGCTTGTCAGCTGAATGAGAGGAGGTGCCTTCTGGGTATCTCTGTGTTGGTGTATCTGTGCCATTGGCTACAGAACAAGAAAAATACTATTTGCCATGCTATTACCTTGGCAGATGTGTAGGTGATAGTCATCTGGCTTTGAGCTGAGATGGTCAGTGGGTTGTAAATTCCCCACTAGCAGATATTCAGGGTGGCCTGAGTTATGTAAACAAGTGAGCAACACAGCTTTAATTTCATGGAGGAATCAAAGCTGCACACTGGTATTAAAACAACTTGATTTTGCGCACACAGTTGCATGCATGGCAAGCTGTTAACCTCTGGGTGGCATTTTCATTATGAATTTGTTCACCACCTGTCTTGCTTAAGCTACAAAATAAATGCATTTGACTGCACAGAAATTTCCTCTGGTTCTTTATTTTCACACATCCAATTTTTTGTTTCCCAAAAAGTTGTACCATGTTTATAATGTCTCCTAACTTCTTGGAGTAGGCAGTGCTGACTGTACCATCTCTGGGATTCTGGTGATCTGAGCCATGCATGAGATTTAGGGATTATTTCGCTAAAAGAAATCCCTTTTCTATTGTGTATTTTAAAGAAAATATCATTCTTTAAGACTCTAAATAGTAAAACAAAGCATGGAATTTTTTTGTAATTAAAGCTACTTTAACATATTTTTTATAAATAGATGCTATTTTCATGAATTTTTTATGCAAGAGAGCAAGAGTATTAAAGAATGCTGAGTTTGTTAACTTTTTTTTTTTTTTTTTTTTTTTGAGAGACGGAGTCTTGCTCTGTCGCCCAGGCTGGATGGCTCACTGCAGCCTCCCCTCCTGGGTTCAAGTGATTCTCCTGCCTCAGCTTCCCAAGTTGCTGGGACTACAGGCACGTGCCACCACGCCTAGCTAATTTTTGTATTTTTTAGTAGAGACGAGATTTCACTATATGTTGGCCAGGCTGGTCTCGAACTCCTGACCTCAAGTTATCTGCCTGCCTTGGCCTCCCAAAGTGCTGGGATTGCAGGTATGAGCCACCATGCCTGGCCAGAGTTTAACTTCTAATATGAGTATGATTATTCATAATTTATTTAATGAAATATAAATCATGGGCTATTATTAAAGTTCACAGCTACTTAAGTGGTATCTTATTTAGAAGTAGATTTATTGATCAGAAGATTGAAAGATACTTAAACGTCAGACAAATACCCATGACTATATCATCATTTTTATGAACTAAATGTTAAGAACTGTGAATGGTCCAAGATTTTGCCCCTTCTGCAAATCAGCTTGCCATAGTCTCATGGATGCTGCCAGAAGACACAAGAGTCTTGGGTCAGAGACAAAAATCTTCATTACAGCACAGCAGGCCACATATGCTTCATGCTCATGTTGGTTCCTGAGTTTGTTTCCTACTGCTGTTGTAACGAATTACCACAAATTTAGTGACTTAGAGCAACACAAATTTATTCTCTTCCAGTTCTAGAGTAGACAAGTCTAAAATCAGTTTCAGTGGGCTAAAATCAAGGTGTTAGCACAGCAGCATTCCATCTGGAGGCTCTCAGGATTAATCAGTTTTCTTGCCTTTTCTATCTTCCAGGGGTTGCTCCCACTCTGTGGCTCCTCTTCTTCCACTTTACATCTCTGTCTTTAACCATCCTGCTTCTCTCTTATAAGGACCTTTGTGATTACATTGGGTTACCTAAGATGATCTCCCCATCTTGAGATCCTTCATTTAATCACATCTGTAAAGTGTGTGCCTTTTGCCACATAAGGCTACATATTGACAGGTTTCAGGGATTAGGATGTGGACATGCTTGGGGAACCATTAGCCTGCTAGTCTTCCCTTTGGCCCCAAAGGTTTATATCCATTCTATATGCACAATACATACACCCCATCCCAATATACTCCACAGTCTCAATTCATTATAGAATCAATTCAAAGTCACATGTATTACCTAAATCTTATCAGCTTAAAAGTCCCAAATCTTATTATCTTAACCATCTAATTTCAGTATTAGTGAGATCCTGGGTATGATTCATCCTGGGGAAAAACTCTCCATCTGTGGACCTGTAAAACTAGAAAATAAGTTATTTTCTCCCAAAATACAATGATGTGACCGACATAAGATACTAGTTACTAATAGTTGTCTTTCAGTATATGCAGGGGATTGGTTCCAGGCCCCCTGTATACACCAAAATCCTAGCATACTTAAGTTCCACAGTAGGTCCTGCAGAACCCGTGTATATGAAAATTAGCTCTCCGTATAGGTGGGTTTCGCATCCCAAGAATACTGTATTTTCAATCCCCATTTGGTTGAAAAAAAATCTGCATACAAGTGGACACGTGCAGTTCAACCCTATGTTGTTCAAGGATCAACCGTATTCCCATTCCAAAAAGGAGAAAATGGAAGGAAAAAATGAATCATCAGTCCCCAAAATAACAAATCCTTCAAACTGGGAAAACTGTTAAGCTGCAAGGCCTGGAAATAGTCTTTTGTGACTTCTGGCTACATTCTCTGGGCCTGAAGCTCCACTCTTGGAATCATCTTTTCTTTTTCTTGAAAGGTACAATGTGTTTTTAGCTGAGTAGTTTTATCAGCCTTTTTTTCTGCATGTAGAATTTTGGGAGTCTGATAGCCTTCATTTATCTTGCCCTCACTCTGTCCATTTCAGTTGAAGTTGTTATCAGTGCCCTGGGTTCTTGTAATCTTCCAGTATAGACATCAAGAGAGATCACCAAACATAGGAGCAAAGAGAAAGAGAGAGAATAGGGCAAGAAAAATAGAGAGAGAGAAAGAAAAAGGGAATGGGGACTTATCCTATGTAGGAACTTGACTCACCGAGGCACCAGGGTGAAACAATGGTGCAGCTGCCTTGGTTTGTGCCTGGTCAGCCATCTCTGTCGTCTGGGCTGTGCCATTTGCTCCCACAGGACCCTAAAATGAGGGTTCTATCTGGAGTGCCATGAGATGTAATCAGCACCCTGGGTTCTTGTAATCTTCCAGGATGGAAATACAGATCACCAGACATAACAGCAAAGAGAAAGAGAAAGCTTTATTTTAGCTTGTACACAAGGAAGTCAGCACTGCACAAGGAAAAGGGCAGGCTGCTCCCTGAGGGTAGTATGTGAGTCAGTTTTACAGGGCCTTTCCATAGATAAGTGTTTTATCAGGGCATGTATAGGAGGAGTTTCTCTAGCGCTTGGGCAGTGGCTTCACATGCTTCTTTGTACATCACATGTCACAATACATTTTAAATCTCCACCCCTGGTAGTGACTTAGTGACTTTTAGCATTAAAATGAGGAAGGGGTAGCTATGAGTTGAAGTTTAAGTCTAAGTATGCATATGGGGCCTCAGGGAAGTCCCTAATCCCTTAAAGCAGGAACTTGCGGTTAACAGCTTCTTGGATCTTCTTTTGCTGATTGGCTGGAAGTTAGGTAAGCTACAACTTGAGTAAGGAGCTTTTGTTCTTTTTCTCTAAACCACTCCAAAACAGAAAACGAACCAGCCTGGCTGTCTCAAAGTTGGCAGTGTTTCTGCTGGTATAACATTTTCAAGAACTAGGGTGTCTCCTGGATATATCACAGAAACTTACTACATTAGGCAAGAGGCTCTTCTGTGGATCACTCCTGAATAACCCTATCTCTATTCCTAGTTAGTACTTAAATGGATAAAATGATCCATGAGTCACACTCCTAATTTTTTCAGAGAGCCCCCCGTGTGATTTAATACTCTTTTTGTTTCTTTTGAGACAATAGCAAAGGTTGCCTAGTCACAGTCCTTGGCTTTCTCTCCAGAGCATGCTTTCCTGATGATGAATCTCCTAATTTTAGTGTTTTTGCAATATAATTGGCTGAGAATTTCCCAAATCATCAATCCTGATTCCTCTTCACTTAAAGTTCTTCCCTCCATTTTTCTTTCCTCTTGCATTTTACTATCAGTAGCAAGAAGAAACCAGGCCTCATCTTTAACATTTTGCTTGGAAATCCTCTCAGCTAAATATTCAACTTTATTATTTACAGATTTTGCTTTCTACATAATTGCAGGGCACAATTCACCTAAGCTTTCTGCTGCTATGTAACAAGGATCTCCTTTTCTCCAGTTTCCAATAACATGTTCCTCATTTCCATTTTAATTTTCATCTGCAGTACCTTTAGTATCCATATTTCTACCAATAGTCTGTTCATGATGATTTAGATAGTTCATAAGATAATTTTTTTTTTTTGACATGGAGTCTCACTCTGTTGCCAGGCTGGAGTGCAGTGGCGTGATCTCGGCTCACTGCAACCCCCGCCTCCTGGGTTCAAACGATTCTCCTGCCTCAGCCTCCCAAGTAGCTGGGACTACAGGTGCGCACCACCGCACCTGGCCAGATAATTTTTTTTCTATCATGCTCAGCACTTCCCTCTGAGTCCTCACTTAGAGTTGTTCACATCCATATTCCTACTAACAGGCTACTCAAGGCAATCTAGTCAGTTTATATCATGTTCTTCAATATTCTACCAGCCACTGCCCATTGCCAACTCCACATTTTTAGTTGTGTTTTGTTTTTTTACAACAGCAATAGAAATTAATATAGTTCCTCTTGCCTCCAGGTCTCACAGTGTGGAGAAGCAAGGGCTCAAGGAGATGCTGTGCACACAGTGGGTTGGCATCATGGCTGAGGAACCCTGAGCTTAGGGGAACCCTGTGTTTTGACAATGGGTTGCAAGCAAACCTCCCTGGCCTTTACCTCAGAAGGAGATATTATCTTTGTTATGCTGGATAGTAAATAAACCTGCTCTATGCTCCAGAGGGAGACACTATCTCCATCTTCCAAGGCTGTTCACTTTGCAAACATTGTTGAATAGACAGCTGAGACAAAGGCTGTCAGTTTTCCCCTGCTCACTTTACATGCAGAAACCTGAGAGGCCTTTGGAAACTGCCTCCCAAACCTAAAATGATCAAAGAGTATATTGCATAAGTCACTGGGGATTTTTGAAAAAGAGGCAACTTTGAAGAAGTTGTGAAAAGAATGCAGGTGACTTTTTAAATGCCTGAATTTCTCTTTTAGAGATATACAACCACCTCAGGTTAAATTCAATGGATTTTTTCCCTTCTGAAAGCTGCCAAGACTTTGCCAAAATATATACTGTGTATGTGAGCTATTTTATTACCTACTGAAAAATTGTCTATTATTGGTAGAACAATAATCCATCCTGTCACCCAGAAAAGATGTGTAGTAGAAATAGAAAGTCTTTATGTCTAGGCCAGGCTTTTAGATATATTGAGAGAGGCGACTTCAGGCAGCCTGTGATCAGAGGTGTTGAGTTGGCAGCTTGTGCTGATTCTCGAGGCAGATGTGTGTGAGTGGCACAGAGAAAATATTCTTGTCTTTCTATGGAGTTGGAGCTTTTGAATAAATTTTGCAGAAAACTTGGGATCCTCAGCTAAGAACAATCCTTGGGAAGTTCATCTGCAACTGTATACCTAGTGAGAGGTCTCCAGAGAAATACGCCTGCCTTGGGAAGAATGTGTGTACATTTTAAGGAAACATAGTTCATAAAATCCATACTGGAGAGAGAGGTATTTACATTTCTAGGATCTTTTCCACCTGTTCTCTATGGAGTAAAGTTTTTTCTTCCTCATGTTTTGCCTCTTTATCCTGTATATAAACAGAGAAACTCTGTTTTTCTCCATCCCTCGTCTAGGATACAGATGTTGTATGTATAGGAGATTTTAACCTAGTTTGCAATGTTACTTCAGGGGTAGAATTGGGACGTGAGGGACCATGTGGTTATGGATGGCTTTTAAAATGAATAATGAGAATCTGAACCTACCCAGATAACCTTGGGTATACATTTATGATAAAATTAATAAAGACAAATGTTAAAAATTTAACACAAATGTTGTTCGACTTCATTCCAAAAACACCTCATTAGATAGCAGAATAGTGTCAAGTGTAAGTGTAGTACAAGTTGGCCCACACAGTACCCACAGACCCTATGACCTACCAGTGTGAGTTTGAAAGCACCAGCCTTTGACTTCAAGTGAAATGTATGCGAATGACTTGCATTAAAGAAATAATAAATTCAGAGATAATTATGATAACAACAGTGTCATAGGTTGTGTTCCATAAAAGCCTGAAAAGATTTATTGTAGGTGAGCTATAAGAAGGGGAATGATGGAAGCAGTTAGAGCAGGGGAAAAGCCACCAAGAATGTCATCTCAGCTGCAGACTGGCCACATTCTGATCTCACAGGAAGTTCTGGGGCACAAATTGCACTACAGAATCAGTCCCATCCTGAGGCAGGGGCATGATCTTTTGTTGCCCCAAGCCAGTCAGGGTAAGATGGCTTCTGCTTTGATCAAGGGTAATTCTTGAGAGAAGAAGGTGCTGGTTAACATCCCTAGCAGCTGGGAACAGGCATTGGCTAGTAAAGGACCCTGTGTGGGCACTAGCAGCATGCATTACAAACAATAACAGGTGACATTTATTAGGCACTAAGCTACCCCTGTCCTAAATTAATTTTTGTAAGCCTACTATGAGAACTTTCAACAGAGAGGTCTAAGTGATCCTTTAAATATCATAAGTCGGGTTACTTCTCTGTTCAAAATCCTTCAATGGCTTCCCATTTCATGCAGTGAAAAAGCCACAGTCCTTATGATGACCTGAAAGCTCTACATGATCTATGTCCTACTCTCCTGCCCATCACAGAAGCAGCCCTTCCAATAACTTTTATATGTGTGTGTGTGGTGGGGTAGGGCAGGGTGGTCTTAGTAAGCCAAGAGTCATTACATCTGGGATGAGCCCTTTTCCTGAATAGATACGAGCCCACTCTTTTCAGGGCACTGTGTTGTCAGCTCACAAGCTTACGATTGTGGCTTTAAGTTTCCTCTTTATTTTTGTCACCTGGAAACTTCACTTTCCTTCATGCTTAGCTCTATATTACTTTTGTTGTTGTATTTTATCCAACATTACTAAAAGTTTTATTTAAGAGGGATTCAAATTATCTCAGTTCACTGTGTTTCCAGAACTGGAAACATGTTATTTATTCAGTATTAGAATACCTGTTTGATCCTTCTTAAAAATGTATTTAGTATATTTCTCTGGTGAAAATCTTTGTCTTTTCATCTATTTTGTCCATCATTTCCTCTAAGCTCTTAAAATATTGCAATTAATTAGTTTATAGTTTTTATAAAAAGACTCTACTAACTCTAATGCCTAAATAATCTGTGGATTTGCATCTATTGTTTAATGTTTCTTATTCTTATATTATTAATCATATGGTCTTGACATTTCACATGTCTAGACATTTTTTATTATTTGGCAGACATTGTATATGAAAAATCCATTGATACAACATGGGAAATTATCTTCCATGAGAGATGTATTCCTCTTTCCTCTGTTAAGTAGATAGGGCTAGAGGCTGATTATCTCAGTCGAATCAGGCATTGAAGTGGGTCAGGACTGAATTGCATTTTTAAAATAACTTTGAGATATAATTGACAAAATAATTTTTACATATTTGAAGTGCACAATTTAATACATTTTGACACAGTATACAGTCAAGAAACCATCACCACAATCAAGATAATAAACATGTCCATCATCCATAAAAATTATGATGCCCTTTTATAATCCCTCCCTCCCATCCCTTTCTCTGAAACTACAGATCTGCTTTGCATTACAACAGATCAGTCCATATTTTCATGGTATTTATATAAGTGAAATCATGCAGTACATACTCTGTTTTGCCTGGCTTCTTTCATTCAGCGTAATTATTTTGAGATTCGTCCATGTTGTTGTGTGTATCAATAGTTCATTCTTTTCATTGCTGAGTAGTGTTTCATTGTGTGGCTATACATACCATAATTTGCTTATCTATTTATTTGTTGATGGATATTTGGGTTACTTATAATTTTGGCTATTGTAAATAAATATTTTCTATGAATATTTGCTGTAAATATTCATTTATAAGTCTTCATGTGAACATGTGCTTCTACTTGTTTAAGTTCCTAGAAGAGGAATGTCTGGGTCATATGGTAGGTAGGCATTTGTCTTTTTAAGAAACTGCTAAACAGTTTTCCAAAATGGTTGTATGATTTTAACTTTCTCATAGTGTATGTGAATTCTGGTTGCTCCACTTCCTTTCCAACATATTGTAACATCAGTCTTTTAAATTGTATTCATTCTAATATGCATGTGTAGTAGTATGTCATTTTTCAATTGCATTTCTCTAATGGTATTCAGCATTTTTTCATATGCTTATTTTTCATCAGTATATCTTTAGCAAAGTGCCTTTCAAGTCTTTGTCCCATTGTTTTATTAGGGAATTTGTTTTATTGTTGTTTTGAGAGTTCTTTATATTCTGTAAATATAAGTTATTTATCAGATATAGGATCTGCAAATAGTTTCTCTCAGTTTGTGGGTTGTCTTTTCATATCCTTAACAGTGTCTTCAAAGGACAGAAATTCTTCATTTTGGTGAACTCTAATCCATAATTTTTTTAATAGATATCATGCTTTTAGTGTCATATGAAAGAAATCTTTGCCAAACCCAAGGTCATAAAGGTATAATCCTATGCTTTTTTTTTCTAGAAGTTCTATAGTTTCAGATTTTCATTAAGGTTCGTGATTCATTTTGAGTTTTTTTCTTAAACATGGTGTGAGATCACCATGATCTTTTTAATGAGAGATCAAAAAAGATCCTTTTCTTTTTTTTTTTTTTTTGCTTATGGATATCTAATCGTTCCAGCATGGTTTGGTGAAAAGATCTTTTCTCCAGTGTATTGCCTCTGCAACTTTACTGAAAATCAGTTGTCTATATATGTGTTGGCTTTATTTATTTTTTATTTTTAAATTTTTTTTACAATTCTGGACATTCTATTCACCTGTTTGACACTCATTCCACACTTCTTGTTTATTATAGCTTTAGAAGTCTTGAAATCAGTAGTAATATAGTCTGGATATTTGCCCCCTCCAAATCTCATGTTTAAATGTAACCTCCGATGTTGGAGTTGGGCCTAGTGGAAGGTGTTTGGGTCATCAGGGCAGATTCCTCATGAATGGCTGTCCTCACAGTAATGAGTGAGTTCTCTAAGAGTTCACATGAGAGCTGGATATTTAAAGGAGCCTGGCACCTCCTCCTCTCCTTCTTGCTCCCTCTCTCAGCATGTGATGCACCTGCTCCCCCTGTGCCTTCTCCATGAGTGAAAGCTCCCTGAGGCCTCACCAGAAGCTGAGCAGATGCTGGTGCCACACTTGTGCAGCCTGAATAACTTAACTGTGAGCCAAACAAACCTCCTTTCTTTATAAATTACCTACTCTCAGGTATTCCTTTGTACTAATGCAAATGGATTAATACAGATAGTGTATATCTTCTTCTTCTCTCTCTCTTTTTTTTTTTTTTATTTGAGACAGATTCTTGCTCTGTTCCCCAGGGGAGTATAGTGGTGGGATCTTGGCTCATTGCAAACTCCACCTCTTGGGTTCAAGCGATTCTCCCGCCTCAGCCTTCTGAGAGCTGGGATTACAGGCGCATGCCCCCATGCCCAGCAAATTTTTACATTTTTAGTAGGGATGGGGTTTTGCCATGTTGGCCAGGCTGATCTCGAACTCCTGGCCCCAAGTGATCCACTTGCCTTGGCCTCCCAAAGTGCTGGGAATACAGACATGAGCCACCATACCCAGCCAAGTCTTCTAATGTTGTTCTTCCTGTTTATTTTTGTTTTGACTATTTGGCATCCTTTGCATTTCTATATGAATTTTAGAATCAGTTTTTTATTTTTATTTTTATTTGTTTATTTGGTTTTTGAGACAGGGTCTCACTCTGTCACCCAGGCTGGAATGCAGTGGAACAATCGTGGCTCACTGCAGCCTCAACTTCCCTGGGCTCAAGCCATCTTCCCACCTCAGCCTCCTGGGTTGCTGAGACTGCAGGCACCTGCCACCACACCTACCTAATTTTTTTCTTGTATTTTGTAGAGACAGCATTTCGCCATGTTGTCCAGGCTGGTCTTGAACTCCTGGGCTCAAGCAATCCACCTGCTTCAGCCTCCTGAAGTGCTGAAATTACAGGTGTGAGCCAACATGCCTGGCCAGAATCAGTTTTTAAATTCCCTGTCTTACACCCTGTTCTCCCTAAATTCCACTCATTTCTTAAGATACAACTTGAAAGCTATATTTTTCAAAAAATGTGCTCTAGATCCCTGGAGAAAGAAATTTCTACTTTCTCTGTGCTCTCTTCACACTTCATAACATTTTTATTGCATATATTCACATTTGGCTATATGTACATGTCTGATCTTTTCTGCCACACAGTAAACCTTTCAAGATCAGGAATCTTGGTGTGTTCCATCTGTCTGCTTGAAAAACTAGTTTTATACTTTGCAGGAGTGAGCCCTGTATTAAGAGAGACCTGCAGAAGACATGTAGCTCATTTCCTGCATATTGTCAAGGCATCCAGTAGATTTACAATTGTTTATTCTATTGTTTGATGTCTCCAAGATCTCTCAGTCTTTTATTATTTCTATTGACACTAATGTACTTTCAAAGAATAATGGGATTATTATTTTCCAAATATCCAAACATACTCTAATTGACTTATGATGGTAACATGCAGCTGCATCTTAATGTATTCATTGTTCACATCCTCCTTCATCCTTGAACTCTTGGAGGAATGTCACATCATTAAAGATATTGATATCTTTGGCTAGCAGTGCAATAGTACATCAACTCAGACCTACTGAATATACACTGGCCCTTTATCTTATTATTCTCAGGAAGATTATTTTCATGGAGTTTAATTATGTCCTTCTTAGGGAAGAAATTCAGCTTAGTGATCTGGCAGCATGGGAATACGTGTAGCCTGCTTTTTGTAGGGCCTAAATTGTTTCATACTTATTAGGGACAAATACAATACAGAAATTGTTTTAGCATCTGACAAGTTAGCAGCATAACTATATGAGTAGGGAAATCAGCTTTCCCATCCCACTCAGGCATTATGCAAGTGTGACACTCACCTTGGGTAATGGTTTCCCCTGTGAGCAGTTTAAGGCTTCAGGACAGTTATGAATTTGGCTTTGTGTTTTTCTTCCTTAGTCTTTCCACATTGATTACACCTGGTGAGATTATATGAATCCTGTTTATTTGCAGCATAGCACTAATCTTTACTAAAGCATCATATGTTTAAAAGCTAGTAGATAATTTGTTAGAAAATAGAAATGCTCTCAGATTTCATCCTAAAGTAGAAACTTGATTAGTGGTTAAAGAAAATTTATATTAAAAAATTAAATACAGAGATATCAAAACAAAAAATGATTATTAGTTGATTCCATTAAATACTATAGCAGTCATTTGCCTTTAAGCCTATTTCTATGGAAGCTTTGCAATGCTTCTCTCTTAAATTCCATCAAAGTCCTGTGTCATTATCATCATTATCTTCATCATCATGGAATTAATTGCTCTGGAATATCCCAGGGAATTAAAGAGTTGAACACACAGGGGATGTGTGTAAGTCAGTGTGTGTGCATGTATACAATGAGAATAATAATAAGACATTAGATCTTGGATATATATTCCATTGAGAGAAGGATGTGATCAGGAAAACTTGGTGTGGTGAAAAAATAAAGCAGTAGGAGTGAGATGGTCAAATGGAAAGAAGTCATAGCAAAGGTGGTAGCAGAGTGGCATGGTTAAAAAATTCATAGAGCGGTTTGAAGGAAGGGGAGTGTTGTAGACAAAATAATGCTACCCACCACTCACCCACCTATGTCCGCCTGTGAATATGTTATTTATTGGCAAAAGGGCCTTTGCAGATTAAGGACCTTGAGATGAGGAGACTGGAAAATGAGCTTGCATTATCCAGGTGGGCCCAATCTAATCACATGAGTGGGGCATAAAATCAGAGAAGCTGAGTTAGAGCTTGAGGGAGATGTGACCATGGAAGAAGGCTCAGAGAGATGCAAAGTTGCTGGCTATGAAGATGGAGGAAGGGAGGCACAAGCCAAGGAATGTGAGTGGTTTCCAGAAGCTGGAAAAGGCAAGAAAACAGATTCTTTTCTAGAGCATCCAGAAAAGAGCACAGTCTTGCCGATACCTTGATTTTAGCCCAACAAGAACTGTGCTGGACATTTGACCTACAGAACTGTAAGACGATAAGCTTGTGTTGTTTTAAGTCATTATGTTTGCTATAACTTGTTACAACAGCAATAGAAAACTAATATAGGGAGGATTTATGTAAGACATTAGAGGTCTGTTATGGAGTGTGGATAGGAAGGCTGGGATCAGAGTGAGGAGGACCTCGGTGATTAAGGCAAGGATTCTGATGTTTACAACTTAAAAAAAAAAATAATGTGAGGTGGGCAGGTGGAATGTGTCAAGCAATTTTTTAGGAAGAACTACCTGTCAATGCTGTTGTAGACTATTTGGAGTGATGGGAGCATTGGAGTAGAGGAATCAGTTAAGCTCCTACTAGAAAATCAAGAAGTAAAATGATGACAGAGCTTCAGTAATGGTGGTAGCTATGAAAATGTAGACAGACAAATATATACATTATCTTGAAGAAAGTGGCTACAAGTTTGATGACTCCATGTTGGAGAAGATAAGTAAAGGATGCTTCAAAGTTTAAAACTGGCTGAATAGAGATGATGAAACATAGTGAGTAGGCAGCTGAGTTTAATGAGGACAGATTCTGGCAGAAATTGGAAACAGATGTTGGCATTCATGAGCAAGGAAAGAGGAAGGGTAGAAACGTAGATCCAATGTTATCTTGTTATCCCACTAGTAGTGGTATTTGTGCCATGATGGTAGATAAAATCTGTGGGGATTTGAGGGGAGGGAGTGCTTTATTTGTGGAAGGAGATCAAGGGATGACAAAGGTGATTAATTTCCTGAGCCCCTACTTTGTGTGTGAGGCTGGACTGCTGTGAAGGCTCTGATTCCAAATCAGGGGGTGAGCACCTGCCCTTTTTTTGCTACAGCTTCATTCACTCATTCCTGATAATGAGCAAAATAGGTAAGAAGACATGAGATTGCAAAGGTATGATTCCTTACCCTGACAGCCCAGAGCTGGTGAAAGACCAAGATGCTTTATTGCACCCAGTTTGCTCCAGTAAGCAGGATCAATTTTGCCCTTTATAAATAATTCAAATTCTTTCCTTCATGAATTCACTTGTGTGTACCTCACAAATCCTTTTCAGAAAACCATTCCAGACTTTTCTCCAAGAAGTTTCATAGACCTTGTGTAGCTCTATTTCTATTATCTGTCCTCTGTATCTGCATAAGGGTTTTGTTATTGTAATACCAATACCATTAGATAGGAACCATTGGTACCATGACCATAAGTGCAGGGTACGCTTTACTGAGACTAAATATCCTTGGTCAGGCTCCTGCTGTGTTCTTGACTTCATTTTTGTGCTCCAAGAATGCATAACTTGTATAATTACCTTCTCCATTTGTTTGGTCTGCTCCTCTATAGTCTACTCCATTTTTGTTTTACTTGAATTTACAACTCATTTTATTCTACTAAAGAAACCTGATGCCTCTTCTCCTATAGATTTCCCCTCAAATTAATACTGTACTTCAACAAACTTAATTCTTCCAACAATCTTATAAAGCAGGTATACATGGGAAAGAAAAGGGTTTCCCTCAATTTGTATTATTTGGGTAGCTGTGCCAAGGCTTGGGGCTTGAATCCTCTGAAGCCACAGGCCGAGCTCTACATTGGCCACTTTCAGCCATGGCTGGAGTGGCTGGAATGCAGGGCACCAAGTCCCTAGGCTGCACACAGCACAAGAACTCTGGTTCCTGCCCACGAAACCATCTTTTCCTCCTAGGCCTCTGTGCCTGGGATGGAAGGGGCTGTCATGAAGACCTCCAACGTTCCCTGAAGATATTTTCCCCATTATCTTGGGGATAAAAATTCGGCTCCTCATTAATTATGCAAATCTCTGCAGCTGGCTTGAATTTCTCCTCAGAAAATGGGATTTTCTTTTCTATCGCATAGTTAGGCTACAAATTTTTACAACTTTTATGCTGTGTTTCCCTTTTAAAATTGAATGCCTGTAACAGTACCCAAGTCACCTCTTGAATGCTTTGTTGCTTAGAAATTTCTTCCATCGGCTGGGCGCAGTGGCTCACGCCTGTAATCCCAGCACTTTGGGAGGCCAAGGTGGGTGGATCACGAGGTCAGGAGATCGAGACCATCCTGGACAACATGCTGAAACCCTGTCTCTACTAAAAATACAAAAAATTAGCCAGGCATGGTGGTGGGCGTCTGTAGTCCCAGCTACTTGGGAGGCTGAGGCAGGAGAATGGCATGAACCCAGGAGGCGGAGCTTGCAGTGAGCCAAGATCACACCACTGCCCTCCAGCCTGGGCTACAGAGCAAGACTCCGTCTCAAAAAAAAAAGAAATTTCTTTCATCAGATACCCTAAATCATCTGTCTCAAGTTCAAAGTTCCACCAATCTCTAGGGCAGAGGCAAAATGCCACGAGTCTCTTTGCTAAAACATAAGAGTCACCTTTGCTCCAATTCCCAACAAGTTCATCTCCATCTGAGACCACCTCAGCCTGGATTTCATTGTCCATATCATTATCAGAATTTTGATCAAAGCCATTCAACAAGTCTCTAGGGAGTCCCAAGCTTTCCCACATTTTCCTGTCTTCTTCTGAGTCCTCCAAACTGTTCCAACCTCTGCTTGTTACCCAGTTCTAAAGTAGCTTCCACATTTTTGGGTATATTTTCAGCAATGCCCCACTCTATAGGTACTAATTTATTGTATTCTGTTTTCATGCTGCTGATAAAGACATGCCTGAGACTGGGCAATTTACAAAAGAAAGAGGTTTAATTGGACTTACAGTTCCACGTGGCTGGGGAAGCCTCACAATCATGGCAGAAGGCAAGGAGGAGCAAGTCATGTCTTACATGGATGACAGCAGGCAAAGAGAGAGAGAGCTTGTGCAGCGGAATTCCTCTTTTCAAAACCATCAGATCTCATGAGACTTATTCACTATCATGAGAACAGCATGGGAAAGACTTGCCCCCATGATTCACTTACCTCCCACTGGGTCCCTCCCGAAACATGTGGGAATTCAAGATGAGGTTTGGGTGGGGTCACAGCCAAACCATATCAGCATGGTAGTACTAAGAGACACCCTAAGGGATCTTCTGTATTCCAGAGTTACTGTTCTCTACCTCCATTGTGGAGTAGCAGTCCAATTTCCCCTTGGCAGCCTGGATTAGTCACTCTAGGCAATATCATAACTTCCTTCTTGGTCTGTTGACTCAGAGGCATGAGGAGCCCAAAGTAGCTGGATTGCAATCTTCACTTTCAGGTCAATGAAATCATTGTTTTATCTCTTGGTGGAAGTATGCTTCCCTCTGGAACTAAGGCCTCTAAGTCAACAGAGCATAAAGTCACAGGAACAGAAAGTAAAAATTTTGCTAGTGGGTCACTAGGGGTAATGTGGAGTGGTGCCATTCCCATTTCCACCCCTTGATTCCTAGACCTATATATTTTGCCAGTAAGAAAATCTATCACATATTAGACACTGATTCAGAGCATCTATAACCTTCTTGAGAACCTTGCCCCAGCCCTGCAAGGTACTGTCACTTAGCTGTCACTGTAACTGTATCTTCAAATGACAATCCCACCATTCTATCAAGCCAGCTGCTTCAGGATGTTGAAGAACATGGTAAGACCAGTGAATTCCATGAACATTAGGCCACTGACATACTTCTTTGGCTTGTGAAATGATTTTCTTGGTCAGTAGCAGTGCTTTGTGGAATACCATGACTGTGGATAAGGCATTCTATACGTCAGTGGTTGGTGGTTTTGGCAGAAGCATTACATGCAGGAAAGGCAAATCCATATCCACACTGTCTATTCCACTAAGGACAAAATGCTGCCCCTTCCATGATGGAAGTGATCCAATGTAATTAACCTGCCACCAGGTAGCTGACTGATAACCCCTGAGGATGGTGCCATATTGAGGACTCAGGGTTGGTCTCTGCTGCTGGCATATTGGGCACTTAGCAGTGGTCATACCCAGGAAGGCTTTTGTGAGTGGAGGTCCATGTTGTTGAGCCTATGCATATCCTCCATCCCTGACTGCATATTACAGAATTATCTGTAAACCATGCCTGAGTTTCTCTTCCTTTGTCAACTGATTGTAGGGTACTCCCCTGTGAGGCCATGGATGCAGGCTGGGAGAAAGAAGACAATATAACAGGAGTAGGAACGATGGGCATTTGGGCCACCTCTTCATGTAACATACTTATGCCTTCGGGACCTGCTCAAGGCTGATCACTTATATACCATTTCCATTTGATGATGGAGTGCTGCTGTGCATGCCCAATTTTTACAGTTCAGTGGGTCAGACAACATGCAGTTCATGATAGACAGCTTAGTTTGCATGGGAACTTTGTGGCTTATGGTCAAGGGTTCAGTTTCTACTAAGGCCCAGTAGCAGGTAAAGAGCTGCTTCTCAAAAGGAGAGCCATCTATGGATGATGGTAGGGCCTTGCTGTAAAATCGTAAAGGCTTGAGCTTCAATTCACATATAGGGTCCTTCCAAAGGCTCCAAACCGCATCCCTGTCTTCCACTGAGACCTCAAGCACCATTGGATCTGCTGGATCATATAGCCCAAATGGCAGAGCAGTCTGTACAACAGCCTAGACCTGTTGGAGAGGCTTCTCCTATTCTGCACCCTACTCAAAACTAGTAGCTTTTTGGGTCATGTGGTACATGAGACGAGTAACACACCCAAATGAGTAATATGTTGCCTCCAAAATCCAACTAGGTCCACTAGGCATTGTGCCCCCTTCTTGGTTGTAGGAGCGGCCAGAAGCAAGAATATATATTTTACCTTAGAAGTAATATCTTACTATTCCCCAAAACACTGGACCCCTAGAAATTTCAGTGAGGTAGAAGGACCCAGAATTTTAGTTGATTTTATTTCCCACCCTCTCACATGCAAATGTCTTAATAAGTCCAGAGTAGTTGCTACTTCTTCTTCATTGGATCCAATCAGCATAACATTATTAATGAAATGGAACAATGTGATACCTTGTGAAAGGGAAAGGCAATCAAGATCTTTGTGAACCAAATTGTGATACAGTGCTGGAGGGTTGATATAATCCTGATATAGGACAGTGAAGGTGTACTGCTGGCCTTACCAGCTGAAAGAAAACTGTGATACAGTGCTGGAGGGTTGATATAATCCTGATGTAGGACAGTGAAGGTGTATTGCTGGCCTTACCAGCTGAAAGCAAACTGTTTATGGTTGGTTTTATGGACAGGTGTGAAGAAAAAGGCATTTGCCAGATTAATAGCTGCATACAGCTCCCAAGAGATGTGTTAATTTGCTCAAGCAATAAAACCACATGTGGTACAGTAGCTGAATTAGAGTCACTACTTGGTTAAAGTATAGCAATCTGCTGTCATTCCTCAAGAATACACCAAACCAGGATATTAACCACTGATCTAGCAACAATGTGGGATCAGACATAGCTTTGATTTGTTGGTACATGTCTTGCAGGGCTATCAAGATATTTCCCAAATTATCTGGGATGTATGCACAGCATTTAGTCTTAATTATTATGCCCTTTCCCCACTGTCAGTTGTACTTGGAGGTCCTGTGGGGATATGATGACAGGTTGGCTAAATATATATTTAATATATGTGTGCATGTGTCTTTATAACAGAGCCATTTATATTCCTTTGGGTATATAACCAGTAATGGGACTGCTGGGTCAAATGGTATTTCTGCCTCTAGGTCTTTGAGAAATTGCCACATTGGTTGAACTCATTTAAACTCCCATCAACAGTATAAAAGTATTCCTTTTTCTCCACAACCTTGCCAGCATCTGTTGTTGTTTCACTTTATAATAGTAGCCATTCTAACTGGTGTGAGATGGTATCTCATTGTGGTTTTGATATGCATTTCTCTAATGATCAGTGATGTTGAGTTTTTTTTTTTATATGTGTGCTGGCCACATTTATGTCTTCTTTCAAGAAGTGTCTGTTCATGTCCTTTGCCTACTTTTTAGTGGGGTTGTTTATTTTTTTCTAAATTTGTTTAAGTTCCTTATAGATGCTGGATATTAGACCTTTGTCAGATGCACCAATTGCCAAAAATCTTCTCCCATTCCATAGGTTGTCTGTTTACTCTGTGGATAATTTCTTTTTCTAGGAAGAAGCTCTTTAGTTAGATCCCATTTGTCAAATTTTGTTTCTGTTTCAAGTGCTATTGGCATCTTTGTCATCAAATCTTTGACCATGTTTATGTCCTAAATGGTATCGCCTAGGTTTTCTTACAGGGTTTTTATAGTTTGAGGATTTACATTTAAGTCTTTAATTCATCTTGAGTTCATTTTATATATGGTGTAAGGAAGGGGTTCAGTTTCAATTTTGTGCATATGGCTAGCCAGTTCTCCCAGCACAATTTATTCAATAAGGAATCCTTTCCCCCTGGCTTGTTTTTGTCGTTTGTTGAAGATCAGATGGTTGTAGATGTGTGGTCCTATTTCTGGGCTCTTTATTCTGTACCATTGGTCTATGTGTCTGTTCTTGTACCAATACCATGCTCTTTTGGTTGCTGTATCCTTATAGTGTAGTTTGAAGGCGGGTAGTGTGATGCCTCCAGCTTTGTTCTTTTTGCTTAGGATTGTCTTGGCTTTTTGGGCTCTTTTTTGATTCCATAGGCAATTTAAAATAGTGTTTCCTAATTCTGTGAAGAATGTCAAAGGTAGTTTAATGGGAATAGCACTGAATCTATACATTGCTTTGGGCAGTATGACTATATGCATGCTATTGATTCCTCCTATCCGTGAGCATTGAATGTGTTTCTATTTGTTTGTGTCTTTCTCTGATTTCTTTGAGCAGTGGTTTATAGTTTTCCTTGAAGAGGTCCTTCATTCCCTTGTTAGCTATTCCTAGGTATTTTATTCCTTTTGTGGCAGTTGTGAATGAAAGTTCATTCAAGGTTTAGCTCTCTCGGTTTGCCTGTTGTTGGTATATAGGAAGGATAGCAATTTTTGCACATTGATTTTGTATACCGAAGTTGCTTATTAGTTTAAGAAGCTTTTGAGCTGAGATGAGGGAGGTTTCTTTTCTTAAAACACTCAACTTCTTTATTATTATTATTGTACTTTAAGTTCTGGGGTACATGTGCAGAACATGCAGTTTTGTTACATAGGTATACACGTGCCATAATTGTTTGCTGTACCTATCAACCCGTCATCTACATTAGCTATTTCTCTTAATGCTATCCCTCCCCTAGCCCCCCACCCCCCGACAGGTCCTGGTGTGTGATGTTCCCCTCCCTGTGTCCATGTGTTCTCGTTCTTCAACTGCCACTTATGAGTGAGAACGTGCGGTGTTTGGTTTTCTCTTCTTGCCTTAGTTTGCTGAGAATGATGGTTTCCAGCTTCATCCATGTCCCTGCAAAGGACATGAACTCATCGTTTTTTATGGCTGCATAGTATTCCATGGTGTATATGTGCCATATTTGCTTTATCCAGTCTAACATTGATGGGCATTTGGGTTGGTTCCAAGTCTTTGCTATTGTGAACAGTGCCGCAATAAACATACATGTGCATGTGTCTTCATAGTAGCATGATTTATAATCCTTTGGGTATATACCCAGTAATGGGATTGCTGGGTCTGGTTCTAGATCCTTGAGGAATTGCCATACTGTCTTCCAAAATGGTTGAACTAATTTACACTCCCACCAACAATGTAAAAGTGTTCCTATTTCTCCACATCTTCTCCAGCATCTGTTGCTTCCTGACTTTTCAATGATCACCATTGTAACTGCCATGAGATGGTATCTCATTGTGGTTTTGATTTGCATTTCTCTAATGACCAGTGATGATTAACTTTCTTTCATATATTTGTTGGCTACATAAATGTTTTCTTTTGAGAACTGTCTGTTCATATCCTTCACCCACTTTTTGATGGGGTTTTTTTTTCTTGTAAATTTAAGTTCTTTGTAGATTCTGGATATTAGCCCTTTTTCCAGATGGATAGATTGCAAAGATTTTCTACGATAGATTGCAAAGATTTTCTACCATTCTGTAGGTTGCCTGTTCACTCTGATGATAGTTTCTTTTGCTGTGCAGAAGTTCTTTAATTAGATCCCATTTGTCAGTTTTGGCTTTTGTTGCCATTGCTTTTGGTGTTTTAGTCATGAAGGCTTTGCCCATGCCTATGTCCTGAATGGTATTGCCTAGGTTTTCTCCTAGTGCTTTTATGGTTTTAGGTCTTACATTTAAGTCTGTGATCCATCTTGAGTTAATTTTTGTATAAGGTGTAAGGAAGGGGTTCAGTTTCAGTTTTCTGCATATGGCTAGCCTGTTTTCCCAACACCATTTATTAAACAGGGAATCCTTTCCCCATTGCTTGTTTTTGTCAGGTTTATCAAAGATCAGATGGTTGTAGATGTGTGGTGTTATTTCTGAGGCCTCTGTTTTGTTCCATTGGTCTATATATCTGTTTTGGTACCAGTAGTATGCTGTTTTGGTTACTGTAGCCTTGTAGTATAGGTTGAAGCCAGATAGCATGATGCCTTCAGTTTTGTTCTTTTTGCTGAGGATTGTCTTGGCTAAATGAGCTGTTTTTTTGGTTCCCTATGAAATTTAAAGTATTTTTTTTTCCAATTCTGTGAAGAAAGTCAGTGGTAGCTTGATGGGAATAGCATTCAATCTATAAATTACTTTGGGCAGTATGATCATTTTAATGACATTGATTTCTTCCCATCCATGAGCATGGAATGTTTTTCCATTTGTTTGTGTCCTCTCTTATTTTCTTGAGTGGTGGTTTGTAGTTCTCCTTGAAGCAGTCCTTCAGATCCCTTGTAAGTTTTATTCCTAGTTATTTTATTCTCTTTGTAGCAATTGTGAATGGGAGTTCACTCATGATTTGGCTCTCTCTTTGTCTATTATTTGTGTATAGGAATGCTTGTGATTCTGCACATTGATTTTGTATACTGAGACTTTGCTGAAGTTGCTTATCAGCTTAAGGAGATTTGAGCTGAGACAATGGGGTTTTCTAAATATACAATCATGTCATCTGCAAAAAGAGACAATTTGACTTCCTCTTTTTCTATTTGAATACCGTTTATTTCTTTCTCTTGCCTAATTGCCCTGGCCCAAACTTCCAATACTGTGTTGAATAGGAGTGGTGAGAGAGGGCATCCCTGTCTTGTGCCAGTTTTCAAAGGGAATGCTTCCAGTTTTTGCTCATTCAGTATGATATTGGCTGTGGGTTTGTCATAGATAGCTCTTATTATTTTGAGATACGTTCCATCAATACCTACTTTATTGAGAGTTTTTAGCATGAAGGGCTGTTGAATTTTGTCGAAGGCCTTTTCTGCATCTATTGAGATAATCATGTGGTTTTTGTCATGGGTTCTGTTTATGTGATGGATTACATTTATTGATTTGCATATGTTGAATCAGCCTTGCATCCCAGGGATGAAGCCAACTTGATCATTGTGGATAAGCTTTCTGATGTGCTGCTGGATTTGGTTTGTGAATATTTTTTTGAGGATTTTCGCATCAATGTTATCATGGATATCGGCCTGAAATTTTCTTTTTTTGCTGTGTTTCTGCCAGGTTTTGGTATCAGGATGATGCTGGCCTCCTCAAATGAGTTAGGGAGGAGTCCCCCTTTTTCTATTGTTTGGAATAGTGTCATAAGGATTGGTACCAGCTCCTGTTTGTAACTCTGGTAGAATTAGGCTGTGAATCCGTCTGGTCCTGGGCTTCTTTTGGTTGGTAGGCTATTAATTACTCCCTCAATTTCAGAACTTGTTATTGGTCTATTCAGGGATTTGACTTCTTCCTGGTGTAGACTTGGGAGACTGTATGTGTACAGGAAATTGTCCATTTCTTCTTGATTTTCTAGTTAATTTGCACAGGGGTGTTTATAGTATTCTTTGATGGTAGTTTGTATTTCTGTGGGATCAGTGGTGATATCCCCTTTATCATTTTTTATTGCATCTATTTGATTCTTCTCTCTCTTCTTCTTTATTAGTCTGGCTAGCAGTCTATCTATTTTGTTAATCTTTACAAAAAACTGGCTCCTGGATTCATTGATTTTTATGAGGGATTTTTTATGTCTCTGTCTTCTTCAGTTCTGATCTGATCTTAGTTATTTCTTGTCTTCTGCTAGCTTTTGAATACGTTTGCTCTTGCCTCTCTAGTTCTTTTGTGATGTTAGGGTGTTGATTTTAGATCTTTCCTGCTTTCTCTTGTGGGCATTTAGTGCTATAAATTTCCCTCTACACACTGCTTTAAATGTGTCCCAGAGATTCTGGTACATCATGTCTTTGTTCTCACTGGTTTCAAATAACATCTTTATTTCTGCCTTAATTTTGTTATTTACCCAGTAGTCATTCAGGAGCAGTTGTTCAGTTTCCATGTAGTTGTGCAGTTTTGAGTGAGTTTTTAATCCTGAGTTCTAATTTGATTGCACTGTGGTCTGAGAGACTGTTTATGATTTCTGTTTTTTGCATTTGCTGAGGAGTGTTTTACTTCCAATTATGTGGTCAATTTTAGAATAAGTGTGATGTGGTGCTGAGAAGAATGTATATTCTGTTGATTTGGGGTGGAGAGTTCTGTAGATGTCTATTAGGTCCTCTTGGTCCAGAGCTGAGTTCGAGTCCTGAATATCCTTGTTAATTTTCTGTCTCATTGATCTGTCTAATATTGACAGTAGGGTAAAGTCTCCCATTATTGTGTGGGAGTCTAAGTCTCTTTGTAGGTCTCTCAGAACTTGCTTTATGAATCTTTGTGCTCTTTTATTGGGTGCATATATATTTAGGATAGTTAGCTCTTCTTGTTGCATTGATCCCTTTACCATTATGTAATACCCTTCTTTGTCTCATTTGATCTTTGTTTAAAGTCTGTTTTATCAGAGACTAGGATTGCAACCCCTGCTTATTTTGCTTTCCATTTGCCTTGTAAATCTTCCTCCATCCCCTTATTTGGAGCCTATGTGTGTCTCTGCACGTGACATGGGTCTCCTGAATACAGCACACTGATGGGTCTTGACTCTTTATCCAATTTGCCAGTCTGTGTCTTTTAATTGGGGCATTTAGGACATTTACATTTAAGGTTAATATTTTTATGTGTGAATTTGATCCTGTCATTATGATCCTAGCTGGTTATTTTACCCATTAGTTGATGCAGTTTCTTCATAGTGTCAATGGTCTTTACAATTTGTTATGTTTTTGCAGTGGCTGGTACTGGTTGTTCCTTTCCAACTTCAGTGCTTCCTTCAGGAGCTCTAGTAAGGCAGGCCTGGAGGTGACAAAATCTCTCAGCATTTGCTTGTCTGTAAAGGATTTCATTTCTCTTTCACTTTTGAAGCTTAATTTGGCTAGAAATGAAATTCTGGCTTGAAAATTATTTAAGAACATTGAATATTGGCCCCCAGCCTCTTCTGGCTTGTAGGGTTTCTGCCGAGAGATCTGTTAGTCTGATGGGTTTCCCTTTGTGGGTAAGCTGACCTTTCTCTCTTGCTGCCTTTAACATTTTTTTTGTTAATTTCAACCTTGTTGAATCTGACAATTATGTGTCTTGGGGTTGCTCTTCTTGAGTAGTATCTTTGTGGTGTTCTCTGTATTTCCTGAATTTGAATGTTGCCCTGTCTTGCTAGGTTGGGGAAATTCTCCTGGATAATATCCTGAAGAGTGTTTTCCAACTTGGTTCCATTCTCCCCCTCACTTCAGGTACACCAATCAAACATACGTTTGGTCTTTTCACATAGTCCCATATTTCTTGGAGACTTTGTTCATTCCTTTTCATTCTTTTTTCTCTAATCTTGTTTTCAAACTTTATTTCATTGAGTTAATCTTCAATCTCTGATGTCCTTTCTTCCACTTGATCGATTTGACTATTGATATTTGTGTATGCTTCACAAAGTTCTCATGTTGTGTTTTTCAGCTCCATCAGGTCATTGATGTTCTCTAAACTGGTCATTCTAGTTAGGAACTCCTCTAACCTTTTTTCAAGGTTCTTAGCTTCCTTGCATTGGGTTAGAACATGCTCCTTTAGCTCAGAGGAGTTTGTTATTACCCACCTTCTGAAGCCTACTTCTGTCAGTTCGTCAAACTCATTCTCTGTCCAGTTTTGTTCCCTTGCTGGTGAGGAGTTGTGATCCTTTGGAGAAGAGGCATTCTGGTTTTTAGAATTTTCAGCCTTTTTGTGCTGATTTCTCCCCATCTTTGTGGATTTATCTACCTTTGCTCTTTGATGTTGGTGACCTTCGGATGGGGTCTCTGCATGGACGTCCTTTCTGTTGATGTTGATCCCACTCCTTTCTGTTTATTTGTTTTCCTTCTAACAGTCAGGCCCACTGCTGCAGGTCGCTGGAGTTTGTTGGACATCCACTGCAGACCCTGTTTTCCTGGGTATCACCAGCAGAAGCTGCAGAACAGCAAAGATTGCTGCCTGTTCCTTTCTCTGGAAGCTTCGTCCCAGAGGGGCACCCGTCAGATGCCAGCCAGAGCTCTCCTGTATGAGGTGTCTGTTGACCCCTGCTGGGAGGTGTCTCCCAGTCAGGATAAACGGGGGTCAGGGGCCCCTTAAGGAGGCAGTCTGTCTCTTAGCAGAGCTTGAACACTGTGCTGGGAGATCCACAGCTCTCTTCAGAGCTGTCAGGGAGGGACATTTAAGTCTGCTGAAGCTGCACTCATAACTGCCCCTTCCCCCAGGCACTCTGTTCCAGGCAGATGGGTGTTTTATCTATAAGCCCCTGACTGGGGCTACTGCCTTTTTTTCAGAGATGCCCTGCCCAGACAGGAGGAATCTAGAGAGGCAGTCTGGCCACAGTGGCCTTGCTGAGCTGCAGTCGGCTTCACCTAGTTCGAACTTCTCAGCAGCTTTGTTTACACTGTGAGAGTGAAACCTCCTACTCAGGTCTCAGCAATGGTGGACGCCCCTTCACCCACCAAGTTTGAGCGTCCCAGGTTGACCTCAGACTGCTGTGCTGGCAGTGAGAATTTCAAGCCAGTGGAACTTAGCCTGCTGGGCTCCATGGGGGTGGGACCTGCCAAGCCAGACCACTTGGCTCTCTGGCTTCAGCCCCCTTTCTAGGGGAGTGAACGGATCTGTCTCGCTGGTGTTCCGGGCACCACTGGGGTATGGAAAAAAAAACACTCCTGCAGCTAGCTCAGTGTCTGCCCAAATGGCTGCCCAGTTTTGTGCTGGAAACCCAGGGCCCTGATGATGTAGGCACCGCAGGGAATCTCCTGGTCTGCAGGTCGTGAAGACCATGGGAAAAGTACAACATCTGGGCTGGAGTTCACTGTTCCTCATGTCACAGTCCTTCATGGCTTCCCTTGGGTAGGGGAGAGAATTCCCTGACCCTTTGTGCTTCTTGGGTGAGGTGAGGCCCCACCCTGCTTCAGCTTGCCCTCCATGAGCTGCACCCACTGTCCAACCAGTCCCAGTGAGATGAACCAAGTACCTCAGTTGGAAATGCAGAGATCACCCGCCTTCTGCATCGATCTTGCTGGGAGCTGCAGACCAGAGCTGTTTCTATTTGGCCATCTTGATGGGGTTTTCTAGACTTAAGATCATGTCATCTGCAAACAAAAAAGAGTTTGACTTCCTCTCTTCCTATTTAAATACACTTTATTTCTTTCTCTTGCTGACTGCCCTGGCCAGAACTTCCAGTACTATGTTGAATAGGAGTGGTGAGAGAGGGCATCCTTGTTGATATGGTTTGGGTGTGTCCCCACCCAAATCTCATCTTGAATTGTAGCTCCTACAATTCCCATTTGTTGTGTGAGGGACCTGGTGGGAGGTAATTGGATCATAAGGGTGATACTTTCCAGTGCTGTTATCGTGATAGTAAGTCTCATGAGATCTGATGGTTTTATAAGGGGAAATCCCTTTCACTGGACTCTCATTGTGTCTTGCCTGCTGCCATGTAAGACATGCCTTTCACCTTCTGCCATGATTGTAAGGCCTCCCCAGCCACATAGAATTGTGAATCCATTAAACTTCTTTTTCTTCTTAAATTACCCAGTCTCAGGTATGTCTTCATCAGCAGTGTGAGAACAGACTAATACACTTGTCTTATGCCGATTTTCAAGGGGAATGTTTCCAGCTTTTACTCATTCAGTATGATATTGACTTTGGGTTTGTCATTTATGGCTCTTATTATTTTGAGGTATATTCCTTCAATACCTAGTTTTTTGGGTTTTTGACATGAAGCAATGTTAAATTTTATGGAAGGAATTTTCTGCATCTATTGAAATAATCATGTGATTTTTGTGTTCAGTTTTCTTATGTGATGAATCACATTTATTGACTTGTGTATGTTGAACCAGCCTTGCATCCTGGGGATGTAGCCTACTTGATCGTGGTGGATAAGCTTTTTGATGTACTGCTGAATTTGGTTTGCCAGTATTTTTTTGAGAATTTTTGCATCGATGTTCATCAAGGATACTGGCTTGCCGTTTCCTTCCCTTCCCTTCCCTTCTTCCCTTTTCTTCCCTTCTTCCCTTCCCTTTTTTCTTTCTCTTTTTTCTTCTTCTTTCTTTCTATTTTTTTCATGAGATAGAGTCTTGCTCTGTTGCCCAGTCTGGAGTGTAGTGGTGTGATCTCAGCTCACTACAACCTCTGATACCGAGGTTCAAGTGATTCCCCTATCTCAGCTTCCCAAGTAGCTGGTATTACAGGAGAGCACCACCACACCTAGCTAATTTTTGTATTTTTAGTAGAGACAAAGTTTCACCATATTGGCCAGGCTGGTCTTGAACTCCTGAGCACATGTGATCCGTCCACCTTGGCCTCCCAAAGTACTGGGATTACAGGTGTGAACCACCATGCCCAGCCTGAAGTTTCCTTTTTTTATTTTATCTCTGCTGAGTTTTGGTATCAAGATGATGCCAGCTTCATAGAATGAGTTAGGGAGGAGTATCTCCTTTTTGATTTTTTTCTGAATAGTTTCAGTCAGAATAGTACCATCTCTTCTTTGTACCTCTGGTAGAATTCATATGGTCCTGGGCTTTTTTTTTTGGTTGGTAAGCTATTTATTACTACCTCAATTTCAAAATGTGTTATTGTTCTATTCAAGGATTCAATTTCTTTCTGGTTCTCATGTTTGGGGGCTTATCTGTCTTCAGTCTTTGAGGTTGCTGACCTTTGGATGTGGGGTGTGTGTCTGTGTGTGTGTGTGTGTGTGTGTGTGTGTGTGTGGTTGTTGTTGTTGTTCATTTTTAACAGTTTGGCCACTCTCCAGTAGGGCTGCTGCAGTTTGCTGGGGGTCTGCTCCAGATCCTAGTCATCTTGGTTTTTCCAGTACCTGGAGGTATCAGCAGTGAAGGCTGTGAAACAGCAAAGATGGCGGCCTGCCCCTTCCTCTGGAAGCTTCCTCTCAGGGGAATACTGACTTGTTGTTGGGCCGAATGCACCTGTAGGAGGTGGCTGGAGAACCCTATTGGAAGGTTTCACCCAGTTAGGAGGAACGGGATCAGGGACCTTCTTAAATATGCAGTCTAGCTGCATTTTGGTGGAACAGTTGTGCTGTGTTGGGGATCCCTTCATCCCCCAATCGATTTGGGCTCTCCAATGCCTGCAGGCTGGACTGGCTGAGACACCCAAACAGCAAAGGTGGCAGCCAGCCTCCCACACCCAGGCATTTCATTCATCCCAGGGAGAAATTAGAACTCTGCAGGCTGTAGAACATGGGTGGGGGTGGCTGGAGGCCCCAGCTGGGAGGATCAGTCCAGTGAGAAAAAATGGATCTGGATCCTGTTTAAAGCAGCATTCTGGCCGTGCCCACAAAACAGCCATGCTGTGCTGGGAAACCACCTCTGCCCTGGTCTGCTGGGACTCTCCAAAGCCTGCAGGCTGAACAGCGCAGTCGTCCAAACACCAAAGGTGGTGTCCCACCCCTCCCCCAGGGCACTCCATCCCAGGGAGAGATCAGAGCTCTTTCTAGAATACTGGCAGGTGAGGGTGGCTGGAGGCCCTGGCTGGGAGGTCCCGCCCCATGAAGAGGAACAGATGAGTCCTTAAAGAAGCAGTCTGACCACATTCTGGCAATGCAGTTGTGCTGCACTGGGGGAACGCTTCCTCAGACTGTTTGGACTTTCTAAAGCCTGCAGGCTGGAAGGGCTGAGTTGACCAAACAGCTAAGGTGGCAGCCCACCCCTTCCCCTGGGGACTCCATCCCTTCTCAGGCAGGCTCTACCCTGTTGCCAGTGGCTGGCTGGAGTTCCAAGCCAGTGTGTCTTATCTTGTGAGAAGCTGTGGAAGTGGGCCTGCAGACTGACGCTGCTCAGAACCCTGGATTCAGCCCTCTTCCTAGGGCTGGATTTTTAGTTTCAGGTCTTAAATATATTTAAGTCTTTAACCTAAGTTAATTTTTATATAGGTGTGAGATAAGGATCCAATTTCATTCTTCTGCATGTGGATATCTAGTGTTCTTGATGCCACTTATTGAAGAGATTATTTTTCTCCATTGTGTGTTCTTGGTACCTTTATTGAAAGTCAATTATTTGTAAAAGTGTGGGTTTACTTTTGGACACTATATCTGGTCTCACTGGTCAATGTGTCTGCTTTTGTGATAATATACTGTTTTGATTACTGTACTTTTGTAGTATATTTTGATGTCAGGCAGTATGATGCCTTGAGCTTTGCTCTTTTTGCTTATGATTGTTTTAGCTACTGAGGTCTTTTGTGGTTCCATATAACTTTTAGGACTTTTTTTTCTATTTCTGTGAAAAATATTATTGTAATTTTAATAGGAATTTCATTGAATCTACAGATTACATTGGGTAGTCTGGATACTTCAATATTTTTCCAATTTATGAATATGGGATTTCTTCCAATTTGTGTTTTTGTTCAATTTCTTTCACCTAAGTTTTTGTTGTTGTTGTGCAATTATTCAACACTCCCACTTTTAACAGTAGACACCCTGTCAGCCTGGAAGTTTGCTTTAACTCAGCTGACTGCATGATGAGGTCTAGTGTTTATTTTCAGCAATTACAGCCTTGTGCCTCTAGGAGATCAGATTCTCTCTCAGGGCACACTAGAAGCTCTTAAATCATTTATGCATTGCCTGAGCCAGAAATTCAAATCCCTGAGCTCATCCTTTTAAAAATTATGTTGTCCACCAACATTAGGGATAACCAACTGACATAATTATATTCCTTAAGTTTTCCACAAGTTTTGAAAATGTCATACACAGAATCACTAAATTACATGCCTCTTACAAGTGGTTGATCAGGAGTACCCAATCCAGATATTTTGTGTATCACAATAAGCAGTTCATCCCATAGACTATCAGTGTTCCCTGTACTGTTGGAAATAAGACTCCTTAGCACTTGAAGTCCAATCAGATTAGAAAGCAAATTCTAGAAACCCCAAAACCAATTAAAGAAACTCATCCTAAAAGTTCTGTTCCTCTAGCATAACTCCTGGTGCCACAAATCTCTATTAGTCAGGGTTCTTTAGAGATGTAGATAAAGATTTATCATGGGAATTGGTTGACACATGATGGAAGGGCATAAGTCCCATGATATGTAATGTGCAAGCTGGAGAAATGAAAGCCAGAGGTGTAGTGCTGTCCAAGTCCAACAGCCTGAGAACCTGGGGGACACTCGTTTAAGTCCTGGAGTCTGTAGGCTAGATAACTTACAATTCTGATGTCCAAAATCAGAAGAAGGGTGTCTTAGCTCCAGAGAGGGCAAATTTGTCTTTCCTCTGCCTTTTTGTTCTATATAGGCCCTCAACCATTTGGATGGTGCCTGTCCACATTGTGTGAGGATGGATCTTCCTTACTTGGTCTACTGATTCAAATGCCAATCTCTTGATCAACAATTCACAGACATACCCAGAAAGAATGCTTTACTAGCTCTCTGGGTATCTCATAATCTAGTGGAGGTGACATCTAAAATTAACCATCACACTAGGAGAAGATAGATCACTTCTGGAGCTTGAATCTTTATAAAAACAGTGAGATGTATCCATCTTCTGTGTTCTCATCCTGGCCCCTAAGTGCAATGATTAAGGAATAGGATGTGGCTCCTGGGTTTTTAGTTGTAACAAATAGCTTTTAGAGTACTTATGGATCTTTATATATAGAACTGAAGACCTGCCATGTATATAGCTTATTTCAAAATAGAATATAGAATCGTCATCAAAATAGGATATACCTTTCCTGAAAGTAATTATATGATGTTTGCATGTCCCTGTGTTCCAGAACCAGACATTGCTTGCATTTGGAATGAATGGCCCATAGATAGTCAAAAGAACAAAAGAAAGGATGGGTGCAGCTATACATTAATAGGCTTACAGATAAAAATACACAAAACACACTCAATAAAATAAATTATTTATAACTTAAAATTTCTTCTTTTACGTAAAAAATAGCAAACTGTAATACTTTTACTACCCTCTAGGCATGTGGTTACTGAGCACTTGAAATATGGCTAGTCCAAACTGCGATGTGCTGTAACTGTAAAATGTATTTTGAAGATTTAGTATGACAAAATGCAAAAACTCAATTTTTCTATCAATACTGGTAATATTTAGATAGATTATATAAATTCGTTTCACTTGCTTTTTACCTTTTTATTTTTTAATTTTTTTTTTTTTTTTACAGGCAGGGTCTTACTCTGTTCCAGGCTGAAGTGCAGTGGTGCAATCATAGCTCACTGCAGCCTTGAACTCCTGGACTCAAGTGGTCCTTCTACCTCAGCCTCCTGAGTAGCTGGGACTACAGGCACATGTCACCACACCTGGCTAATTAAAAAATATTTTTAAGAGATGGGGGCTTTCCTATACCATGGTGTGGTAACTTCCTATACCATGGTGGAATGAAATTAGAAATCAATACCAAAAGGAACTCTCAAAACTGCACAAGCGTGGCCAGGCATGGTGGCTCACACCTGTAATCCAAGCACTTTGGGAGGCCGAGGTGGGCAGATCACCTGAGGTCAGGAGTTCAAGACCAGCCTGGCCAACATGGTGAAACCCCATCTCTACTAAAAATATAAAATATTAGCTGGGTGTGATGGCGTGCGCCTGTAATCTCAGCTACTTGGAGGCTGAGACAGGAGAATCGCCTGAACCCAGGAGGCGGAGGTTGTAGTGAGCCGAGATTACACCATAGCATTGTGGCCTGGGTGACGGAGTAAGACTCCGTCTCAAAAACAAACAAAAACTGCACAAGTACATAAAAACAAAACAGCTTGCTCCTGAATGACTCCTGGGGAAACAATGAAATTAAGGCAGAAATAAGAAAATTCTTTGAAATAAATGAAAATAGAGACATAACATACCAAAACCTTTGGGATACAGCAAAAGTAATGTTAAGAGGAAAGTTTATAGAATAAATGCCTACACAAAAAGACAGATCTCAAATTAACAACCTAACATCGCACCTCAAGGACCTAGAAAAACAACAAACTGAGTTCAAATCTAGAAGAAGATAAGAAATTACAAAGATCAAAGCAGAACTAAATGAGACCAAAAAATGAGAGAGGATCAATACACAAAAAGTTGGTTCATTGAAAGAGTAAACCAAATTGACAGCTAGATTAACCAATAATGAGTAAATAAATCAAATTGGTAATAAAACATCTTCCAAAACAACAAAAAGCCCAGGATCAGATGGATTCACAGCGAAATTCTACCAGACATACAAAGAGCTAGTATCAATCTTATTGAAACTATTCCAAAAAAACTGAAGAGGAAGGATGCCTCCCAAACTCATTCTATAAATACAGTGTCACCCTGATACCAACAATCAGTGAAGGATACAAGAAAAAAAGAGAACTGCAGGCCAGTCTTCCTGATGAACATAGATGTGAAAATCCTCAGCAAAATACTAGCAAACCAAATCCAACAGCACATCCAAAAAAAAAAAAAAAAAAAAAAAAGCATCATGATCAAGTGGGCTTTATTCTAGGTATGTAAGGAGGATGATTCAACATACAGAAATCAATAAATGTGATTCACCACATAAACAATAGAACAAAAACTACATGATCATCTCAATAGATGCAGAGACAAACACCAGATAAAATCTAATATCCCTTCATGATGAACACCCTCAACAAACTAGGCTTTGAAGGAACATACCTCCAATAATAAAAGCCATATATTACAAACCTACAGCCAACATCATACTGCATGGGTTAAAGTTGAAAGCATTTCCCTAAGAACTGGAAAAAAGACGAGAATGTGCACTCTCACCACGTCTATTCAATACAGTATTGGCAGTCCTAGCCAGAGAAATCAGACAAGAGAAAGAGGTAAAAGACATCCAAATTGGAAAAGACAAAGTCAAATAATCTGTTTTGCTGATGACACGATTGTATACCTAGAAAACCCTAAAGACTCCTCCAGAAGACTCGTAGACTTGACAAGTGAGTTCAGTAAAGTTTCAGGATACAAAATCAATATACAAAACCCAGTGGAATCTCTATACACCAATAACATTCAAGCTGAGAACAAAATTAAGAACTCAATCCCATTTATAATAGCTACACACACACACACGCACACACACAGCACCTAGGAATACATTTAACCAAGGAGGTAAAAAAGAACTACAAAGCACAGAAGAAACTGCAGATGACACAAGCAAACGGAAATACATCCCATGCTTATGAACTGAATAACCAATATGATTGTTTTAAATGACCATATTGCCCAAAGCAATCTACAGATTTGATGTAATTCCTATTAATTACCATCATTTTTTCACAGAACTGGGAAAAACAATCCTAAAATTCATATTGAACGCCCAACTCCAAAAAAAAAAAAAAAGCCTAAATAGCCAAAGCACTCCTAAGCAAAAAGAACAAATACAGAGGCATCACATTGCTTGACTTCAAGGCTATAGTAACTGAAACAGCATGGTAGTGGTATAAAAATACACACAGGTCAATGGAACGGAATAGAGAACTGAGAAATAAAGCCACATACTTACAACTAACTGATCTCTGACAAAGTCAACAAAAATATACACTGGGGAAAGGACACCCTACTCAATAAATGGTGCTGGGAAAACTGATTTGCCTTATACAGAAGAAATAAACTAGACCCTTACCTCTCATCATATACAAAAATTAATGCAAGATGGATTAAAGACCTAAATGTAAGACTTAAAAGTATTAAAATGCTAGAAGAAAACCTAGGAAAAACTCTTCAGAATGTTGGCCTCAGCAAAAAATTCACAATGAAGACCCTAAAAGCAAATGCAACAAAACCAAAAATAGATAAATGGAACTGAATTAAAATTAAAGGCTTCTGCACAGCAAAATAATCAACTAAATAAACAGATAACCTACATAATGGAAAATATATGCAAGTTATTTCTCTGAGATAGGACTAATATTCATCAGGTACAAGGAACTAAAACAATAAGAAAAACCCCAAACAATCCCGTTACAAACTGGGAGAAAAACATGAACAGACATTTGTCAACAGAAATACAACTGACCAACAAACACGTGAAAAAGTGGTCAACGTCACTAATCATTACAGAAGTACAAAAACCACACTGAGATACCATCTTATACCAGTCACAATGGTTATTATTAAAAAGTTGTCAAACAACAGATGATGGTGTCAATGTGTAGAAAAGGGAACATGAATACTCTCTTGGTGGGAATGTAAATTAATTCAGCCTCTATGGAAAGCAGTATAGAGATTTCTCAAAGAACTAAAAATAGAACTACCATTCAACCCAGCAATCTCATTACTGGGAATCTACCCAAAGGAACAGAAATCATTATATAAAAAAGATATCTGTACATGTATGTTTATTGCAGCAATATTTACAATAGCAAATTCATGGAACCAACCTAAGTATCTACCAACAATTGACTGGATAAAGAAAACGTGAGATATATATAGAGAGAGATATATAAATGGAGTATTATGCAACTATAAAAAAGAATGAAATCATGTCATTTGCAGCAACATGGATAGAGCTGGAGGCCATTATCCTATGTGAACTAAATCAGACATAAAAAATAAAATATTGCATATATTCTCACTTAAAAGTAGGAGCTAAACAATGGGTACACAGAGACATAAAGATGGAGATAACAGACACTGGGGACTCCAATAGGGGAAAGAGTGTGAGCGGCAGTAAGCGTTGAAAAATTACCTGTTGGGTACAGTGTTTAATATTTGGATGATGGGTACACTAGAAGCCCAATTCCCACCATTATTCAATACACCCATGTTACAACAAGCACATGTACCCCCTGGATCTAAAATAAAAATTTTAAAAACCTCACATTATCAATAAAAATGTGGCGGAGTATGTTCAATTTTCTTTTCTTTCTATTTCTAGCATACAAGTGAGCCCTTCTCTGCTATAAAGGAAACTGTCCATAAATCACTTAAAATGAGACTGGTTAATGATTTTTAGTAAAATACACCATTATATGTTTTTTTTCTTATTGGTTAAAGGCAATTTATTTTGAAATGTTGCTTTGGTTGTTTGCTTTCTGGAAACATATTGGAACACTTGTTTTTCATAAGCTGTCCTGACAGTGGCACAATCCCATCCATCTTCAGGCCTTTTAATAAGGTCATTATGAAATCTGAATTTCTATTAATACTCTGGTGCATTCATTTCATCTGCAAAAGCAACTGGCACAACCACTCCTTGCCGGTGCAGCTCTCGGAGAACATCTAATATTGAGTCTAGTTCTGTGCGGAACTTCTCCAGCTCACGATTCTTTAACTGTGCCAGTCTTTTCCATTTTTCAACTTCTTTGTTTTGCTCAGTTTCTACTACTTGGTGTGTTTGCTGTATTATCTGCAAATACAAAAATTCCACATTGCTGTTATAGTTCATAGTGGTGGGTGAGGAACATTTAACAATCTTAAAGTAGGCAAACCTGGGGTTTCTTTGGGGAACTCAGGTAAATCATAATGCTCTGCGTGGATGCAACATTTTCTGTCTTCAAGGAGTATATACATCCCAACTGTGTTAGGGACTAAATGTTTGTGTCCCCCTCAAATTCATATGTTGAATTTCCTAACCCTTAATGTGACTGTATGTGGAGTAAGGAAATAATGAATGTTAAATGAGATCATAAGGGTGGGGACTTGATTTGATAAGAACCAGTGTTTCCACCACTAGAGACACCGAAGAGATCATCACCAGAAGAGACACCAAAGTGATCTCTCGCCCCTCTTCCTCTCCTCTGCACACATGGTACTGAGGAAAGATCATGTTAGAATGAGAAAAAAGGTGGCTATCTGCAAGCTGGAAAGAGAGCCCTCACCAGAAACCTAACTGACCAAAACCTCAATCTGGGACTTCTGGCCTACAGAACTGTGAGAAGATAAATTTTTCCTGTTTAGCCACCCAATTTATGATATTTTGTTATGTCAGCCCAAGCAGACTAATACACTGTTCAAACCAAGTTAAATTTCAGCACCAAGGCAAGTGCCTAAAAACACATCATGCCCTTACATCTGCTATTTTTAACTTCTATTAATTTATCTGTTTATAATTAAGTATAGTAATATTACTAGTGCTAGCTATATATTTTAAATAATCATATTAAAACAATTTATTTCTTATAAACATTTGCTGAAATGACTTGAATATGGAACACCATGCCTTGTTCCCAGGGTAAGATGTGTAAGTTTTTAGGAATCCATCAATAATTAAGAACATGATACAAGTTTTTGCTTTTTTTCCAGATATAAGGATACCAATCTTCAAGCACTTGAGATATAAAGTCTCATTTTCTGGTAAAAGTTATAAATTTATTAAATTTTTAACAAGATCAAAATACACTGGAAACACTTTAAGTGGTAATTTTTGCTAGGGATGACAAAACTATAGCAAATTAAAGGCACTTAAAAGTAAAGACCTATATAAATATGTAAATGTGATTTACTTTACCTGTTGAAGTTCCTGTTCTCTTTGTGCATGTCTCATTTCCATCTGCTTAATTTTCTTTTCTAAGCCCACGAAATGTTTCATCTCTGGTGTATGGTTTTCTTTGGCTTCTCTCAATTCTTCTAAGAGTTTTGTAATCTAAAATTGACATATGAAGCAAATGAAAAACTATAATCACAAGAATTTAACAGGTAATCTTGAAAATCAGAATATTTGTATAAAATTTCTCTATATAAGTAAGAGGCACCTTGGATTGTTAGAGTAATTAATAGCTTTCATTCTCTATATCCAGAAAGTAAAGGTTCCTCCTAACTCTGAGTTGACCTCACATTCTAAGAGGTTCCGGATGAATGGACCATCTTCTACCTCCCAAGTATGGCAGTCTGGTAAAGGAGCTGAAAATGAAGTTGGCACTTTCTTTAATGCATTAAGTTTCACTACAAGGTATTGTTAGTAAGATGGTTACTTTCAGAATTTAAAAAAGTACATTTAAAGCACTCAACATAGTACAGTGCCCCATGCACAGAAAGAGTTCAATGAATATGTATTTTTCTTCTGTTAACTCCCTATAATTCTATTTGTAATTCTCTATGGCCCTTATCACTTTATAATTTGTAGTAGTTCATTCCACAAATAAATGTATACATATAAAGTAGAAATAATGAAGTACTGAGCCCTTTCTGTGTTGACTGCTGTCTTAGGACCTGGGGATCCAGAGATTAAAGACACAGACCCCATCCTCACAGAGTGTAGTGCAGTGCCTTCATATTGAGCTTGGGAAAACAATTAATTGTATCTTCTTTATCCCATATAATCATGAAAAGAAATTCCAACAAGAATCAGATTTTGCTAATTGTTTACATCAAAAGGCAACAAAAACCAAATGAAAATGGATAGAACTAACAATAACTCTTGTTTTCTATGAAAACACCTATTAATAACAATAATACTAATACTAAAAAATCCCAGTATCTTACCTACATTAGTTGAAAAACATGCAAAGATACAAGCAAATTAAATCAGAGGCAATCTATTTTAAATGTGGAGCATCCCTGATGATATCATCATTGAACAAAGAACTATACAGACTATAATTGGGATGGTTTGCAGAGAGCTCAGGGAGAGGCCTCACAGAACATGCTGTGGTGATGAGTGTTGGTTGGGCATAAAAACTGTATGTGTTAAAATAATGATTATTAAAATTATTTTTTAAAAAACTAATGACTAAACTAAGAAAGCTGATAAAGGCATAGTCATACACAGAATGGTCAATTATTATTTCAATTCCTGTAACCTTTTTAATGGTTGAAAAATGATTTTGAGTAATATTTCCAGCTGTTACTATCTTGTGATACACCTGTTCCTGGTACACCAGTTAGGAAGCTCTGGTTTTCTGAATGAAACAGTCAAGTGAATGAGAATTCTAATATTGTGTGCTATGATAAAGGGATGGCCAATGACTAGTGAGATAAGTGAGAACACCTGACTGGAAGAGAAGAAGGGCCACAGAGAATTCCTAAGGTGGCTGTGTTTGAATTGAGTCTTAAAGGGTAAGTAGTAGTCAGTCATTATATTATGATGTGCTAGGCATTAGGCTGAGCACTTTACAGATGTCTCATTTTTTTATTAAGCCTTATATATGTTTACTGTCTGACTCCTCACATAAAATGTAAGCTTCATAAGAGCAAAGATTTTTGTCTTTGTTCACCTCACTATTCCTAGCACCCAGCGCTGCCCATGGCAGAGAGGTAGGTGTTTAACAATTATTCATGAATTAATTAGTCCATTCACCTTTCAATGATTAAACATTCATTGGTAAATCACATAAACTTAGAAATCTGGTTTTAGACAAATAGAGAAAATTTCCTTTTAATTGCACCTACCTAAAAGAACCTTTAAGAATATAATCAAAACTGAATATGTACATATATTTTAAAAATCCTTGCATTTTAATGAATTATCCTCTAGAGATAACTGAATACTTAATAAGCAAACATGTATTTAAAAAATACTTCCTGCTATGTACACATTATTTAAAAAAACTGGAAACAACCTGCATGCCAACAATAGGGGATTTGTGAAATAAATTAGTAATGATTAATAAGAGCCTGAGACCTAGAGTCAGAGGCAATGGGTTCTAACGGTGGCACTTCTATATGGTGGTCGGTAAGCCACCATATAGAAGTTATTTCACTTTCCTTAGCATCAATATCTTCATCTAAAATGGGAATAATAGTAGTAACTACTCTTTTGGTTGTGATGAGAATCAAATAAAATAAGGTATATAAAACACTTTGCACAGTTCCTAGTAAACATTAAACTTTTTTTTTTAAGTTATACTTTGTTCTGGGGTACATGTGCAGAACGTGCAGGTTTGTTACATAGGTATACACGTGCCATGATGGTTTGCTGCACCCATCAACCCGTCATCTACATTAGGTATTTCTCCTAATGCTATCCCTCCCCTAACCCCCAACCCCCCGACAGGCCCCGGTGTGTGATGTTCCCCTCCTATGTCACTGTGTTCTCATTGTTCAACTTCCACTTATGAGTGAGAACATGCGGTGTTTGGTTTTCTGTTCTTGCCTTAGTTTGCTGAGAATGATGGTTTCCAGCTTCATCCATGTTCCTGCAAAGGACATGACCTCATTCTTTTTTATGACTACATAGTATTCCATGGTGTATATGTGCCACATTGTCTTTATCCAATCTATCATTGATGGGCATTTGGGTTGGTTCCAAGTCTTTGCTATTGTGAATAGTGCCACAATAAACATATGTGTGCATGTGTCTTAATAGTAGAATGATTTATAATCCTTTGGGTATATACCCAGTAATGGGATGGCTGGGTCAAATGGTATTTCTAGTTCTAGATCCTTGAGGAGTCGCCACACTGTCTCCCACAGTGGTTGAACTAATTTACACTCCCACCAACAGTGTAAAAGCATTCCTATTTCTCCGCATCCTCTCCAGCATCTGTTTCCTGACTTTTTAATGATCGCCATTCTAACTGGCATGAGATGGTATCTCATTGTGGTTTTGATTTGCATTTCTCTAATGACCAGCGATGAGCTTTTTTTCATATGTTTGTTGACTGCATAAATGTCTTCTTTTGAAAAGTGTCTGTCCATATCCTTTGCCCACTTTTTGATGGGGATGTTTTTTTTCTTGTAAATTTGTTTAAGTTCTTTATAGATTCTGGATATTAGCCCTTTGTCAGATGGATAGATTGCAAAAATTTTCTGCCATTCTGTAGGGTGCCTGTTCACTCCGGTTTTTGCTGTGCAGAAGCTGTTTAATTAGATCCCATTTGTCAATTTTGGCTTTTGTTGCCACTGCTTTTGGTGTTTTAGTCATGAAGACTTTGCCCATATTGATTTTGGACTGAGATGATGGGGTTTTCTAAATATACAATTGTGTCATCTGCAAACAGACACACTTTGACTTCCTCTCTTCCTATGTGACTACCCTTTATTTCTTTTTCTTGCCTGATTGTTCTGGCCAGAACTTCCATTACTAAGTTGAATTGAATAGGAGTGGTGAGAGAGGGCATCCTTGTCCTGTGCTGGTCTTCAAAGGGAATGCTTCCAGTTTTTGCCCATTCAGCATGATATTGGCTGTGGGTTTGTCATAAATAGCTATTATTTTGTGATACGTTCCATCAATACCTAGTTTGTTGAGAGTTTTTAGCATGAACGGCTGTTGAATTTTGTCGAAGGCCTCTTCTGCATCTATAGAGATAATCATATGGTTTTTGTCCTTGGTTTTATGTGATGGATTATGTTTATTGATTTGCGTATGGTGAACCAGACTTGCATCTCAGGGATGAAGCTGACTTGATCATGGTGGATAAGCTTTTTGATGTGCTGCTGGATTTGGATTGCCAGTATTTTATTGAGGATTTTTGCATTGATGTTCATCAGGGATACTGGCCTGAAATTTTCTTTTTTTGTTGTGTTTCTGCCAGGTTTTGGTATCAGGATGATGCTGGCCTCATAAAATGAGTTAGGGAGGAGTCCCTCTTTTTCTATTGTGTGGAATAGTTTCAGAAGGATTGGTACCAGCTCCTCTCTGTACCTCTGGTAGAATTCGGCTGTGCACCCATCCAGTCCTGGACTTTTTTTGGTTGGTAGGCTATTAATTACTCCCTCAATTTCAGAACTTGTTATTGGTCTATTCAGGGATTCGACTTCTTCCTCGTTTAGACTTGGGAGGGTGTATGTGTCCAGGAATTTTTCCATTTCTTCTAGATTTTCTAGTTTATTTGCATAGAGGTGTTTATAGTATTCTCTCATGGTAGTGTGTATTTCTGTGGGATCGGTGGTGATATCCCCTTTATCATTTTTTATTGCGTCTATTTGATTCTTCTCTCTTCTCTTCTTTATTAATTTGGCTAGTGGTCTATTTTGTTGATCTTTTCAAAAAACCAGCTCCTGAATTCACTGATTTTTTTTGAAAGGTTTCTTGTGTCTCTATCTCCTTTAGCTCTGCTCTGATCTTAGTTATTTCTTGTCTTCTGCTAGCTTTTGAATTTGTTTGCTCTTGCTTCTCTAGTTCTATTAATTGTGATGTTAGGGTGTTGATTTTAGATCTTTCCTGCTTTCTCTTGTGGGCATTTAGTGCTATAAATTTCCCTCTACACACTGCTTTAAATGTGTCCCAGAGATTCTGGTACGTCATGTCTTTGTTCTCACTGGTTTCAAAGAGCTTATTTATTTCTGCCTTCATTTCATTATTTATCCAGTAGTCCTTCAGGAGCAGTGGTTCAGTTTCCATGTAGTTGTGCAGTTTTGAGTGAGTTTTTTAATCCTGAGTTCCAATTTGACTGCACTGTGGTCTGAGAGACTGTTTGTTATGATTTCCATTCTTTTGCATTTGCTGAGGAGTGTTTTACTTCCAATTATGTGGTCAATTTTAAAATAAGTGTGATGTGCTGAGAAGAATTCTGTTGATTTGGGGTGGAGAGTTCTGTAGATGTTTATTAGGTCTGCTTGGTGCAGAGCTGAGTTCAAGTCCTGAATATCCTTGTTAACTTTCTGTCTCGTTGATCTGTCTAATGTTGACAGTGGGGTGTTAAAGTCTTCCATTATTATTGTGTGGGAGTCTAGGTCTCTTTGTAGGTCTCTAAGGACTTGCTTTATGAATCTGGGTGCTCCTGCATTGGGTGCATATATATTTAGGATAGTTAGCTCTTCTTGTTGAATTGATCCCTTTACCATTATGGCCTTGTCTCTTTTGATCTTTGTTGGTTTAAAGTCTTTTTTATCAGAGACTAGGATTGCAACCGCTGCTTTTTTTTTGTTTTGTTTTCCATTTGCTTGGTAGATCTTCCTCCATCCCTTTATCTTGAGCCTATGTGTGTCTCCACATGAGATGGGTCTCCTGAATACAGCACACTGATGGGTTTTGACTCTTTATCCAGTTTGCCAGTCTGTGTCTTTTAATTGGAGCATTTAGCCTATTTACATTTAAGGTTAATATTGTTATGTGTGAATTTGATCCTGTCATTGTGATGTTAGCTGGTTATTTTGCTCATTAGTTGGTGCAGTTTCTTCCTAGCACTGATGGTCTTTACAATTTGGCATGTTTTAGCAGTGGCTGGTACCAGTCGTTCCTTTCCACGTTTAGTGCTTCCTTCAGGAGCTCTTGTAAGGCATGCCTGGTGGTGACAAAATCTCTCAGCACTTGCTTGTCTGTAAAGGATTTTATTTCTCCTTCACTTACGAAGCTTAGTTTGGCTGGATATGAAATTCTGGGTTGAAAATTCTTTTCTTGAAGAATGTTGAATGTTGGCCCCCACTCTCTTCTGGCTTGTAGAGTTTCTGCTGAGAGATCTGCTGTTAGTCTGATGGGCTTCCCTTTGTGGGTAAGCTGACCTTTCATTCTGGCTGCCTTTAACATTTTTTTCCTTCATTTCAACTTTGGAGAATCTGATAATTATGTGTCTTGGAGTTGCTCTTCTTGAGGAGTATCTTTGTGGTGTTCTCTGTATTTCCTGAATTTGAATGTTGTTCTGCCTTGCTAGGCTGGGGAAGTTCTCCTGCATAATATCCTGAAGAGTGTTTTCCAACTTGGTTCCATTCTCCCCGTCACTTTCAGGTACACCAATCAGACATAGATTTGGTCTTTTCACATAGTCCCATATTTCTTGGAGGCTTTGTTCATTTCTTTTTACTCTTTTTTCTCTAAACTTCTCTTCTCACTTCATTTCATTCATTTGATCTTCAATCACTGATACCCTTTCTTCCACTTGATCGAATTGGCTACTGAAGCTTGTGCATACATCACATAGTTCTCGTGCCATGGTTTTCAGCTCCATCAGGTGATTTAAGGTCTTCTCTATGCTGTTTATTTTAGCTAGCCATTCGTCTACTCTTTTTTCAAGGTTTTTAGCTCCTTTGCGATGGTTTCAAACATCCTCCTTTACCTCGGAGAAGTTTGTTATTACTGATCTTCTGAGGCCTACTTCTGTCAACTCGTCAAAGTCATTCTTGGTCCAGCTTTATTCCAAAGGAACACAGCTGGCAAGGAGCTGTGTTCCTTTGGAGGAGAAGAGGCACTCTGATTTTTGGAATTTTCAGCTTTTCTGCTCTGTTTTCTCCCCATCTTTGTGGTTTTATCTACCTTTGGTCTTTGATGATGGTGACCTAGATATGTGGTTTTGGTGTGTATGTCCTTTATGTTTGTTAGTTTTCCTTCTAACCGTCAGGACCCTCAGCTGCAGGTCTGTTGGGAGTTTGCTTGAGGTCCACTCCAGACACTGTTTGCCTGGGTATCACCAGCAGAGGCTGCAGAACAGCAAATATTGCAGAACAGCAAATGTTGCTGCCTGATCCTTCCTCTGGGAGCTTTGTCTCAGAGGGGCACCCGGCTGTATGAGGTGTCAGTTGGCCCCTATTGGGAGGTGTCTCCCAGTTAGGCTACTCAAGTGTCAGGGACCCACTTGAGGAGGCAGTCTGTCTGTTCTCAGATCTCAAACTCCATGCTGGGAGAACCACTACTCTCTTCAAAGCTGTCAGATAGGGACGTTTAAGTCTGCAGAAGTTTCTGCTGCCTTTTGTTTGGCTATGCCCTGCCCCCAGAGGTGGAGTCTATAGAGGCAGGCAGGCTGGCCTCCTTGAGTTGCGGTGGGCTCCACCCAGTTTGAGCTTCCTGGCCACTTTGTTTACCTACTCAAGCCTCAGCAACGGCGGATGCCCCTCCCCCAGCCTTGCTGCTGCCTTGCAGTTCAATCTCGGACTGCTGTGCTAGCAGTGAGCAAGGCTCTGTGGGCATTGGACCCTCTGAGCCATGCGCGGGATATAATGTCCTGGTGTGCTGTTTGCTAAGACCATTGGAAAAGCACAGTATTAGGGTGGGAGTGTCCCGATTTTCCAGGTACCGTCTATCACAGCTTCCCTTGGCTAGGAAAGGGAATTCCCAGACCCCTTGCGCTTCCTGGGTGAGGTGATGCCCTGCCCTGCTTCGGCTCACACTCCTTGGGCTGTACCCACTGTCCAACAAGCCCCAGTGAGATGAACCTGGTACCTCAGTTGGAAGTTCAGAAATCACCCATCTTATGAGTCGCTCATGCTAGGAGCTGTAGACTGGAGCTGTTCCTCTTTGGCCATCTTGCATTTCAGATGGGGGTTTTTTCTATAAGACCCTGACTGGGGCTGCTGCCTTTAAGAGATGCCCTGCCCAGAGAGGAGGAATCTAGAGAGGCATTCCGGCTATGGCGGCTTTGCCAAGCTGCAGTGGGCTCTGCCCAGTTCGAACTTCCTGTAGGCTTTGTTTATGCTATGAGGGGAAAACTGCTTACTCAAGCCTCAGTAATGGTGGATGCCACTCCCCCCACCAAGCTTGAGCATCCCAGGTCACTTCAGACAGCTATGCTGGCAGTGAGAATTTCAAGCCAGTGGATCTTAGCTTGCTGGGCTCTGTGGGGGTGGGAATCTGCTGAGCTAGTCCACTTGGCTCCCTGGCTTCAACCCTCTTTCCAGGGGTGTCTTGCTGGCATTCCAGGCGCCACTGTGGTATGAAAAAAAACTCCTGCAGCTAGCTCAGTGTCTGCCCAAACGGCCGCCCAGTTTTGTGCTTGAAACCCAGGGCCCTGGTGGCGTAGGCACCCAAGTGAATCTTCTGGTGTGTGCATTGCGAAGACCTTGGGAAAAGCATAGTAACTGGGCTGGAGTGCACCGTTCCTCATGGCACAGTCCCTCACGGCTTCCCTTGGCTAGGGGAGGGAGTTCCCCGACCCCTTGCACTTCCCGGATGAGGCAAGGCCCCACCCTGCCTTGGCTCACCCTCTGTGGGTTGCACCCACTGTCTAACCAGTTCCAATGAGATGAGCCAGGTACCTCAGTTGGAAATGTAGAAATCACTTTCCTTCTGTGTTGATCTCACTGAGACCTGTAGAATACAGCTGTTCCTATTTGACCATCTTGCCAGCCTCCCCCCCACAGATTAAACTTTTGATAAATAATTATATTATAATGCCTCTATTTTGAAATGGTATAATAGAAGTGCCAATAAAGATATATACTGTCATGAAAAGATCATATATACACACACACACACACACACACACACACACACACACATATATAGTGTTAGGTTAAAAATGCTTTGAAAATCATATGCATGCATACATACATACATGAACAAACATGTATTTGCATATGTACACACATGAGAACCATATCCACAATATTTGTATTTATTTATGAATAGAAAAAAATCTGGAAGGATATAGAGCAAAATATAACTAGGTAGTGGGATTATAGTGATTTTATACCTTCTAATTGCTAATACTAATTATTATGTATTAATAGTATAAAAACACATGCATAGTGAATCCATGCTCAACTAAGGACAGAAATAGCATCAATAAAAAGCATAAAAGCATATATTCTTTAATGAATAAAACTGTTATCTTTTTATTACTTTACTAAAGTAAAAAAGAGTGATTCACCCAGATGATGTCACTTAAAGGTGAGTGAAGATGCTTTCTTACTGGAGAAGACAGATATCACTGACTGCTGGCAGGAGGTGGCTCAGGTGCTGGAGTTCAAACAATCTGTGCGTAGCCCAGAGACAGACTGCTTCCCAGAGAAGACATTTGTCTTTGTTCTCTTACTTGTTGGTGAGTAATCTTAGAAACTACACATCTCAATTTAAACTGAACCACAAAATTATTCCTATTTTTATTACTTTAAACAAGCCTGGGCTGGTCGTGGTGGCTCACGCCTGTAATCCCAGCTCTTTGGGAGGCTGAGACGGGTGAATCACTTGAGGTCAGGGGTTCCAGACCAGCCTGGCCGACATGGTGAAACTCCATCTCTACTAAAAACACAAAAATTAGCCGGGTGTGATGGCACAATCCTGTAATCCCAGCTACTCAGGAAGCTGAGACATAAGAATCACTTGAATGAGGGAGGCAGAGGTTGCTGTGAGCCGAGATTGTGCCACTGCACTCCAGCCTGGGCGACAACAGTAAGACTGTCTCAAAAAAACAACAAAAAAATGAGCCTGGTACACTGTATCTGTGTACTTTTCAATCATGTCATGTGCCTTCGTGCTTTGTAACTATTGGCATAAGTCTTCCTGGTCACTTTGCTAGAGGAATTGTGAGTACTTACTTAATCTAGAGGGTTTAGATTCTAATTAGGTTAGCACTGAAGGAGATCCTGGGCACTGTGTCTTAAGCAGCCATTCCTGCTTTCTTTGCTGACAAGGCCTTGATATTGTTCAGGTGTTCATGTGATGCTGGGGTAAATTCTGATCAGTTTTACTGTCAGTTTACTGGATAACTACTGGACAAAAACAACTGATCAGTTATAGCTGTCCAGTTTTTCTTGGCAGTGATTGGTTTAGAGGTGGGCACATGTCTTAGTCTGTTTTCTGCTGGTATAACCAAATACCACAGACATTTATTTGGCTTACAGTTCGGCATCTGGACAGTCCAAATGCATGGCACTGGCATCTGGGAAGGGCCTTTTGCTGCATTAACCCATGACAGAAGGGCAGGCAGGTGATGAGACAGAGAGGGAATGAGAACCACTGAACTTATTCTTCTATCATGAGCCCACTCCTGTGATAACTAACCCATTCCTGCTTGAACATCAACTAAATTTAAACATAAGTTTTGGCAGGGATATTCAAACCGCAGCAGCATGTGACACAGTTCTGAAGCAAAGGCAGTTAGTGGGAGACATTATAGGCTATATGTATCTGTTTGATTATTTTTCTGTCCCACTGGTTAGAATGTTCCTTGACAGCAAGGACTCCAGATGTTTCACTGCTATATCTTAAGAAGCAAATAACAGGGACTGACATCTGCTCACTAAGTATTTATTAAATCAATGAAAAAAAATGCTATGAAGGTCTTATTTAACTTGATAGCTGTAAAAACTGAGGCTGAGAGAGTTTAAAGACACTAGAAGTGGCTATGTACAGATAACTTTTTTCTTCTGCATGAGAAACTGACCTTGGGTTCAATCACTTTTCTGTGTCTGTTCTCCCCTTGATAAAGAATGGCCATCGGCCACACACCAGGCACCTAGGCTTGGGGGACTTTGTATGAACTGAAATACTTCATAGGAAGACAGTTTTGGGCTCTCCTGACCATGCTGACTCTTGTAACTGAGCATGTTGTTGTGGGAGCCACCGTGCAAGGATTAGTATAAGAGATATCGGTTCTTGTGGAGCATGCGGCATCTAAACTAGCAAGGGAATAAGAGTCATACCTGGCAGGTGGTATGAGTCTTATTTCCTTGCACCTTTGTTGTCACTTGGACAGCTCCTGGACAACTATATGAACTGCTGTGAGAATGACTTGCATTGAAGAGAAATGCGTCATGCTGCCTTGCTAGCCTGCTGTTTCCTGGCCTGTATCCAGCATGCCAAGTGTGGCCTTATGGTTGTTGTGTGACTCTAAACGTTTACTTGAACATGCTAGCGAGCCTTACAACGGCAAGTCAAGAATTTAAACCCAGATCTTATAAACCCTATGATCATTCCACTATCTGTTCATAAAACAACAGCAGCTAGCTGTAGAATATTTGCGACAAATTACAGTAAGAATTTTGATAATTCTTATGAGTGGGCCACAATAGTCCCTGGGGTCTTATTAGAGGTAAGTCTTAAATATTTTCTATATCTTTTATAAAATATGCAGATTAAAAAAAATAAAACCCCACAAATGAAAAAATCTGTAATCAGTAAAATGTATATCCTAATAATAGAAAAAATATGAAAATAAGCAATAATAGCATCAATCCTTAGTTATCCATAGGGATCATGAGTAAAGATTCATGTCTTTTCTCTACAACTGCAGGGTGTGAAGAAATAAATGAACTGAAGATTTTTGCAGTCAATTAGAAGTGGAACAATAGATTGAAAAATCTATGATGAATACTAAAACACAAAAGAATATTAAAACTCTAGAATATTAAAACTCTAGAGTCTTAAAAAAACCCAAGGATTTGAAAAATACATGCCTGAGTTAGCATCAACGGAAGAGGTGCTGGATCCTTAATAAGATTTTCACCCCATTGCAGCAGACATAATTTTAAAAGATGTGCTTGAAAATATTTTAGGTAACAAAGGCATGAAACATAATGAAGAGTTTAGAAACATCCTTTCAGATTTCTATAATTAATATACTAAGTGGGAATCATCTTTGCTTTATGCTGAAAACTTATAAATCATTGCTCAGTTATCTCATGGCCTATAAAATGTTAAAAACACATAAGCAATCAAAAGTTCACTAATGGTTTAAAATGTATAGTGTGCTTTCATCTGTGGCGATGTATAGTGTACTTTCACTTGTGGTCATGTGGAGTCAAGGGGAGACTCCTCCTTTAAATAACTAGAAAACAGCACAAAATATTTGAAACAACTGTTTTCAGACACTGGATAACAGCACTACAGACTGTGATTTCTGGGAGAAGGGAAATAAGGTGAGCTCTAGAGTTGTCCAGTTTATTGCCTGGAGGCAGTTTTGAAGCCAGTGGAAATAGCCTGAGCATTTCCTGGAGCTCACACAGAGGTGGGAATAGTTCATATTTCCACCACCCTGAGAGGAAATGCCTCATAATACACAGGACGTCAGGAGAGTCCTCAAACTAGTCTTGTCAAAACAGCTAGAATATTACACAGAATACAGCCATTATAAATAAACTCCATATTAAAAGGTAGGTATTCCAATTAAAAGGCAGGGTGTCATTACCTTTACTCAGGACACTGAGTGCTTAGCTTTCTAGTAGTGAGGCTTAAAAATCATGTGCTGCGTCTTCTATTTTCAAGTATTTTAGATATTCTTAAAGTAAGAACTGTCTTACCATTGTATTGCTAAATTAACAACAATTAAGTTAACTAAAACTGACTTCATTATCTTGCAAACAGGTACATATTCTTTCTTTTATTGCTTTCACTAAAAACTTTACTTCAGTTCTGAGGTTCTGTAAACTTAGTGCTTATGTTAACAAAGTTTTATGTACATCTTAAACACTGAAAAGAATGCACAATGCTGAACTAGCCTTTCAACTACTAGAACAAGATTTTAAAAACTGACACTTGCGTAATTGTAGAGTGTTTTTACATTGATCTTTTCATAATACAATTGGCTCTATATTTTGCCTGTGAGACTTAAATCCTTCAATAACAATAAATGGTATATATGCATCAAAGAACGGGATGTGCAGCTTTCCTGGCCTTTCACACTTTTTAGAATGAAATGGATCTTAGAATCAAATGGAAGAAAAGCTCTCTATCCTCCTCTTTTTCTGCCTAAAAGTAGGAAATACATTTTCCTTTAGTGAAGAGGGCTCTAGATGCTTATTAGCCCAGAGATGGCACCAGAGGAATCTGCAGTACTCCATGAGTTTCCTACCATATATTTACATTCCCACAGTTTCCCACCTTTGTAGCCTAAAAACGACTTTCCTCTGTCCTTTCTTTATCTACAAATTGATTGTTCTTTGTTGAAGATGGTTTGTAAACCAGAGTTCTAAGCCACTGTTTTGAGTTACTTTTCATGAGGTTTCTCCTGTGATGTGTGCTGCACACATTAATAAATTTGTTTTTCTCTTGTTAATCTGTCTTTTGTTACAGTGGCCTGTCCCAACAGGAACTCACATGGGTTGAGAAAAAAAATTTTTCCTTCCTGACAGTTTTTGGCAATGCAGATGGGACTTTCTGGGATACCCCATCCACTCTGGAACCTGCAGATGAAATCCTAGCAAAACTGGCAGAAGCTGGTAAAAGGTAAGAATTCTTACCAAACTCAGCTCTCCCAGATATCTGTCTATAGCAGTCAGTCAAGAAAGGAAGGTAAAATTTTTCCTGGTCCTTCTTTTCCATATTCAGATTGGTAGGAGAAAAAAATTTGTAAAATTCTTTGAATTTGTGACTCTTGTGGGTTTGGTTTTGGCTACCTATTGGTTATTATTTTTAGCCTCCTTGAAAAGGTCATTGTTTTCCATTGTCTTTTGCATCATTTGTTGTGAGAAGGAGAATCACAGGACAGAACACAGACATAGGTCATATAAGCCTGTTGTTCCAGCCACCCTCTCAGGCTGGTGTGTTCACGGTTCTCACCAGACTGGTGTCTGTTTAGACAAACTTTGCTGTGGGTCCCCAGTAAGAAAAAGAAAGGATGAGGTTCACCTTTTATCTTGTTTTATGTCCTGAGAGCTTGGCTTTCATGACCACTGAGAACACTGGTCTCTGGTCTCTGCCAGGTGCAGGGGCACAAGCATTGGCTTGTGTCAGGCAGCCAGGTGAACAGGGTGGGAACCCAAGACACAAGTGACAAGTGGTGTTCTCTTTGTTTGATGCAGCTCAGGGGAGTTTGTCTTAATAAGAGACGGCAGTCCATTAGGAGCCTTTGGCGTTTCAAACTTTGTTGTTTGGTTGATACTGGGAGAGTCCTATCCCAGCAGTGCCTGTGTGGTGTCACAGATTAGCAGGTCTATGACTGGAGGTGTCTCTGTGGGAGGCTTGAAACACCATTTTCACACAACTCTTCTGTCTGCAGAGCAATGAAGGTCTTTGTTTTCTTAGGCTATCTTTGGGAGAAACTTTGGATATCGAGGGAGATTTGATCTTTTGCAGACTTTTTTGAGGAAGCCTCCGGCAACCATGGTTAAGCTACAAAAGGCTTCTTGGTTTTTTGTTTGTTTTTCGTAGAGACAGGGTCTTGCTCTGTCACCCAGGCTGGGGTACAGTGGCACAATCAGCTCACTGAAGCCTTGAACTCCTGGGCTTAACCAATCCTCTCACCTCAACCTCTTGAGTAGCTGGGACTACAGGCGCATGTTACTGCACAGGCTAATTTTTGTATTTTTTATAGAGATGATGTCTCGTCATATTGCCCAGGCTGGTTTCAAACTCCTGGCCTTGGGAGATCCTCTCACCTCAGTCTCCCAAAATGCTAGGATTTACAGGCGTGAGTCACTTTGCCTGGCTGACTTGTTTTAAACCATAAAAATAGCTTACTGGTCTAGAGCAGCAGTTCCCAGACTTTTTGGTACCAGGGACTGGTTTTGTGGAAGACAATTCTTCCACGGAAAGAGGGAGGATGGTTTTGGGATGATTCAAGCTCATCACATTTATCATTAGATTCTCTTATATAAGCCCACAACCTAGATCACTTGCATGTGCAGTTCACAATTGGGTTCACGCTCCTATGAGAATCTAATGCCGCCACTGATCTGACAGGAGGCGGAGATCAGGCAGTAATGCTCACTCGCCCCCTGCTCATCTGCTGAGAGGCCTGGTTCCTAACAGGCCATGAACTGGTACTGGTTTGTGGCCCAGGGTTGGGGACCCCTGGTCTAGAATCACATTAAAATGGGTATACCTTTAAAGATTTGAGTTTTTATATCAAAAAATGATTTTTTTTTTCAATTTTAAAGGGAGCATTCATTCAAAACAAATGTCTTACTGGTACTTATGGTAAAATAAAATTTAAAAGAGGGCATAAAAGAGTGTCAAGTCTAGTCTAAGCAAACAAACAAAAGTCAGACTAGACTTAAGACCAACGTTAACATCTACATCTGCTATAAATTCCTCCTTACCTACCTATAGTCTCCTTTACTCCCAACTGCCTGATGTTGATCTACCAGAAGATCTTCCGATCTCTGGGTCCCTGACTTAAACATCTTTCCTCAAAATCCAGTCTCAACCTCTGAACAAATTCCTTTAATCCTAAAACTCCTCCAACTTCCCCAGGAAATCTTTTAAATGCCCAGCTGCCTACTAACTTGCCTTCCTCTGAAAGATTTACAGAAAGTACTCCAGCCTGATATCCAGGGCCGGGGTGTATAGGTTACTTGTGTAAATACTGCCAACCAGGAGATAAACAGAACACTGTCTCAGGGAACTGGCAGCCAGGCTGGCTTTGCTGTACCTACACTCCACCTACTTTCCAGAGCTCCATCATCAACTCCTTCAGCTCCAGGCCTTCTTATATTTTGGGCCTCCATTACAAAAATATTCCTTAAGACTGTCCTGTGCTCAAGGAAAAGAAAAACTTAAAAAAAAATACCCTGGATCTTTCATAATAGGCAAATATGCCCTAAAATGCCTTCTTGGAGAAAACTTCCGTCCTTTCTCAGTCTCTCAGAGATGTGAATCTCACCATGTCTTTGAAATTTAAACCTTCAAGGAGTTAACTAAAACAACCCCCACATACATTTGAGACTAAAGAAAAAAAGGCAGCCCAGAGGGAGAAGAGTTTGTTTTTGTTTTTTTAAACACACTGCTATAAAAACTCCTTTACCCCAAATTTCATCCATACCCTCCATAAGATTATCTGCAAAGGGCAAATGAAAAATTTTAAGTCTTCCTCAGAAATACCAGTAAAAAGTTTGGCCAGCTAAACAGGTAACCTTAATTTATTCTATCTGCCAAATACACAATTTGCATTCAACTATTCTTTTACAAATTAGCGAGTTTTATATTATTGTGCCTGTCTCATGGCTAAAACTTTAAAATGAAAGCTATATGATCTCTGCATCTGTCTATGTTTATGTACATCTATGTGTATGTGTGTGTGTATATACGTATACATTTTTTTTCTACCTTTGGACGGTATTGTCAAAAGTAATTCATAAAAGAGCACTATTTAATTGGCTTACAGAAAAAGAAGCACTTACACAAATTAAGAATTCCAAAAACTCTCAGAAGTATAGAAACTAACCCAAATGGTTTTCAAGTTCATGTGTCTCAGGTAAATCTGGGATATGATTAGTTTAACATTACTGATTTAATAAAAATAGGCATGACTTCAGAGTTGTCAACAGTAAGTATAATGCAGACATACAACCCTTATGCTACCTGGGTTTACTAATCAAATAAGTATCTCTGCTAGACATTTAAAATTAAAGACCTAGGAGTTCATCCCCAAATCAAACGTGCAAGTCGAAGTACAGTATCCATTATTCCATGTATATTAAGCACAGCAGGAAAAGAAAAACATGTATTTAACTTTTGAGTTCTTGTGCTGCTTGCCTAACCTGCATGTGTTGTAAAAATAGTTAACAGTAAAATAAGATGATGACTAGATGTTTAATGGCTCATGAATTTTCATAAGCAATCCAAGCATAATTGTTAATAACAAGTACATTAAGTAAATATTAGTGGGATAAAATTTATAAAGTCTTCAATAATTACTATGTTTTATGTTTGTAAAAAAAAATTAGTTACCCAAATCTCTTTGGTATAGCTTACATCCTTGGGGTTTTGCTAAGTTAAATAATAAATAGTCACTGAATATCTAGATCATTTCCAAATATACTGAAACATTAACTTATGTTTCACAGACTCATATTGCTGAACATAACCTTATCTACCTTGGCTTCTTAAATTTTACAGAGAAACAAATCACCTGTTCTTATTGTCACATTAAGAAAACTATAAAAATATGCTTCTAGAAGTCATGAAATGATGTTAATCTACAAAATGTTGGTATATGACAGGTCATGGCTGCTTTGTAGTTTTCATAAGAAATTAATGTTACTAAGGATTAAAAGTTCTAATATACATATATTTAAAACTACTAAAGATAAGGGAAACAACTTTGTATGCAAAATATACAAGGAAAATAAGATGTAGTTTTGGTAAGCAAAGTTATGAGGAATGAAGATGTGTTTTCGTTAAGGGAAAAAATAATTAAATCTGTACTAAAGTAGAATGACAGACTGTTTTATAATGAAAAAGGAGAACGAAGAACAAAAAAATGAATGAATGTAGAAGCTTGCAGAAGGAGAGAGAAAGAGAAAGTGAGAATGCACGAATATCTTGTGTGTCTAAGCTGTCTAAAACAGAATATGTTTATTTTAAGAGTTTTAAAAATGAGCCTTAATGTCAAAAGTACAGTGGACAAAACTAGAAACTGGTTTTCTCTCTTAAAACAACAAAGCTTTCTTGGAGCATCGGTCTGCTCTTGATAAGAGATTATAAAAGATTTTCTTTACCTTTAAGTTAATTTATGTAGAAAGCAAAGATTTTGTGTTTTAGTAAAATAACTTCCTGTGTTTCCTATGGTCTCTATCAGTTCTTTGATTACTTAGGAAAACTGAGTTTTCTCACTATGCGACTTTCTGTATTTGCCTTTAGAATCTTTTAATAATCACTTTGGATAACTAAGTATTGTTTCATAATGACCTGTGATCCTATTTAATCAAATGTTTTAAACTTTTTGATATTTTTGACAACTTCCTCAAATCAAATTATAAATTATTTTGACCTCAAACTAGCTTTGGGATGTTCCAGAGGGCCCTGGAAAATCTCAAAAGAATGTTCTTTCTCCTTTTACAAATAGAGATGTCAAAGTAATTAGGCTTATTTGACGTGATAAATTGTACAGGAATCATTGTCAAATAAAGACAATGTTTAATCTTCTTTGAGTTATTTTTGTATGGATACGTTATTAACAAATGTTCCAGAAGTTGTATACAATTCCTAAAAATCTGGTATGTCTTGGTATGATGTTATCAGTAATAATGCTAGTTAATATCTTAATGTTGTATTGTCACAAAAATAACCAAATTTCCATATCAAGTGCATTATAATGAACTCTCATCAGATGTTTAACTATGGCTAGTTTAAAGTCTTATCATCCACAGATAGTTAATTGTTTTACTGTTACTTTCCTAAGAGCTTTTGTAAGCAACTATAAATACAAAGTGTTTTTCTTCAGAAAGATTCATGGAAAGCACTCTGACAAATACAGGCTTCTGATAACTTCAAGATCATACCATTTGGCCAGGTAAGAATTTTTCAGAATTCTAATGAAAAGATTGATTGGTTCACAGAAGTGCTAACCCAACATCAAGCAGAACAAGAATTAATTACATGGGACTAAGTAAACTGATGAAGAATTCTTTTTAGGGACTGTCTGTTTAAAACACTGCTGATTCTTTAATATTCTGTAGAGAACTTTTTCTCTTAAGCTATCCATAGCTTAGAGCAATTTGGTAAATTATACTTTTGTAAACAGAATTGAAATATTTATCTTTTTTTCCTCTATCTCTCCAGAAACCATTAGCTGAGTATTCTTATTTTCACAGGGACATAAATATTTGCATAAGTTCAGTAAGAATCTGTTCTCTTTGTAACACAACTGGAAACATCAGTTATACTATCAAGGCTTTGATTGGAATGTCATATTTCAGAATGTGCATGGAATCAGATATAATCGGACAACTTAAAAAAATACATTGACTTTCTGACGCCAATAAAGTCCCTTGGAAAAAACTGGCTTGGTACCTTACATACGAGGTTTCCTTATAGATGAGTAAGAAATGTCACTTCCTGGCAAGCCCAGGAGCCTCACAATATTTGGGGGATCTCTAGAAGAGAAAGGAATTTACCTGGATCTATTGGTATTGCAGGCAAAATCTGATGGCAAGCCTTTGGCATGCGTTTCTAGCCTGGAGATGCCAATAAAGGGCCAATCTGAGAATCCTTATTAAAAGTTCCAGCAAAACAGACTTATAAAAGAGCCTATATGATTAATCACTATTCTTGCTGCACTTTTTATGCAAATAACCAAGCCAAGTTTAATGAGACTAGACTTATTTTTGCCATTGGTCTTATTGTGATTATCTCTGATAGAAATGAGGGTGACTGCAGAGAGAAAAATACTGTGCTTCATTAGAAAACTGTAACACACCCTTGTAGATATCAGATTCTAGCCTTGTTTTTTTATCTCTGGGGTTTTGTTATTTACATGTAATCTGGTCTAGATCTCTGTCTATAATTCTCCAAACTAGTATTTCAAATTTTTCTCCTACCCTCCTGCCTTGGAATCACTAAAACATTTAACTGCCCTTTTCCTGAAATCTTAATAAGCTGAAGCTGAATGACTTGATATAAACTGCAGAGAGTCACCACAACAGCTAATATACGGACAATTTTCATGCCTATTGCTGCGTGTCTTATAACTAGACATACTCAAACTGTAAAAAATGCTTTGAGCCCAACATCTAGAACTCTTGACTAGCTGCTCTTAGATTCAGAAATTAGTATACAGACTACTCCTACCATTAACTTTTGTTTTTCTTTTGTTTCCATAGAAATGCCTCTTATTAGATCACCATATAGAGGCCTAACTTTGATGAGAGCTCACCTGCAATATCTCCTGAAATGAGACACAACTGCTTAATTGAATTGACCTATTCTCAGCACTAAGACAATGATTTGATATGGGGCAATGTACTTAAATTTGTTCAGCTGCACTTGTTCCAATCTATGTTTTCCTCTTCCTTTGCCAATCCCTGATCTCACAATCTCTAATCCAAATCTCTTCAAAGCTACCAACTTGGAGAGTTCTAAGCCACCATTTTGAGTTACTTTGTGTTGTGGTTTCTCCTGCATTGTGTGCTGCACGTATTAATAAACTTGTTTTTCTCTTATTAATCTGTCTTTTGTTATGGGGTCTGTCTCAACTAAAAACTCATGAGGGTTGAGGAAAAAATTATTTTTCCTCCCTGACAGTACTTTACTTAACACAGAAATGGACTTCACTATTCAATTTTGTCTCCTGAAGAAAACAAACAGAAAACCCAAACATCTCCCGTCCCATTTTCCCCACTACCCACAAAATCTCAACAGCAAATAAAACATAGACAACTTAATGACTTAATATCTGAACTTCACCTGGGGAAAGCAGATTTTACATAAGCACGCTGCTAATATTTTCTTGACGTGATACTTTCAGGTTATATCTATTTGTACATTTAGGTAAAAAATTTATAAATATGAATATGATTGAAATGCCTAAGAAAAACTTATTTTAGCCCAATATTTTGGCCATTTCTTACCTCTTTCTGTAGAATTTCTTCTCGAACTTCAGAAACTACGAGAGACTCTTGTTTACTCTGCAGCTCATTAACTTGACTTTGGAAATGTCTTATAAGTACCTAGGAAATTGTTAGAAGTGCTGAGTTAATAAAGCTCCTCCTTGAACACTATCTGAAAAATATAAGAAAGCCAACTCACAAAAGGGAACTCTTATATACTGTTGGTGGGAATGTAAGTAAGCACAGCTACTATGGAAAAAAATTATAGAGATTTCTCAAAAAACTAAAAATAGAATTACCGTATTATCTAGCAATCCCACTACTGGGTATCTATCCAAAGGAAAAGAAATTTGTATATCAAACGGACACCTGGCACTTGCATGTTTATTGCAGCACTATTCACAATAGCAAAGATATGGAATCAATCTAAGTTCCCATCAACAGACGAAAAGAAATGTGATATATATACCCAATGGAATACAATTCAGCCTTAAATAAGAGGGAAATAATGTCATACGCAGTTAAATGGATGGAACTGAAGGTCATTATGTTAAGTGAAGTAAGCTAGGCACAGAAAAATACTGCATGTTCTCACTCATGTATGAGAGCTAAAAAACTTGATCTCATGAACACAGAGAATAGAACAATAGATACCAGAGATGGGAGTGGGGGGTTGGGAAGGATGAAGAGAGGTTGGTTATGGGTACAAACATACATACAGTTAGATAGATGAAATAAGTTCTAATGTTTAATAGCAGACCAGGGTGACTGTACTTGGCAACAATATTATGTGTATTTCACGGTAACTAGAAGAGAGAGTTTGAAGTGATACCAAGACATAAAAATGATGAACACTCAAGGTGACAGAAATCCCAATTACCCTGACTTGATTATTACACATTCTTTGCATGTAGCAAACACTCACATGTATCCTATAAATATCTAAATCATTATATATCAATAAAAGGGGGGGAAAATAAATATGAACATTTTTCATGACTAGAAAAAGTCCTTTTAAAATAAAGCTCTATAAAGTCTACACATTTGGAAAAAGGTAGACAATATTATCTTTATACTCTGTGGTTAAGTATGATAGTTTTTATTTAAGAACTATGGCTTAAATATAACATAAGCCTCATAATATCTGTGAAATAAATGTCAGTCTCATATCTTTAGGTAAACTGAAATATATGAACAGATACTTCCATCAAGAAACTAAGAGAAATTGGGAAAAATTTATCTTATCTCTAATGCTGTATTTTTAATGATCAGACTATGCTGATTTCTCTTTAACTCAATTTTACAATATTACATTTATAACGCTGGGAAAATAACATTTATGGCACTATGGCATCATGATACTACTTTTCCTACCTCTTCCAGACTATTCCTTAATACAAAATCACTTGATAGAATGCTTATAGTTGCCCTCTGACACCCTATTCCTATGGAGGATAAGGCCAGAGAGGTTCTCTGTAAGGCTGTATGGATTGTTACTTACGAAAGGCACTTTAAGTATTTTTCATTAACGTAGTCAAATAGTCCTTTTTTTTCTCAGCGATCTGAAGTTAAGTTACAGACTTCATTACATTTTGCCCCTAAATACTTCAAATGCCACTTTGGGAGGTCAAAGTGGGTGGATCACTTGAGGTCAGAAGTTCGAGACCAACCTGGCCAACATGGTGAAACCCCATCTCTACCAAAAATATAAAAATTAGTCAGGCATGGTGGCGTGCACCTGTAATCCCAGCTACTTGGAAGGCTGAGACAGAAGAATCGCTTGAACCTGGGAGGCAGAGGTTGCAGTGAGCTGAGACAGCCTGGGTGACAGAAGGAGACTGTCTCAAAGAAACAAAACCTTCAGATGCTTCAACATACATCTCTTTAGAATAAGGGCATTTCTCACAAAACCATAACATTTTATACCTAAGAAAATTTATAGTAATTTCTTAGTATCTAATAGCCAGTCCATATTCAAACTTCCCGAATTGAGGAATTTATTTTTAATTAAGATGGTATTAAATAATTACACTTGGTGAGATAATTCTTTCTTGATGTTTTTCTCCCTGACCTTCTTTCTTAAAATTGAAGCCTACAGACAAGATGAACACAATAAACATTCATATATTTTTCAACTTGATAACCCAAAAGGTGGCTGATTTGCCACCTTTTTCTTTTTCTTGGATATACCATTTGAAAGTAGATTGTAGATAAAAGTCCTATTTTAATGCTATTTTTATAAGTGACAAACAGTACAGAAGACAGGCCACATGGTAATGCTCATAGATATTCTAAGTAGATATACCTATTTTTCAAAAAGGAAGACACATTTATTTGAGGAAATGCTGATGAGTTGGCAGCATTCCCTATAATAATTCTTAGAAGACTATGCTCCATCAGAGCAAGAGCTGTGTATCTCTCTTTTCATTATTTTATTCCAGTGCCTGATTGTCTATTGACCTGAATCATTATTTGTTAATAAAAGGTCATGGGGCAGGAAGAATGCCTAAGGATAACTGTCAGCTGGGACTTGGGGACTCGGTTCAACATCCAAGTTCAAGTACTAGGGTCCTAATCATGTTAGACATATACCTCACCACCTGTGACAAATTTAGAGACTTATTTGAGAAGTATAGGGACAAACTGTAAAAATATTTATTTATATGGTGTAGTTTTAAAGTAGAAAAATTAAATATATAGTATTATCTTCTTTAAAAAAATTAAATATATAGTATTATCTTCTTTAAAAAAGAAATCAAGCCAATAATAGTTTCCCATTTCTATCACCAAGCTGAAAAAGTTAAAACATTTCCAAATAAAACAATGTTAACTTTAATCTCATTAAAGTCAAAACGAGTTTATTCAAGTCAAAAGATAAAACAGATTTGTCATCTACCTCTTGAGTTGCTATTTTACGATTTAGTTCAGCTACTTTGGAAGAAGAATTTTCTACTGCATTTTGGCAAAGGAGTTTCTCTATTTCTCTCTGATGAGATGCTTTGAGGGATGCAATGTGTGCTGCAGTATCTTCCTTGACCCTACAGAGCAAATGAAAGAAAACCACACATAAAAGTGGCTCTTCAACCTCTAATTCAGAGTTAGCACAAAAACAGTAGAAGAAACCTGGGAATTAAGCAAGGGGAAAATGGGCACCAATATTAACTGCACTGTGTTAGGTGCTTTATACATTACTACTGCCTATGAGTTCTTATGACCAATCCATGAGCTACTATTTACTGAATTTTATAAGGGCAAACTTGAGGAAATAGTGATATATCTCTACTTTACCCCAACCTGAGGCTACACTTTCTGAGGGAATCTAGGGTTCCAAAAGCAAAGCACTTGACATTTGATCTTTTAAGATAAACTCAGATTTCTTGCCCAGATGCTTCTTTGGAAAATCACAGCTGTTCCCTTTAGAATCTCCAATGCCTTGTAGGCAGCATTAACCAATTTTCAACCCATGCATGAGACTCCAGGGCTAGTTGCATATTGTGAGAATGAGACAATCTTTATGGTAATTCTCAGGACATATTATGCTTGTAATATGCAATTAATTAATTGGACTGTAAGTGTGAAAGACTATTCATTTGTCTCTGTGATAAAATTTATTCAGAGGCAGTTCAGTAAATGGTTAAAATTATAAATAAAGATTTGGTATATTTCCTACAGATAAACATTTTCTCTCTTATTGGAAAGACTTTGAAAATAACAGCATTTAACTTAAAGCATGTATTTTAGTAAACTGCTGTTGCTATATATTAATATGGTGCTTCCCAACTATAGACAAATTTATCCATTGCTTATTTCACCATATGAATATTTCTCCATGGAAACAGTGTGAGTAGGGTCCTAGAAAAAGCATAAAAACCTAAATTAAAGCACATATAACTGAATGATAGTAAAAAGTCTAAATATTGGACTAGAAAAGTTTATTCTTCACTTCTCAGGCCCAGACTTATCTAAGAAACAGATTGACAATATTAACAAATTTTAAATGATGTACAGGAAAATTAATTGGAAAACCTGAATTTTAAATTCTTTCCTGGAAAAAATGTGATTCTTCTTAAAGAGCTTCATGCTACTGTCATAATATTCAGGACTTAAGAAACAAGCTTTCCATTTGGTAGCAATATGACTGCCATATGGTAACAACATGACTCACTCACTGCCATGGCTGCCAGTCAATAAGCATTTGTTGGGTGTTTCCCATGCTCATTCTCCTCCTACAGCACATTGCTGTGGGGATGCAAAAGCAGCATAATCTTACACCAGTTCTCAAGGAACTACAAGGCTGTGTATGATTAATCCTTTCTTGGTACATATTAGTAAGTTATGTAGGAGTTGGGGGTAGGAGAAGGCAATTTCCTGGGAAGTTCCACGAAATGTTTTGTGAAGGTAGTACTTATAACAAGAATGAGGAAAAGGCATGAGGAAATGTGACAGATTAGGTAAGTAGAGTAGTATTAGAATAGTGATGAGACTTGAGATGCTAGGCAGAGAAATTTAGTCTTGATATTTAAGGAAGTTGAGAGTCACCGGAGAGCAGAGTGACCCAGGTATATGAGTATTTAAAGAATATTAATGATTTTTAAGCAAGATGACTGGGGAAGGTTAAAAAAAAGGAAGATTGGAGTGGGAAAATTGTATAATGGCAGCACTGGTTTATAAAAGTAAGGAAGACTGGAAAATGGGAAACATTTATACCCAAGGAATAACAGAGATAAAGCTGGGCTGGTAATTAAAATAAATATAGACAGGGAAGGGGAGCTTGGGAAGGGGAACTAATTTACAGGTAAAAAAAGGAAACTTGAGGTATTAGTGATTCCAAGAGAAGCAATCCAATAAATAGTTCTAGGTTTCACATCTGAACTCAGCAAAGAGAACAAGACTTTAAAAGTAAATCTAGAAGTCATGGTTCACAGAAACCGTAAGAATGGGTAAGTTTAGCAACAGAGAAAGAACAGAGAATAAACAGAAAACTAAGAGCTGAATGCTGGTAGAAAGCCAGATTTTTGGGGATGGAGAAGGAAGAAGGGTCAGAATTCAGTAAAAGAAACAGAAAAGGAGTTTTGGTCAGAGCAGCCAAGCCACAGAGGTTAAGGGGAGAAGCCATTTCAGGAAAAGTAGTGTGGTCAACATTGTTGAAGAAAATGAGGAAGGAGAAAATGCCCCTGGACTGGGAAAGCTCATTATTGAGACCAGGTTTAAAAAGGGTGATGATGAGAGCCATATTTAAGAGGAAGTGAGATAGAAATAAAAGAAAATACTATTTGTGAAAAACGGGTGCTAAAAGACAGGATTGGATTGGAACCTGATCAGGTGAAAAAAAGATCTGAGGATGTCAAAAGACTCAGAGGAAAGAGACAGTGGATAGCAAATGGAGATAGTGAGAAGGAAATGGATGAGTATAAAGTTCCTTAAGGCATGAATGGATGTGATCACAAGGTCAATTTGAAGAGTTATTTTTGAAAAGAGGACCTTTTCCTTTTAGACTGCCAACTAGCTTTAACAATAACTGTTTTCTGAAAGCAATCTGTCTATAGCAATAATAAACTATGACATTCCTTTGCTAGAAGAGCCCAAAGAGTCAGCTTATTAATACCATTTGGGTACATGCCAAAAGGCAAGACTGGCGAGCCCAAGGACACAATTTGGGTTGACACAGATGTTCAGGTACATCAGAATTTGGGCCACCAGCAGGTAGAAGACCCTATCCTGAAACAGACACATGCTCAGCAATATAATATAATTTATTAATATTCACTTATGAATTCAGTTCGGGGTCAAACTAATTATCTGGAGGAAATATATCGTATAATTTTTCTATTTTTATCTTTTTATTTTTACAAATATTTATAAATAATTTAACATTTTACCTTCTCATGGAGTTTTCAAATTGATTCATCACTGCTTCAGATTTCATCTTCAGTTCATTCTTCTCTGAAATTAATCCTTCTAGCTCATTTTTTAATCTGTAGTTTTCTTGTAAAACTTCTGAAACATGGGAATCAGTGAAAGTATGTGGTTGGTACAGCTTGCTGTCCAGGGTTCCAGGGAAGGAGTTAGCATTTCCTTTACTTGAGTGCAAAACATCTTTCTTTGCCCTTTTGGCAGACATTTCCTCTCTGCCCTTTGAGTTCTGATTTGATAGCATCATTCTTCTGTCTTTCTGAAGCCTCTCCACAGTTTTTGAGAGGTCTTGTATTTCTCTCTTTTTTGCAGCCAGTTCTTCATTGAGTCTTACTAATTTAGCTTTAGCATGAGCCTGTTCCACCTGGAATTCTATAGACTGAAAATCTTCATCATCTTTATCATTTTTCTTGACGTCTAATTCAGCATTCTGATGTTTAAGAACGTCTATTTCGGCTTCAAGGTTTCTTACAGTGATCTGATGGGCTTCCTTGATGTCATCAAGTTCCTTCTCTAGGGCTTTAATTCTGGGAGAGTCATGTTGATTCAATTTGCAGGCAAGTAGCTGCTCCTGCTGCTCTAGTCTTTGTTCATACTGAATCTGAAGGAAAGAATCCATGTAATGCCAAACACCTGTTAAACGTTTCATTAGTTGCTGAAGCCCTGCACACTACTGGGTCCTACCTAATCCTTTATTCAGGTACTCATTATACATTCTGATGTCTACAATTCTGTTTCTTGAGTGAGTCAAATGTATTGAAGTCCTAGTCTTTCAGGGCATAACATTATATATTCTTGATATATGTTATGTTATTTAATAATTGATATGTTGCTTCATAACTATTAACTTACATATGTTCTTACACACTCCAAAATTTATTTTAAATCTCACAATAAAACCTATTATTATGCAGTCTTCTCCATGCAAACTGTCAACACACTCTTCGAGGATAAACAGTAAAGCAACTGGGGGCACTGAAGTCTTCGGGAAACAGCACATTTTCAACCTTCTAACATCAATTTATTACTTTCATAGAGAGTAAAATGGCCTGGAATTTGTATACTGGAGCTTTAATATTTTGTTTAGTATTCAGCAAATGAAATAAATAATTTCTCCTACGGAGGGAGGCACGAGCAGTGTTTGCTCATTCATTCAATGGATATTTACCAAGTTATGACCTTATGCCAAGCAACATGCAGGTTCTAGCAACAAAAAGACTCAGTTATTATTTTCAAATAGCTCACAGCTTGGTGAGGAGAGCAACATGGCAGCAGCTACAACGTCCCACAAGTAAAATAATGGGCCTGTGAACATAGTGCAGTGAGTGCAGAGGAGGCGACGCTGCCCTAAGTGTCTGGAGGCTTGACAGAAGGTGGGAAGACTGCACAGAGATAGCACATTTATGTTCGGTCTTGAGAGATGACTGTTAATTTGGGGTTAGGTGGAGTCAGGGATGTTTTGGAAGTAGGAAGAGCATATGCAAAGCTGGCTGAATGTTTGGTATATACAGGGAATCAGAAATGAAAGGGGGAAGAGACAAGTAGTAAGCAAAGGCAGGAGTGGGATGGGGCAGGGGGCTGCAAAAAGAAACAAGTTAGGGTGTTTAGATTTAGATACATAAAAGTGCAGTAGCGGGTTGGAGTTTACACCTGACAGTCTTATTTAGTTGGTGGAACACTAATAATAATTATAATCATTAATTGTTTGCTAGACTCCAGACATGTTATCAGGGATATCTATCTATCTATCTATCTGTCTGTCTGTCTGTCTGTCTGTCTGTCTATCTATCTATCTATCTACCTATCTATCTATCTATCTATGTATCTATCTGTAAAACAGGGTGGAATAGAAGAAACCCAACCTCCTTGATGTGACCTTAATTAACAGGCCACTGTATTTCCAGGTTATCAACCTTCTACTGTTTCTGGAATCTAATGTTCTGTCATTTGTTGCTTTTCTCGGGATATAAATATGTGGGAAATGAAATGAGCTTCCTAGAACATCTCAGCTCCTTCATCTGCAAAATAGTGTTAACAGTATCTACTCCTCACAGGTGTTTGGAAGGATTATGCAAGATGAACAGAGATATTTATGAAAGTATCTAGCATGAATTCCTGACAGACACGTGCTCAACAAATTTTTAAAAATAATCTATAACTGTTATTTGTCTACAAAATTTTTTTTAAAGTAAATTAAATATGTCCTGTTTCATACTTGGTCTGTTCTAGCACTTGTATTTTCTGATTCATTCCTGTTTCACAAAATAATGGAAAACTCAGAAAGTAAGACATTTCTGGAAGATGCTCCCCTACCCGCTGTTCCTAAAATGTATACTTCTGTCTTATTCCCTTACCCTTCTCTAGATAAATTTCAGTGAAAATATTTTCAAACATGGTAATTTCTTTTTTCCTTTTGTACTGGATACATATCAGGTGTGTTTTATTCTGCTTTTTCATGACTTAATTTCCACTAATTCTCATATTGAGAGAGATGATGTAAAGATTATCCTGTGCTTGATTACTCTGTCAGAAATAGAAAAGTTGCTGAAAGACGACACCAAAATAGGATGCACTTGGTTTCTTTTGCACCTATTGATACCAGTGGTAAAGGTTTCATGGGAAAGAATGTTTATAGCTATTTGTTAAAGTGAGATCCTAAGAAGTGCCTGCCCCCATTGTTCATCTCTGACCTTTATCTCTGAGGCTACTTACCACTTACCTTCATTTTCTGAAACTGTTGTTCCATGGTACGAAGGCTTTTCTTTGCATCTTCATCTTTGCCCTCCAGATCAGCTTCTAGCTTTTTTATCCTTTTCTCCATAAATTCCACTGTATTTTTATCCACTGTATCACCAGCTGCTGATGCAGCCAATATTAAAGCAGGTAAAGAATTGGGATATCTTCTCTTCAGAATCCCTTCCATTTCCTTAACCTATTAAAACATATTTTCCACCAAAGAACACTTAGATTTAATAAATGAATTCAGTAAAGTTTCAGGATACAATCTACAGAAATCTCTGTATACAGTAGCATTTCTATATACCAATAACAATCTTGCTGAGGACCAAATCAAGAACTACCTAGGAATATATTTAACCAAGAAGGTGAAGGATGTTTGCCAGGAGAACTACAAACACTGATAAAGAAAACCGTGACACAAACAAATAGAAAAACATCCCATGTGCATAGACTGGAAGGATTAGTGTAGTTAAAATGACCATACTGCCTAAAGCAATCTACAAATTCAATTCAATCCCTATCAAATTACCAAAGTCATTTTTCACAGAATTAGAAAAACCAATCCTACAATTCATACGGAACCAAAAAAGAGGCTGAATAGCCAAAGCAATCCTAAGCAAAAAGAACAAAGCTGGAGGTATCACACTACCTGACTTCAAATTGTACTACGAGGCTATAGCAGCCAAAACAGCACAGTACTGATAAAAATAGACACATAGATCAATGGAACAGAATAGAGAACCCAAAAATTAAGCCACATGCCTACAATCAACTGATCTTGGACAAAGTCACCAAAAAAATACACTAGGGAAAGGACACCCTATTCAATAAATGGTGCTGGGAAAAATGGATTGTCATGTGCAAAAGAATGAAACTGAACTCACACCTCTCACTTTATACAAAAATAAACTCAAGATGCTTTAAAGATCTAAGACCTGAAACTATAAAAATCCTAGAAAAAATTCTAAGAAAAACACTTTTGAACACTGGCCCAGGCAAAGGATTTATGACCAAGTCTCCAAAAGCAAATGCAACAAAACCAAAAATAAACAAATGGGACTTAATTAAATAACCCCATTAAAAAGTGGGCAAAGGACACGAACACACATTTTTCAAAAGACATACAAGTGGCCAAAAAATATGAAAAAATGCTCAACCTCACTAATCACCAAATAAATGCAAATTAAAACCACAATGAGGTACCATCTTACTCCAGTCATAAGGGTTATTATTAGAAAGTTAATAAACAGCAGACGTTAGCGAGGATGTGGAGAAAAGGGAACACGTGTACACTGTTGGTGGGAGTATAAATTAGTAAAACCATTATGGAAAACAGTGTGGAGATTTCTTAAGACCTAAAAAGAGAACCACTTGATCCAGCAATTCCACTACTAGGATTGAAAGGAAAATAAATCGTATCAAAAAGACACACACACACACACACACACACACACAAACACACTATTCATCCATAGAAGAGAATAAAAGCATGTTTTGAAGCAACATGGATGGAACTGGAGGCCATTATCCCAAGTGAAATAACTCAGAAAGTAAAACTCCACATGTTCTCACTTGAAAGTGGGAGCTAAACAATGTACACACATGTATATACAGACTGGAATAACAGACACTGGAGACTACAAAAGGTGGCAGGGTGGGAGGGGGTGAGGGCTAAAAAATTACCTACCAGGTACAGTGTTCATTATTTGGGTAGTGGCTACACTAAAAGGCCAGACTTCACCACTATGCAATATATGCCTGCAAGAAATCTGCAATTGTACCCCCTAAATCTATAAAAATAAAACAGTAAAATTTTTGAAACATATATATGGTCACAAATATATGTAAAATAAAGCAATTTAATGCATAAACTTAGATTATGCTACACTTGTCAATATTTCGGAGATATTTATAGCATGTCTCCAGATTGAATCGAATGCACAGAAGCACAAATTAATTTCACATTTTACATCCCTAGATTATCTGATGAAAAAATCTTAAAGTATATTGTCTAATTACCTATGGGTTTATTTACAGAAATTCTCTTAAATTCATTAGAAATATATCTTCAGGGCTGGGTGCGATGGCTCATGCCTGTAATCCCAGCACTTTGGGAAGCCAAGGCGGGTGGATCACTTGAGGTCAGGAGTTCCAGACCAGCCATGGCCAACATGGTGACACCCTGTCTCTACTAAAAAAATACAAAAATTAGCCTGGTGTGGTGGTACACACCTGTGGTCCCAGCTACTCAGGAGGCTGAGGTGGGAGAACTGCTTGGACCCAGGAGGCTGAGGTTGCAGTGAGCCAGGATCGCGCTCCAGCCTGAGTGACAGGGTGAGACAACGTCTCAAAAAAAAAAGAAATATGTCTTCAGACTTTCAATTAGTAATAACCAGTCCTCTTGAGTACAAAGCTCTCTCCTCTTTTTTCCAGACTCCCTCATATGATAGTGCTTCTACACTCTACTGACTGAAAAATTACTTATATGCACATGAGTGTGTAAACTTTTTGCAATAAACATTCAGCTTCCTAAGCACCTGACTCTGCCGGAAGCTCTACTCCACTCCAATCCTCTGGTCCAAATAAAGTTTAATCTACTTTAAAATGATTTCTTTTAATTGGAAAGCAAGGAGGATTAGATAACATTTAATGAAGTCTTCATAAAGGACTGGATACTTTTCATTTAATATAAAAAACAATGACATATTATATAATGAAAGAAACACACCAGGGTCCACAGAAATGACAGCTTATTATATATGCCTGTCTATATACCTGCTTTTTAAAACTATTATGGTGAAGATATCTTTGAAAAACATACAAACACTAAATTCTTTGTTGAACTGTTTTCTAGCCTATGAGCATGCAACAAAATAGTGCCTGAGAGGCAGTCTAGTGTCAGTTAAGAGCATATTTGGGTTAGACTGTGCCACCAGCTTTAGGACCTTGTGTCAACTAATCCCTCAGTTTAAATCTCTCTTGTCTCATGGGTAAGATGGGAATGGTAACAGTAGCAATTTCAAAGGGTTGATATAATTGAGGATCAAATGACTTTCATCTTGTTAAGCACTTAAGAGTGCCCAGCATATAGTGAGGGCTTGGTAAGTGTTGGCTTTTATGATGATTTCATCTCCTAAGGCAAGATGGTTTGCTGGTGCTCAAAATCCTGTTCATATTAGGTATTTAAGGGGCATATGATTTACATAGTTAATATAAATATTTACACTTGTGAAAACTGCTTGCACATTTATTGATATATCATAAATTGGGATATATCCATCTACAAATATTAGTCATTTCTTTCACCCGAAAAATTCAAAGCTTTGTTTCCTCTGATACTAGTTAACTGAGTTAGTTGTAGGTATATGAAAATACATGTATACATACCAACACTAAATATAGTAAAAAGAGAACTAGGTTTTATAAATGTAACATTTTAAATTAATGTATTCATTTAAAAATTAAATATTTTCAATCTGATTTTGATATCTTGAAATATATACTGTATTTTTTGGGAAAAATGAGATTTTATTTGTATCTTCTTTAATTTTGCTTTTTAATATTATTCTTTGGTCAAAAATATCAGTCTGGTATACAAAGTAAATTTTTTTTAACTCTCATTGCAAATCAAACCATGAAATATTCCATTAAATAAAAAAAGCACAAACACAATCTAAAATTTTCATTACAATATGCATCTAATTAGCCCCATTTTTACTTATATTCTATTTAAAAATAGATAATTTATAATTAGTCTATTTAAGAATAGACTAATTATAATTATTCTGAATATATTGTGATATACCTTGATTAAAAAATATGTATTAAGTTTTAAAATATCAGGATAGAAATGCTCATGGAAACTAAATAAATACAATCTGAAATGTATATGCAGCAATCCAACTATATAGATAACTATTTTAGAAAAATATAAGATGATGAACTGTTTAATAAAAGTATTAATACAAAAGGGAGGTTACTTTTATAAAGTGGTATATCTCTTGCCAATATGGATTCAATTCTACATAATTTCTCTTAAAATAAGTTATCTAATAAAGAAGTAGCTCCTTTGGTCTTTTTTCTCTCCCACTTCTGGATGGCTTCTTAGATTAGCTAATCTAAGTCTTTAGCACTAAAGAAAATCCAAGCAATGCTGGACTATACTTACTTCAGAATATTTCTAGTTCTTTTTTAAAATTAATTATTTATATATATATATATATATATATATTTTTTTTTTTTTTTTTTTTTTTTTTTTTTTTTTTGAGATGGAGTTTTGCTCCATCACCCAGGCTGAGGTACAGTGGCATGATCTTGGCTCATTCCAACTTCTACCTCCCAGGTTCAAGTGATTCTCTTGCCTCACCCTCCCAAGTAGCTAGGATTACAGGTGTGCACCACCAAGCCCAGCTAAAACCATGCCTGGCTAATTTTTCTATTTTTTAGCAGAGAGAGGGTTTCACCATGTTGGCCACCCTGGTCTTGAACTCCTAGCTTCATGTGATTCTCCTGCCTCTGCCTCCCAAAGTGCTGGGATTACAGGCGTGAGCCACCGCGCCTGGCCAAATATTTCTAGTTCTTCATACCACATTTGGCTGATCCTTTCTTGGCCCTGACCCAATCTACTCAGTCATACCTTTTAATATAAAAATAGGTCTTGTAAAAGTAATAAAGTTAATTCTTTGCTTAGTTTTCCTTCTTCTCATAAAACTGGGATAATATTCAGCCCAGTAATGACCTCACAGTTTCGGATTCATGATGGAATAATACCCATATGTCTAAGTACCATGACTTGACTACAGAATCATGTTCCCTTATGAACAAGGCTGGCAATTCATATTTTGTTTTAAAATATTTAGTTATGAATATAAATGCTATATTACAGTGTTTTAAAAACAGAAGGAAAAAAATAACAATCTTGCTTCCTAAAACAAATACTTAAATAAAAAAATCTTTATTTTAATAAGCTTCACTTTATGATTAAAGGTCTCCCACACTGACCACAAAATGAGTATTTCTAAGCCTGAATGGTAAGAAAGAGCTCAAGATAATGGCCAGCTCTTTGGGAAGCTGAATGTTTTGTTTATAGGGTGTTTTGTAACATTTCCCAAGCATTACCAGCATGTTCCCAACTCAGGGATCTCCCTCCTGTACTCCTCTCTCAGCTGTCTACGGTCAGGAAGAGAAATCCTAACTCTATATCCAGAGTTCCAAAATTCTACTTCCTTCTTCCTAGATGTCTAATAGAGCTAGGGTACCAAATAACCTTTATCAACAGGTCTACCATCTTACGAATGAGGCACATTAGTCTAAAAATTATGTAATTATAAAGCTGTAGGTATATAAAATGATGTTATTACTTTTACTAATGTAAATACTTTAAAACAAAAATTTCCAGGTCAACTCCATCTCATGGGAACTCCTGAAACAAAAGAGAAAACCAAAATGCACTATATATAAAATATGCTCATGAAAATTTACCCTGAACACATACTTGTCGCTCCAGATCCTGAATTTTTTTGGCATCTGCTGCTTTATCTTTTAAGCGTATCTTCTGCCGAATAGATGGATTCCCAGATTCAGCTTTCAGTTTCTCAATCTGTCAATAAATAAATAACATGTTAAGAAGCATATGTAAACATAACAGAAAAGCTCCAAGGGGAAAGCATAATATTAGTGCACTCATACATTTATTAATTCCTCAGCAAAATTTGGGGAATTAATTCCTCAAATTCTTTGAGCTCCTCCCAAGTTCCAGGCACTTCCTAGATCTGGCAGGAGATATGGAGGGCAAACAAGACAAACTAAGTCCCTGCTCCCAAGATGCTTATGCTCTAGTAGAGGGAGAGAGTTGATAAGCTAATAAATAAAGTAAATCAAAGGGAAAATGAAATAACTTCAGAGTGGTAAGGGCTAAGAAGAAAATAAAACAGAGTGAAGGGATAGGAACAAAGAACCAGAAGTTGAGGGATTGGCAGCTACATTAGGAAAGGGAGTCAGGAAACGTCTTTTCTAGAGAGTAGATATTTGAGCCAAGAGGAACAAGGAGTACGAGTGAGACAAAAAAGAACTAAAGCTAGAGTATTCCAGGCCAAGAAAACAAGTGGAATGAGTCCAGCATGTTCAAGAATCAGAGGAGCTCTGATGTGGCTGGAGAAGAGTGACTCAGGGGAGTGTGGTACCTGATGACACTGAAGAGGCAGGCAGGGTTTGGACCCCATGGGGGCCTGACAGGTTGTGATAAGGAGCTTATATTTATTCTCAGTCTAATTTAAAATAGACTATATATCTAAAAGCAAACCACCGATCTTAATTAATAGTTCAGATCTTAATTAATTAATGATGCAATGACAAAAGGTTATGTACAACAGATATTACGGACAAAAGGATTCATCTAGAGAAGAAATACATTCTGAAATATCTATTACCTCAAGTTTGAGCTTCTCAATTTCCTCATTTGCTTCTCTAAGCCGAAGTGCATCTTTATCCAGAAGTTCCTGATTTTCAGCATACCACTGTAATCTTTTTTGCAGACGACTGATTTCTTGTTTATGTGTTTCTTCTAAAATTTTTATTTCATATAATTTCTCACCTATAAGATACAGTAACTCAATAACCTGCTTGTTGTTCTCCAAAATATGGAAATAAACTAAATTAAAAGATTTTAAATGAAAACCAATGCCCATCTAATGACAGCATTATGAAAAAATAAGAAGCATAAAACAACTGATGTATACAACATAGTGTCTAGCTTAATCTATTAGTCAAAGGAAATAAGAGATTGTGTTTATAATCCAAATTGTCAACCTTATATAGCAAAGTTGGCTATGTAGAAATTTTTGATAAATTATTTTCCACTAACCTTTTTAAAATTATAAAAGTAAAGTTGTTTCCATGGGAAAATAAATGTTGGATTTAAGAAATAATAAAAATGAAGAACGCCCATAATTATACTAAAAAGTAACAACGACAAACATTCAGGAGTGCTTATTACCATTTATTATGTTATTTACTACAACAAACTTTTACAGTGGATACTACTATTATTGTTGTTACTCTATATTTTACGGAAAAGGGAAGCAAATGTCATTTTCTTACAAACAGGTCAGAATGGATTTCTCTGCACATATCTTACACTGAAGCTCATAATACTGCAGAGGAAAGATCCTATCTTTTGCAAACAAGGGCTCCTCTGATCTAACTTTCTATCCCTGTGTTCTGCCACTCTAAGTTATAGAACATACTTCTGCAGCCTCTCTCCATCCCTTCACTTTCAAATTTTACTACCTGTCAAGGCCCAGCTCAAATGCCACTCTGCCACGAAACCCTCATTTGGTATCCCAATTCCTCTCATGTTTGTTTGTAATTTTTTCTTACATTATGAGTATTCTTACCTTACTCCCCTTGGTTTTCGTAGTAGGGACCATGCCACATTTATCTATGTGTTCTTTATAAAACCCAGTGCACTACTATTTATTCACTTGGCAAATACACAACAGCCTACAAAGTTTCAGACCCAGGGAAAAGAAGACAGGCCTTGCCCTCAGGAAGGTCACAGTCTAGCTAGGATGACAGATTTATGAACGACCAAACATAAATGCCATGAATCCAAAATAATTCTTGATTTTCTCTTGTCTTGCAGTTATTCCTGTTAAACCCAATCAAATTCACACATCTTTTAATAACTAATTTTAAAAAATGTTTCTAAAATTACAATATACTTCAAGGAGTAGCATTTTGATTATACCATTCAATTTCTATTACTTAAATTCAACATTAGAACAGTTATGATTATAAAGGTACACTGTTTCAGCTCAGTGTTTTACCTGTGACATAAGCAATCTGATCTTTGGCTTGGTCCCTCTCTTTCTTCATTTTTTCGAAGTCTACTTCAAGAGCTTGTTTGTCTTGTTTCAGTCTTTTGATGTCTTCCAATAAACTGTCTTTTTCTTTCTTGATATTCAAAAGAAATATAAAAGCAAGTTTTTTACAACCACAATAAATTGTGGTATAGTCTTTCAAACAATCCATCATGAACACTACGGCAAAATATTTTCTCTAAATTTTAGCTCTGATGTTATTACTACCACCTGCCCCACCCCAGAATTTTTAATGGCATGCAATAGCCTATTAAAATCAGTTCTAATTATCTCAACACAGCATTAAAGACCTCTCAATCTATTGTTCTAACTTCTTCCATATACTAACCATATTGATGACCCATGAATTCTCTTGCTTGGATTACTGTAATAAGCTCTTAACTAGTATGCCTCTTCTACCTCTGGCCCCTACAGTCTATTCTCACAGCAGCCACATGAATTGCTGTACAGTCAGTTAATGTCATTCTCCACCAAAAACTCTCTGCTGGCCAGGCGTGGTGGCTCATGCCTGTAATCTCAGTACTTTGGGAGGCCAAGGTGGGCGGATCACTTGAGGTCAGGAATTCGAGACCAGTATGGCCAACAAGGTGAAACCACGTCTCTACTAAAAATACAAAATTAGCCAGGCAAGGTGGTGCCCGCCACCATGACAAATGGGATCTAATTAAACTAAAGAGCTTCTGCTTAGCAAAAAGAAACTATCGTCAGAGTGAACAGGCAACCTACAGAATGGGAGGAAATTTTTGCAATTTATCCATCTGACAAAGGACTAATATCCAGAATCTACAAGGAACTTAAACAAATTTACAAAAAAAAAAAAAAACCATCAAAAAGTGGGTGAAGGATATAGACAGACTCTTCTCAAAAGACGACATTTATGCGGTCAACAAACATATGAAAAAAAGCTCATCATCACTGGTCATAGAGAAATGCAAATCAAAACCACAATGAGATACCATCTCAAGCCATTAGAATGATGATCATTAAAAAGTCTGGAAACAACAGATGCTGGCAAGGATGCGGAGAAACAGGAATGCTTTTACACTGTTGGTGGGAGCGTAAATTAGTTCAACCATTGTGGAAGACAGTGTGGTGATTCCTCAAGGATCTAGAACTAGAAATACCATTTGACTCAGCAATCCCATTACTGGGTATATACCCAAAGGATTATAAATCATTCTACTATAAAGACACATGCACACATATGTTTATTGCAGCACTATGTACAATAGCAAAGACTTGGAACCAACCCAAATGCCCAATGATAGACTGGATAAAGAAAATGTGGCACATGTACACCATGGAATACTATGCAGCCATAAAAAGGAATGAATTCATGTCCTTTGCAGGGCCATGGATGAAGCCGGAAACCATCACTCTTAGCAAACTAACACAGGAACAGAAAACCGAACACTGCATGTTCTCACTCATAAGTGGGAGCTGAAGAATGAGAACACATGGACACAGGGAGGGGAACATCACACAAGGGTACCTGTCGGGGGGTGAGGGGCAAGGGGAGGAGAGAATTAGGACAAATACCTAATGCAGGTGGGGCTTAAAACCTACATGATAGGTTGATAGGGGCAGCAAACCACCATGGCACATGTATACCTATGTAACAAACCTGCCCATTCAGTACATGTATCCCAGAACTTAAAGTAAAATAAACAAAACAAAACAAACAAAAAAAAAGAAAACTCCCTGCTGGCTCCTTGCAGGGTTAACCCAAAGTCCTTACCATGACCTTTAGTGTCATATAACCCAGCTTTACCCATGACTGATCACCTCTTCTATAAATCCCCACCTATTCCATTCTAGCCAGAGACCTCCTTGCTGTGTTTTGAACACTCCTACCTCAAGGGGTCTGCACTGTCTCTTCTGCTTGCAGTGCTTTGGGACCCAGATAGCCAGGCAGTTTCCTCCCTCACTTCATCAGGATTTCTGCTCACATGAAGCCCCAGAAGGCCTTCCTGACCACCTTATCTAAAATAGCAAGCCCCATCCTGGCCCCCAGGCACACAGTTTCATTTTTTTCTCACAGCACTCATCACCACCTGACATATAAAATGCAGGATTTTATTTTGCCAAACTTTGTATCATAAATGCATAAAAAATGCTTGGGACATCAAAAAATAAAAATGGAATTCTCAATATGGACTACATTCTATACTACTCTCAGAGGTCAAAGTGTTGTGCCCCATTCCTCTGCTTGACAAAAACCGTACTTACCTTTCAAAGCTCACTTCAAGTTAAGCTAAGCTATTCCTGATAACCCCCTCTTCTGTCTCCCACAAACTTCAGTTATACCTCTAGTATGGCATTTATTATTGTTTCCTATGACACTGATTCATGTATAGGTAACCTCTTCTCTTTATTAGGCTGAAGGCTCTACGGGGACCAACACTGATTTAGTACTACTTGTTTACTTTATGGTACTAAGTGCATGGCATGTATTAGATAAATGTACGCTAAACTGAACCTATGAAACTACTGGACTCAACAGCAGTCAACTTGGTATTTAAGTTTCAAAATGACAAGTTCTTATAAACTCTGTTTTATACTGTCTTACAATTTAAAATTCAGTCTTAGAAAGAAAATAAAAGCATTTGTAAAGCATTATATAATCTTAGTTTCTAGCTGCATCGCAGATTTAACTGCATCATTTCATTGTTTAATCTTCTGTAGATGTCCTTTCAGGAGAGTCCTGAAACTAAAATTGATCTAAAAGTTGCCGAATGCTCTTTCTGCAAAAACCTGTTGCTTAATTAGTTCAATCAATTTAGAAAAGTTATCTATTAGTGTCTACTTCATGGAATTACAGTATTTTAGAATTCAAAGAACTGTAAACATCTTAAGTTTAATCATGCCATCAATCAATGGAAGGCTTGCATATTTCCAGGGACAGAGAATGCCTACCTTCAAGAAAGTGAGTATGCCTCATGTTAAACCTGTTGGCCAGAGGCTTTTGGCTGACAAGTACTTTCCCTCTCTCATAAGTTACCGTGCAGACATTCAGAGAGGCCTCTGCTACTCTTGTCTTTACCCACTTATGCTTCAAAGGCCTCTAGCTTCTGGAAGGTAACAAACTCCGGGCTTTTGCATTTGCTCTTCCCTCTGGCTTGAAGCCTGAATCTTTGCATGGCTGGCTGTTCCTCCTCTTCAGCTCTCAACTCAAACATCTCTTTCTCAGAGAGAGCTTTCCTGTCCACACTATTAAATGCTGCCTTACCTCTAACTCATCACCCATTATTCTCTATTTTCATTTTCTTCAAAGCACTTCTACCTGTAATTATTCACTTGTGTATCTGGTGTTGGTCTTCTTCACTAGAACATATGTTCCTGGTGAGCAAGATCTGGGTCTGTCTTATTTACCTACTACATTTCCAATGCTTGGATGAGTGCCTGGTATATGGCAGGTGTTCAATAAAGGCTGTCTGATTAAATGAGTTGTAGTCAGCCCCATTCTCCTCCCAATCCTGGGATACTAAAAGGAAAGGGCTCAGGAACTTACCTTTTATTACATTTCCACCCATACTTTATAACCAACTAACATTTTAAGAATATACTAATTGGCACTAATTTTTAAGGTAAAAAGTAGACTATACATAAATCATAAATATACTTGACATGATTATTTTGTTGATTTATCCCAGTATAAATAATTTTTGCTCTAAAACTATTTAAGAATACCAAAGTAAATGAAAATAAAGGTATGTTTACATTCTATCTTGCAGTATGTGCACAAAAAAATTCCCAAATAATTTTTACGATTATTTTAAACTAACACCTTTATTTTTTTTCCCCTGATTTCTTTTAGGCTTCCCCTGACTTTGCTAGCTTCAACATGATGGGACTAAATGTGGACTTTTACTCATTTATGTTGAGTGGGACTTATTGTGCTTCCTAATTTGAGAATTCACCTTTTACCACTTCTAGAGAATCCTCAGCCATTACCTATTAAAACATTTAAATGTGCAATTAGGGCATCTCATATTTCTTAATATTTGTGATACTTTACATTTCTCTATTTTTCTGTTTCACTCTGAGTTCCCTTAAATTGGTCTTTCAGTTTAATGCTTTCCTTAGTTGTTTATGATCATCTACTTAATTCTACTTTCTTAATTTCCAGCATATTTCATTCCCACAGCTCTGTTTAATGTTTGTTTGAATTTGCCTGGCCTGTTTTGTTCTTTTTGCATACTTTCTCATTTATTTTGTATATTTAAGCACTTTAAGTCTATTTATTTTATAGCAATTCTATTGGGGTTCTAATCCTGCTGTAAAGCACCTCATGCCTGCTGATGGTGGGCTGTTTCTCTAGGTTTTGTAATTTTGCATTGTGAGCAAATCATCAGCTGGATTTTATCTGTGGGAATACTGTGTTGCTTGGGTTCAAGGGTGTATACTTCTAAGAATTGTTTTGCATTTGTTTCTTCTAAATCTACCAGAGGTTATCACTGACTCAGAACTAATGTTATTTTTTTAGTTTGCGCATTGCAAGGTAGTGTCAATTCAAATACTAAACACAAATGAGGCAGAAGAGGTACCATTTACATTGAACAACCATTAAAGTATGTGCAGAGGAGACTTTTTACCTCTCTCCACCCAGAGACCAAGTTAAGACAGAAAAGCTTCCTTGACATCTCAGCTTCTTTTTTCCTAATCCACTATTTTAGTGAAAGATGTGGTCTTTGAAGGGTATCCCGTCTACACTTTGCTGTTAAAGCTCAGGCCTCTTGGTTACTAAACTTACTGCTATCTTTTTATCCATCCTTACTTTTGGCTTCTAAAGATTTCCCTTACTTTCTTGAGAGCATGGTTATCCATTTACAAGATATTTATTATATTTTTTTTCCCAGTATCTTTTGGTGTTGTTAGTGGGAGTTTTCAAATTTTCTGCCATTAAAATATGTTCAAAACAGGACTTTTAAAAGGTAAAAACAACAGCCTTTGGAACTAATGCTAATGCTATGCTTGAAACCTTACTTTGTTCCCCCAAGCCTTCATAAAATATGGTAATATTAATTTCTGCTTTAGCTTGCTATTTTTGAGGCCCACTGAAAAGGAGGGGTCGTCCAATAATTCATTTACCTTTCTACCTATCTGCCTTCCTACATACACATGCAACCAAAGGAAGTTTCCTATAATGGATTCATATGTAAAGCTGTATTTTATATACTACAAAACCCTGTTACCTTTATTAACTATGGTATGTTTCTATTTCTTTGTAACCTAACTCTGTGTGGTAAATTACTATTAAAAAATAACTGGAATTTTTCTAATTTACATAATAATTGAAATAGATTGGAAGGGCTTTTTAGTTTAGTACTATCATTCTCAAAGGGAGGGGTGGGAGGAAGTAACTGTACTCCACAGGCCGTGTTTGGAAATGTGGCAGAGTGGTTTTAATTGTTAAAATGACTGGTGGGTGCTATAAGCACATAGTTCTTAGGGACAGGGATGATAAAAATCATGCAGTGCATGAATTACTTCTGCTTAAAATAGAACTACCCTGCCTTAAATTCCCAAACTCCTTCTATTGATAAATACTGCTTTAGAAAACTCTAGGCCATATTCTTTATAATACAATTTAATAAACATAAAAAAGTTATGGAACAGCATTGCATTTCAACTTTATGTTAGGTATGTGGAATATAAATACTTGTAAGATACAGTCTCTGCTCTCTAGAAGTGCAGTCTACTTCGGAAGACAGGTAGAAAGCTACTAACTTTTAAAGGTAAATAATTATCTCCAAATTACACTATTTAGGCTGCACGCTTTCAAATAAGGAATTTGTTTGAAATAAGGTATACATGTCCTAAATAAAATCATGCCTCTGATATGGCTCTATGATAAATGCACCTGATGAGATGTGACAAATGCCTGATGAGAGGCTGAATCATAAAGACAATGACATCTAAAAACAGTAATATAATGTTTCCTCTATACTAAGGTCATGTGCATACTATATGCTAATTTAAGATATTTCTCCCTAAGTTTTAAATGGTATGAAATTTATAGATTTTTTAATACATTTCTATGTAATTTTTTAATAAAAATTTGTATAAAAATGGGGATTTTTATAAAACCTTTATTATCCCTAATAGTCAAAATCGTTATGCAACTTACCTGTGCCATCCGTAGTTCTGCTAACAGATCTGTAAAATTCTGATTTCTTGTGGGCTCTGAATCTTCAACTACTTGAGACAGAAAACGACTTTTGTGCATCTGTTCTCTAATTTATTTTGAAAATAAAAAGTTGTTTTTCTTTCTTACCAGGTGCTCCTTTCAGTAGAAAATATTCAATTCTTAAAAATTAAAAACTAACATACATTGAAACTGTATGCATAAATGAAGGTAAAATTTTCATTTAATCTAAAGATTAAAATACTACCATACTAAAAGAGAAATATACTTTAAGGGAAATGCTTATATCTATTCTAAAAGAACTGAAACCTAAGATTATTGGTTTATTTATAATATAAAAATATTAATTCCCAATTCTCAGAGGAAAAAAATTAATCGTCTACAAAGATGCGCTGCATTTTTCTGTGGGGTTGTTAATGCAGTCCTTGTCATATTGTTCTAGAATCTTTTCTGAGAGTCGCCAGTCTCATACATGGAAACTAACAAACAAAACCAAACACAGCCTAATATCTGGACTTTAGATTCAATTTTCCTGTTATTCCAGAGATATTATAGAAGGAGTTTTGGATTCCACATAAGATCATCTAACCCTAATGTACTAAAGAAACCATTTATTTCATTCTGAAAGTTAATTTACAGCTTCAATTTTGGATCCTGGGATAGATCTTCTTTTAGAAGCCAAGTAGTACAAGATAAGATATTTTAAAATAACTTTACTGAAACATCTGGGAAAAAAAGCATAAGTAGGCCAGGCACGGTGGCTCACGCCTGTAATCCCAGCACGTTGGGAGGCCGAGGCAGGTGGATCACGAGGTCAGGAGATAGAGACCATCCTGGCTAACATGGTGAAACTCTGTCTCTACTAAAAAATACAAAAAATTAGCCGGGCATGGTGGCGGGTGCCTGTAGTCCCAGATACTCGGGAGGCTGAGGCAGGAGAATGGCATGAACCTGGGAGGCAGAGCTTGCAGTGAGCCGAGATTACGCCATTGCACTCCAGCCTGGGTGACAGAGCGAGACTCCGTCTCAAAAAAAAAAAAAAAAAAAAAAAAAAAAAGCGTAAGTAAATGCATTCATGCATTACCACTGTGCAGATTATCACACATGGCCTGGGGTTACACTTACCAACTTACAAGGAGAAAGAGGATATATATATATAGTCTGCTACCAAGTGTGTCTTTTTCTATTTTGCCTGACAGATCAGTATGAGCTATTATTAGCAGCCCTGCCTCTTAGGCCCTAGGTTATATAACCAAAAAGGGGGAGAAGTATATAAATAAATTCAGTAAACATTCATGATACTCATGGGTCAGAAACTTCTGAGAACAGTCCTTTCTGAGTGATTAGGTGTTTACATAAAAAGATACACAAATAGTGGTCATTTTCTAAAAGAAGATAGTATGCTAGCTTGTCCATGTTCACGGGCCCAGCTTTTTCACTTAATATGTTAAAGTTGGAAGCAGTAACGTCCAAAAGACCTTATAGTCTGAAATATGATTCCTAAGTAGGTGCTGGTGCTCCATAACCCTGCCATGATAAATGCTGGCTGAAAACAACTTACAGGTGCTCCTTTAAACCGCAGCCCCTGACCCGGCATAAAGGGCAGCCCCTACTCCTTTCCACAGTACACTCCGGCCAGTGACTAAGGCTGCCCCCTTGCCTCAAGCAGGGACCAACTCTGGTACAATTTATTCTCCAGAGCTTCTTGGGAGGAGAATGAAGCCAGTCTCCAGCTGAGACCACTATTTGCCCTCCCCCTACCTCACCGTTCCTGCTTCCCTTGCTCCCTTCTCCTGGGAGTTATCCTTCAGTATATCATCTCCACAAGGACCTCCACCATCTCAGGCTCTGCTTCTATGGAACCTGACCCAAGAAGATCATAAGTGATACTGTATGACCATTCTTTTTTAGTATTATTAATCAAATGGTTCCTTGGGAAATGGTTAATTATCTCATTCTTAATGACTGATCAAGAGGAATACTATATATTCAATTTCCTGAAACTGATGTTTGAATCAGTTATGAACATAAATTCATATGAATTCAAATATGAATATGCTGAAAATACTATCAAGTATGTGCTGGCCATCTAACACCAAAAGAAAAATCCACTGAGTATTAAACATAAAATTGGAAATGTGTACAAATAAAAATAAAATTTTACTATGTCTAAGTAAAAATAAATGTATTATTAACATAATAAGAAAATGCTTGAAATAGTCTAAGTATATTTGATTTTAAGAAGTTCAAAAGGACTTACTTTAAGGAAGCTACCTCACTGAATAAACTTTGGTTTTCCTTAAACATTCGCTCCTCATTTTTCTTGTTTTGTTCTTGGAGATCTTTTACTTGATTATATAATCGTTCATTTTCCTTTTTAAAAACAGAAAACTGCATTTTAGTTAAAAGTCATTAGTACTTATATAACATAATATATGTGCTCATAATAGATTAATCCTTTAAACGGCCTTTTAAGTTTCTTTAGCTTTTGCGTATGTAAAGTCTTTTTTAAACTTTTTATATTATATCTGAAGAAAATTTGGTGTCTAAAAACAGTTCTTTCCATAACATTTAAAATGGCTAATTGAAAAAATAATTTGCAAAATTCCCAAAGCCAAAGGGCCTAAGGTCAGTTTAATGCACTGCATTTCACAGGAGGTAAGTGGGAGAGTGGCTGAAGGAATCACCACATCCTGACTGTGTGGACCCGGGTGGAAAGACCCAGTGAGACCCTTTACATTCTTTTCTGTTTCTGGCTCAAGAGAGGGGAAAAAAAAAATCACTGCTGGAGGAAGATTCTGGAAGTCTGGCTGCCAGTGGTGAGGTAATCAGATGTACCTACGGGTGCTCATACTTGTATCTGCTACTGACTGTAAACAGGGAGTTAAAGACCGGTGTTTCTGAAAGTTGTCAGGACAAGGCAGAGCAGAGGACAGACCCAGTTCACCACAAGGCTTGAGCTAAAGAGCTAAAGAGTGACTCAACCAGTTGAGATCAGAGGGAGAAGAGATGGTGCCAATCTGCACTTAGATGCCCTCCCTGGCTTATGAACCTGTTTAAAATTAAAAATCAGATGCAAACCAAGGGCTTTGAGTATCTAATGCAAACTATAGACTGTTTTACCATGTCTGGAATAGTGCCTGGCGACAGTCTGTGCTTAAATACATGAAGAATTAACAAACATTTCCCCCTACTATTTAGACACATAAATTTTGTGTTGTCTCTGTTGGAGGGGTTGGTCGGCATACTTATGGGTCTGTTAAATTTTCTTAAAAACCTCTGTTTTTTAATGGCAAGATCAAACTGGCAGAAGAATTTGAATGGTTCCCAGTAACTGAAGGCAGTGTGTCCTGCAAAATCATTCCAATTCAGTTACAGCAAACATTGTAATCATTGATGGGGCAATGCTTTTGATGATGTCCCTGGGTGATAATGCATGTTACTAAGGCTCAAGGTTCAAGTTACAGTTGTCAAAAGAGAAGAATGTAATGAGAGACAAGAAAGGAGAGAAGTAAGAAAAAAGGGTGTGGGAGGCACAGAACAAAGATAAAGTCTTATGTTGATTTGAAGATAACTAAACCTGTCCTGGTTGACTGTCAGGCTAGCAACACCAAGATACCAAGATGTCATTACACATTGCAAACATCTGCCTCTATAGGACCCAAAGATTTTCTTGCATTAAATTCAAAATTTTTTCACCCTCAGGGCATTAGCAATTAATTTCAGATTCATATTTCTGAATATAATAGCAAAACCAGCCAATACTGTCTACTGAAGAGCATTACAGGAAACTAAGAAAAGATAGGACAGTTTTTAAGAAACTGGCTATTAAAAATAACAGGTAACTTTCATTGATCGATTGCTGTGTGTCACACTAAGAGTGTACAGATGCTCCTCAACTTGCTTGCCCCGCAAATAGCTATATCCCAATAAGGCCAAAAAGTAAGTAAAAAATGTCCTAAGTTGAAAATGCACTTAATACCCTGATAAACCCAATGTAAAGTCAAAAAATAGTAAGTAAAACTTACGATGAAGTTACATCCTGATAAGCCCATCATAAATTAAAACTTTGTTAAGTCAAACCAGTGGAAGTTAGGGATCCTATATATTATTATCCCCACTTCACAGATGAAGAAACTGGATTAGAAAGATTAAGTGATGCCCAAGGCACACAGCAGGTGGTAGAGCTAAGACTCAAAACCACATTTTTCTAATCCAGAACCCATGCTTTTACCATTTAATTCTCCTCATGAGAAATACACAGACTAGTCAAATTATTATCTCCTATTTGCCAGGATTACCATTATCTGTTAAATAAGCAGAGAAGTATTTTAATATACCTTTTTTTTTTTTTTTGAGACAGAGTCTCACTCTGTTGCCTAGGCTGGAGTGCAGTGATGTGATCTCAGCTCACTGCAATCTCTGCCTCCTAGGTTCAAGCGATTCTCTTGCCTCAACCTCCCAAGTAGCTGGGATGACAGGTGTGCGCCACCATGCCCAGCCAATTTTTTTTATTTTTAGTAGAGATGGTGTTTCACCATGTTGGCCAGGCTGGTCTCGAACTCCTGACCTCAGGTGATCCGCCCACCTCATCCTCCCAAAGTGCTGGGATTACAGGCATAAGCCACTGTGCCTGGCCTGCCTTATTTTTATAACTAAAAGATCAAGAGTAAATTTGCCATATGTTGAAGAATTGCCATACCTGTTGATATCCTTGAAGAAGTGTCTCTTGTTCTTGTATTTCTTTTTGGATTTGCTTCAACTTTTCTCCAGTGACAGGATCAGCTGCTTCTCCAAAATGTAACCACCTTTGTTTTTTGTTTGTTTCTTCAAAGCTGCTTAACTTGGAGAAATTGCAGAAATTGTTTTATTTGGGGAAGGAAATGATAAGGTGAGAAGTGAGAAAGAATAACAGGAAACTCCTATTTAGATCGAAAACTGTCTTATAATATTGAACATATTAGAATGTGACATAACTAGTTAAATCAGCAAAGTGCTGTTTTGTGCTGATGGTGCTGGGTGAGTAAAGGAACTCACAAATGCTACACAATGTCATCCTCTGGGTCTATACCTTCTATAGCAGTTCTTGCTCAAACTTTCATTTCTTTGAAGGTCAGAATGAACTGATTTTCTTTAAAAAGGACTGCTAACAGAAGAAAACCATAAAAATGAGCCAATTTAAATTTAATTTTCTCCCCCAAGGGTTCAAAATTTAGGCTCTCATGTACGGAATCACTCTTGGAACCATTCTATATTTTATACAGCAAATACATCAAGTCAAACATCTCTAGGAACCAAGGATGACAATGTATTTAGCAGGGAATTCAGCTTTTTTTTTTTTTAATAAATATAAAAAAATACCAGAACAATGTATCTAGTACCTTGGCTTGAAGAATATAATTATCTTGATTCAATTTGAAGAGTTCTTTTTCCTGTTGTTTCTTTAGTTCTTCCAACTTATTTTCTAGTTCTTTCTCCTTTTCTGAGAATGTGGCTTTAATTTGCTCAATTAGGGCTTGCGCACCCCTCCATTTATCCTCTGCTTCCTGAACTCTTTTAAACATAAGTAATTTCTTCTCCTTGTTCTCACCACAGTATCCTAAGGAATCCTTTCAAGACAAAGCATTACTTCATTACAGTAGACTTATGTATAAGATTTGAACACAGGTGGTTAATTAAAAAAAGAATAAAAAGGACATGGTTAATAATGTTCTATTATATAAGAAAATTAACTGTTTAGTAAGAGTGATTACAGTATCACTCAAAGGAAAAGACATTTCAGTCCTTATTATATTTTGTTATATATAATTTAGTTTTAATATAATTTTAGAACATAAAACATTATGATTATTAATTTTGAATACCTACAGTCTGAAACTGAATACAGGAATCAGTTTCTGTGGGATTTTCAGACTTCTTACGAGTAGACAGGCAACTTTCAGTTTTGTGAGCTGGTTTATCCAAAGCTGCAGGCTTGATGAGTTTTGTTCCAGATAAGATTTCTAAATATTATAAACAATGTATAAATGCACCACAAATGTAAAGTTAAATGTATACTCATCAATTGTGTCCAATAACTAAAAATACAATGGAAACACAAAAATGAGGATCTCAGAATAGGCTGATGGACTACACTATAACACAGCTGTTTCACTATAACTGATTGCATTCAGAAAGATTGCCACTCCATAATCAACATTCTACTAAATTTGACACAGATGGCCAATTAACCCAAGACTCATGTCAATTGACAAATGGAGCTAAATAAATGTGAGAATGTGGATAGAAATAACTTTCAGAGTTTATTAGTTTTAAATAAATTCTTCTGTTAAATGTTCATAGCAATAATCAATCAAAATTTCTAAATGACAAATCAAGGAGCAGCTGATAACATTATGAAACATTTTGGTGCGGACTAAGTGTGCTTTCAGAGCACATTTTTTATAAACAATGTATATCATGATATTATAGTATCAATGGAATAATATAAATTGCACGGAGGATTTTATAATTGTTAATCTAAATCAGATTTTAAAAGATTAACTCTGCTATAAAAACTTGGCAATATATATTAAATTATAAAAAAAGTGATTAATATATATTCTGTTCCAATTTTCAGCTTTTAAGGTAACCTGTAAATTCTTAAACAAGAAATCATTCTAAGGCTAATATAGTATTCAGTTAGTAATAAACAATGTTTAAGAACAGTACCTAAAAAGGATCCTAAGGTCCATATTCAAATACTACAGGTCCTGAGTTCAATAAACAATATCTGATTGCTTTAGAGATAAATTAAGAATTTCAAAATTTTAATTTTTAAAAATTTATTCAAGATGCTTTTTAAATGTAGAGTTTACTTTTTAATTACAAATGAATGTTATACATGATTATTAAATATTTGGAAAATATAGAGCAGTCAAAAGAAAAAACAAATTACCAACAGTCCCTCACCAAAAGATTTCATTTCAATTATTTTTCCAGGTATGTGAAGGTTTTCCTTATAGAGTTATGATCATATTTAATTAGACCGATGTAAGTTTTCTGGAGAAATTTCTAAAAGTGTTCATGAAGAGACTGTTTTAAGTCATTGTAAGAGCAGGCTTTCAAAACTTCCAAATCACTGGAGGCTCATTAAATGAATGGGGTGTGATCTGCTAGCACATGATTCTCCTTAGGACAAGGCAGCTAGTACAGGTGGAACGTCCCGGATCAGAAAATCCAAAATCCAAACTGCTCTAAAATCTGAAATTTTTTGAGGGTCAACATGACGCTCATAGAAAAATGCTTACAGGAACGTTTAGGATTTTGGATTTTTGGATTGGAGATGCTAAACTGGTAAATATAATGCAAATACTCCAAAATCCAATGAAATCTGAAATTTGAAACACTTCTGGTCCCAGGCTTTTTGGATACATAATACTCAACCTATCACATGTTCTTGTTCATAGTTGTAGTCTGCCAGTCCTTTTATGCCAGAGTTCTCCCTTCTTGAATTCTTAATTTTGACTTCTCAGTGGACTAAAGTATCAAGTAATTATATTTATTTTAATTTTTTTTTTTGAGACAGAGTCTCGCTCTGTTTCCCAGGCTGGAGTGTATTTTTTAAAAATTTTAATAATATTTATTTAACACAATATATCCAACATATTAAGATTTTGACATAAATGAATCATTAAAAATGGGGATATTTTATGTTGTTTGTTCATACTACATCTTAGAAGTACAAAAGGTAATTTATTTACAAGACATCTCAATTCAGACTAGCTACATTTCAAATGCTAAATGGCCATGTGTGGCCAGTGGCTGCCACAGTGGACAAGACAGTTCTCACCTCCGCCCATCCTCCAGCCTCATCTCCTCATCCCCTTCCCTAGTTGATAGGCTAACTACATTGACTATTTATTGAAGGATTCCTAAGTGACAATCACTGTACTCATATTTTCTCATTTTATCCACCCTTCCCTGTACCCCACCACTATATGCATACAGGAAAAACTTTCTGGGTTTGGTTTTCTTTCATTTGCATTTCAGAGACTTGGAAACTGAGACAAAGAGAGATTAAGGAACTAATCCCAGCTCACGTGGCCTGTATGTGGCAGGGCTCCAGGCCAGATCTGCTGGATGTTTCCTCTCAACACTGTGCTGTCCTGCCTCCCACCCAGAGGTTCACAATAAAAGCATGCTGAATAATCTTTATTTATTTATTTTGAGACAGCATCTTGCTTTGTTGCCTAGGCTGGACTGCCATGGTGCGATCTCGGCTCACTGCAACCTCCGCCTCCCAGACTCAAGCAATTCTCCTGCCTCAGCCTCCCAAGTAGCTGGGATTACAAGCGTCTGCCACCATGTCCAGCAAATTTTTTGTATTTTTAGTAGAGACAGAGTTTTACCATGTTGGCCAGGCTGGTCTCGAACTCTTTACCTCAAGTGACCTGCCCACCTTAGCCTCCCAGATTGCTGGGATTACAGGTGTGAGTCACTGTGCCTGGCCTGAATAATCAATATTAGTTCAACACTCTTTTTAAAAGTATGAAAACTGTGACTTGGACAAGTTGAGTGAATAGCCCAAGGACACACCGTTATTTAGTGGCCAAGTTGAGATTAGGAAAATAATTGTATTGAATTAACAAAGTAAAGGCACTTAATAATGCTGTCCAAATAAGGGAGCATTATTTTATTATGATATAATATTATTTCTGCACTCTAGGAAAAGTCAGTATGTGAGACTTAGAATTTGTAGCAGTCTAGATTTTGGCTACTGCCAAACTTTTTATTACATTTTTAAATATATTTGGATCCTGAATCAAATAAACTGTAAAAAGTTATGACATTTATGAGATATTTGGCTATTTAAACTTGACTGGATATTTAATAATGTTAAAAAATTGTTACGTTTTTAAGGTAAGATAATGGTATGGTGTTTTTTTTTAAGTCCTTATCTTTAAAGATGCATACGGACATATTTGCAGTTGAAATAATCTAATGTCTGGGTTAGCTTCAAAATAAAAAGAGAGTAGCTGGAAATGAAGATGAAACAAGATTGAATAGGAGTTCATAATTTTGAAGCTGGGTGAGGGATAAATGGGATTCATTAACCATTTTATTTAAATTTGCATATGTTTACTTTTTTGGTAATAATTTAAATTTTTTCAATAAATTTATTCAACCATTGAGCATCTTTGCAAACTTTTAAAGTATGCTTTGATTAATACAATTTTGAGGAACATCCCTAGGGGATGTAGTAAGGGGTAACCTTTGCTTAATACCTGTATGTGCAAGATGCCAAGCTAGCCACTTTGCAAACCTTATCTCCTTTTCTTTTTTAAATTTTTTATTTAAGTTCTAGGGTACATGTGCACAACGTGCAGGTTTGTTACATATGTATACATGTTCCATGTTGGTGTGCTGCACCCATTAACTCATCATTTAAATTAGGTATATCTCCTAATGCTATACCTCCCCGCTCCCCCCAACCCCACGACAGGCCCTGGTATGTGCTGTTCCCCTTCCTGTGTCCAAGTGTTCTCATTGTTCAATTCCCACCTATGAGTGAGAACATGCAGTGTTTGGTTTTTTGTCCTTGCGATAGTTTGCTGAGAATGATGGTTTCCAGCTGCATCCATGTCCCTACAAAGGACATGAACTCATCCTTTTTTATGGCTGCATAGTATTCCATGGTGTATATGTGCCACATTTTCTTAATCCAGTCTATCATTGATGGACATCTGGGTTGGTTCCAAGTTTTTGCTATTGTGAATAGTGCCGCAATAAACATACATGTGCATCTGTCTTTATAGTAGAATGATTTATAATCCTTTGGGTATATACCCAGTAATGGGATGGCTGGTTCAAAAGGTATTTCTAGTTCTAGATCCTTGAGGAATCGCCACACTGTCTTCCACAATTGTTGAACTAGTTTACACTCCTACCAACAGTGTAAAAGTGTTCCTATTTCTCCACATCCTCTCCAGCACCTGTTGTTTCCTGACTTTTTAATGATCGCCATTCTAACTGGTGTGAGATGGTATCTCACTGTGGTTTTGATTTGCATTTCTCTGATGGCCAGTGATGATAAGCATTTTTTCATGTGTCTGTTGGCTGCATAAATGTCTTCTTTTGAGAAGTGTCTGTTCATATCCTTTTCATATCCTTCACCCACTTTTTGATGGGGTTGTTTTTTTTCTTGTAAATTTGAGTTCTTTGTAGATTCTGGATATTAGCCCTTTGTCAGATGAGTAGATTGCAAAAATTTTCTCCCATTGTGTAGGTTGCCTGTTCACTCTAATGGTAGTTTCTTTTGCTGTGCAGAAGCTCTTTAATTAGATATCCCACAGAAATACAAACTACCATCAGAGAATATTATAAACACATTTCTGCAAATAAACTAGAAAATCTAGAAGAAATGGATAAATTCCTGGACACATACACCATCCCAAGACTAAACCAGGAAGAACTTGAATCCCTGAATAGACCACTAACAGGCTCTGAAAATGAGGCAATAATTAATAGCCTACCAACCAAAAAAAAGTACAGGACCAGACGGATTCACAGCCAAATTCTACCAGAGGTACAAGAAGGAGCTGGTACCATTCCTTCTGAAACTATTCCAATCAATAGAAAAAGAGGGAATCTTCCCTAACTCATTTTATGAGGTCAGCATCATCCTGATACTAAAGCCTGGCAGAGACACAACAAAAAAAGAGAATTTTAGACCAATGCCCCTGATGAACATTGATGCAAAAATCCTCAATGAAATACTGGCAAACCGAATCCAGCAGCACATCAAAAAGCTTATCCACCATGATCAGGTGGGCTTCATCCCTGGGATGCAAGGAGGGTTCAACGTACGCAAATCAATAAACGCAATCCAGCATATAAACAGAACCAAAGACAAAAACCACATGATTATCTCAATAGATGTAGAAAAGGCCTTTGACAAAATTCAACAGCCCTTCATGCTAAAAACTCTCAATAAATTAGGTATTGATGGGACGTATCTCAAAATAATAAGAGCTATTTATGACAAACACACAGCCAATATCATACTGAATGGGCAAAAACTAGAAGCATTCCCTTTGAAAACTGGCACAAGACAGGGATGCCCTCTCTCACCACTCCTATTCAACATAGTGTTGGAAGTTCTGGCCAGGGCAATCAGGCAGGAGAAAGAAATAAAGGGTATTCAATTAGGAAAAGAGGAAGTCAAATTGTTCCTGTTTGCAGATGACATGATTGTGTATTTAGAATACCCCATTGTCTCAGCCCAAAATCTCCTTAAGCTGATAAGCAACTTCAGCAAAGTCTCAGGATACAAAATCAATGTGCAAAAATCACAAGCATTCTTATACACCAATAACAGACAAACAGAGAGCCAAATCATGAGTGAACTCCCATTCACAATTGCTTCAAAGAGAATAAAATACCTAGGAATCCAACTTACAGGGGATGTGAAGGACCTCTTCAAGGAGAACTACAAAACACTGCTCAACGAAATAAAAGAGGACACAAACAAATGGAAGAACATTCCATGCTCATGGATAGGAAGAATCAATATCGTGAAAATGGCCATACTGCCCAAGGTAATTTATAGATTCAGTGCCATCCCCATCAAGCTACCAATGACTTTCTTCACAGAATTGGAAAAAACTACTTTAAAGTTCATATGGAACCAAAAAACCAAAAAAGAGCCCATATAGCCAAGACAATCCTAAGCAAAAAGAACCAACCTGGAGGCATCATGCTACCTGACTTCAAACTATACTACAAGGCTACAGTAACCAAAACAGCATGGTACTGGTAAAAAACAGAGATAGAGACCAATGGAACAGAATAGAACCTCAGAAATAATACCACACATTTACAACCATCTGATCTTTGACAAACCTGACAAAAACAAGAAATGAGGAAAGGATTCCCTATTTAATAAATGGTGCTGGGAAAACTGGCTAGCCATATGTAGAAAGCTGAAACTGGATCCCTTCCTTACACCTTATACAAAAATTAATTCAAGATGGATTAAAGACTTAAACGTCAGACGTAAAACCATAAAAACCCTAGAAGAAAACCTAGGCAATACCATTCAGGACATAGGCATGGGCAAGGACTTCATGTCTAAAACACCAAAAGCAATGGCAACAAAAGTCAAAATTGTCAAGTAATTACTTTAAATAATGGCACATGAGCAGTACTTTATCCTTTTACACATGAAAAAAATTTGCTTGAATATGAAATTTAAACATGAAACACTGCAGTATTTGGAACCCACGAAACCTTCTTGAAATAGCAATGCATAAGAAAATTCAGTCAAAAAGAAACCAATCAAAATAATTCTACAATAGAGAAACTATGGCTAAGAGACAAGTGAAGAGCATTCAGTCTCTTTAATAATCAGAACCAAGAATTAAATCCAAAAGCTGAGAGAAATTAAGGTTGTAGGAGAGAATATATTAAATGTATCTTAAAAAATAAAATAAAAATGAATAGGAGGCATGTAAGTTGGGGATATAATATGCTTTATATTTCACGGAAGGGAAGGAATCGATTGGTAATGTCTAAAATTAAAAAAGTTAAGAAACAACACTACAGTTATGGCAATCTTTGAGTGTTTTTCATAATCTCTTTCCTTAAAGATTTTTCATAATCTTTTCCTTGTATTTTCAGATATACAATTTCTTAGGAAGAAATTTCTTTTTCTTCTTATAGATATAAGTAAACCTAGATCTAATATCCTATTTTAAAAGAACCTGTAAAGTGTAATCTCATTCTTATAAAATATTTTGTCCATTTATCCACATCTGCCTCTCTACTTCCGTCCATTCATTCACATTTCCTTCTATTATATAAGTATATACATAGTGAGATGCATGGAATCTGCTCACCCAGCATAACAACAGTTGTTTCTGGCTAAATCATTGCAAGCATTCTTTCACTTTTCTGTAATTTTGAATTTTAAATAATAAGCATATATTAAGAATTTTTAATTCTTAATAAGAGAAGACAATAATAAGTATTTTTGTCCTTTCATGGCAAAAAAAATACTTAGTCTAAAAATAAAAACACAAGTTAGAGCCAAAGAAAATTAATCAAAACTAAAAAGGAAAACAACAACATGGTTGGTACTGCTAACTGCCAACCTTCTCTTCCTTCCTATTAATAAATATCTAATTCTGTCCTGAGCAGCAACGTACATAAACGTACTCAACCCCCTGAACTCCATTCAACTTACGGCCACAAGATCAAAGGTCATTAAGATGGATGCAAAAACTTTCCTGGGTTGATGGTTTGGCTGGCATCTACCTTTTACCTTTCACCCTACCTCATGGACAGGGTCCGGAGGCAGAGTAGCCATTGTGACAGTTAAGACAAAAGTCACATACTAGGGATTTTGCATCAGGAAAGACAAAGGGATCTGGTTCCTTGCACAGCTTTCCAGCCATGAACTGCCTATCTCTGGACTCTTTGTTACATAAAAGAAAAGATGCCTTTAATTTGGTTAAGTTCCGGTAGTTGGGCTTTTTCTTCATCCTAACCAATGTTGATTTTAATTTTAACTGCATTCTGTATATTTTCTGAACACTAATCTCATCTCAAACTCTGCTTCTTGGAGAACTCAACCTTTGACAAGTAACCACTATCCCAAAGGAATTATAGTTCCTCTGAATAAAACTAAAACTTCTCTGGGCAATTCTTCAATAAAAAACAGAGATTAAAAATATCATACTTAATATTCAGTCTAATGAGAAAAAGTAGTTCAGTTTAAAAACATTTATGGTCCATCATTATACTTTACTATAAATTTTAATAATGTGTTTTTTTTTATTTTGGATGTCACAAATGCTATACAATTTTAAAATATGAAAAATGAGTTTAAGAATATTATTTCACTTTACTCATAAAAATATTAGTCTTCATCTAGCAACCTCCTCATCATTCCTCTCATTTCTTTTTCACTCACTGTGACATTACCTCTGTCTTCATTCTTGGTCATTTCAGCATACTCACAGGTGATCCTTTCAACTCCCTGGCTTTTGGTTCCTTGAACTCCTTTCCATCTCAGATACTCATTCCCATTGGCATAGTTTAGGTCTTTCCTAGACTATTATAAGTAATGCAATCACTCCCCAGTCTCATTCCCTCATCTAATCACCTACTATGACTATCATCTTTGTTTTGCCACCTCACACCCTCTGGTACCCAGATTCCAATAATCCTTTGACCTCACTAGGACTCACAGTCAATGGATCGTACCTGTTGCACATTGTGTCACACTCCATTGATGCCCTTTCTTCCTTCATTGCTCAGCTTAAATTCCATGGTCAACCATTTTAATCACTTTTACACACATCATCAGCTTCACTTGGCAAAAATGTATTTCTTGGTAAACCCAACTGTTTTACTAAGTACACTTGGTTAAACAGTTGGTTAAACAAGTTGGTTATTTAACTTGTTAAACAACAACTTAATTGTTATTTAAGTTTAAATTCATGATCACTAACTTTAATTAGACTGCCTTGGCTCCTGACAGTCTAACTCTCCTAGATGGCTACTTCGTATCTTCTCTTTTCTCTTGTAACCTCCAAAACACCTTTGCCTAATCCTCATGCGCATCTAATGATACTGCTTTCTATTTCTCAGAGAAAACTGGAGCTATCACAAAAAGCATTCTCTCCTCACCACATCTAACCACCTGCCAGCATATACTCTCCCTTCCTATCTGCCTCCACAGTTCCTAGAATGCAGGAACTAGCCATGTTACTGTGCACATGATCCCTTCTTCCACTGTGCACCAGATCCCGTTACAGCTCCTCTACTCAAAAACATTGCTAAAGCAATTCTTCCCTCACTCTCGTACATTGTCAATTATTTTTCTTTCTATCAAATCTTTCTTAATGTCATACAAACAAAACAATCATTTATTTCATAAAAACAAAGCAAAGCAAAAATGTTCTTGGTCTCACCTTCCATCTCAGCTACTGGCCCATTATTTTGCTGCCTTTTACAGCAGCTATCTGCAGCATGGTCTATAATTTGAAGCACCATTCCACTCCTCCTATTCTCGCTTACTGCCATTTAATTTGCCTTTTACAGCCACCTCTCCATGGAAACTGCTTGTCCACTTTATTGATCATCTCCTCCTTGCTAAACCCAAAGAGCAGTTCTCAGTCCTCATCTATCTTAATCTCTCAGCAGTAAATGACAGAGCAGTCCTTCTTAATATACTTTGTTGACTTGCAGGATTCCACATGCTCTCAGGATTCTTCCAACCTCACTCTGTTTCCTTTGCAGGTTCCTCCTCTTCTGCCTGATCTCTTCAGGTTAGCATGATCAGGGGTCTCAGGCCTTGGCTTGCTCCTTTCCTTCTATCTATGCTCACTCTTTTGGTACTCTCAATCAGATTTCAACAACTCCCAAATGGTATCTATAATCTATATTTCCCTCCTGGACTCCAGAATTTTATATCTGACTGCCTCCTTGTCACTTCTGCTTGCATGTTGAATAGACATCTCAAAACTATCATTTCAAAAATTAAACTCCCAGTTTTCCCCCAACTGTCAAATCTACTCAGTCATAGCTTTCCCCATTCCAGCTGAGTGTAACTCCATTCTTCCAGTTGCTCAAGCCAAAAATCTTAGCAACCCAAAACCAATTCTTCAGATTTTTGGTTCTACCTTCTAATATGTCCTTATCTAACTACTTTTCATCACCTACACTGCCACCACCCTGGGTCAAGCCCTGTTGCCTCCTGCAAATTGAATCTTACAAATGGAATGTGGTACCTTAATTCTCTTCCATGGAAGCAAAGAAAGTAAAACAATATACTAAATAAAGAGTATATGATTACCTTTTTTCCTAGGTTGATTGGAGGTAGAAATCGATCTCAAGTTTTTGCTTTTTATAATGTCCTCTGAAGTTTTCTTTTCAAGAGTAGAAAACATCTTGAGTGGTGAACTGGGTTTGCCATAGCCTGAGCTCCTAACTGACGCATATAATCCACTCTGGGGTTTCCTTTTAAGTAAAGGAGGTGCACTTCTGGCCTTCTTGTATGGTACCTGTTTACCCATTACAGCCCCTTCTTCTTCAGAACTAAGTTGAGATCTGTAAGTCTGTACACAACAAACAAAAGCTCTTTAGTACCTAAATAAACTTTAACTATTGTTGTAAATGAATATTTAATAGATGGCAAAACAATAGTGATTATCAAATAATGTAGTTTGTAAAAGGCAAACTACCATAGTTAAGTTCTTGAAGTCTAATGCATCAGAATTTTAGTATTTTGAAGCAGACCTTCAAAGTTAGCATTGAAACAAAGTAAAGCAAAATAATAAAGCAAAATTAGCTTGCCAGAAACCAAGATGTGTAATTACTTGAATGAATGCAGCAGAAAGAACATATTTTGAAATGACATAAAATCTTATTTGTTATCTGAACTTCTCAAGATGCTTTAAAAATTTTTATTAATACCTTGCCTTATTCCACAAAGAACTGGAGATGACTTAAATACATAATTCAAAATTATAAAATACAAGTAGAATGTCTGAATCATGGGAACTATAAAGCAGAAGAGATCAAGAATACAGGAAAAATAATCAGTAAAATGTAAATTTCTTCACAGGTGTTAACTGCTTTCCTATAAAACGCCAACTTAAAAAATACAAATGACTGGAAAGACTGAACAGTGCATACTACAATGATGAATAAACTTTTTCTTATACTATTTAAATTCTGGACTATATTTTATTCAAAAAAAGGAAAAAATGTATAAAGAATGGCTTCTAAAAGCAAGCTAATGTTATGGTGGTATTTTTGAATTTGGGGATTGGCTAGCATTGTAACAAACATCACTCACAAATATCCAAGATCTACTGTGGAGGTTAGTATATAATCAATCCCACTAGTTTAAAAAGCACACACCTACCAATAGTACTTATATACTTTACATAACTTCGGTTCTCAATCTCTCAAATCAATTTGATGATAAATACTTACTTTATTAATTTTGTCATCCTGAGATAATGATGAAGAATTAACAGTTATTTTTTTCCTCAAAATATTAAGGTACATTTTATCAACATGTTCTTCTGTGGCAGTTACTTCAGTTACTTGTGGACAGCTGTTTTCCATACTCTCATTTGTGGTCTTTTGTAAAATCACATTCTCATCATTTTTGTCAAAAAAAAGGTTCACATGTTGTGAGTCTTGAGACAAAATATTTGGGTTCATCTTCAGGGGTAAAGAGCTAAAAAATTCAGTTTCTTTTCTTTCGGCCACTTTCTCAGAGCTATAAAACAAAACAGGACACAGATAATGAACCCTATGTAACAGCTTTTCAAATATCAGTAATAACCACGTGTGTGTGTACACGCAGACACACTATATATTTGAATTGTTAACTATTCAAATTAAGTTAATGATGTTAAATACAGTATAATTTTGATTAACAGTACACTCACATAGTGTAATTGCTTTTAATTTCGGATAATAATTTTAATGCAGTATAATGCAAAGGATTATAAAGGTGATGCTGAGATCTATTTTAGAGAAAGACCAAACCAAACAAGACTGAGACTGCTTTTGTAGAAGAAAAGTAAAATACAAATTTCTAAGTGAACTTTTTGTAATATATCTTTTATCTACAATTTCTTATAAAGTCGACATGCATTTGAAATAAGAAAAACATTTTAAACATTTCTAGAAGAAACTAAAGAAATAATCATAAATTTGTATTAAGGAGGCATAGAGTATAAATACTAAAAAAGCATATATTTAATCACAGTATAGGAAAAATTTTAATGTAAAACAGAAAAATCACTAGGCTTTGAAAAGAAAATCATTTCTGTGGTTTAAAACACTTAAATGTAACAATTCAATTAGATATTAAATACCTAGAAGATACAACGTAAGGAAATGTTTTAAATGCGGTTAAATATTGGCAAACTACAGGGTCTCCAAAAATATGGGAACTGTTAGTCTTAAAATATTTAATCGTGTGTCAATTAGGCCATTTAATTTTATAATTTATAAAATAAGATTAAAGAATGTTTAAGAGGCTACCATTTTCATATAATGTAGATTGGCTTCTTGGTAACTGCTAGTAGGTGGAATCATCAGAAATATAATAGTTCTTTCCTTCTTCATAGCAGCAGAACCTGGCTAGATGCTAATCAAAATTGTTTCTCATTCTTGCTGGGTACCAACTAAACTATATTTCCTTGCCAACTTCCATCTAGATGGGACCATTTACTAGTTTTTCCCTTTAGAATGTGAGTGCTATGATGCTAAGAACCCAACTTATTTGTTACTGGCTTAGTTGTCAAGTTTAGGATGGCAGGAAACTGATAACTAGAGTCTGGAGAGACGGCAGCCTATGTTTTACAGTGGCAAAACATTGCTAAACTGTCATCTACAAAAGTTTATAAGGCAGACCACATGCCAGCCGACCATGGAGAACTAAGAGAAATGACTGGAAAGAACAAGGAGTTAAGTGCTGGCTACTATTAGCTTCTTTTAACAAGATATTACCAAAAAACTGATGAGCTCAACACAGAATGAGCTGGTTTGTAAGCAGAATTTAAAGAGAATAGAAGGAATCTAGAAACTCTGGAAATGGGTTCTCTCTCTGTAGACTCAGTCTGTAAGATTCAGCCTTGAAGAATGCTATGAAAAAGCAAGATTTCAAGAGACTTCTTGGTTGAAAAGAGTGACCCAGTCCCTTAGCAAAGATCATATTAAGAGTGTCATCCAGAGTGAGACTCCGTCTCAAAAAAAAAAAAAAAAAGAGTGTCATCTTCACATTTAAGTATTGTTTCCCCAAATATCCAGAGAACTGCAAATAAACGCAGAGAAAAAAATTAGAGGGACAAGGAATCAAATATTAAAGCAGATTTAAAACCTTTGTCTAGCAAAGAACTTTTTTTTTTTAAACTTTTATTCCAGGTTCAGGGATACGGGTATTGTTCACGGGGATTTGGTGTTCAGACTATTTCACACCCAGGTAATAAGCATAGTACCCAATAGGTAGTTTTTCGATCTTCACCCTCCTCCCAACCTCTCAAGTAGGCCCCAGTGTCTGTTGTTCTCATCTCTCTGTCCATATGTACTTGATGTTTAGCTCCCACTGATAAGTGAGAACATACAGTATTTTGTTTTCTGTTCCTGCATTAGTTTGCTTAGGACAATGGCCTCTAGCTTCATCCATGTTGGTGCAAAGAACGTGACCTCATTCGTTTTTATGGCTGCATGGTATTCCATGGTGTACATGTATCACACTTTCTTTATCCAGTCTACCACTGATGGGCATATTTAGGTTGATTCCATGTCTTTGATCTTGTGAACAGTGCTGCAATGAACATATGCATGCATATGTCTTTATGGTAGAACAATTTATATTCCTTTTGGTATATATCCAATGATGAGATTGCCGGGTGAATAGTAATTCTGCTTTAAGTTCTTTGAGAAGTCGCCAAATTGCTTTCCACAATGGCTGAACTAATTTACATTCCCACCAGCAGTGTATAAATGTTCCCTTTTCTCTGCAACCAGCATATTTTTTTTTGTTTTTTACTTTTTAATAATAGCTATTCTGACTGGCATGAGATGGCATCTCATTGTGGTTTAATTTGTATTTCTCTAATGATTAGTGATGTTGAGCATTTTTTCAAATGCTTGTTGGCTGCACGTCTTCTTTTGAAAAATGTCTGTTCATGTCCTTGCCCACTTTTTTTTTTTGAGATGGAGTCTCGCTCTGTCACCAGGCTGGAGAGCAGTGGTGTGACCTCGGCTCACTGAAACCTCTGCCTCTTGGGTTCAAGCGATTCTCCTGCCTCAGCCTCCCGAGTAGCTGGTGAGAGGTGACAGCATGCTGGCAGTTCTCAGAGCCCTCGCTTGCTCTCGGCACCTCCCCTGCCTGGGCTCCCACTTTGGTGGTATTTGAGGAGCCCTTCAGCCCCCCACTGCACTGTGGGAGCCCCTTTCTGGGCTGGCCAAGGCCAGAGCCCACTCCCTCAGCTTGCAGGGAGGTGTGGAGGGAGAGGCACGAGCGGGAACCGGGGCTGCGTGCGGCGCTTGCGGGCCAGCTGGAGTTCCGGGTGGGCATGGGGTTGGTGGGCCCCGCACTCGGAGCAGCCAGCCAGCCCTGCTGGCCCTGGGCAATGGGGGACTTAGCACCCGGGCCAGTGGCTGCAGAGGGTGTACTGAGTCCCCCAGCAGTGCTGGCCCACCGGCGCTGCGCTCGATTTCTCGCCGGGCCTTAGCTGCCTTCCCACAGGGCAGGGCTCGGGACCTGCAGCCCGCCATGCCTGAGCCTCCCACCCACTCCATGGGCTCCTGTGTGGCCCAAGCCTCCCCGACGAGCACCACCCCCTGCTCCACGGCGCCCAGTCCCATCGACCACCCAAGGGCTGAGGAATGCGAGCACACGGCGCAGGACTGGCAGGCAGCTCCACCTGCAGCCCCGGTGCGGGATCCACTAGGTGAAGCCAGCTGGGCTCCTGAGTCTGGTGGGGATGTGGAGAGTCTTTATATCTAGCTCAGGGATTGTAAATACACCAATCAGCACCCTGTGTTTAGCTCAAGGTTTGTGACTGTACCAATCGACACTCTGTATCTAGCTGCTCTGGTGAGGACGTGGAGAGTCTTTATATCTAGCCCAGGGATTGTAAATATACCAATCAGCACCCTGTGTTTAGCTCAAGGTTTGTGACTGCACCAATCAACACTCTGTATCTAGCTGCTCTGGTGAGGACGTGGAGAGTCTTTATATCTAGCTCAGGGATTGTAAATACACCAGTCAGCACCCTGTGTTTAGCTCAAGGTTTGTGACTGCACCAATCGACACTCTGTATCTAGCTGCTCTGGTGGGGCCTTGGAGAACCTGTGTGTTGAAACTCTGTATCTAACTAATCTGATGGGGACGTGGAGAACCTTTGTATCTAGCTCAGGGATTGTAAACGCACCAATCAGCGCCCTGACAAAACAGGCCACTTGGCTCTACCAATCAGCAGGATGTGGGTGGGGCCAGATAAGAGAATAAAAGCAGGCTGCCCGAGCCAGCATTGGCAACCTGCTCGGGTCCCCTTCCACACTGTGGAAGCTTTGTTCTTTCGCTCTTTGCAATAAGTCTTGCTACTGCTCACTCTTCGGGTCCACGCTGCTTTTATGAGCTGTAACACTCACTGCAAAGATCTGCAGCTTCACTCCTGAGCCCAGCGAGACCACGAGCCCACCGGGAGGGAACGAACAACTCCAGACGCGCTGCCTTAAGAGCTGTAACACTCACTGCGAAGGTCTGCAGCTTCACTCCTGAGCCAGCGAGACCACGAACCCACCAGAAGGAAGAAACTCCGAACACATCTGAACATCAGAAGGGACAGACTCCAGACGCGCCACCTTAAGAGCTGTAACACTCACCGCGAGCGTCCGCGGCTTCATTCTAGAAGTCAGTGAGACCAAGAACCCACCAATTCCAGACACACTGGGACTACAGGCATGCGCCACACGCCCAGCTAATTTTGGTATTTTTAGTAGAGACCAGGTTTCACTATGTTGGCCAGGATGGTCTCGATCTCTTGACCTCATGATCCGCCTGCCTCAGCCTCCCAAAGTGCTGGGATTACAGGCGTAAGCCACCGTGCCCAGCCTACTTTTTAATGAGGTTGTTTTTTGCTTGTAAATTTGCTTAAGTTCCTTATAGATTCTGGGTAGCAAAGAACTCTAAGTTTCATTATTGGCACATGGAATTCACTGGGACCAAAGCGATTATTAAGTTACGAAACTTTCTGAAAGAATATAATGTAAAAAACCATAACCCTGTTCAAAAGAAAAAAAAAAAAGAAACCCAAAAGTCAGTGACTGGGAACCTTAAAGCTACCTGTGGGCAGGAAGTGGATTGAGAAGGGAGTGTATCCCCCAAGATGGGCATACCCCTCAACCTAAAATTCACTTCAGTTGTAGCCAATGGTGATAACATACAAGACAAATCCTCCAAGGAATGGAATGAGGGGCTATATAGAATAACTGATTTAAGGTAGCCCCTTCTTAATAGAATAATAACCTAATCAAGGAAAATAAACCCCTATTCCCAAGGTAGGGGGCCTTTACAAGTTCTTTCCAGTGGTTCTCAAAGTTGTAACATTGATTGCTGTGTTTTCCTCATACTTTTCCTTGCTGAAAGGGTGTATCTACTGGTTCCACCATTATATATTGGGATGGGGGTGAGGAAGTATATAACCCTGTCTTTTTAATTATAACCCTGTCTTTTTAATTCAACCATTGGTACACAACGAGAAGCATACTCAAACCTGATGGAGAGGACTGCACTTCACCTGGAAATCCTGGCCTTTCAGATGCATATAGCCCTGAATGGGACTTGGGGCTGCCTGCTTGGGGAAGGGGATAAGTTGGTCTGTGTATGAAGAAGAGTGAAATTGATATTTTGTTATTAGAAAGGTATATCCTGGCAGAGACTGACTAGATACTGACCAAACTCATTTTTCTTTCTTGGCACAGAAACAAACGACATTTCACAGCCTCCTTGGACCTAGTTAGCTAGATGTGCTGGTTCCTACCAATGGAATGTGAGCTGAAGTGATATGAAACTTCTGTATTAAGGCAGTTAAAAGAAAGGACGCAAAACCATTCTCTTTCTTTCCTTACTGACTGGTTGGATGATGTCATAACAATCTTAAAACTATGTGTTGATGACAAGCAGCCTGGGTTCCTAAATGACTGTGTGGAGCAGAGCCCCAATCCAACCCCACTGACCCACAAGGGATAGTGATGTGAGCAAGAAATACATTTTTGATGACAAGCTACTAAGATTTCAAGGATTATGTTATAGCAGCTAGGGTCATTTACTCCATAGTTTACCAAAAAATTTTTAGGTATGTGTACTAAAGATCATATTACTGACATTTCTATTACGTATGATTACTGTTATACCTTCAAAATATCTGTTTTAAGCTTTTAAACACAAATGTAAAAATCTGTTTTAGAATTCCTATTACTGAAATGGTTTTACCTATAACAACAAAGATATAAGATGTGTAAGAAAATCTCTGTAGTTACCGCTAACATACTCCCAAACAGCAATGATGAGTGGTACCATCTCTCCTTTAAAAATACTAATTAGCACTACAGATCAATGGAAGACTACTACACTTAGCATTGAAGTGAATGAATTTTAGTGGAAGGTTCACTGCATCATTTTTTTCTCAACTCACACAAATGTAGAAACAAGGCCAGGAGATCACCACATGTGGATTTACATCATGAGGATACAGTATAGGAAGGAGGCTGAAAACATGTCTGTTGAAGACACAAATGAACAAATGACAACATGAATGGATGACAGACTATTTCACAGAAGTATTTTATGGAGATCAAAGACCTGACAATGTAAGTGGTTAAGCACATGGATGGCCTGTGTTCCTGGTCTACAACTATATGACCTTGGGCAATGGCTTTATTTATTTTAATCTCTTAGGCTTCAATCTTCTTGTCTATGAAATAGGGATAATAATGGAGTATAACCCATGGAGATGCTGTAAGGTTAAATTAAATAATATACGTATAGTATGTGCCCAAAGTAAATGTGAAAAATGTTAGCTGTTATCATCTACCAGTAAATTGAGTTAATCTCAGGTGCATTTCTTGAATTATGGGCATAAAGATGCATTCTCTACTTGTTATGAGGATCACGTGGGAGACTGGACATGACATTTCAGTGCTACATAAAAGCAACGCTGTCTATTACAAGGTTACTGTGACATGTTACTCCGTGTTGAAGAATGACAGTGGGTCACACATACTTCCACTAAACTGTATTGGACCTGAAGCATTTTAATGAGGACCATTTCTCTTGTGGCTACAAACTCACCCTGTGAGATGACAGCCAGTCTGTGACTAAGTCAAAACTAACTGGTTTATAAAGAAGGAAATCTATGACTCATAAACATAATAAAATTCACTTTCTCCCTCATCATGAATGAACTGTTCCGGCACTATTTAAAGCTGAGGAGACTGTATTTTTCAGTGAAAACCTTTAGGACTATTTAGTGGCCCCAGTTTTTTTATAGCATCTATTTATTTTTTCATTTAGCCCTAGAATTTTGATGACTTGAGTAAGGACAAATATAAAAAGAAGAGAGTTATGACTCACAGGTAGAGTCAAGCTAGTATTAGTCATTAATCATTCACTAGGAATGATTACATAGAACAAATGACTATAAAAGTTTCCAATGACAAAACAATAAATAAAAAATTCATACCTGACAGGTTGTAAATCAAAACCACTGATCCCAAAGGAATCTATTCTGATAGGTTTCATCAGCTCCTCTACTGTGGGCAGATCTAAGAGGTGGAAAAAAAAGTAGAAACGAAAAATGTTATGTAGGTTGCTTAATTTACATGTGTAATAACACCAAAATTATATTTTCTCTGACACAGTTAATAAAACGGTACATGCAATAAACCTAGTTTTCCGTCTTAAGTTTCCTTATACCAGGAAAACTTCCTTTCTTATGAAATATCAAATAAATATCTCAAATATCAATATCAAATATATTTATCAAAAAATATCTATACATACACACACGCTAAGTACATATTTGGTTGATCCTGAAATACTGTTGTCTAACAAAATACAACTTTAATATACGTACATACAAAAGAGTAAAAAATATCCCTTTAAATGACTTCTTAATTTGATCAAGGCATATTAGAAAAGAAACTGGGCCAGGCGCAGTGGCTCATGCCTGTAATCTCAGCACTTTGGGAGGCCAAGGCAGGTGGATCACCTGAGGTCAGGAGTTCGAGAGCAGCCTGACCAACATGCCAAAACCCCATCTCTACTAAAAAGACAAAAATTAGCTGGGCATGGCAGCAGGCACCTGTAATCCCAGCTATGCAGGAGGCTGAGGCAAGAGAATTGCTTGAACCAGGGTGGCGGAGGCTGCTGTGAGCCGAGATCGTGCCATTGCACTCCAGCCTGGGCGACAGAGCAAGACTCCGTCTCAAAAAAAAAAAAAGAAAAGAAAAGAAAGTGAAATTTCGTTTTGTGTTTGGCTCTAATTTTATAGTTAAACCAAGGGTTCCTGTATTTCATTTGAAAAAATCTTTTTTTTTTTTTTTTAAGGCAGAGTCTCACTCTGTTGCCAGGCTGGAGGAGCAGTGGCGCAATATTGGCTCACTGCAACCTTCGTCTCCCGTGTTCAAGTGATTCTCCTGCCTCAGGCTCCCGAGTAGCTGGGACTATAGGCGTGTGCCACCATGCCCAGCTAATTTTTGTATTTTTAGTAGAGATGGGGTTTCACCATGTTGCCCAGGATGGTCTCAATCTCTTGACCTCGTGATCCACCCACCTCGGCCTCCCAAAGTGCTGGGATTACAGGCATCAGCCACCTCGCCTGGCTGAAAAAATTTCTTTAATTAAGCTCAGAGACTGAGAAACAATCACTACAGCAAATTGTATTTTAATTATATTACACTAAAAACTCTTTAGAAAGGATATCAAATAATTGAAAAATTCATCTGTAAGTTTTTACCAGATTCCATAGTAGAGATGTTTTTTGAATTCTCTTCATTTTCTTGAGGATGACCTTTCACTGAGCTCTTGATATCTTCCACTGTGTTACTCTCAATTTTTTGTTTGTCTTCATCTCCCAATGAATGGGCTATATGACAATAAGCTTGATGTAGGGCTTCAACGTCACTACTGCTTTGTCCATAAGAAACACCTGTTGAAATAAACGTAATCACCAGAAATAATTACATCACAAATACATGAGAACGATAAAACACTAATATCATTCCTTAACCTGTTAGGAATATAAAAGTAGAGTTAAGTACTAACTAGGTAATTTGCAGCTATGGCCTACCAGCATGGATTCATAGCAGGCTCAACAACTCTTTTAGCAAACTGAGGCGTGTCCTGATGTGGTAAGCATAAAATCTGCTTTCACTCGTCATTGTTCTTTCTCCTACTATTCTTAATCGACCCCCTCTGCATAACTATTCTTAAGTTTCCCAAACTAAAAAATTCCTTTGACGGATTCTACCTCTCCTTTACCATTACCATTCTCTCTGCTTCTCTGTACCACCAAGCATCTTGTCATTTGCACTTTTTCAACCACAATGAATTCACTCCTCCAACTTTGCAATCCAATGTATTCCAACATCCTGCTAAAGCTGCTATGATCAAAAGCAATTTCCTAATGACCAACTCCATTTGTATTTAGTTCTCTTCAACTATGTGAGACATCTGACATTATCTTTTTCACTTTATCTTAGCCAAAAGGCAGAGAAGTCAAACATTGTTTTTTTTCCTGTAACTGTTTCTTCTGCATGCCTTCTTCTTTTTGTTATTACCATAATTTTGAGGGCAATTTTCCAACTCTTGCGGTCTATAGTTCATTTCAGGGCTCCATCTTCAGCCCTCTTCTTTTGAATGCCTCTCACTTACTAGTTTTTTGGCCTGGCTAACTTCATGAAGACTTTTAGCTTCAACTATTACCCATATGCTTATGACTCCCAAATCTATGTCTTGTGTCCTTATAACTCTTTTCTGAATATCAACTTAACAGACATCTAGATTGCTCTATATCACATCTACATATTCCCCAACTGAATTCATTATATTCCCTACTAAAACTTGTTCTACTACCAGTATTTCCTAATCACATCACTACTCAGTCAAAATAGAAACCTTGATGTCATCATTCACTCTTCCTTCCCTATTAGCCTTCTGATATGGTTTGGCTGTGTCCCCACCCAAATCTCATCTTAAATTGTAACTCCCACAATTCTCATGTGTCATGGGAGGGACCTGGTGGGAGGTGATAGAATTATGGGGGTGGGTCTTTTCTGTGTTGTTCTCATGATAGTGAACGAGTCTCATGAGATCTGATGGTTTTAAAAACAAGAGTTTCCCTGCACAAGCTCTCTTTGCCTGCCGCTATCCATGTAAATGTGGCTTGCTCCTCCTTGCCTTCTGCCATGATTGTGAGGATTCCCCAGCCATGTGGAACTGTAAATACAATAAACCCTTTTTCCTGTATAAATTACTTAGTCTTGGGTATGTCTTTATCAACAGCATGAAAATGGACTAATATACCTTCTCTTTCCACCAACTGACAAATTCTAGAAAAAAGAATTCAAATAATTTAATGAAAATAATGATTGCATATTTTTGAGTACTTTCTTGCTTATTTTGTAATTTTCATTACTAACAAGTGGAATTTTCAAAATTAGAGGAAAATAATGAATCACGGAAGAGAGGGAAAAAAAGAAGAAAAACAGGTGACTAATCTCTTCTCTTCATACCCATGGTTAATTAACCAGTTATTAAAAATAAAATAGTATATATAGTCTCATCTTCCTGTATATACAATGTAAGTTGTGTATATACACAACTTCTAAACAGAAGAGATAGCCAAGTGGTACATATAAGATTGTATAAGAATGCCTTACAATGAGATGTCTTTCTAGCTAGTGCTTCAGGTCCCCATGGCTACATGAAGTATATCCAAATAACAAGTTTGCTTAAATAAACTAAAAACAGAAGAGGATACTGCTAAGGAAGAACTGTCAACAGTTGAAGGGCAGAGATTTTCAAGAGGACATGAGGAAAAAGGTCTTGCTTGCAGCATGAATGAAAGAGGTCATTAATTTTCAAGAAAAAAGGAAAAGCACACGGTGTCTTTTTTTCCTCTATAGAAATATCAGGTTGAGCAAGTATCTGCTGAGCATACATAAAAGAAATGACTTCTATGGTAAAGACCATAGTAGTATCAAATGCTCATACCTAATTTAGTAGGTATGAGGTGTCAGAAAGAATAGATTCTAGGCTTTTAAGCAATAACAGAGCAAACATGCAGAAAAACAAATGACCTAAAAGTTAGAAATGAGAAATGGAAAAAAAAAAAGGAGGTAGGAGAGGCTGCTCAAAAATGGCAGGAAAATGGTACTTTTCTAACTTGAGTTATTAACCTAAGCCATATTAAAATTAATTTAATGGTTATGTAACTTTTTTCCATGCATATCATGAAAAGGGGTTGTAACTTTTTTCCATGCATATCATGAAAAGGGGTTCCTTATCTGCCTTTTACATTGAAAACAGAAGACTCTGTAGTTATTTTATGTATTATTATTACAAGTCAAAAGCTCCCATATTTTTCAACTTTAGAAAATTGAGGCTAGGCACAGTGGCTCACGCCTGTAATCCCAGCACTTTGGGAGGCTGAAGCAGGTGGATCACCTGAGGTCAAAAGTTCAAGACCAGCCTGGCCAACATGGTGAAACCTCGTCTCCACTAAAAAAAAATACAAAAATTAGCCAGGCGTGGTGGGGTGCACCTGTAATCCCAGCTACTCAGGAGGCTGAGACAGGAGAATCACTTGAACCCAGGAGGTGGAGACTGCAGTGAGCGGAGATCATGCCACTGCATTCCAGCCTGGGTGACAGAGCAAGATTCTGCCTCAAACAAAACAAAAAAAAAAAAAAAAAAGAGAGAAAGTTGAGAAGTGCTAAATACTGTTTTGCAGAGGAAAGGGGTCTAGTTTCATGGAGCAACACTGTCATCCTGTGACGACTCCAGTAATGCAGACATAGCACAAAATGGTACTTGCCTGTGAGACAAATGAAAATAAGTGAAAGGTTAGATTTAGCTTGGTGTTAGGAAACCTTAAGTTTTATATTTACTAACCTCTTTGATACAGCAAGGCACAAATAATTTCATAAATAATATTCTTAACAAAAGAGAATCTTTGACAATGTTTAAAGTTAGCCAATGTTTGAAAATTAACCAATGTTTAAGTTAACTGCTTAATACATGAAGTGGCATGGTAAAACAAAACAAAAACCCCACTGAACTTTTCAGTTCTTAAACCTAGTTCACATACTCATTTGAAGACTTTCAAGTATATATTTTATTTTATTTTATTTATTTATTTATTTTTTGAGATGGAGTCTTACTCCATCACCCAGGCTGGAGTGCAGTGGCATGAACTTGGCTCACTGCAACCTCCGCCTCCCAGGTTCAAGCGATTCTCCTGCCTCAGCCTTCTGCGTAGCTACAATTACAGGCATGTGCCACCACACCTGGCTAATTTTCTGTATTTTTTAGTAGAGACTAGGTTTCACCATGTTGGTCAGGCTGGTCTCGAACTCCTGACCTCAGGTGATCTGCCCGCTCCGGCCTCCTAAAGTGCTGGGATTACAGATGGGAGCCATTGCACCTAGCTGAAGACTTTAAAGTATATATTTTAAATATCAGAAATTCAATACCTCAAAGCCAACAAGTGTTTATACTGTATAACTCTAGGTTCTCTACTATAGCATGTATTATTAACAGAGGGTTGACATAAATAATGATGATAATAACAACAACAAAGTTGTAACTGTTTAGTGAATCTTAAAAATGTGCTATGTACTATATATTATCTCAGTTGACCATCAAAAGGGTTCATTTTAAAGAAGAGAAAACATGCTTAGAAGTACTCATTATCCAATGTCACAAAGCTGGTTAAGTGGCAAGCTTTAAGTTTTAAAAACTTAACATTATAATAGAACCTAATCTGCATAATACACAAATGTACCATTTATGTAACTGTAATAATCTGAAGACATTATGTAATTATAATATTTTAAATAATTTTTGCTTTCTTTTTTACTGGTTTTAATGCTCATCTCAGAATAAAGTTTCTCTGGTCATCCTGAACACATGAACTTCCTATAAAATACTGTTAATCAGAAAAGTTGTAGCTGTACAATGGCCTTTTAAAAAAATTCATGTCTGCCTACTGAAAACTGTGCGAGGGGATAGACTATCAAAGCACGTATGTGACACGGTTCCTTAAATCAACAGCAGTAAAACTGAGGGACATGCACTCAGCACATGCTTACATCATGGTAGAATACTCAGTTGGGCAACAAGTGAGTAATGTGTCTCGATGGGAAAATTATGTCTTATAGTTGTAATTTTTTTACCTTTATATTTTAAAATGAAAGTGGATGTAACAAGTCAAAATAGTGGTGACTCTTGGAAAGACAGTGACTAGAAATAAGAGATGTGATGGACATTGTGGTTTAGGTCCTCTTGTTTTTTATCTGGTTGCTGATTACATGGGTGTGCTCAGTATTTCAAAATTCATTGAGTTGCACTATTGTGATACCACAGACTTTTCTATAGGTATACTATATATCAATTAAAAAGTAAAAAGCAAAAAAAAAAAAAAAAGAATGAAATGCAAGCTGCTGACGGTTAGTGATTTCTGAGTTGGTTAGCGATTTCTATTACTCTTTTTTATCAAGTGTCTGAATTGGTTTAGTTAACCAGTATCCATAGACTGCAAAGCAAGCTGATTAAAAAGTTCCCATTTGCAGCTATTTATGTGATAAAATAAGAATATTTTTATACTATTCAACAAAAACAAAAAACACAAACACATTGGACGGCTGATGGTGATATGAGACCATAACAAATCTCAATAGTTTCTAATTTCAAAAATTCCAAAAGACCATTACTGTCCTCATCTATTTTATGAACAAATGTAACAAACATAAGTTTAAATATTTATCCTGATAAAGTATCATTTTTACCTATGAGAGAGTTCTACATAAGATTTCAACTGGGCCGGGTGTGGTGGCTCACGCCTGCAATCCCAGCACTTTGGGAGGCTGAGGCGGGCGGATCACAAGATCAGGAGATTGAGATCATCCTGGCTAACACGGTGAAACCTTGTCTCTACTAAAAAAATACAAAAAAATTAGCCTGGTGTGGTGGCAAGCGCCTGTAGTCCCAGCTACTTGGGAGGCTGAGACAGAATTGCATGAACCTGGGAGATGGAGCTGGCAGTGAGCCAAGGTAGCGCCACTGCACTCCAGCCAGGGTGACAGAGCAAGACTCCATCTCAAAACAAAACAAAACAAAACAAAAAAATAGATTTCAACTGAAGATGTGCATTCCACTGCTTTAAAAAATTTTGAAAAGGCATTATCTCAAAGACCTTTATAAGCTTTAGGAAAGTCTAGTTGGTCTCAGGTATTTCAGAATTTGGGGATGGGGTGTAGCTTTTTCCTAGAGAAAGAACTATGGAAAAGCACAATAAGACCAAAGTCCCATTTCTCCTACACATGGCAGATTTAACTGAATACTCTGGAGAGGCATAGAAAATTAGTTAACGTTCACCTACAGTGCTACACTATTATCAACAGCATTTATTCATTTATTAACAAATATTTATTTAAAACCTCACTTTACTTGGCCTACTAGCATTGTGTCACCATCAGCAAGTTCCAATTATTTAAATTATTATTATGGTAGAAAAATGTCAGATTTAAAGTTTTCATTATCAATATAGTTATTATATATATATTTCCTTAGAAATGTAGTCATATTAGTCATAAAGCATTCCATATTTAGAGAACAGTCAGGTTTCTAAACATTTTTACCTGTTCCTGTCATTTCATTCTCAGTCATTTCTGGTAGGCACCTTGGCTTAGGTGTTATTTTATCTTGTTCATCAAGATTGACCTCTGCAACAGAGTCTAATGAATCAAGCAGCACAACTGGAAGAATATAAAAGAAAAATATAAGGAATGTAGATAAACTCAGTGGTTCTGTTGATCTAATACAATTATTTTAAACATATGCAATGCAGGCCGGGCGCGGTGGCTCACGCCTGTAATCCCAGCACTTTGGGAGGCCAAGGCGGGCAGATCACGAGGTCAGGAGATCGAGACCATCCTGGCTAACACGGTGAAACCCCGTCTCTATTAAAAATACAAAAAATTAGCCAGGCGTGGTGGCAGGCGCCTGTAGTTCCAGCTACTCAGGAAGCTGAGGCAGGAGAATAGTGAGAACCTGGGAGGTGGAGCTTGCAGTGAGCCAAGATTACACCATTGCACTCCAGCCTGGGCAACAGAGCGAGAGTCTGTCTCACAAACAACAAACAAACAAACAAACAAACAAACAAAATGCAATGCATATTAAAACAAAGATAAATGCTTATATACAAAGAATCTATAAACTTATATATGTATATATGTTACAAGCATGTTTTATCTATGTGTGTGTGTGTGTATGTATATAACAAATATGATCTTCTTCCGATGTAGAAGACAGTAGGCTAACATCAACATACATATCTATGCTTATGAACAGCCTAGTATACATGTACACATGGAAGGCAAAGGGCATAAGAAAAATAACAAAAAAAATCTTAAATATAACAGAATGGATTCAAGATAGAAACACATTATTGAGAAAAGCTAGGAACTTCAATGCCTTAGAAATATTTAAAAACAAACACAGATAGTGACTCATTCAGAATTACTGAGATGAAATTCTGAACAGACTAATTTTTTGCCAACTAAAACATGAATATAAATAATATTTACCATTAGCAAGCATGCCAGTTTTTTCTTCTTCCTAAATTAAAAAAGGAAAATGATGATATGTTTTGAAACCAAAATTATGTAAAATTACCACAATGCAAATAATAGCAAAATCTGAAATCCAGGGCTTTTTATTCCACATTGAAACGATCAGGAACTGTGTTTTCTAGGCTTCTTTCACCACTGACTCTCATTTATCAATAATTCTTCAAGACTAGCTCTGACAGAATGTCTAAAATTCTCTTCTAAAACTTGGCAATTACCAAAATTAATTTAGACCTTAAAAATTCTTGCTTAAAGTATTTAAGTTCCATTTGCTCATCTACCTTGCTCAAGAATTCTCTGGTTTTTTTGAATGTCAAGATAACAGAGCTATTTCACACAAGAGTTCTGCAATTATAGCATTACCAGTCTATTTTCCCTTACTGTTCAAAATTAATGACTAAATCTTGTACTCATTATTTCATCTATGTTTCAAAAGATACAACTTTCAGAAAGACAGGCCACCAAACAGCTAGACAGCTGAAGTTCTTCAATATTAGAGGTTCCCTTAGAATAACTTTTCCTATTAATATCACCTATACCTCCTACTTGGGTAGGCAGTTTGTGGGACCTTCCAATAACAGAGCTTTAATCCCTTCCTATTTTGATTCTTACCCAGACAGTGCTCTGAAGCTTCCACAGTTAGGCTGATACCTTTTTATGCATATGGTACACTTTCTAAATATACCACACTATTATGCCTTGTACTGACCTATTCATTTTTCTTTTCTTTTCTTTCTTTCTTTTTTTTTTTTTTTTTTTTTTTTTTTGAGACAGGGTTGCGCTCTGTTGCCCAGGCTGGAGTGCAGTGGCTCAATCTTGGCTCACTGCAACCTCTGCCCCTGGGGTTCGAGCAATTCTCCTGCCTCAGCCTCCCGAGCAGCTGGGACTACAGGCATGTGCCAACCATGCCCGGCTAATTTTTTGTATTTTTAGTAGAGAAGGGGTTTCATCATGTTGGCCAGGCTGGTGACCTATTCATTTTTCAATAAAATATTGTAATTGCCATATTCCAAGTATAAATCTCATTAAATTTCTAAGGATATTCATCAATCACATTAATTTCTATGTTATTTCTAAGGTCATCTCATTTTTTCCTCAAAACTGAGTGACATGTAGACACCCCAGGACCAAATACTAAGTAAACTTGAAAATAAGAAGATTTATAGACACCTGAAAAGTGTTTCTTTTGAGTCCACGTTTTCATTCATGTTAAAAACATCTAGTCCTAACACACAGTACCAAAGAGACTGTGCCCAGATAGAGACCAAAATAATAAATAGTAATAACACATAACAAAACAACAATATTAATTGTTCTACTAGCTACTATTAGATAGCTTCAAAGATAAGTTCTATAAGGTAGGCAATATGAAGTAGTAGCCCTGAACAATTCTTGGTAAGAACTGGGAAATGTGAGAATTAGAGTATGAAGCACCACTGAATGTGAATGGAATCATGTAGTTCCTTATCTTAGCCAAGTAAGTTTCAGACGTTAATGTTGTGACTAGCATAATTATTAGGGAAGGACATTTACTATACTTCATAAAGGCAAGTCATACCAAAGAAAAAGTATAAGTTAACATACTTGTTTAAAAATTAGTTTTGAAATTTTAATTAAGCTTTCAATTTCTAAAGCTTAACTTAAGCTTAACTTATTTGCCAAAATAAATCTTTTTTTGTTTGTTTGAGACAGGGTCTCACTCATCAACCAGGCTGGAGTGCAGTGACATGATCACAGCTCACCGCAGCCTTGACCTCCCTGGCTCAAGTGATCCTCCCACCTCAGTCTCCTAAGTAGCTGGGACTACAGGCATGTGCCACCATACTTTGCTAATTTTTTAAAAATTTAATTTTTGGAGAGATGAGATCCCACTATGTTGTCCAGGTTGTCCTTGAGCTCGTGGGCTCGAACAGTCCTCCTGCCTCAGCCTCCCAAAGTGCTGAAATTACAGGCATGAACCACTGTGCCTGGCCAAAAATCTCTCATAAAATCATTAATTGTCGTAATTTTTTTCATTAAGATTTACATTAATTTAATATCTTGAGTTAAGAAAATGTTTAACTGAGTATTAGGAGACCTGTAAGTTTACAACAATAAGCAAGATTATGAAGAACTCCATTTTTTGAGCTCTTCATATAGCAATAGGCAGCCAGGTTGAGAAAAAAGTTGCAAAACTGTCAAATATATAATTGATATATATACCTGTTTGGGCACACTTATTTTTTCTGATTTGGAATTCTCTTTGGAAGGCATCTCTTCATCTTTAGTAGTCAACGGTGCACCAACATACTCATCTTCAAAATCATCACTGTAATTTTCTGAAGAAAGTAATTTTTAAAAGTACAAAGACCACATTGTTAAAAAAGTCAAATTCCAGGAAAAGGCTGTTGATTTCGAAAGGAAGAAGTCTGTATAAGAATAGTTTATTGAAATAGTAACATAAAGATGTCTTTAGAGAATCTACAGAACTCTCCAGCCCAAATCAACAGGATATACATTCTTCTCAGCATCACATCACACTTATTCCAAAATTGACCACATAGTTGCAAGTAAAGCACTCCTCGGCAAATGTAAAAGAATATAAATGATAACAAACTGTCTCTCAGACCACAGTGCAATCAAATTAGAACTCAGGATTGAGAAACTCACTCAAAACCGCACAACTACATGGAAACTGAACAAGCTGCTCCTGAATGACTACTGGGTAAATAATGAAATGAAGGCAGAAATAAAGATGTTCTTTGAAACCAATGAGAACAAAGACACAACATACCAGAATCTCTGGGACACATTTAAAGCAGTGTGTAGAGGGAAATTTATAGCACTAAATGCCCACAAGAAAAAGCAGGAAAGATCTAAAATCGACACCCTAACATCACAATTAAAAGAACTAGAGAAGCATGAGCAAACACATTCAAAAGCTAGCAGAAGGCAAGAAATAACTAAGATCAGAGCAGAATTGAAGGAGATACAAACACAAAAAACGCTTCAAAAAATCAATGAATCCAGGAGCTGGTTTTTTGAAAAGATCAACAAAATTGATAGACTGCTAGCAAGACTAATAAAGAAGAGAGAAGAATCAAACAGATGCAATAAAAAATGGTAAAGGGGATATCACCACCGATCCCACAGAAATACAAACCACCATCGGAGAATACTATAAACACCCCCTAAGCAAATAAACTAGAAAATCTAGAAGAAACGGATAAATCCTGGACACATACACCCTCCCAAGACTAAACCAGGAAGAAGCTGAATCCCTGAATAGACCAATAACAGGATCTGAAATTGAGGCAATAATTAATAGCCTACCAACCAAAAAAAGTCCAGGACCAGACGGATTCACAGCCAAATTCTACCAGAGGTACAAAGAGGAGCTGGTACCATTTCTTCTGAAACTATTCCAATCAACAGAAAAAGAGGGAATCCTCCCTAACTCATTTTATGAGGCCAGCATCATCCTGATACCAAAGCCTGGCAGAGACACAACAACAAAAAAAGAGAATTTTAGACCAATATCCCTGATGAACATGGATGCAAAATAAAATACTGGCAAACCGAATCTAGCAGCACATCAAAAAGCTTATCCACCACGATCAAGTTGGCTTCATCCCTGGGATGCAAGGATGGTTCAACATATGCAAATTAATAAACATAATCCAGCATATAAACAGAGCCAAAAACAAAAACCACATGATTATCTCAATAGATTCAGAAAAGGCCTTTGACAAAATTCAACAGCCCTTCATGCTAAAAACTCTTAATAAACTAGGTATTCATGGGAAGTATCTCAAAATAACAAGAGCTATTTATGACAAACCCACAGCCAATATCATACTGAATGGGCAAAAGCTGGAAGCATTCCCTTTGAAAACTGGCACAAGACAGGGATGCCCTCTCTCACCACTCCTATTCAACATAGTGTTGGAAGTTCTGGCCAGGGCAATCAGGCAGGAGAAGGAAATAAAGGGTATTCAATTAGGAAAAGAGGAAGTCAAATTGTCCCTGTTTGCAGATGACATGATTGTATATTTAGAATACCCCACTGTCTCAGCCCAAAATCTCCTTAAGCTGATAAGCAACTTCAGCAAAGTCTCAGGATACAAAATCAATGTGCAAAAATCACAAACATTCCTATACACCAATAACAGACAAACAGAGAGCCAAACATGAGTGAACTCCCATTCACAATTGCTTCAAAGAGAATAAAATACCTAGGAATCCAACTTACAAGGGATGTGAAGGACCTCTTCAAGGAGAACTACAAACCCCTGCTCAACGAAATAAAAGAGGACACAAACAAATGGAAGAACATTCCATGCTCATGGATAGGAAGAATCAATATCGTGAAAATGGCCATACTGCCCAAGGTAATTTACAGATACAGTGCCATCCCCATCAAGCTACCAATGACTTTCTTCACAGAATTGGAAAAAACTACTTTAAAGTTCATATGGAACCAAAAAAGAGCCTGCATTACCAAGACAATCCTAAGCAGAAAGAACAAAGCTGGAGGCATCATGCTACCTGACTTCAAACTACACTACAAGGCTACAGTAAGCAGAACAGCATGGTACTGGTACCAAAACAGAGATGTAGACCAATGGAACAGAACAGAGCCCTCAGAAATAATACCACACATCTACAACTATCTGATCTTTGACAAACCTGACAAAAATAAGAAATGAGGAAAGGATTCCTTATTTAATAAATGGTGCTGGGAAAACTGCCTAGCCATATGTAGAAAGCTGAAACTGGATCCTTTCCTTACACCTTACACAAAAATTAATTCAAGATGGATTAAAGACTTAAATGTTAAACCTAAAACCATAAAAACCCTAAAAGAAAACCTAGGCAATACCATTCAGGACATAGGCATGGGCAAGGACTTCATGTCTAAAACACCAAAAGCAATGGCAACAAAAGCCAAAATTGACAAATGGGATCTAATTAAACCAAAGAGCTTCTGCACAGCAAAAGAAACTACCATCAGAGTGAACAGGCCACCTACAGAATGGGAGAAAATTTTCACAACCTACTCCTCTGACAAAGGGCTAATATCCAGAATCTACAAAGAACTCAAACAAATTTATAAGAAAAAATCAAACAACCCCACCAAAAAGTGGGCAAAGGATATGAATAGATACTTCTCAAAAGAAGACATTTATGCAGACAACAGACATGTGAAAAAATGCTCATCATCACTGGTCATCAGAGAAATGCAAATCAAAACCACAATGAGATACCATCTCACACCAGTTAGAATGGCAATCATTAAAAAGTCAGGAAACAACAGGTGCTGGAGAGGATGTGGAGAAACAGGAACGCTTTTACACTGTTGGTAGAAGTGTAAACTAGTTCAATTGTGGAAGACAGTGTGGCAATTCCTCAAGGATCTAGAACTAGAAATACCATTTGACCCAGCGATCCCATTACTGGGTATATACCCAAAGGATTATAAATTATGCTACTATAAAGACATATGCACATGTATGTTTATTGTGGCACTGTTCACAATAGCAAAGACTTGGAGTCAACCCAAATGTCCATCAATGATAGACTGGATTAAGAAAATGTGGCAAATATACACCATGGAATACTATGCAGCCATAAAAAGGATGAGTTCATGTCCTTTGTAGGGACATGGATGAAGCTAGAAACCATCATTCTGAGCAAACTGTCGCAAGGACAGAAAACGAAACACCGCATGTTCTCACTTATAGGTGGGGATTGAACAATGAGAACACTTGGACACAGGGTGGGGAACATCACACACTGAGGACTGTCATGGGGCGGGGGGAGGGGGGAAGGACAGTATTCGGAGATATACCTAATGTAAATGACGAGTTAACGGGTGCAGCACACCAACATGGCACATGTATACATATGTAACAAACCTGCACGTTGTGCACATGTACCCTAGAACTTAAAGTATAAAAAAAAAAGAACTTTTTCTTTTGCAAACATTTAATGAGAGTTCAATTTATAAGACTATCTTTGGTTTCTGTCATTATGGTACTTTCAAATAGTTCTCTGAGTTTTATATTTTTAGTCTTTTATATTATTAACCAAATAAAAATTTCTAGAGCTGCCCAAAGAATCTTGAATTACCTTTAAAATAAGACTTTAATATTTATTTTTAAAAGACAAACATGACCAATTGCTTACTTATAAAAGGAAGGACCTTTGTGAAATCTTGCCACTTTTAAAAAGGTTGGATTTTGTTTTTCAGGTTGATTGATTTTTTTTTTTTTTTTTTGTCTCTACAGGTATCTCTACTGTAAGTCTTAACTAGTACTTATGAAAGATCTCTGACCCTTCCCTTAGGTAAATACTGGCCTTATACAACCTTTGCTGTTTTCCCAATCCTGAGTGCTTCTTATCTGAAGCCTCCAAATTATATCTCAATGACTTTGTGCAGAAGGAAAAAGTGTCTCCATGTTAACTGAGGCATTCAGTCTACTTATGGGGAAGGTTGGACAGGAATTATTTGGCCAGGATCTCTTCCTCAATTTTTAACTTGCTCACAGTATTAATTTAGATCTGTAGCTATAAAAGGGGAACACCTTTTCAGAGTGGAACTGATCATTTTGGAAACAAACATGATCTAATTTGTATTTCAAAAAACTGCATCACACTGAGAAACAGGATGGCTTGATGGGAAAAAGACTACATAAGGTACTAGAGTCTACTTCTGGAATGGCTGTTTTTTACTCTTTTGTTAGAATGAAGACGAAGACGACAACTTGTGTGTAATTAATACTGGAAGTGAAGAAATGAATTTGAGAGGGTTTGGGAGTGAAACAGGGATGCTTCCAGTGAGATCTGGCTACAGAAACATCTACATTTTAGTTCATAAGAAATATGAGCTTGGAACAGCATGTGTATTGTAACTTAGGTAGATAAACTAGGTTAGTTGGTTAACTATGTCAATATTTGTATTCTGAGGCTGAGAAGTTCACTTTTGTTTCTCTTCCACATGAGAAAGAACACTGCTTGGGATTTTCTAATATCAGTAGACATATAGTTAAAATCACAAGATAGTTATAAGTAATTACTTTGTATTAGGCACACTTCTAAGTGCTGTGAACAATACAAGTTGATTAAGACTTTAGTAGTCTAGGTGGGAACCACCGAATTTTAAGTGACCCTCGAGATTAGACTTGCTTAAGAAAAGATGATGAACAAGGAAAGAGGAGATATGGGAGAATATGACACTGAACTTGGACAACTACTTAGGATTTGGGAACTAATAGGAGGCGCTGTGGTGTGTGTGTGTGACTGCATAAAGAAAGTGTTAGAAACAGTTCAGGCAGTATGGCATAGTGCTTAAGAGCATGACCTGGAGCCAGAAGGCCTAAATTCAATTCCCGGTTCCACTACTTTCAGCTGTAGAACCACTGGCAGGCCACAAACTCCCTTTGCTTCACTTTTTCCATCTGTAAATTGGGGATAATAGTACTTTTCTCAAAAGATTAATGAGATGATTAAGAGTTAAAGTGTTCAGAACGGTGGTTGATATGTAATATGCACTGTATATAAGTGTTAGCTATAATGTTTATAGTAATTATTGCTGTTAATATTATTATAGCTACTTTTTTTTTTTTTTTCTTGAGACGGAGTTTTGCTCTTGTTGCCCAGGCTGGAGTGCGATGGCACGATCTCGGCTCACTGCAACCTCTGCCTCCTGGGTCCAAGCAATTCTCCTGCCTCAGCCTCCTGAGTAGCTGGGATTACAGGTGCCCGCCACCACGCCCGGCTAATTTTTTGTATTTTTAGTAGAGACAGATTTCACCATGTTGGCCAGGCTGATCTCAAACTCCTGATGTCAGGTGATCCACCCGCCTTGGCCTCACAAAGTGCTGGGATCACAGGTGTAAGCCACCACACCCGGCCTATTATAGCTACTGCTGTACTTAATCTAAATCAAAAGTTAATACAGCCAAGTATGATTTCTGATTGGGAAAAGTGCCAATCTAATAAGCATTCATCAAAACTACATTTTATTATTTTCATTTAGTAACTAAGCAGCCTACAGGCAAATACTAGCATCCAGTACATGAATGACTGACTTCCTCCCCAGAAACCTGTCATGAATAAAGTACGTCTGAAGTAAGAAGGAAGTGTCATTAGTAGACACAGAGACAAATGAGAGACGAGAAACAAAGAAAAGGAAAACAGCACATGTCAGAGATTTCAGGAACAAACATCAAGGCAAATTAAGTTTATATAAAAATGAAAGAGTAAAACAAATTTGAGAGGGTGATTCTTATATGAGAAACATCAGAGATAATATCTAGACTCTTCCACATTGTTCGGAAAACAATCAGAATATTTACTTGTACCACTCTGACCTTTTTCGCAGGTAGATGTTACATATTCAAGTTACTGGGTTTCTATGATTCTCTATCCTTGTAACTTCAAAAATGTTATTTTGAGAAATAAAAATGTTCTTAAAGCTCAGATAAACCATATGAATTGTAAAAGAACCTTTTGGAAGACATTTTTCATCTTTTGTTGGCAAACTTAGCTGCAAATTTTTAATTTTTTGCCAATCTAGAGGACTTTCTCCTCTGCCATGTTGGAGTTAAAGGGATTGTACTTTCTTTGTAAACAACACAATATATAAAACAACTATTTTCAGATATTAGACAACTGGCAGCAAAAAAATGTGATTCCTAAGAAAACAAGTGAGCTAGCCTACAATTACCTGAAGGCACATATGTTCTGAAGTAGTGAGCAGGGGCGGGGAGATTGGGACAGTATCACTGAGTAGAGGAGAGCGAGATAAGTTCAGAAAGGCTGAGGCAATTTATAAAATATAAGACAGTAATCAAGAGAGGAGGTGCCTAAGTGAAAACAAAGCCCCAGAAATCTGCATAGGGTGCCCTTGAGTCTTTGCTGAATACTAAGCTGTTAATGCATAAAATGAGCCAAGAACAAGTGGGATGCTGTAAGTTAGACAATTCTCACAGTTCATACAAGACAGGGAGACTTTTGAACTCTAATCTGCTTAAGTGGAGAGACCTCATTGATCACTAGGGGCATTGGGATGTGCCTTAGCAGTAGGGTTAGAGGTTACTAGAGCTACTCTAGACTTCTGCTAACAAAGCATAAGAAAAGCCTTGAAAAAAATCAAGTGGTAGGATCAACTACTTACCAGACAAGGCTCAATAATACTCTTTAAAAGAAGAAAATAAAATCCAGACACTGAATAACATAAAATTCACAATACCCAATATCCAATAAAAAATTACTAGACTTCTAAGAGGCAGGAAAAAGTGTCACGAAACTAAATAGCCAACAGAAAAGACACACAGAAATGAACAAATACTGAGATCTGTAAAATATGTTTAATATTAAGGACTTGAAAAAAATGAACATAATGAAGAAAAATGCTAAAGAATTTTAAAACAAAGATCCAAAATGAACTGTTAGAGTGAAAGAAAAAAAAAAAGGATGGGATTGGGCCAGGCATGGTGGCTCATGCCTGTAATCCCAGCACTTTGGGAGGTCAAGGCAGGCAGATCATGAGGTCAGGAGATCAAGACCATCCTGGTTAACACAGTGAAACCCCGTCTCTACTAAAAATACAAAAGATTAGCCAGGTGTGGTGGTGGGTGCCTGTATCCCAGCTACTCAGGAGGCTGAGGCAGCAGAATGGCATGAGCCCGGGAGGCGGAGCTTGCAGTTAGCCGAGATGGTATCACTGCACTCCAGCCTGGCTGACAGAGCAAGATTCTATCTCAAAAAAAAAAAAAAAAAAAAAAAAGAGATTAATAGCAGATTAAAGAAAGGAAAAAAACCAGTAACTTGAAGCAAAAGAACAGTGATAGGAACTGTTCTATTGTGAACAGTGAAGCACAGAAAGAAAAAAAGTTTTTAAAAAATGGAATAGTCTTAGTGACCCATAAAACAAAGCTTAGCATTCTAACATAATTAGGGTCAGAGGGCAGGAAGCGGAAAGCAGCATTATTATTAATATTTTAAGAATTTATGGCCAAAATATTTTTTATTTTGATGGAAACTATAAATCCATAGATCAATGATGCTCAACCAACTCTGAACAGAATAAATATAAGAAAAGCATACCATGATACACCATAGTCAAATTGCCAAAAAAAAAAAAGGATAAAACCTTGAAAATAGAGAAAAAAAATACATGATATATACAAAATCACAATAATAGGAATTACCGGAAACTTCTCATGAGAAATAAGGTCAAAAGACAATAGAATAAAATCATTAAACTGCCCGAAGGAAAAAAAAACACTACATAAAATTCTGTATCAAGTAAAAGTATTCCTCAAAAACAAAGGCAGAGTATATTTTCAGACAAACAAAAGCTGAGAGAACTTGTTCCTAGCAGTAACCTGCACTACAAGAAATGTGAAAGGAGGCTCTTCGTGGTGAAGAAAAATAATTTGAGATAAATTCAAATCTACACAATGGAATACAAAGCACTGGGAATGGTAAATATATGGATAAATACACATTTTTACATAAATATCTATTATATTCCTTAAAAGTACTTTTAAATGATAATTGATTGCTTTAACAACAATAATAATAATGCACTGTGGTGTTTTTAAGACATGTAGAAGAAAAACGTTGACAAAAATAGCAAAATGGTTGAGGAGAGTTTATTGTTGTTAGAGTTCATATAAATACAGTGATATAACATTATTTGAAAGTAGATTGTGATAAGGTAGACATATATTGTGACTCATAGGGCAACTAAGAAAAAAATACAACAAAGAAGAATAGCTAAAAAGCCAAAATAAGAATAAAATGGAATACTATAAGTAATACAATAGAAGGAAGGACAAAAGCAACAAAAACAAGAAGATGAAAAGAAAACAAATGGCAAAACCGTAAACAACTATATCAATAAATACACTGCTGTAAAGGGTAAAAACACATCAATTAAAAGGCAGAGACTGTCAGATTGAACAAAAATGCTAAAACCAGCTATATGCAGTCTATGAAAAAAACCTTTTTAAGGCAGTTCACTTTCAACAATTTCTTAGCAGCTCAGTTTATAACACAGGCAAACCCACTCTATTCAAAGCTCTGAGACAATATGATTTTCCTTTTAATTATTTTTCTTATTAATGTCTTTATTAAAAGCTATATTATCTTTTCAAATATTATAAATTTAAGAACCAATGAAATTACCTGCCAGTTCTTCATGTTTCGATTCATTCTCATGTTCGTCATCAGTTAGTTCTGCGTTGGCTTGATTACTGGAAAAAATATTTATTTAATTTAGCATTACATGTTAAAAACATATTCTCATGCAACTCTTTCTGTATACCGTTTTAAAAAATCCCTAAAATTATACATGTCCTCTCTCAAGTCCTTTTGTTCTATCAAAAGCTAAAAATTTGGGAACTTTAAGGAAAACGTTTTGAAAATAAAGCATCTTCGAAGCATTTGATTAATTGCAGTTTAAAAGTAATACAAAGGAAAAAGATGCCCTATTTCTTAAATATACACAATTTTATTACTATGTGCATTTACATGTACAAATATTATCTTACAACCCTAGATATCCCTTCTACACTAAAGATTAGAAACTGACCACAAGCTATGAGAACCAGTGAAGTCCATATGAAAGCCAGAAAAAAAATGCTAAGGTCAGCACTTACATGCTAATAAGCAATTTAATCCTGAAACAGAAGCTGAATAGGAGCCTTAAAACAAAACCTAAGCAAGGGGACAAAGGAGCTTGAGTATGATTTAATTATATTGGATGTATTAGTTCATATACTGCTTTCTCTCAAACCAAGAATCAGTTCTACCTTTTCAGTCTATCAACCCTATTTAGTGAGATCGTTAGAGAAACTATAAGACTATATAATAATGATGAGAGCTACAAACACCTAATATTGCATGTTCAATGCTATTCTGTACTTTGACCGGCCTGTTCTACAGCAGAAATATCAATAGATAAGAATACTGTTAAGAAATAAGAAAAAAGTTAAAAAATGTAGCAAAGTGGCAAAAAGTTGTGGCCCACAAACCCGCGCATGCTTAATCTGTATTGACAACGTTGGGAGAGGCAATGACCATAGGCCCTGAGTGTCCCTGCACATTCTTGCTGAATATGCCAAGAGTACAAGATGCTGATCATTTTTCACCATGCCATTTGGGTAACATTTCCGACCAAACAAAGAGCAGGCTTGTTTCCACTTACTATAAAAGTAATACATTTTCGCTGGGCGCGGTGGCTCATGCCTGTAATCCCAGCACTTTGGGAGGCTGAGACAGGTGGATCACAAGGTCAGGAGATCGAGACCATCCTGGCTAACACAGTGAAACCCCTTCTCTACTAAAAAATACAAAAAATTAGCCAGGCGTGGTGGCAGGCGCCTGTAGTCCCAGCTACTCGGGAGGCTGAGGCAGGAGAATGGTGTGATCCCGGGAGGTGGAGCTTGCAGTGAGCCAAGATCGTGCCACTGCACTCCAGCCTGGGCGACAGAGCGAGACTCCGTCTCAAAAAAAAGTAATACATTTTCCAAGCTCAGTGTTCCTCTTCTGTAACACAGCCCATTGTGTGTGAATACATCCATTATGGATCCTTTGACTTGCCCTCAGCATAATCATAGGGCATGGGGAACCAATGCGAACAAATGCGACACTCAGGTACTGCCTTTGTTCTTTAATTCTGATCCAGGAATCTTCTGTCTATTGTCAACATCATAAAACCGGAAGGCTAGCTTGTTAGCTTGCCAAGTAGGGTAAAAATCTCAGACCCCGCAAAGTTCATGAAGGTAAATGCATTTCTTTATCCACTGTCTATAAAAAACTAACCATCCTGCAGAGCCTAGGCACTCTAATAATCAGAGATTATGATTCTCCTGACCCTTAATTATACCTTTGTGATCTCAAAATCCTAAATAAAATTATGATCTTCTTTCCATTCATAATTTTAAGAATTACATGGATAACTAAATAAGGGCATTAAAGACCTCAGGTTTCAAAGGTCTTGAGAATGGCAATGGTCTAGTGTAATAAAGAGAGGACCAGTTCAGTGAACTAGTGGGATTTCTAGAATAAATGAGGTTTCCCGATAACCATCAGGGCCAACCATACAGAGGTTAAGACACAGATCAAACTTGTCTTTGCTCCTTGGTTCCCACTTCCCTTTCTGTTATTTTTTTTCCTGAGTTTATAATGGTAACCTGGACTCTCTTTATTTGTCTGTGGAAAATGAATTAATAAATGACTTTCCTAGTAAGGACTTCTTGGCAATGTACTATTAGTCTCAATAGCATGAAATTTCAGATTGTGGAGGCAGCATGGGCTCTCAAATACCAAGAAACATATTCTACTCACACATAAGAAAAACCCTAACTATAAAATGAACAGATAATAGATTTAAAAAATAAGATTTAAGTTTGCCTGTTATAATGTTTACCTATTTAAAATCACACATATATCAGCCTTCCAAAAACATAGAAATCATAAAAATCATTAATAGTTTACACTGTACTTTACCTATGTAAAGCTTTAAAATGTGTAGAGTCATTAGAATCCAATTCCTTATTTAATCTCGAATAATCAATGGAAGATGTCAAGCCTTTCTCAAGCCTGGCAAAAAATTGTTCTTTCTCCTCTTGTTCTTCTAATGTGTCCAATCCCACTCCGAGACTACTATGGTTGAGCTCAGAAACTACTAGTTCTAAATGGAAAGCACAAATATATTTTAGTAATATACAGAATTTTGAAAACATTGATTTGAATGATGCATTTATTGACATTATGTAGTAAATTTTAAAAATTTTACAAATATTTACTCTCACTCACCAAATATGAATTCATATTAATAATACGTAAGGTTTAAAGCTTCTCTAGAATAATTCTAAACCTCTAGGAAGATATTAAATCTGTCTACATGCTTCAGTAAAGGAGGCTTCAAGATAATTTTTGTAATTCTGAATATAAGCATAACAATTAATAATTTACCAACTCATATCCCTTGCATTTCTTACCATTTGTTTCTAAGCTATCAGTACTTAAGAGAGAGGTTCCACTGCTCTTAAGAAATTGAATCTTTTCAGCAGACTCCTCTTCTATTTCCATAACAGGCTGAGAAGTCTTCTTTGTTTTCAAATAGCTCACATTTGTTCCAAGAAGTCCTAGGTACACAATTTAATACAGATGAAGATTTATGTTCAAAGAATTGTTTTGGCCACTATGACAACACAATAATAATGTTATGCTAATTTTGTGCACAGTAGCTATAAAATAAATCTGCTCTATTAAATAAAAATCCATCAGACCTAACACTCACAAAAGAAAGATTATAATTCTATTTGGTGGCACTGTATCATATTAAATAGAATACTTCAAAGAGTTGCACCATGAGACAAAATTTTTTAAAATTACTTTGAAGTAATTACAAGTACTTAATACAGTATACCATGACACTTCAAAGAGTATCTTCTGCCTTATTCCCTCTGTTCTTTACATTTCTCAGAGAGTTTTTGGTGCTGAACTCTTAACACTATTGGAAATAGACTGTGGGTGGCATGAATTACTATAACAAAATACAAGGTGGCAAAGTAGGTACAATTAAAAACCTACTAGGTTAGACAGAAGCCTTCGTTAGTGTAAATATCATTTCAAAAAATAGATGGAAATAGTAAAAGCTCTTTCAAAGTCATTATTTCTAAAACAATGGAATCAGTGGCTCACTGCAGGAGAGGTTCTCATGCCAGGTTATGTGCATACTGTTGGGGACGGGAGGGTATTATAGTCTCTCACAGCATTCAGGAATTTGAAATTTTCTCTAAGGCTAATATATATTAAGCATATTAAAAGTTTTTTATGACTGATTAGATATTTGATGATACTAAGAAATTATTATAGATATTTCTTAGACATTATTATGGTTATATTTTAAAAAGAGAGTATTTATTTTAAGAGATACTTTGAAATATATGTGGAGAGAATTGATATGCTGTTGGAGATTTGTTTCAGTATAATCCTGAGTGTCAGAAAGTGGAGAACAAGAGAGAATATTGATGAAAAATGATTGACCATGAGTTAATAACAACTGTTGCAGCTAGGCAATGGGTACATGGGAGTATGTGGTACTTATGTATATGTTTGAATTTTTTTATAATAAAAAGTTTCAAAAATGTTCTATGAATCCTGGGTAAAAAAGTATAACTTATGTTTATGTAGCAAAGGTTCTGAGTATTACTTATTTTATTCAAATTTTTTGACAAACTATGTACCTAGAACATTGTTAGTGCCAGCTATACAATGAAGTCCTTTACCATCACGAAGGTTAAAATCTAACAGGAGGAGACAATCAACAGCAAATATTTATGGGTGCCTACTACACACCAGGCATTGTTCTAAATGCTGGGGCTTTATCAGTGAATAAAAAAAAACAAAAATCCCTGCTTATTCATGTGATTTGAGGCAGGCAATAAGTAAAATAAGTAAGCACATTGCAATTAAATAGTACATTAGAAAACAGTTAAGTGCCAAGATGAAAAATAAAACAAGAAAGAGGAACAGAGAATGCAGGAATGGAGGGTACTACAACTTTAAATAGGATGGTCAGGAAGGCTTTCACTGAGAAGTTAACACGTGAGCTATGGCTTGGTGGGGGTGAGGGACCAATCCACATGAATACATGGGGGAAGAGTGTTTAAGGAGGAGGAAAGCAGTGTACAGCCTCTAAGCCAGGAAAATGCCCAGGCATGTGTGAATAGAAAGGAGGCCAGTGTAGTGATACGGGCATAAGCAAGAGAAAGGTAGTCTAAGTTGGGAGGCCAAAAACGTCAGGGTGCAGGACTGGCATGGGTGGTAGCTTAAAGGTCATTAGCTTTTATAACAAGTGAAATGAGAAGCTATTAGAGGGAAGAGGTGGCTATGATGTGGCAGGCAAGATTTTTTGGTGTAAACAAGTTTAAGGAACTCGGAAGTCAGGTTATTAGAGGCATTAGCTATGTAGTTAATGTAGTCACCAATAATTAGACAAGAGAATTGGAGACTCACAGTGAAACAGCAGCTAAAATCTTTGAGGAATGAGGAGGAATAACCCGGAGTTCAGTAGATAACTGCAACAAAGAGACACAGTAGATAGGTGGTCTGATAGCAAGGTTCATAAGGAGATTGGAAGAACGGTCTAGAAACAGCAATGAACAATAACCTACTCCTTTTCCAAGTCTAATGGAACAAGAGACGTGGCAAAGAAAACAGTAACCATTGGAGGTTACCAGAGAAGCAGCAGTATTCACAGAGCAAAGTTAAATGTGAATTACAACTCTGCTTTGAAGGAATTATATAAGATTAATTGGGGGGGTATACCAAGACAGGAAAATCCAAGAATATTTCCATGAGGAAGTAACATTTCTGCTAAGATGTGAAGAAAGACCAGGAAATAATTAGGTGAACTAGGCCAGGGAGACCAGAACAGGCAGGGGACACAGTAGGTACAGAAGCATGACAATGGGAGGGGCAGGCCACATTTGCAGATGCAAAAAGGCCAGTGAGGCTGGACCCAGATGGTGAGCGTAAGCCTAAGAGGAAATAAGCCCAGAGCAGGAAGTCAATGGTTGGACCGTGCTCGTCCTCATAGGCCAGCAGAGGGTCTTGCTCTGTATTCCAAGAGCACTAGAAAAAACTGGTAAAGCTATACAGTATCAAAATTTCCTTATTTTAATAGTATATGTTTGTTGTAAAAAACTGATATATGGAAAAGGTAAATAATTATGAGTAATGTTTTATTTTTGTTTTTTGCTTTTTAATATTCTTTTGTTCTTTGTTTTCTTCAAAAACCAGAAGACTGAAAATGTGTGCTATAAATATGAAGATTAGAAAAAATATCACTTTTGGTAGGAGGAAGCCTTATTAAGAAGTCACGAATTTTGACTTCAAGTTCCTAATTTGTGTCCTCTTGGAAAAGGCTAAGAATCAATTTATTTTATGCCTTTCTGTGAATAATGGTTTTACTGGATCAAATAATAACCTCCATAAGTTGTAAAAAATCAAGAGAGAGATTCATAGATGCTTCAAATGAAAAAGTATATGCCAAGGTTGGTGTGCTGTAGTGGCAACATGTCCAGGGTCTCACCCTGGCTCTAAAGCACGACTTGAGGTTGTAGCTCACACTAACCAAGTTCACAAGAGATTAATATAACAGAAACGAAGATCCAGTTTAGTTATTTACAATAAAGAATACAATCAGCAAGAGGATGAGATAGTTTCACCTTCTAAGCCGAACATTTTATTCCTATGGCAACTGGGAAACAAGCAAAATTATAATGTAAAAGCCGCTCACTGTTAATGTTTAATGGTACCTGTCTTAAGATTAATAATGCATTCCTCTTCTCAAGAGGAGTGTTGAATTCTCCCTCAGAAGGTTCTACACTCTTGATACAGGAATCACGTCTTGCCTTTTCATAATAATGCCTAGTATTTAGAACATAATACAAACTCAGTAACCGTTTGCTTGAATCAGGGACCAGGTTATTCCCGTGGGCAGGGAAACCTCCCGCTGTTTAAGCTGACATTGTCAAAGTTTGCTTCTTGACTATCCTTCTTTACTTCTTTTACTAATCAAATCTATTTCTGATACATTTAAAAAAATTATTAATACCATCAATCAGGTTACATGTGAGTATTTTTGGTCTAGGAGCTATTCTTTTCCTGTAGGATTAGGTTGTATATATCTGCTCTGATTCATTATCTTCTAGACAAAAGGCTTTGTGTCCCAAATCTTTGTCAACAATTCCAACAGTACTTCATCTTATAATATCCTTTTCAAGCATTAAAAGCAGGGAGAGAGTCTAAAACATAATTCTTCACTACAAAGTTCAGCATGTTGCATAAGAATTTATAAAAAATGCACTGAATTTTTCAATAAGGAATTTCTTTAAATTACAGTATTAAAAAGAACAGAGAAGTAACTGTCAAATCTACTTTAACATGCATTTATTAAACAAATTTATCATTTAATGTTGAGGGTCAGGGGATACAAGGACAAAGAAGTGTTTCCTACCCTCGCAAAGCTCCCAACCGCAGGAGTTGTCCTATAGGTTACAACTATCAACACAATGTGTAAGTGTTACTATGGTGTTCTGACATCAAAATGAAGGAGAAACTAATTGTGACAAGAGAGCTAGAAGATAGAGTGAAGGACTGCAAAAAGTGGTGATGCTAGGCTTTATTGGGCAAGAAGGATGAGAGGAAAGGCATTCTAATGGCAAGGAAGCATGAGATAATGCACAGAGGCAGGGAGGCCTATGGTGTTTCCAGGAGATGAGGAATGATTACCTATGGCTACAGTACACGAGAAGGCAGGGTTCCAGTCAGATCATGCAGAGTCTTAATTATGACATGAATTCAGGCTCAATTTTCATGGGGAGGGGGGGAAACCAAAAGCCCATATGTATATTTTTTCCCTAGAGATACAGAAATTCTATCATTTTACAAAATTGTGCTTAACACTGATCCACAAATGGTGTGAATGTAGGTACTGAAATAGAAGCAGTCGGGGTTGTTTACAGATGTGGCAGTATCATGTATAGTAAACCTATCAGGCCAGGAGTGGTGGCTTAGGCTTGTAATCTCTGCGTTTTGGGAGGCCAAGGTGGGAGGACTGCTTGAGGCAAGTTCGAGATCAGCCTGGCAACACAGTGAGAGACCCTATCTCTACAAGAAATAAAAAAAATTAGCCAGGCATGTTGGCATGTACCTGTAGTCCCAGCTACTCAGAAAGCCGAGGTGGGAAGATTGCTTGAGTCCAGGAGTTTGAAGTTACAATGAGCTATGATTGTGTTACTGCCCTTCAGCCTGGGCATATCATATACATATATATGAGAGACATATATACATATGGCAGTAAATTTTTTTTTACTACTGTCATTAACAAACTGTGATACCAAGGTCTATAGGTTTGTTAAACTCTTCCCAATGCAATGACATTAATATACTGCCAGAATATCTTATTAAATCACCTTAAATCAATTTATCATTAAACATGATAATAAATATACCTGAATTGTCACCTTAATTTGAGTAAATATAAATTATCTCCATGTAAAATAAGCTGATAATGTTATAACGCAGATTCTCAATTACATAATAAATACATAATAAAGTACTGGTTATATGAAAATCAATTCAAACTTCAAAAATCCACACTATTAGTATTATTTTCTGTATATATTTATAGTGAAGTAACAAAATCCAGAAGTCTTGACTGACCCCTTGTGGTCAAATAATTTGAAACTAAAAATCAGCAACATTTACCATCATCTTTAAAATCATCTTCAGTTATCCACCAAGGCACTGTATCTTTCTTCTTCATCTCTTTTTTAGATTGTCTAGCTGTTTTGTCTGAATTTTCAAAAGAATCATCTGAAAGCTGAATTAGATATAAGACATTCAATTTGAAAATACAGTGTAAATTCAAGAATCTCAGATTCATCATTAAGCATGTTTCTATTAGTTCGCTCACAGTTCAGCTATCACATAGATAAATAACATTCTCATCAATAACGTATAATTTCACAGCTACAAACATATTTGGCCAAAATAACTTAAAAATCAGACACACATCTCTGAGCATCAATTTCATAATTAAGTAAACCAGGAGAATAACAACAAAGACGTAAAACTTGATCAAGAATTTTTTTCAGCAAAGAAAAAACGGGAGGATACAGTCCTGTCTTCTAGACATTCTCTAGGGTTTAAGAATAAATAATGGCTGAACAAAATTGCATAGCACCACTCTAGAAACAGAATTTCAATATAAGGAAGAACTGAGTTTCAGGGTGTAAAGAGGAGGATGAAATTGACCAAGAAAAATCAGCATTTTTTTTCAGTGATTGATAAACACTTATTTGCTTTTTTCTACTCTTCCAATCCAATTTTTACTACAATCCTAAATCCCATGCTCTAACCTCAGTATCACCCCCCACCACCTTAGCCAATAACTTGGTCACCCTTTTCTCTGAGAAATAAAAACCTTCAAACACCACCCACCTCACTCCACTACTAAACTTACTTGTGAAGGCACTTCTTTCGTCTCTCAGACAACACAATTCTTTCCTCCACTCCAAGCAGAACTTCTCTAGGTTCTTCCTTCCTTGGTTATCCCATTTGATATCTGTATCTTCACTCCCTTCTCTCTCTACTCCCCGCCCTTCCCTCTGATTATACACCTGCTCAGCACTGCATCTCCAGTGCCTAGCATAGTACCAGGCACAATTGCGGAATGAAAAAATGAGCATTCTACTCAACTTTGAAAAAAAAAAAGTAGAACAAAACAAAAAAATTCCTTATCCCTACGTCCCTTTTACTCTATCACATTTCCTTGATATACCAACTCCTTGAGTTCACTTAACCCCTTATAATCTGGTTCCCAACCAAAACAGCTCTCCTCCAGGCACCAAAGGCCTCCGAAATGCCACAAATAAAGTACCACTGTCAGTTATCCTCCCTGATCACATCATGGAATTTGCTACTGGTGATCAACTCTTAAACTCTTACTTCTTGAAACTCTCTACCTTGACTTTAGTAGCATCACTTCCTCCGGGTTATTCTTCAGATCTGTGGCTACTCCCCTCCATCTATTTTAATAGCTTTGGCTTTTTGCCCATTTATTTAACAGACTTTTCCAGGACTCTGCTCTTGATCCTTTTTCAATCTCATTCTACATTACTTTTTCTGGAAAAGAAACCAACATTTACTACATGCCTGCTCTATGTCAGGATCTACACTCAGGTTAACTCACTTAATCTTTAAACTACCCTGCAGAAATTTACTCATGGTGAAACTGAAGCTCTAAGAGGCTAAGCAACTTGCTTAAGTTGCTACTGTTAGTAAGTGTTACAAAGTCACATTTAAACCCATGTCTGACTAACTCCTGTCCACTTTCCACTATACTATGTAGTTCCCCAACTAGAATATTGTTATCTGAGTGACCTTTTAAACTTCTAAAATGACAGGGCGCACACGCGCGTGCACACACACACACACACACAATCTTCCACTTGCCAAACAAAAAACTCTACCTCAGTGACTTGAAGAATGTCAATTTAAAAATGTTCAAGAAGAACTTAACTGTCTTCACTAACAAACAGGTAGGAAGACAGGAGGAGGGAAGAAAAAATATTCCTTAAACCATCTGAATTTCTGAAATTAGTTAGCTGCATCACTTTTTACTTACTCTCTAAACTTCAGTATCACCTTGAGGTGTTCCATTTCTCTTTCCTCCCATTTTTTCAATTTATCTGTAACATAGGCATGGTACTACTGACCTTGTAGGGCCATGACAAAGAAGAAAAAAAGAAATGAAGACTTCTAATACATGATAAGTGTTCTTACTTTAAACAACCTTCCACAGTGCTTCCCAGCACTTTCATTAATTATTTTTAATGAATATGATTCATTAAAAATAAAACAAAACAGGCCGGGCGTGGTGGCTCACACCTGTAATCCCAGCACTTTGGGAAGCCGAGGTGGGCGGATCACGAGGTCAGGAGTTTGAGACCAGCCTGACCAACATGGTGAAACCATGTCTCTACTAAAAATACAAAAATTAGCTGGGCGTGGTGGCGCATGCCTGTAATCCCAGCTACTCAGGAGGCTGACGCAGGAGAATCACTTGAACCCGGGAGGCAGAGGTTGCAGTGAGCCAAGATTGCGTCACTGCACTCCAGCCTGGGTGACAGAGCAAGGCTCTATCTCAAAAATAAATAAATAAATAAATAAATAAATAAAAATAAAAATAAAATAAATAGAAATAAAACAACAAAAAGGCTGATTCTCAGATACAACAGTTGTTGGCAAGGATATGGAGAAACTGGAACTCTAGGCTGGGTGTGGTGGCTCACACCTGTAATCCCAGCACTTTGAGAGGCCGAGGCAGGCGGATCACTTGAGGTCAGGTGTTTCGGACCAGACTGGCCAACATGGTGAAACCCCATTTCTACTAAAAGCATAAAAATTAGCTGGGCGTGGTGGCAGGCGCCTGTAATCTCAGCAATTTAGGAGGCTGAGGCATAGGAATTGCTTAAGCCCAGAAGGCAGAGTTGCAGTCAGCCAAGATTGCACCACAGCACTCCAGCCTGGGCAACAGAGCAAGACTCAGTCTCAAGAAAAAAAAAAAAGAAATTGGAACTCTGATAAACTAATACACTACTAGTGGAAATGTAAAATAACACAGTCATTTTAGAAAATAGGCAAACACACAGCTACCATATGATACAGCAATTTCACTCTTTGGCATATACACAAGAGGAACAAAAACACATCCACACAAAAACTTGTACATGATTGTTCATGGCAGCATTGTTTGTAACTGCCAAAAAGTGGAAAGAACCCAGATGTCCGTCAACTGACAGGTGGAAAAACAAAATGTGGTACATCTACACAATGAAATATTACTTATCCATAAAAAGAAATGAAGTGTTAATACATACTACGACATGGATGAACCTTGAAAACATCATGCTAAGTACAAGAAACCAGACCCAAAGGGCCCCATAATATATAATACAATTTCTATGAAATGTCTGTAACAGGCAAACATTTAGAGACAGAAGTCAGCTTAGTAGTTGCCTAAGGCTAGGGAAGGGGGAACAAGGAGATGGAGTAACTGCTAACAGATATGGGATTTCTTTCTGGGGTGATAAAAATTCCTATAATTGATTGTGGTGATGGTTACATAACTCTGAAACCACAGAACTGCACATTTAAAATGGGTGAATTAAATGGTATGTGAATTATGTCTCAATAAAGCTATTTTTAAAAAGCTGGTTACCACTACTGTCCTAAAAAATAAAGATATATAAACTATGTCTTTGAATAAATTGTTTGAACAATAATTTATCAAAGTGAGAAAAGTTAGCATGACTCTAAAATCATGACTTTCACAGTAAAAAAAAAATGACACATTGCAACTGAGGATGGATATAAGAGGAAGAGAGACACAGACAGAAGGGTGGGGGAAGGAGAGTGTTGGAGAATGTGTGTGCTGGAAGGGTGGTAAATGAGGGAAGAATAAAAACATCTTCTAAAAGGCCTGTTCTGCTATCTTTTACAATAAAAATCATTCCTATAAATTTAATTTTCAAAATGTGTCTGTATTTGAAATTTTAAAAAATCAACTTTTCAAATGGTAAATGAAACTTATTCCAAGTGCCTATTACATCTTGACAATTGGTAGATGCTTTTTTAAATCCTTAAAACAATTCTACAAAGAAGGCATTATTTTTCCATGAGACGGATAATGAAGTTTTTTTGTACTACATTAAACTCCCTTTTTTAACAAGAATGTATAACGTATAATAGCTTAAAATGTGACTCTCTTGAATGCTCTACAAGGCCCCTCCATTTATATAAATAGAGTTTTATGCATCGCTTAATTATGGGGATATGTTCTGAGAAATGGGATTTCATCATAGGAGCATCATAGAGTATATTTACACAAACCTAGATGGCTCCATGGTATAGCCTACTCCACACCTAGGCTATATGGTATAGCTTATTGCTCCTAGGTTACAAAGCTGTTCAGCATGTACTGTACTGAATCCTGCAGGCAACTGTAACACAATGGCAAGCATTTCTGTATCTAAACATAGAAAAGTAAACATATGGTACAAAAGATTAAAAAGATACACCTTTATAGGGCAGCCCCATTATAATCTTACGGAACCATTGTTGTATATGTGGTCTGTTGCTGACCAAACCATCTTTATGAGGTGCATGACTGTACACAGAACGTGGTATAACCATTTAATATACTCATTCAAATATTTATTAAGTATTTATTAGGTACTGTAGACATAGTAGTGAACATGTTGATATATAATAGCAATGAACGTAGAGTCATCACATTACAGACCATACATTCTTATAATGGGAAGCAGAAAACAGACCCATACAAGAAAAATAATTAATGTGCTAAGTGCTATAAAAAGAATTAAATACATACCAGATTAAGAAGTGACTTTGTGTTTACCTTTTACTGGATAAACAGAAGAAGCCTCTCTGAAGTGGTGATATTTAAGTTAAGATTTTCACCAGCCAGGTAAAGAGTAAGGGAGGAGCATTATTGGCAGAGGGAACAGTGAGTGCAAAGCTCCTAAGGTGAAATGAGCTTGCAATGTCTGGGAAAGAAAAAAGGCCACTGTGGAATAAATAAAGTGGGTGAAAGAGGGATATGAAGGCAGTGAGATATGTAAGAGTGAAATCATGAAAGGCTTTAAAACCATGGTAAGGAGGAGTTGTTTGTTTTTTTTTTTCTACATGTGATGGGAGACCAATAGAGTCTTTTACTGGGGAGGAACAGAGTCTGACTGCAGTGTGGTGAAAGGAATGCTGGACCATGAGTTGAGAACTGCTGCCATAGCCCAGTTGAGATGATGGCACTGAACTAGCAGTGGCAGAAAAGGGACAGGGCTAGAGGGATGATGGGAATTCAGAGTTTGGTGATGGACTAACTGTATCTTCGAGATGACAGAATTGAAGGATGAGTCTTTTGAGACAAATTTGACAATATAGCTTTTAAAAATATAAACTTACCTCTTTCATAAACTGTTCAAACTCTTCATCTAGCTCTTCTTGGGAACAGTTAGCCATAGTCAACAATTTTGACCTCCCAAAGTAAACATTCTAAAGTACCTCAAACATTGGAAACACTAAATGACAAGAGACATAAACATCTTTTGAGGAAATCCATCAGATCATGAACACGACCAGACTTAAACTTCGGACATTTGTTATGATTCAGTATATATGCACAATTTTTTTTAACCAGTAAGAGCTGGTCAAGAGATTCCTAATTCATTAAGCAAACTGATTTGGAAAAGCAGCTTTGACAGGATGTCTTGTACTCAACGTTCAGAATTATGTTTTCATCTGTTAACATCCAATTGTTAAAGAGTGGTCTCTACAATATTTCCCAAACCTATGTTTGTGTGCATGTGTTAATTAGTACCTCTCAAACACAAACCAGGTCCTCACAGGGAATCTTAAAAACTGTAAGTTAGCAAATCCAAAGGACTGTTTCTTTCTTGCAAAGCACACGACAGTTTGTGCTGCCTTATCACTCGGCTCGTTATTTTACCAATCCATAGTAATAGTTTCGTAAAGCAGACTGCATAGTTTCGTAAAGCAGACTGTATCCAGATACGGGGATGTTTCAAAATATACACAAATAGAATTTAGTAAGAATTAGTAATTTAGTCAAAATACTTAAAGAATACTTAAAGTTAATGGAGTACACAAATCAGTACTATGTTTCTTTTGAAGCGAGGGAAGACCGACAAAAATTATGTGCTGAACACAAGCAGAATCCAGTGATTTGCAACGGAAAGCGTTCCCCTAGACACCTAATGAACCCAACCTTGGGTCGACCCCCAGCTCCTGAACTCCCTAGAGCAGCTCAAATCCCAGCTTTCTTCTGTAGAGATGGGGGAGGGGAAGAGGGCTTGCAGACCCGGACAATACCCTCCCCATCGTGCAGAGTAACACCTCTTCCCCTCATTTGCACTTTCGATCAGTTCAGGGTAAGTGCGGTTAAGGTCTTGGCCTGAATAGCTTGGTCAGGGGTGAGCTCCACTAAAAGCTTCTCAAGCCTGGCTGCGACCCCGTCCCCAGAAGCGCGGGTTCGGGAATTGGAGGGAAGACAAAGACGCATTTGCCGTGGGCTCCGGGCGGAGAAGGGGAATGACCTGGAAAATTAAAGCCCTTCGCTCGAGTATGAAGCACGGCCTCGACCAGGGCGATTTGGGTGGGAAACCAGCGTTCACACCTTACCACCTACCTCTGCCTCTGAATTCCGCGCTTTCCCGGAAGGTCTGTGCGGGTCCACCAGTTGTCAGGGTAACAGACTTCAGCTGCCGGGTTCTGGAGTCACATGACCCGGGCTGGTCACGTGGGCCGTGGGTTTCCCAATGCCTTTACAAGCGAAGGTCGGAATAACCACGGCTGAGAAAGACACTCTAGTGGCTAAACCTTCGCTGCTGCAGTAAAATGCCTTTCCTTCCCTGGCTTTCTCTACGTTCCTTAGAAAAGGGGACAGCGGCAAACCGGTTACTGGAGAAGCGAGACGGAGGCTTCCAGCAGGCTTGGAGGGCGCGGTGGTTGTAGGCCAGCCCGTGGCTTTCTGGGAAATGTAGTTTAGCTCCCCTGGTCCTTGTGTTTCCGCACTCCGCATCGTCGCCTCCCGCCTTCCCCACACTTGTCATTCGAGCGCTCTGTTTTTCCAAGGGGCAATTTTGAAGAGATTGAATTTCTTGGATTTCTTTGGCCTGCAAAGACCTGTGTAGGCATTGTGAGAGAAACACAAACCTGTGAGGAAAAAAACTGTCGTTTAGATGGGGACTCTGTTCCACCACCTAGTGGGCAAGAAATCGAAAATACGCAAACAGCAAGATTCTTATTAAGTTATTGCTCCTCCCGCTACCCCTACTTTTCAAAACTGCATTCTTTACTGGCATTTCACAATTACTGACTTGGATTTTGTTTTCTATTTCTTTTCTTTTTTTCAAAGCATGCAACATTAGCTGGAGTTTCAGAGGACAACATTTAGCATAGTGTAAGTAAAATCTACAACAGCTGCAGGTTTTGCTGATGGTAGACTTAGTTCAGGACCTCATCTTTAGCTAGAACTGTTTATTCATCAAGTCTTTCTTGCAATACAAATATGTACAAACCAGGAGCTGTGGACTATGATGCAAATATGAATAATAAAAGAAATATCTTAAGCTACCATTTATTGAGAAGTTGACTTCCTGCCACCTTCTATCAAAGACTTACCTTCCCACATATGATCTAGAGCCTTTACCCATTCTTCTTCTCACTGATCTTGTTCCACTGGTCATTTCCCTTAATCCTGTATCTTCGACTTCTGGCTGGCTGTGGGATTTTTCCTAACAGCATTTGAACATGCCTTGAGATCCCCACCTAAAACATCACTTCTGACACATTCTCTTCATGCTATTATTTCCCAGTGGTTGAAATGATCTGTCTCCTCACCTTACTTGCCAATCTTTTCTGAGGAATTATTTCCACTTTACCTCCCTTTTGTCAGACCTTTTAATCCTGTCTCTGTGTGTGTAAGTGTACATATATGACAGCGCTTTATTTGATCTCCCAATACTATTTGATACACTTGTCTCCTCTCTTTCTTGGTTTTTCTTTCACATTTATAGCCTCCCCTCAAGGGTTTTCACTGTCTCTGTCTATCCTAGCTGACCTCTAAATGTTAGAATTTCTTTTCTTTTCTTCTTTTTCTTTTTTTCTTTTCTTTCTTTCTTTTTTTTTAATTTCTATTTTTTTGAGACGGAGTCTTGCTCTGTCACCCAGGCTGGAGTACAATAGTGCGATCTCGGCTCACTGCAACCTCCACCTCCTGGGTTCAACTGATTCTCCTGCCTCAGCCTCCCGAGTAACTGGGATTACAGGTGCCCACCACCACACCTGGCTAATTTTGTGTTTTTAGTAGAGACAGAGTTTCACCATGTTAGTCAGGCTAGTCTTGAACTCCTGATCTGCCCACCTTGGCCTCCCAAAGTGTTGGGATTACAGGTGTGAGCCACCGCGCCTGGCCAATGTTAGAATTTCTTAGGGCTTATTTCTGGACTCTTATTCTGTCACACTTCATGGTACTTCCATACACCTACTCATTCAAGACAGAAATCTGGGAGTTCCCTCTCTCCCATATTTTATTCGTCAAGACTTGTTGGTGCTACCTCCAAAATGTGTCTCTATTCTGTTCATTTTACATCTTAATTACTAATGATAGAGGCATCTTTTCCTCTTGTCTGAGCTGCTTCATTAGCCTTCTAACAAGTTTCTCTATTTCTACTCCTATCCTCGTCTAACCCATTGTCTACACAATAGAAAATGTGATAATTTGAAAATGTAAATCAGGTTACTCCATTGCTGAAAATCCTACAATGATTTCTCTCTGTATTTGTACTAAAATCCAAATATCTACAAGGACTTGCATGGTATGGTCGGCACTATTCTCTTCTACAGCCTCCTCTCACCCCCACTCACCAAGGCATGCAGAATTATTTGCAGCTCTGGTACAGAGTTCAGTCCTATTGAGGTTAGAATTGGAGCTTTGGTATAAGGAGTGGAAGATGAATGTTACTGTGTCTAAAGAGTGAATAATCATTTTGTCTCTATGCGTAAACCTACAAAACTTATGCTTATAGGATCCAAGAGTTTGTTATGCTGAATTGTGGAAGGGATGTCACTAAATTTTTGGTACTGAATTGAATTGTTATACATTTTTCAAAATAATAGTCATTAAAAGAATGATTAATATTTTTTGAGAGTTTACACTGTGCTGTATACTATTGTATTCATTTTTATAAAATGAATTGACCTCATGACCCATAATTTAAAACACCATTTAATACTAGCTCTCATCATAAATATATATCTAAAATGTCAATGAAATGGCTACTTTAGTAGTTAAATCACTCTGGGTAGCATCAAAGTTTCCTACTTTTAGATTCTCCATAATTGTTACAGGTTTCTCAATCATTATGTGTTTCTTTTTGTGTTTCCTAGAATGATATGAAATTTGATTTATATTTGGTGTTTATCCAGCTCTCTAGTGAGGTTCTAGAGGGGGAGACTGTACCTCAAGCCTTATATTGCCTTTTCTCGTAGCAAACAGTACAGTGTGAGAACTCGGTCAACACTGACAGTATAGTTGTAGCCAAGACCTGCAACGGTAATGGGGTGTAAACTTAGCACATTGTGGGAGTGGATTAAGGAGAAGAACTGAATCAGATACAGTTACATAATAGTTCCAGTTGCTTGCTTCTTTACCTCTAATTTTCAGAAGTGGGTATTCTCTTCACTTATGTGGATAATGAGGAAGACACTGAAGGAATCGTATCATTCTAGTCATAAGAAAATTAATGGTTTTTTTGTTATTGCCATCGTTATTTTGTTTGTCAAAGTCATTGTTGACTTCTGCTCATTTGTCCACATCTGACTGCTTTTGACTACTTAAAATTTTTCTTAATTGTTTTGTATATGAAATGTAGTAGTCAAAGTTTAAGCTATTGTTATAAGTTGTTCCCAAGAAAAAGAATAATAATTCATAGTAGAATATTGAGAAATTGTACAGTCATATTTACAAGTATTTAAATGTTTCTAAAATACAGGCAGATGCTCTTTCCCTAGGGTATGCAGAGCTGCCCATTTACAATTATATCATGAACTCATGGATGGTGATTTAGGTCATGAAATTGTTTTTAAAATAATTCTTTAATAATCCAGTAAATGGCCACTGAGGATGTCAGCAATTTGGCTATGCTTCTAAATAATACAGTTATCAACATGGTTTTATAATTATTATGGAAATGTAAAAACACAAAAATTGACGAATCAAGGAAAAACTCAGCCTATGAAGACCCTGTGAGGAGGAAAAGACAAACTAAAGACTAGGATGAAATATTTGCAAACCACATATCTGACAAAGGGCTGCTATCTAGAACATATAAAGAACACTAGCAAAATAGCAAAAGCAAAATACACAATTAGAAAATGGACAAAAGACACGAGTGGACATTTCACCAAAGGGGACATGAGAAAGGTATATGAAAATGGTGAATAAGCACATGAAAAGATGCTCAGCATCACCAAGATATTCCACATCATTAGGGAAATGCAAATTAGAACCACAATGAACTATCAACTGGGTGAGTGTAGATATGAAGAGGTAGCATAGGAAATCTTTGTAGTGATGGAATTGTTCTGTATCCTGATACAGTAGCAGTTATAACAAGCTACATGTTGATAAGATTGCATACAAATGCACACACACACCACACATATACAAGTGAGTGCATATAAAATTGGTGAAATCTAAATGACGCCTGTCCCATTTTCCCCAACTTTCTGTCAATCCGTTACTAGATAGAATAAGATCATAGGTTATATATATATGTTTCAGAATCCTTTCTTCTAGGAAAATCTTGTGAGAAGCACAATGTATAAAACAAAGCAGAGTTGCAATGGTTGGGAGGCAGGTGAAGGATGGTTTTGAGCTCTCTTTCTATGCTTTTTTATTGGTCTTGAAGGGACCTCCCTTGAGCTCCAGAGTGCTGTCTAAAACTGATATTTTAGATTATAATTCCGTAACCCAGATAATCACAAAATTTCTACATCTATTAATATATAATCAATGTAATACATACATGAATTCCCCAGCAAGTTAGAGAAATAAGTATAAATATGTGTTTTACGCATATATACAAAATTGTGATTTTTAGCACATCTAAAATATGGATTAAGCTCATCTGATTATTGACAAATTATTAGACTGGGTCTATGTGATAATGTTAGTCTAAAATTAAGTTTTTTTGTATTCACATACCTTAGATGATGGGGAGGTGATTGGATATAAGAAGAAAATATTAGAATTTATTTTCAATTTATTTTTATCTCAAACTTAATAAATTAAAGTTTGACTAATATTGCGGACTAATTGCTATAAATATATTAATTTATAAATAAATATTCATAAAGTGAGTGTGTTTGCCTCCAAATAGTTTTACTGACAGGGCTATATGGAACATTACTGATTTACTGAATGGAACTCTTAGAACACAGAATTACTTTATTAAAATATGTCGATAAGGTAGAAATTTGAAGTTGTGCTTATTATTTCTTAAGCTAAATGTTTTGGATTACAAATATCACTATTTTGTTGTATTAAGAAACCTAATGAAGAAAATGATTATAATATCTTTTAGCCAGAAACAAGTATTTTTCCAGTCACAATCTGTAGTCTTAAGCATAAATAGGCCATATAGAGTCATTTTCTAACCGATGGTCCTTTATTAGTTCCAATTTTGATGGTTGATACTCTACTTTTCTGTGTGCTCCATTGGACTGTCTTATATGTCACATTCACATGTTCATGGCCTCGTCTTTTACTCTTGTCACTGCTGCTGGGACCAGTTTCGCTCAGGCTTGACTAGCTTCACAGATTAAGTCAAAAGTGTGCCTGCCTTAAGCCTGCATGTGAACCTCTTGCTTTCCACTCCCTGGGGTTTCTCTGATACTTGAGGGAACCCATTCAGCACTCAAAGCTTGCACATCGGAAGTGTAAGGGACTTAACTTCTGTGGGCTAACCCTTGACCAGTGTGGGGAGGAACCGATGAATAAATGCCTTCTGCTTTTCACCCTAGGGTAGACAGTATTGATACACATTTCATAAGACTTTTCAGAATGTCTGCTGTGATTTGGAACCAGTTGTTCACAGCAATGGTTTGATGATACATTCTTGTATTGGCTCGCTCGCTCTCTCTCTCTCTCTCTCTCTCTCTCTCTCTCTCTCTCTCTCCCCCGTCACTGTCCTTATTCATCACTTCTACTACTTGACAACTCATTTCCAAATACATTACTTTCATTCAAGTCTATGTTTAATGTTATCCTTTCAGGGGAACCCTGGGAAAGACAGATAGTATTAGAGTTATCCCTAGAAAGCAGACCATTAGGATAGGATTTGGGAACTGAAGAACTCATCAGTAAGATGGCAATGAAGACCCCATTGCTGAAAGAGATGGAGTGGTGATAACCAGTGGAATGCAATTGCTAAGATTCTCACATGAGATTGGTTAGGCAGAGGTACAGGTGGAATGTGAGGGGTTATTCATATAGTATGATGGCAAAGGTAATTATTAATATTGTAGAATGACTGGATTTTACTAATTGCTTTGGATGCCTTGAAATAAAGACAATTAATGGCTCAGGTCAGCCACAATCAATGTGCATTATAAAAGTCAAGGGCTTATATCAGCATTTGAGGAAATCATCCTTTCCTGCAGCTGCAGTAGAGTAGGTGGTGAAAGTCATGCCCAAGATCAAATTGTAAGAGTGGCACAGTTGCAAAGGGAATTGAAGCCACAACCTTTCTGGGTCTTCTGAGTCAGGGTTCTGATAGCAAATAGTGGAACACTGAACTTGGAATATGGACATTTGGGTGGATAAGTCTGGGAGTCTTGAACTCTCAGATTTCCCTGAACCCTCAATAATGGCAGAAGCACTCCCATTCTCCTTACTAGAGCAGAACATCCTCTTCCTGCCTAGAGACCTTGAAAAGACCTAAAGACCCTTATGTGAGGGAGGAAACTCACAAGATGATGCTTGTCCTCCTCAAGATCTGTCTGGTCACCATTCATTGTCCCCCTGCTAGTAGCTTGGGTCAGGTCTCAAAACACCTGAGCTGGGAAATATAGTTCTTTCTCCAGGAAGAAATGGTTTATAGGAATTGCAGGTCCTAGATTATATGTACTAAAAGAAACCAGGGAAATACATGTAGGGGTGAATTTTGAGAGTGTTGACTGGTGGGGGAAATAAAATAAGGCTGAACAGGGAAGATTTTATTGACATGAGAGCACTCACTCCTGAATTGGGGCTCAATTTCCTAGTAAGGACATCTGGAGCTGGTCTTAATATTCTTCTGGGAAGTTTCCTTGAAGTCTGCATGTGATGATGGCAAATAGGAAAATGAGACAGAAATGCTGAAATTGCTTTGGCTGGTATTAAGGAAGATTTGAGAAGGCTCATGAAGATAGGAATGTTAGTGTGGATTCTTTATATGATCTCTAGCATCTGTCACCTGACTTTGTTCCCTGAGAGGATCCAGAGGATATACCCTTCAATAAGACAGAAAACAATTGGCTGGTGAGGGGAACATCAGAATCTGAAAAACCTGGTGATGTCTATCCTCCCCATGTCAGGGTTAGTAACAGGAGATGCTGCTTGAAACTAGTCTCCCTAGTATCAGTGAAGGTATGGGATTTCTCAGTGAAAAGTATATGTGGTGATACTAAACTGTCAGAGGCAAGATGGTTGCAATTACTGAAATTGACAGAAGTCTATAGTAGCAGTCTGGCTGTCTTGACCTGCAGGAATCTGTGGCAATGGCTAATAAATTGCAGTTTGAGGGATGAGGTACATGGATAGCTGACTGGGCAATTTGTGTGTGTGTGTGTGTGTGTGTGTGTGTATGCAACAACAACAACCAAAATATCTTCATGTGATGTGCTCCATCAGAATATAAGAAGAATATGAGCATCAGCTATCACAATGGAAAATCTAGGTCCTTCATCCAGCTTCTAGATTTATGTAATTTTGTAGACCTAGATCTCATTGGTTAAAAGGCAGGGCGAGTGCCCTTAAGGAAAGACCCTGCATTGTCACATGAATAATTATAAACATTCTCCCTATCTTTCCACAAAGGGACCTATGACCATTTACTAGGGTAACACTGCACTGAGGAAATAATTATAGTTAGTTTTTTGAAGACTGTTGAATAGGGAGTATGAGCTGACCCTAATGCTAACTGCTTTAGAGAGCCAGAAAAGCTTCCATGGGTCTCTAGTTAGAGTGGGGGTGTTTGGAGGCTAGATGAAAACTGGAAATAAGAATAGTTAGACTTTTCAAGGATTGTTGGATAAAAGGTATGAGCTAATACTGATGCCAGGGAACCTGAAATGCTATCATGGCCTTCCAGTTAGCATGAGGGCATATGAGGAAAGGTAAAAGAGTCCTAGCCCAAGTATGTCTCACAGAGGTTACAATGGGTCTGTGGCTCACTCTTTGATTCTTTCCCCAGTCCATAAATAAATAATTTATAAAATTTCCAAGTATGTAACTGAAAGGAGCCTTATGTTGATTCCAGGATCTGTGGAGCCGTTATGGTAGGAAGTACTAAGTGGAAGTCTCTGAAAACATGCCACCAACATCCAAGTGAGTAAATCAGAATCAAGACCTCTTCATGGGAGGGATGGCAGAGACTAGCACCTCTATGTATCTGGAAAATATTGTCTTTTAAATCACCTTTGGAAAAAACATCAAAAGCAGTTGGTATGCACTTGGCTAGGATAATAGTTTACATTCACTATTTCCCCCCATAGCTGTATTAACTCTGCTGTTCTGTATCACAATGTAGCCTGTAGGAAACTTAATTGGCTTGTCATTTCACAACATCATGATAGTCTACTGAATGGCATCATGTTAATTGCACTAGATAAGGAAGAAGTGGCAATTATTCTAGATGCCCTAATTAGGCACATGAACACCAGAGGGTGGGATATGAACCCTACAAAATTTTAGACTACTGCCATATTTTTGAAATTTTAGATGATTATAAAAGATAAAGATAAAAAACAAATTGTTACACATTGGAACCTCCCACCCAGAAAAAGACATAGTGCTTCATGGGCCCTTGTAGATTTTAAAAGCAGCATGTACTGCATTTGCGAGTATTGTACTAACCCATTTATTGGACTTTAGTGTTACCCAGAGCAATAGAACGGTCTGTAACAGGTCCAGGTTGTAGTGTAAGCACGCTGGAAGCTTGGTCCACATGACCCAGAAAATCTGATGGTGGCTAGCAATATCCATGGTAAATAGGGGTGTGTTAAACATTCCCTAAGCCTCAATTGCATAGTCAGAAGACAGATCAGTAGATAGTGAAGAAGATCATGTTTTCTGCTCTTGAAAGCTACTTGCCAATTTGAAAAGTTTTTAGTGTGTTACATGGTCCTGGTAGAGGCTGAGTGCTTGACCATTAGTGTTTTAAAACCACAGTGCAATAAAATTAGAACTCAGTATTAAGAAATTCACTCAAAACCTCACAACTTCATGGAAACTGAACAACCTGCTCCTAGATGACTACTGGGTAAATAATGAAATGAAGGCAGAAATAAAGAAGTTCTTTGAAACCCATGAGAACAAAGACACAATGTACCAGAATCTCTGGGACACAGCTAAAGCAGTGTTTAGAGGGAAATTTATAAGAACTAGTGAAGCAAGTGCAAACAATTTCAAAAGCTAGCAGAAGACAAGAAATAACTAAGATCAGAGCAGAACTGAAGGAGATAGAGACACAAAAATCCCTTCAAAAAATCAATGAAACCAGGACGTGGTTTTTTGAAAAGATTTACAAAATAGACCACTAGCCAGACTAATAAAGAAGAAAAGAGGGAAGAATCAAATAGACACAATAAAAAATAATAAAGGGGATATCACCACTGATCCCACAGAAATACAAACTACCATCAGAGAATACTATAAACACCCCTACACAAATAAACTAGAAAATCTAGAAGAAATGGATAACTCCTGGACCCTTACACCCTCCCAAGACTAAACCAGGAAGAAGTAAAATCCCTGAATAGACAAATAACAAGTTCTGAAATTGAGGCAGTAATTAATAGCCTACCAACCAAAACAAGTCCAGGACCAGACGGATTCACAGCCAAAATCAACCAAAGGTACAAAGAGGAGCTGGTACCATTCCTTCTGAGACTATTCCAAACAATAGAAAAAGAGGGAATCCTCCCTAACTCATTTTGTGAGGCCAGCATCACCCTGATACCAAAACCTGGCAGAGACACAACAAAAAAAGAAAATTTCAGGCAAATATCCCTGATGAACATCAGTGCAAAAATCCTCAGTAAAATACTGGCAAACCGAATCCAGCAGCACATCAAAAAGCTTATCCACCATGATCAAGTTGGCGTCATCCCTGGGATGCAAGGCTGGTTCAACATATGCAAAACAATAAATGTAATCCATCACATAAACAGAACCGATGACAAAAATCACATGATTATCTCAATAGATGCAGAAAAGGCCTTCAACAAAATTCAACACCACTTCATGCTAAAAACTCTCAATAAACTAGGTATTGATGGAACATATCTCAAAATAATACGAACTATTTATGACAAACCCACAGCCAATATCATACTGAATGGGCAAAAGCTGGAAGAATTCCCTTTGAAAACCAGCAAAAGACAAGGATGCCCTCTCTCACCAGTCCTACTCAACATAGTATTGGAAGTTCTGCCAGGCAAGAGAAAGAAATAAAGGGTATTCAAATAGGAAGAGAGGAAGTCAAATTGTCTTGTTTGCAGATGACATGATTGTATATTTAGAAAACTCCATTGTCTCAGCCCAAAATCTCCTTAAGCTGATAAGCAACTTCAGCAAAGCCTCAGGATACAAAATCAATATACAAAAATCACAAGCATTCCTACACACCAATAACAGACAAAGAGAGAGCCAAATCATGAGTGAACTCCCATTTACAATTGCTACAAAGAGAATAAAATACCTAGGATTCCAACTTACAAGGGATGTGAAGGACCTCTTCAAGGAGAACTACAAACCATGCTCAAGGAAATAAGAGAGGACACAAACAAATGGAAAAACATTCCATGCTCATGGATAGGAAGAATCAATATCATGAAAATGGCCATACTGCCCAAAGTAACTTATAGATTCAATGCTATCTCCATCAAACTACCATTGACTTTCTTCACAGAACCAGAAAAAAACTACTTTCAATTCCATATGAAACCAAAAAAGAGCCCGCATAGCCAAGACAATACTAAGCAAAAAGAACAAAGGTGGAGGCATCACGCTACCTGACTTCAAACTATACTACAAGGCTACAGTAACCAAAACAGCACGGTACTGGTAGCAAAACAGATATATAGACCAATGGAACAGAACAGAGGCCTCAGAAATAATGCTACACATCTACAACCATCTGATCTTTGACAAACCTGACAAAATCAAGCGATGGGGAAAGGATTCCTTATTTAATAAATGGTGCTGGGAAAACTGGCTAGCCATATGCAGAAAACTGAAACTGGATCCTTCCTTACACCTTATACAAAAATTAACTCAAGATGGCTTAAAGACTCAAAGGTAACACCTAAAACCATGAAAACCCTAGAAGAAAACCTAGGCAATACCATTTAGGACATAGGCATGGGCAAAGACTTCATGACTAAAACACCAAAAGCAATGGCAACAAAAGCCAAAATTGACAAATGGGATCTAATTAAAGAACTTCTGCACAGCAAAAGAAACTATCATCAGAGTGAACAGGCAACCTACAGAATGGGAGAAAATTTTCACAACCTACTCATCTGACAAAGGGCTAATATCCAGAATCTACAAAGAACTTAAATTTACAAGAAAAAACAACCCCATCAAAAAGCGGACAAAAGATATGAACAGACACTTCTCAAAAGAAGACATTTATGCGGCCAACAAATATATGAAAAAAGCTCATCATCACTGGTCATTAGAGAAATATAAATCAAAACCACAATGAGATACCATCTCACACCAGTTAGAATGGTGATCAGTAAAAAGTCAGGAAACAACAGATGCTGGAGAGGATGTTCAGAAATAGGAATGCTTTTACACTGTTGGTGGGAGTGTAAATTAGTTCAACCATTGTGGAAGACAGTGTGGTGATTCCTAAAGGATCTAGAACCAGAAATATCATTGACCTGGCATTCCCATTACTGGGTATATACCCAAAGGATTATAAATCATTCTACTATAAAGACACATGCACACATATGTTTATTGAGGCACTATTCACAATAGCAAAGACTTGGAACCAACCCAAATGCCCATCAGTGATAGACTGGATAAAGAAAATGTGGCACATATACACCATGGAATACTAGGCAGCCATAAAAAAGGAAGAGTTCATGTCCTTTGCAGGGACATGGATGAAGCTGGAAACCATCATTCTCAGCAAACTAGCACAGGAACAGAAAACCAAACACCACATGTTCTCACTCATAAGTGGGAGTTGAATAATGAGAACACATGGGCACAGGGAAGGGAACATCCCACACTGGCTCCTTTTGGGGGTTAGGCGCTAGGGGAGGGATAGCATTAGGAGAAATACCTAATGTAAATGACAGGTTCATGGGTGCAGCAAACCACCATGGCACGTGTATACCTATGTAACAAATGTGCACATTCTGCACATGTATCCCAGAACTTACAGTATAATTTTAAAAATGTGGAAAAAAAGGAAGGAAATTCATACAACATGAATGAACCTTGAAAATATTATGCTACATTAAATAAATCAGTCATAAAAAGATAAATATTATATGATTCCACTTATATAGGGTACGTAGAGTCATCAAATTAATAGAGACAAAAAGTAGAATGGTGGTGGCCAGGGACTTGGGGGAGGGAGGAATGCAGAATTATTGGTAAATGGGTATGAAGTTTCAGTCTGGGAAGATGAAAAGGTTCTGGAAATGGATGGTGGTAAAAGATGTAATATGAAAAGTACTTAGTGGCACTAAACTGTATACTTAAAACTGGATAAGATGGCAATTTTATGTATTTTTATCACAATTTAGAAATATATATTTAAAGCATTTAAGGGTATAATAGAAGAAAACTTTCCTGAAATAAAGAAATATAAAGCCAAAAGAAAAAAAAAGAAAAAATCAAATGGCAAAGTGATTATGTGACTAGAGCCATATCGAACTGAGAATTATCAACTTTATCAAGTCTAACATCAAATAGGCACAGCAGAAAATCCACTCTGTTGTGGAAATGGTACAAGGCCTGAGCAGGTACAGAACATAGAAGTAATGTACTTTACCTGAATGGATGAACAAGACTCCCATAACTACCCCTTTCACACTATGCTGCTTCCTGATTCACACAGGAATTCCTCTTCCTGTTACCTCATGGGTATATCCTATGACCAACGAATGAAGGAGAAAATACCCTGGCCTGGTTCATACATGAATAAGGGTGATTTATTGATGCCAACCACAAATAGACTGTTGTCAGTCTACTGCTACACTCACAGGTATCCCTAAAGAAATGTAATACAGAGAAATTCTACCAGTGCAAAGAGCTCTAAGCAGAGCACATTTTCAGTTACTTACATGGAGATAGACATGGCCTGAGGTATTATCTATAGCATATACATAGACTACTGGGTAGTGACAAATGGCTTTGCTTCTTGTTCAGGGGCCTTGATAAAAACAAGATCAAAAGATCAAAGACAAGTGTATCTGGGGAAAGAGGCATATGGATGGATTTATGGAAGTAGGTACATAGCATGCACATTTGATATAGTTTGGCTGTGTCCCCACCCAAATCTCATTTTGAACTGCCATGTTGTGGGGGGCACCTGGTGGGAGGTGTTGAATCATGGGGCAGGTCTTTCCCGTGCTAGTTTCGTGATGGTGGATGAGTTTTGTGAGATCTGATGGTTATAAAAAGAGGAGTTTCCTTACACAAGCTCTCTTCTATTGCCTGCCACCATGTGAGATGCGCCTTTCACTTTCCATCATGATTGTGAGGCCTCCCCAGCCACATGGAACTGTAAGTCCATTAAACCTTTTTCTTTTGAAAATTTCCCAGTCTTGGGTATGTCTTTATCAGCAGCGTGAAAATGGACTAGTACAGCATTGCTATGCCTCATGTTAATGCTCACTAATGAGCACTCTAAATAAGAGGTACTTGACAACAAATAACACAGGTTAGGTTTCTCTGTGGGTGTGAGCTGTACTCTGTTTCGCTTTTACATATCTCACTGCTTGGATACTTGGTTTGTGAACAAATTTGCCACCACAGCTGGAAAAGAGGCTATTAATGGGCACAGCTCCCTAATGATGATCTAACTACTGCCCCCTGCTGAATGCCCAACTTGTCAGTAGTAGAGGCTGGTGGTGAAACCTCAATATGAAATTGTCAGAGTCCAGCCAGTCATTTCATATCAGATTAATTTTATTAGATCCTTTCCACCATGGAGATGGCAAAAATTCATCCTTGCTGGAATTAAAACCTACTATAGTAATGGATTTGCACTCCCTGCCAGTAAAGCCTCCACCATCACCACCAACTAAGGGCTTGCAGAAAGTGTTACCTATTGACATGGCATGTCTCACAACATTGTTTCTGCCCAAGTAGCTCATTTTATGGCAAAGGTGGTTCAGCAATGGGTGCATGATGATAGAATCCACTGGGATTACTAAATACCTCATCACCTGGAAGCTGATGATCTATGGTAAAATAGCCTGTGGAAGACTCATCTGAAGTTCCAGGTTGGGACAGGATGAGATACATGTATGTATTATATCAGTGGCTGATATATGGTGCTGTGTCCTTTAAGCTAGAATACATGGATTCAAGAACCAAGGGTTGGAAGTACAATTTGTCTCTTTCACCATTACTCCCAGGTGACTTATTTGTAAGGTTTGAAATCTTAGGCTTTGCTGGATTAGAGGTCCTGGTTCCCAGGAGGCAGAGCACTTCTGCCAGGTAAGAGTGCCACAGAAATGGACTATCTCTTGCTGACTATCTCTTTGGGCTCTTCATTCCAGTGATTGGACTCCTCATTCCTGGATCAGCAGGCGAAAGAAAATTAATATAGTTGAAAGTCTAGTCTATCCTTACATATGTAAAGAGCCATTGTAACTGGAGGCAGAGAGGACTATCCAGTGACTTGACTGATGCATCTGCTGGTGTTTTCATGCCAGGTAATAATGGTGAGTGGGTGGTTATGGCATCTATGATGTGATAAAGGAAAAGCAAGCCTTGAGAAAAAGGTCTGGGTTACTCTGCCAGGCAAGAAACCTTAAATCAGATGAGATGATGGCCAAGGGCAAGAGAAATCTAGCATTGGTAATGGAAGACAGAGATGATGCCTTTCAATAAAGTCTGGGGACCAGCTGTAGCAGGGGTTGTAGCTAGTTCCAGAAACCCTCCTGCAGAGATTGTGGCTGGCCAGCTCCTTAAAGGGGACTCTGAGATAGATTGAACTTAAGGAAGTGAAAAGATAGATTTGAGTAGTGCAAAGGATCTACTGCATCAGATAACACTGTGAGCATCACTTCAAATCTTCTTGGTGCCATATCTTACTGCAGTCCTTGTTTCAACAACCAATTCTTGTAGACTTTGACCAGCTTCCTGCAGGTGCAGCTGAAGACTGCCTCACTTTTAGCCAAGGTCTGAGCTTCTCCCTTCCTTGGAACTTTTCTGACATTGAAGTGTGAAATGTTCATTGAAATGCCACACATACACAAGTTGCAAGTGGTTATGTGGTAGTCAAAGTCCCAGGAGCCACCTTCACTCATGGAGAGTGGAAGCCCATGGAGAAATGATACTCTTTTCTTCATGCATTTAATTAGGGCTTCTCAAAAGATCTTTGAATCCAGCACAGGTTAGCCATAGCTGCAGTCATTTGACAATGAATTCTTGTTTCAGCTTTCTCATTTTCCCTGTTTTTATTCCCCCAATCATAGAGCTGCTCTCCGGGTCCATGTTCCCAGATAAATTCCTTGTGAGCAAGCCTTTTTGGAAGAAACTCAGGCCTAGAGAACAATCTTATTAACTAAGTTGAAACAATAAAATAATATAAAGAATTGAGGTTTTAATATGCAAGTCTGCTTTCTTACTCATAACTACCGAGACTTAGGAAGAGTAATGATTTTGTAAATTAAAATATTTGTTTCAACTTATCTAAACTCTATTATTTATTCAATTTACATTTGAGAGCAGGTAGTCATAGTAAGCTGCTATATCACTAAAATGTTCATTCTACTATGTAAATTGCACACATTATCAGAGACTTACAAGCTGTGAATAAGAGGGCTTTTAAAAAAACACTTTGGAGTAGTATGAAATTGTCCAACATTACTTCCATATTGTTGAATAATTGATGCTATTATGTTCTCAAGGTAAATAAATATGAAAAGGAGAAAGTTCTTCAATAATAAGGTAAATGGAATTTGTGGCATTATTTCTGATAGTATTTGTAATGTCAGTTTACATTTTCACCATCAGAGGTCATGAAAGGACAGTTTAGAGCAGAAAATGTGAGCTTTGTTGAAAATAAATTTAAGTTTGAAATTTAAACTGAAACTTATTCTTACAAGGCCTTTTTAAAAAAGAAGTCACAATCTACTTAATGCCATTTATAAATTAAGAAAAATAATTTTTAAGAATAAAATTATCTGGTGGATTCCAAGGACATCCGGCTAATTATTGACTTTAGTGCTCTCAATTTATATTTTAAGAGCAATTTTAAAGTGCAAAGTATTGTTGACTACTTGTCTTTCAAATATAAATATAACATTTAATTTCAGTTGGGTTTGTGGGGTCTATAATTGATAAAAGTATTCTATTTTTTTTTTAATTTATTTTTTTTTTATTGATCATTCTGGGTGTTTCTCGCAGAGGGGGATTTGGCAGGGTCATAGGACAATAGTGGAGGGAAGGTCAGCAGATAAACAAGTGAACAAAGGTCTCTGGTTTTCCTAGGCAGAGTGTGTGTGTCCCTGGGTACTTGAGATTAGGGAATGGTGATGACTCTTAACGAGCATGCTGCCTTCAAGCATCTGTTTAACAAAGCACATCTTGCACCGCCCTTAATCCATTTAACCCTGAGTGGACACAGCACATGTTTCAGAGAGCACAGGGTTGGGGGTAAGGTCATAGATCAACAGGATCCCAAGGCAGAAGAATTTTTCTTAGTACAGAACAAAATGAAAAGTCTCCCATGTCTACTTCTTTCTACACAGACACAGCAACCATCCGATTTCTCAATCTTTTCCCCACCTTTCCCCCTTTTCTATTCCACAAAACCGCCAATGTCATCATGGCCCCTTCTCAATGAGCTGTTGGGTACACCTCCCAGACGGGGTGGTGGCCGGGCAGAGGGGCTCCTCAGTTCCCAGTAGGGGCGGCCGGGCAGAGGCGCCCCTCACCTCCCGGACGGGGCGGCTGGCCGGCGGGGGGCTGACCCTCCCACCTCCCTCCTGGACGGGGTGGCTGGCCGGGCGGGGGGCTGACCCCCCCACCTCCCTCCCGGACGGGGCGGCTGGCCGGGCGGGGGGCTGACTCCCCCACCTCCCTCCCGGATGGGGCGGCTGGCCGGGCAGAGGGGCTCCTCACTTCCCAGTAAGGGTGGCCGGGCAGAGGCGCCACTCACCTCCCGGACGGGGCGGCTGGCCGGGCAGGGGGCTGACCCCCCACCTCCCTCCCGGATGGGGCGTCTCGCCTGGCGGGGGGCTGACCCCCCCACCTCCCTCCCAGACGGGGCGGCTGGCCGGCCGGGGGCTGACTCCCCCCCCTCCCTCCCGGACGGGGCAGCTGGCGGGGCAGAGGGGCTCCTCACTTCCCAGTAGGGGCGGCCGGGCAGAGGCGCCCCTCACCTCCCTGACGGGGTGGCTGGCCGGGTGGGGGGCTGACCCCCCACCTCCCTTCCGGACGGGGTGGCTGCCGGGCGGAGACGCTCCTCAGTTCCCAGACGGGGTGGCAGCTGGGCGGAGGGGCTCCTCACTTCTCAGATGGGGCGGTTGCCAGGCGGAGGGTCTCCTCACTTCTCAGACGGGGCAGCCGGGCAGAGACGCTCCTCACCTCCCAGACGGGGCGGCGGGGCAGAGGCGCTCCCCACATCTCAGACGATGGGCGGCTGGGCAGAGACGCTCCTCACTTCCTAGGTGGGATGGCGGCCGGGCAGAGACGCTCCTCACTTTCCAGACTGGGCAGCCAGGCAGAGGGGCTCCTCACATCCCAGACGATGGGCGGCCAGACAGAGACGCACCTCACTTCCCAGACGGGGTAGCGGCCGGGCAGAGGCTGCAATCTCGGCACTTTGGGGGGCCAAGGCAGGCGGCTGGGAGGTGGAGGTTGTAGCCGAGATCACGCCACTGCACTCCAGCCTGGGCACCATTGAGCACTGAGTTAACGAGACTCCGTCTGCAATCCCGGCACCTCGGGAGGCCGAGGCTGGCGGATCACTCGCGGTTAGGAGCTGGAGACCAGCCCGGCCAACACAGCGAAACCCCGTCTCCACCAAAAAAATACGAAAACCCGTCAGGCGTGGCGGCGCGCGCCTGCAATCGCAGGCACTCGGCAGGCTGAGGCAGGAGAATCAGGCAGGGAGGTTGCAGTGAGCCGAGATGGCAGCAGGACAGTTCAGAGGGAGACCGTGGAAAGAGGGACAGGGACAGGGACAGGGAGAGGGAGAGGGCAAGTATTCTATTTTTTAAAAAAGGAAAGAAACTAAGTTAAATGAAAACGTAGAAGTGCCTTGCAATATATTTGTTAGTGACATAGCGTGGACTTCATAAATTTACATCTGAGAGCCTGATGATGCAAAATGTATCTGTTATCTTATCAATAATAATAAACTACATTTAAAATATCTACTATTAATATGTATTTTGGCTAAGTCATAGGTAGCATGTATTGATTTAAAACTTCTTTTGCTCTAGATAAATTATTAGACCTGCAAAAAACCAGTAAGTTAAAATAATTTACATTTGGGTTTTAGAAACACAAAGTCATCAGTTGCCATTGCTCCTTTCTGTATATATTTAAAACCTCCTTATAAAATGATGTTTTGCATTAGCAAAAGTTGATGTTTTGCATTAACATAGTCTATGTTTTGAAAAATACTGTAGCACATGAAATGAGTGAGTCAGAAAAAGACTAATATTAACTGATTGCACTTATATGAGGTACCAAGAGTAGTCAAATTTATAGAGACAGAAAGTAAAATAGTGTTTGCCAGGGGCTGGGGATAGGAGAGAATGGGGAGTTATTATTTAATGAGTGTAGAGTTTCAGTTTTGCAAGATTTCTGGAGATTTGTTGCACAGCAATGTGAATGTACTTAACATTAGTAACTGTATACTTAAATGATTAAGATGGTAAATTTTATGTTATTCTATATGTATTTTGCCATAATTAAAAGAAACAGGGATAAAAAATACTGTGACCCATGAGTTGACATTAAACAATCAAAATCCTCTCCACTAAAGTTGGAGTGCAACGTTACCAGCATTTGTGGTCTGCCTCTGCTGCCTCTTGACGACACTGGGTCTGGCCAGCCAAAGGAGCCACCAGTGGGCAAAAGGAACCCCTGCAGGGCTGAGGCCTGGTTTAGAGAAATTATATTTGATTTATACAACGAGTTTATACTGAAATGTGGCACCATCCATCCCAAATTCCTCATTCATTCAATAGGTACAACAATAGCTTTTACATTATACCATAGCATTGTGAGAGCTAAATATTGAATGGTGCCTTGTACATAATAATGCTTAATACACGTTAGCTGTTCTTATATTGTTCTTTGTGAAGCACATCCTATGGCATACGTAGCAAACAATGATTTGATACCTATTATTATTATGGCCATTATTATGTGTACTTTTCTTCCAGCATAGAGTATAGAAAGATGTTTTTCATTTGTCTCGTAGTGCCCCGGGAAAGGGTTATCAAAACTATCAGAAAGTCTTAAAAATAATAAAAACATAACTCCATGACTAAGTAGAGGAATCTATTTTTATGGACTATTTGTTTAAACAGCCAAACCCTAGTCTTCACAAAAGTCCATGCAATTGTCCCTCCCCTCAGTTCTGTCTTCTTTTTTGAGTCAGTTCTATCTTTCTTGGTTTACTCTCTAATCTTCCTGTGGCTCTCACGTTTAAGAAGCCTCCATGAGGCTACTAGGTGCAGCCTGCTGCTATCTGATAGCATTCCCTTTACCTGCAGGGACCATGGTAAAGAGGCGGGGTTGGCAAGAAGTTGGATGAGCACCTATCAGGATCTGGAGTTTGAGAAATTTTCACCAGAGACTTTGTTATTTTAATTAATGCTCCTTTATGGATTCTAGTAACTATTCTAAATTAATTGTTTAGGTATTAAAAATAGTTTTGTACTTTTGTTGTTCAGTCTTGCTTGATTCATTAGTGTATTTGGGGTTCATCAATTTTAACATAAAACATAGCATTTAGACATGAAAATAGATTCACTACCTATGCAAAACTTGCTACTTGTGCAAAAAAAAGTGTTCTGTGTGTTGAAAATGATTTCACTCAATTTTTTGTTTTTAGTTATGTATCAATCTTAACAGGAAAAATATAAATTAATATTTGATATGAAATGGGAGAAAATTTTAATTTTTTCATAAAGTCTTTCTTTGAAGAACTCCTTTATCCAGAAAGTCAAAACACACATACATTTTCTAGTCACCATATAAATCTCACTGATGAAAAACAAAGTTTCTTTGAAAGAAAAAGAAAATATAAAGAGACTGTTTCTACAATTCTACCAAACCTTTCACCAATGCTTCCAACAAGTTCCAAAATGAATTTCAGCCCCATCCCCTCCCTTGTTTGCCCTCTGCAGGAGGTTTTAATGAGCAAGGGACTGCTTCTAAGGGTGAAAGCCAAAGGAAAGAAAATCCTGAATAATCCACCACCTGCATTATTCCACATGTAATAATAAGAATATTGAGAGTAGCATTAGTTCTGTAACACTACTGCCTTATTAAAGAAACCTATTCAACTTTACAAAAACTTCAGAAGGAGCAAAAGAACCATCCAATTCAGGTTTATTTTATGCTCACACCCAAGTCTTCAGTGACCTAATATTTTAAGTTGGAAACAACAGTTTTTCTTAGTTTTTCTTTTAAAATTTTATATATTTATTTATTTAATGTATGCTCTTTCTCTTTTTCTTACCCAATCATAAAGTCTTTCAGGTTGGGTGTAGTGTTATTAATTTTTGTATTATACCAATGTGTGGTTGTCAAAACTATTGGCTCTATTGCCTATTGGTCCAATTTATTATCTAATGATTTAAGTCAAAACTTAAGACATCTTGAATGTTTAACACATCTTGAATGAATGTCATGTGTATGGGGTGATGCTTCTCTCCCTCTCAATCCCCACTGCCACCTTCTAACCTACCTGAATGTATTAGGTTAGAGAAATTGTTCTTTGGTCCGAGCAGGAGCAAGCACATTATTTCCAGGCAGGAGTCCAATTCCAATAGATATAAGGTGATCTTCTATTGCTCTATCTAATTTCAATGATAGCAATGATGACAAATGTCTAAGGTAGTACAGTGAGAGATGTGGGAAGCTGTGGCATCTCCTCCACCAGCTCAACAGTTACTCAGAGTTCACCTGTATGTTTTCTTGCCTCCCAGGGTCTAGTAAATTGATGAATAAGTTAATTCTTTTAATTTGGATAAATATTGCCTTAATGGGAACATTCTTTCATTTTGGCTCTCCATTCTGAAGGGCTTGGAATGAATAAAATATCTTGACTAATTGCCTACTGCTGCAGAATAGGGTTCCTCAGAGAGAGAATGAGCATTGGTGATGACCTTTGGGTTAGGGACCTGTCCTTCTGTCTTTGGGAAGCTGGAGGAAGCCTTGCTATTTTTACCACATTTTTCTCATAAGTTAATATAACCTTAAAAATGACTTTCTTTAGCAGTTTCATTTCCTTCCTCTTATGCAAAAAACACATTTAGACTTTTTGCCTACTCTGAAAGCTATTTGCAATATATAGGTAAAGATGTAGGTTTATGCTCCTCTCTTCTTCTTCCTGCAAGGAAGAGAGATGTTAATGATTTATTTTTCTTCCTTTCTTTGTTTCTTTCTTTTTCTTTCTTTCTTTCTTTCTTTCTTTCTTTCTTTCTTTCTTTCTTTCTTTCTTTCTTTCTCTTTCTTTCTTTCTTTCTTTCTTTTCTTTCTTTCTTTCTTTCTTTCTTTCTTTCTTTCCTTCTTTCTTTCTTTCTTTCTTTTTTTTTAAACACTTTTAGTTTTGGGGGTACATGTGCAGGTTTGTTGTATAGGTGAATCACATATTGTGGGTGCTTGGTGTACAGACTATTTTGTTACCCAGGTAATAAGCATGGTACTCAATAAGTAGTTTTTTGACCCTCACCTTCCTCCCACCCTCCACTCTCTTACCCTCAGGTAGGACCTGGTGTCTATTGTTCTATCTTTGTGTCTGTATGTATTATTTTTTTAAAAAACAAGAATAAAACCCATGAGAATCTGACCTCCATATCCTAAGGTTGTTTCTGAATCTTAATACTCTTCTAAAGGAGATAAATTTCATCTAATTTTAGTTGAAATTGAATCTTTTGTTTAAAAATATATAATAGGGATACTGCAAGCAATAAAGAAGAAATAAAGTCATGTATTAACATTACTAACTTTAACTTGGGGTTTTAAAAACATGTTTTTTTGTGTAAATCTAAGAAGAGGTCATAGGCTGATTTAAGATGAAGGGCTCTCATGAGGTAGTCTCAGCTGCGGCTTAACTGTGGAGGTGAATCTTATTTTATAGAGCTTGGAAACGTCACTATCATGAATATAACTTGTTTGAACCAAAACATCTAGTGGATTTGTTCTGATACTGGGAATGTGGTAGACAGGCAACCAGAGATGTCTACCATCATGGAGGATTAAGTTGAAAGGTCTGAGAACTCCCAGGCCTCCCTGCAGTGCAGCCACAGCCTGGCGAATCACATGGGTGGGGAGGCAGTGTTGGCAGGGACTAACAGGAAATGAAACCATTTAGGAACAGGCAACTGAGAACAGTAGCATCTGAACATTGGAAGAGAATTGTATACTCTTGGGTCAGATCAACAGCCTTTTAAGGTCTGGATAACACAACCAGAATATACTGCTAATTTGAGTTTGTTTTACGTTTTTAGTTCTGGCAACTCTTCAAGAACAAAAGGCTATTTTCTTTTCTTTTTTTGAAAAGTTCCCTGGTCTTTTCAGATGAAATCTTTGGATATGATAGAATTTCAAAGATCAGATTTAAAATTGTAATTCAAATTTTATAAAATATTTATATATAAGCACATAGAAAAATGCATAGGATATACATCAAAGATGGATTGGGGGGACCAAATTTGATTTATTTTATTTTCTTTATATTACACTTTATTATATTTTCTAGTTATTTCTATTGAACATGTAGTCTTTTCTGAAGTTTGAAAAAAAAAGTAAAAAGACTAATATATATAAAACACCAAAGTCTGCACCATCCTTGCTTGCAATTTGTTATTTTTTCTTGAGATTTACTTTTGAAGAAATAAATTATTCAAGATAAAAGTTTTATATTCTATTTCTGTTTTAAAATTCATTTATAATCAGAAAAAAGCAATAAAATCTTTAATTTTCTGAGAAGTTATTGTCAACATAATTGCATTTTACATGTTTATGTCTACCCTAAGAATAGTTCTTATGTGAGAGTTTTCTATTTAAAAAATTCAGAATATGGAATAATAAGTAAACTTACAAGAATATTTATAGTTTAAGTGAAAACAAAGGAAGTTATTTTATGTTTGTAATAAAGATTTTATGTTGTGAAAGAGGTCTAAAATAATAATGCTCTAATAATAAAATAAATATCAAAATAGGAATGTCAGAGATGCAGATTGAGACTTGTAACATATTTCTTCTTTTCTTTGTTATTTATTAACTGAATCCAAATCTTGTTCCTAAAGCTGGAAACATATATTATTAGATTTTTGGGTGTACTGAACCAAATGCAAGGACCCACGGTGAGAATGAGAATGCAATTTAAAGAAAGAAGTGGGGAAAGGAGTTAATCATCAATGTACTCAAGACAATAATACATTTTAATAGTTTCATAAAAATACTGTTCACATACGAGCTAGCAGAACATGTTATGACAGAACCCAAACAAGACTAGATGGAATTTAAAGTTTTTCAAAAGTCCAAATTAAAAAATTTTATCAAAATAAATTTCTGAGAACTCCTGGAGTTCCAAAGAGTCCCAGGAACACTGATGAAAACTGTAACTTGGAGAATGAAACAGTGAGTTTAAGTGTGTGTAAAAACAATATATCACCAACTCTTACATGAATAGAACAATGACATTTTCCCTTGAATTTATGTATAATTATTCCTCACACAATTTTACCGTTTCAACTATTGTGTCATTTACCTTTCCAAAGTTACCTATTTCAGTTTAATTTCCTTTTAGCAAGTTTGGCTCATGTTGGCAGAATAATTGCCGTGTCCACTATCTCTCATGTCAAAGGAATAATAGCTCTATGTGTCTCCAGGGGCATCTAGATGACAATGATAATCGTGTTTGTTGAAGAATCATATTGCTTTAAAAATCTCTAAAACCAATGAACATTATTCACAAATGCTGTGACTTCTAGTTAATGTTAGTAATGTATATTGTATGTTATCTTCTATTATTGATAAAAAATTCAATCTTGACATGTAATTTATTATCTTTAGATTGTAATATCTATAATACACGCTGAAGATAATCCTATCTTTATATTGTTATACTGACATATTGTCCAACATTATTTTAAAGAGTTTCAAGAATTTTGTCTCATTTGCAATCTGTGAAAGCTATGTAGAGACAATGGGCTCTTTACTGTCTTCATAGCACAAAGAGGACAATGTTGATTTTGTGTGTATGAGTACTATTCTATAGAATTTAAATACTCTTGAAATTGCTTTAACCGTCACCTGTGAAATAATGGAAAACTTTTCACAAGATTGCTACAGTACCCAGTTCATAACTAGTTCAGGCAGTAAAACAACTGCACATAAGCCTTGGTATAGACGTAACCTTAGCAGAATGCTAAAGGTCACATCATAATGCAGGTTAGAACTGAGAATGGAGTTGGGAGGTGCTGACTATAAGCCTGATGGCCAATGTTCACGCCAGGAATGTCTTCCAGTTTGCAATTGTCTTGTGAAGTTCTGGGAGTATCTGTTCCTGTCACTGGGCAAGAGAAGGAAGGTGCTTCTGCTAATGACAGTTGAGGCCAGTGTCTTCTAGGAGTCTCCCATAGACTTTAACACATTCTTCCAAGGGGAGCCACAAAAATTATTCAACAAACTTTATTGGAGACACATTTTGTCCCTGGCACAATGCTTGACTCTGAAGGCACAGAGATAAAAGACATAGTCCCTGCCAAGAGAAACTTACTGTTGAGATGGGAAACAGAATTGTGAAATGACACAATAATAACCGCAACACACTGTGAGAAATGCTACAATAAACTGTTATGACTACACAAAACAAACAAACAAACCAAAGAGGCACCAGTTCTGCCTAGAGGTGCCAGCCAGGTGGCATTAGACCAGGGAAAGATAGATGCCCCCTTATTAGAAAATAATGAAGATCTTTTCAAATGTAGAAAACAATGTGTTTGAAGAGGCAAACACAGCATGCTCCTCTTTGGAGCATCTTGCATAGCCTGAATAGCTGAAGCATAGACCACACTCCTATTGCTTTATGGTGTCCAGCATCTACTTTCACTTTTTATTACGGCCTCTCTTTATGAAGCTAAAAGGTCCACCTTTTGTTTTTTCAGCCCCTATCACCTCCCCATTTCTGGGCTGGAAGTGGACCTCTAACTTCAGCTGGGTCAGTTTGATGGGGAAAGGGAAGTAGAAAAAATATTGAGTGGCGAATTCTTCCGGTGTTCACTGCATCACTGAGATTGCAATTTCCAGGGAGAGTAACAGCTGTAGGACCACTGTCATCTCTAGCATCCAGAGACAGTGTCAAGACAGAACAGTGGTGGTATTAAAGCATAGGACCATTATTGTACAGTGACAGTGATGGTAGATTTAACTAGCTTGGTTCTGTAGTTGGCTATTGGCTGTCGTTCTTCTGCCTAGCTTTTCTTTTTTTCTTTCTTTCTTTCTTTATTTCTTTCTTTCTTTCTTTCTTTCTTCTTTCTTTTTTTTTTTCTTGAGATGAAGTCTTGCTCTGTCGTCCAAGCTGGAGTGCAGTGGTGTGATCTCGGCTCACCACAAACTCCACCTCCCGGGTTCCAGCAATTCTCTGCCTCAGCTTCCCGAGTAGCTGGGATTATAGGCACCTGGCACCGCACCCAGCTAATTTTTGTATTTTTGGAGGAGACAGGGTTTCACCATTTTGGCCAGGCAAGTCTTGAACTCCTGACCTTGTGATCCACCCACCTTGGCCTCCCAAAGTGCTGGGATTAGAGGCGTGAGTCACTGCACCCGGCTGCTTTTCTTTCTTTCTGCCTTTTCTGAGTTCAGTTTTCCAACCTTTGAAAGATTTCTGTGAACTACTCAGTATACCCTATCATAAATTTATTTCTGCCTTTTCAGCCACACTTCTTGCTACTGACAGTCATATCTAGGTCAATGTTCATGTTTGAGCTGGAAAGGTTAAGGTAGAATGTGAAAAGTAGTATATGCCATGCCTAATATTTTTTTGACTGAAGGATTCCAAAGAGAGAGATGATATAATCATATTGCGTTAAAAATTCTGTTATCTGTGTAGAGATTGGTAAGGAGGAGAGAAAGATGACAAGGAGTTCAGATAGGAGACTATTGTGGTGGTCAGGCAAAAGAAAACAAGGGCTTTAAAAGAAACGGGCCACGAGGAAGAGAGAGAGAAAAAGATTTGAGAGATTGTCCAGAAGCAAAATGAATTGATCTGGGTAACCTAGGAGCTGGGGTAGAGGGAGAAATTGATGATAGCTTTGAAGTTTCTAGCTTGGATGAATAAACGGATGGGTGTTGGAGCTGTTGACCAAGTAAGCTAAAGAGGTTTTGGATACATTGAGTTACTGAATTTAAGGTGCTGTTGAATATGTCCACTAGGCAGGTACATACACACAGCTGAATTTGAGCAGAGAAGTGAGGGATGAAATGGTATGGAGTGCCTCTTAGGCAGTCTGAGTGGATGAGATACCTTTGAGAATTGTAGATAGATAAATGGCTTCCTAAAAAAAAATCCTCCAGATTTATCAACAGCAACCACTCTTAAAGCTACTCTAAAACTTCTTTCATCCATTACTAGTTTTTTTTTTTTTTGGATAACTTGTTAAAGGGTATTCAAACTCAATTTGAATTGGGGAAAAAGAGGTACTATTGTTTAGTTTTCTAAGTTTCACTTTTCAGGCCACAGAATATTTTCTTCAAATGACATGTTGCATGGATCCCCAAATTATAAAACATTTGAATTTAGAGGGGATCTGAGTGAAACAGGCATGAAGGTTCAGAGAATAACTCCTAAGCCTCCCACTCAGTTATCAAAATACCCTCCTGAGAATCCTAAGTGTCCAGGTGTAATATACATGTCTATCTATCTATCTATCTATCTATCTATCTATCTATCTATCTAGTGAATATACACAGCCTCCCTCCAAAGTGTCCCCCAGTTCCTTACCTGTGCTCACAAATGGGACTGCCTTGTTCCTCATCTGCTGCCCTGCCCTGGCTTTGGTTTATCTCTGGTAGCTGACTGCAAAGCCATATGAAGGAGGTACACAGCTGTCAATGTCCAAAATGAAAACTCCACTGTCCACAGCAAAGGTGCTATCTCAGGGTACTTTAAAAGTTCCCTAATAAGGGATACCAGAACATCTGAGTGCCCAACACAGATGGGCATTAGGGCTTTCTCTCCCATGCTCTTACATACTTTTCTGTACAGCCCAAAATACATTTGAACATTTCCATCTGCCTATGGTCATTGCCCTTTAAATAAATCCAGTCTACAGATCCACATGGGAAAGGATATCATACTACCCCTTCCCTCTATACTTTATTTTACTGGCCCTCACACTGATATAAAACAAAAGCAAATAAGTGGAGTCAAACCTATATGTTTGTAAAAGTGTGCTATGTGGGTATGTGTATGCATGAGTCTATGTGTATATAGGGAGGGAGTGGATGCAGGGGATATCCAAACTATCAGTATCCAGCCAAAAGTGCCCTGATACACATGGAATACAGCTTAAAGACCACTGGCCGTAGCGGAAAGAACAACGTCTTGTAACCAGAACAAGGTCAAAATCTTACGTTATTTATAGTGGAGTGGCTTGGATTTTAAGTTACTTCACCTCTTGAAGCATCAATTTCTTTATCAGTAATATGGGAATAACAATAATACTTATCTATCAGGATTGATAAGATATAAGATGGTGTCCCTAATGTACTTGGCACTAGTAATTGTTGCTAAGTATTCTTGGCAAATAATTAAGAAAATGGATCTGATCATTTTCCTAAATATTTGAAATGAGTCTACTCAGCATATGCTTTCTGAAGTGACTTTGTCTTTTACATTCAAAATCTACTCCTTCTGTAAATGTGTACATGTGCATTTCAGCAGAAATATGAGTATGTGTAGATACACAGAAGAGAAAGATTTTGAATATGTGAAATCATTTAATATGTTTGAGTAACACTTCTGTTTATTATGGAGATAAAACATTAACAACTTTTTTGTGTGTGCAAGATCCCACTTAAAAATGACTTAAACTGAATAAAATATTTTCAAAATATTCCCAACTATCAATCTGTCAGCAAGAGCAGACCTAGGGGAATATTTGCAAAAGCATTTGTGCCTTTTGTTCCCAAACACCTAGCATGGCTGCAACCAACTTTTATGCTTTATAAGCATTTTTCAGCAAAACAAGCTATTGGAATGAAAATAAGCACTAGAGCTATTGAATAAGGCAAAAATAATGGAGATGTTGATCATTTTCATTTTTAAAAATGTTGTCAGTTGCTTGTGGCCTATTTGTACCATATGCTCTTCTCTTTATCCCACTTTATATCAGACACAGAATGTTCCTCAAAGAGATTTCCTCCTCCTTGCTAATCCATTCATCCTTGCTTTCTCTTAAACAAAGCTTTGCCTGGAATAACTATTTAGTAACAGAAGGTTTCAGTTTTGCACATAAAGGCTTAAAATTTCTATTTCATTGTTTGCAAAGTTTTAGATTGGAAAAGTATTTCAGAGTGAGAGGGAAAGTAAAATGTTATCAATGCTCACAAACATTTTGCATTTTTCTGATATTTCTCACTTAAAATATCACTGGAAATGAGATCATCTCTACTCAGGCTGTTTATACATTCATTCTTTCATTCATTTATTCAGTAAATATTTCGTGAGCACCTATTATGTGCCAGCAACTGACAGGTCCTGGAGGAGAACTATGGATAGAGATGGTCCTTCCCCTGGTGGAGGTTAAAAATGGTCAGAATTGGACAAATTTTTCCTCATAGAGAACACAAAATCTATTCCAGTGAGTTTGTGGTCCAGTGTGGGAAGCTCGAAATACAGTGGAAACAATACTCTTCCTGTTCCTGTGTGCTGACAGTGTTACTCATTGCTCTCCCACCTTCCACATAAGAAGTCAATTTTATTATTCTGATTTATTGATTGCAACTTAGCTTAGATACTGTGTATGAAGCAGTTTGTCTAGTGAACCTGATGACTGAATTCAGCGATCTATATTTGTATTTTATACTTAAATTGACTTACTTATCATTACAATTTCCGTGTTGCATGCAAATGCTTTCCAATAACAGTGGTGTTTTTAGTATTATCCTGGAGAGTTGCCTGTTTTTCAATTGCTTAGTTTTGTAAAATGGGATTATCACTGTGAACACGACAAAGAAAGCAGTTTGAACAAAGTTCTTAATTCACCACTGTTTGTTTGCTTTTAATTCAGTATGAAACTGTTAACCTTTACAAAAAGACAACTAAAGAATATGGCTAAATATTTATTTTCATAATCTCTAGTTTCACATATTTGTAAGTCCAGAGCTGAAATCCTATATCTCCTCTGATGCTCTAGCAGCAGAGTTAATGTACAAACTCCTTTTTTGAACTTTTTCCCTTGACTCAGTCTCTTAATTTTTTATGGCTCTAAAAAATAAAACGTGAAAAAGCAAAGCCAGATATATTTTATCTTTCATGTCTGACAGATGTTCCCTCACCCATGTTTCATGGGCATAATCTGTCTTTAGGAAACATGGAGGTGGATGTTTCTGCCAGCAAAGCTTCATGAAAAGAAGGCTGTTTGTCTTGATTAGCAAATCCTTCATAATGAGTTTTAGGGTCACATATTATTCAAGTTTCTGGATGAGATTCTACACTGAGTGGTAAAACAATTAGCATAGGACTAAAATATAGAAAGTGGCTATAAGTAGACAAATGGTGATATTGGACATTCAGATAGACCATGTTCTATCGGTGCCATTTAAACATTTACTATTAAAAAATTATTAGACACACAAAGGTGAAAGCCACCATGACTCAAGAGCAGTTTTATTTTTAGGATAGTCATGGAAGCGTAGGTGTTAATATGGATATTTTTAATGAAAAAATAAGAAAAAAATAAATGTGTTAAATGTGGACATGAAACCAACCAGAGGCTCTAGCTACTGAACTGGTGTCATTATGATTTGCTTTAATTGTCACAGAAGAACAGAAATAGACTGTCTTTTGGTTAAACCTGATCCTATCTCCTTATAATGCTGGCAGATAGAGCAGTTTTGCCTTTCAGATTTTCACCCAGCTATTTTTAGTTCTCTGAAGCCTGGGAAATAAGAAATATAACCTCCTTGAAAAATCCAAGTGGGCCAACCATAGCAGGGCCTCTGAATCTGATTAGATAAAACAACAAAGAGGTTCTGTTGGAGCAGAGGCAGGAAGAGCCAAGGTGGGTGGCAATCTCTGCTTAACTCAGGGGAAATGGAGCCTCAAAGAATTCAAAAGTGGGTGAAAAAAATAACATAAGCAATAGACAACTTTCCCACATCTCAGGTCACTCTCTAAATACAGCTAGAAAAATTTTCCCCACGCTAAACTTTTTAAAAAATTTTTGAAGTATAATAAACAGTATGTGAATGTATGTTTATCCTAAGCACCACACTGAGAGAGATAGTCACTCTCTAGTAACGTTTGTGCTCAATATTAACCAGTTCTCATCCCTCTTATGAACTTAGAAGGTAAATGAGAACAACATTTAAGTTATAAAAATGGATATTTGTTTTAAACTTCAAAATATGATACCAAAGTTATAATTTAATGCAGCCTTTTTCTTCAGTTATTAAAATGGAAGTGCATCATGGGAGTAAGAGGGTGGGTAGAAGTCCTGCCTCCAAGTAGAGTTAAGAAATAAAGTCTGTTCCACTTCTGCCACTTGGTTTCCTGGAATCAGTTTGCCAGATTTTAGCTTGGTGAATGCCAGGCAGAGTCTGACCAGAAAAGTGGGGGTGGCTGATGTGCTGACAGTTGTCATCAATAGCTTTCCACAGAGCTTGAATAAGTGACGTTATGCATCCCCAGCATCGCCACACTGCAAAAGAAAACAAATAACAGGGGGCTGGGCACTGAAATACAAGATAGTGGACATCTGGCATCTCCTGTGCATTAGAAGTCACTGAAATACCCTGCAGTTTAGTTTCACTTTTTAAAATGGGATAATTGCCTTACATCTCACATTCATTTGGTAACTTGAAAAATCACTCCAAACTCTTATCCATTTCCTCCTAATAGTGCCAATGTCCGTGGTTAAAACTGCAGAAAAGCTACAAAGAGTCAAATTACGGTAAGGCATTTAATTTATTTTTTAGATACAAGTAAAATCAGCCCTGCTAAATTTCCTCTTTTTTCTGTTTCTCAACTTCTCTTTTCACTTATCAACACCATGATTCTTCTTTAACATGTCATGAACAGCTGAGAGGTGCTGTATCAGATGCTGGAGAGAGTTTTAGTGTAGGAACTGGAATGGGCTTGGGCCAGGGAATCCTACAGATTGTTCAGAGGGCTAGGAGTCATTCCAGGCAAAGAAGAGGAGGAGTGAGACAGTGTGGTGGGCTCACCCAACACCCCAGCAGGTCCCGTGACTCTCCCAGATCCCTCTTGTCAGCCAGCCCTCTTTCAGCTGTTCTCTGTGGCGTAAGTGGGTTTTTTATGTGCAGTTCCGAGTTCTGTGACAGTTGTGAATGCTGTGAGACATCCAGCCGTAAATGAACAATTGTTTCATGTGCACTCCTTCAAACCCAAAAGAGAGCCAATGATGGGCCCAAAGTGTAGAGGTAGAGACACTTCCTGGCGTCCCTGACATGATGGCATTGAGCAACTAGTCTAAACCAACTGGGTTTGGTGATTTTGTCTCTTTCCTGTGCCTCCCTGTGTGGTGCATATGAGAAGGGGACCCGGTATTTGCATCTCAGTGCCACTGTGGTTCTGTCAGTTTAGAGATTCCTGGAGTCAGACACAGAAATCCGATAGCTCCTCTCTAGGCATCTATACCTTTCTGAATTTTGGATCACAGATACTCTTAGACAAAGGCATTGGGAAAGTTCTAGTATTAAAATATTACACGATGTTTTATATCATGCTCTCACTGTTACCCAAAGAAAATACATTGACAAAATGTGTCTGTCTTGTGAAATATATAATATTCACTGCTAACTTCCACTTCTATCAGGCCAGATTCTGTGATCTTCTGCACAGAAGTGTTCTGGCTGTGGCTGGCAACTCTGTCTAAAGTATCATGTATTACTTGTAAAGTAGACTATTTTCACTGAGAAGTCTTGAGTGCCTATTCAAAATATACACTCAAAGTAGAAATCATGGAAGGCATGAGCTAACTCTAAACATTACATGAACGTTCTAGATAAAACTGCATGAAAGTGTTAAAATTGATTATGCAGTTATCTATGAACCCAAAGCACATTAGAAAAATAATAACTTTCAAGGAAAAGAAAAAAAAAAGAAAAATGATAACTTTCTAGTCATTGGTTTCCCCATCTTCAAAATAAAACACACTACTTTTAGGGAGATTTTGAGTTTACAAAGGATATTCACACATGTTATCATTTTGATCCTCTGAAGAGTTTGGGCTGGATGGTTTATAAGCTCCTCCTAGCTTTAAACTTTGATTACTCTGTGGCTGTTCTATTAAAGAATACAGACTGGAAGGTGGTTTCTAACATCAAGAACAATAAAAGAAACTGACCCCATGCAATAGAGTGAAGTACAAATGCTCTTCATAAAGTCTTCATAGCCTTTAGATAGCACTTTTTAAATTGCCATCTGGTGCTCAGGCTTTTTGTTTAAAGGGTCAGAGACTCATCATCTGAAGATTCCGAAGTGGAGGAGACAGTCTGTCAGTGCCCTGGGAGCCAGAGCAGCTGAGCATTTGAAGTCAGGCAGCCACCCACATGGTGCCAAATTTGCCGCCATGGAATTGGCTGTGCAAGCTCTAAATGAGAGCACAAAGGATATGACACCTGTCATTCCATTTATTCCCTTTCTTTCAGCATCGTTTTTGCTAATCACTTCTTAACTCTGTCAATTTAAGAAATAAACACGTCTCTGACTGAGCCCTCAAAGACTCTCTAAAATGTGTCTTGAAAATAATACCCAGATTAAGATTACAAACCAGGCTATTCCCTTTGTAGTTGCAGGCTTTTTGAAAGCGGTCATTTCCCTCATGTGATAAAAACCTGAAACATATTCAAAGAAATAAGAATTTCATCATGTTTGTCAGGATCAATAGAATCTTGACCAGTACTTAGGAAATACTTCCATTGCAAGAAATTCTCTCAAGCTTCTTGTTCTGACCTAAAAAAATTATTTAACCAGTATTATGAAATGGTCCCACTTTAGAGGTGATATAAAGTAAGGCACAAGTAAGATGGTTTATTTACAAGGAAAGACTTTTGCAATATGACAACGTTAATTGTAGCTCTAGTAGGATGCACACAGAATTAAAAAAATTCTTCCTTGAATATTCCTAGGGTAAGCTTGAAGTCTTTTAAAGTTCAAGACTATTCTTTAACTATTGTGTGGATTACTAATTCTATATTCTGTAGAGTTACGTAAGCAGTACTCTTAAGTACCAGAGCAAAGATGCAATGGTTGACTCATCTTCGAGTTTGGGTTACATGTGTGGCATTGTGTTTTTGAATGGAGCTTTCTGGAATGGCAACACTCCATCAAAAACACAATAGCACACCTGTACTCCAAATGGCTGAATAAGGCAAAACATATGACATGAAAATTCTGGGAATCATATTAAAAAGAAAGAAAAAAATTCCTCTAAGCTATAGCAAAGATAAAGATAATACTAAGGCACTAATACACATGAAGAATAGAGCGTTTTACATATGTTGCTCATGAAATGATTTATCTATCATTTAACCTCCGCCCATTAGCCATGTTTGTTCCGTGTGATGTTGACATGAGCACCACATACATTGTATGTGAAACGTTGCTCAGATGGATGTTCTATCCCAAAAAATAAATTATCATCACAGATTGCACAATGAGAAATGACTGCTGCTTATTTTCCAAAGGCTCTAAAACATCAAGAAAAAGGCAAAAAGTGGCTTTTTTTTCTGGAATTTTCAGTGGGAACTGATGGTGTATAATATATTTGCTATGTTAAGGGGGGATGTTTTAAATTAGTGCTTAATATTAAAAGGGAAAATTTATGTCATTGTTTTTTACAAAAAAAAAAACCTCACATATTACCTTTCCAATCTAATGAATTCTTACTCATACCTCCTGGAGGGAAGAGCTAATAGTGTTCATTTGGTTGTACTTTTACATACTTAATTTTTTTGTAGGTATCAGTTAAAACAATTGTAATAGAGATTTTTCTATGTGTTTGTATAGCCATCTTTTTTGCTTCATTGATTGCACAAAATCATTTTTGCATGTAAAGAAGTACAAGCAGGCAGGTGTAAAAATAGAACTCTGATAGATAAAAAGCTTATTTCTATCTATCAAAAGATTGATTGTTAACAGCTGAGTTTGGGTTTTGTTCACTAAAACTTGTTAAATTATAGACCTTTTTCGTGTGGTTATCTATACAGACCCATATTGTTTTTCTTCATTACGTAGATAATAAAAGCATATTGCTCATTGGGTAATATGCTTATAATTTTTTTTTCAAATAATGCTTTTATGTTGAGATTGCACTAGATTTTTATTTTAATCAGCTGCCTTCTCACTGTGCTCCATGCATTACAATTATGAGATAGCTGCCTATCAATCCAGGTCTGCTCCTTGCTGTGGTCTGAAACACTGTTAAGGAAAATTAACAACAGAGTTTGAAAATCCAGCTTTCTAATAACTCTGCGCACATTGAGCAGTTTTCATGCAGAACCCCAAAGTTTGGCGACAAACACTTACTTTTTTCTCTACAGAAATATCATCAGAAAAATGATTATTAGAAACAACTACTTTTTATGTTGGGTACTCAGGAAACACACTCACAGCCTCTAATTTGGAAGTTTGGTGCCACCACAATCTTTATCGAGAAACATGTGGCTGGCAACTGAGAAGGTAGGAAAAGTCGTATGGATTAAAGGAAATAAATTAAAAGCTGATTTATATAAATCTTGAGGGCTACTTGCACCTGGAATCATTTTCCTGGTAGTATGTACAATTGGGCTTTCTCCTTTTTAAAGTATCCTGGCTGCAGGATGAAAATTGCTATTTTTGAGTAAAATACTATGCAAATCTTTCATTTGGTGTGGTGACTAGAAAAACATTTTTTTTTCTTGTTGAGATTTTCAAGAAGTACCAGGATATTTTTGCCAGAGACTGCCAAATTTTTCTTCTGCAAATCTTTGATCCCAGACTGAAATTCTCTCCTTGCGTGTTTTCTTTAGCTTTCACTGAATCAGTTTAACTTAGCCCATGTTTCATATTCGTAGAAAATTTGGAGAATTGACACAGACTGAGTTTGGTAGAGATAATCCGGACATGGTGTAAGAAGTTTTAAGGCATTTAAGAAGAGATGGTTTTGAGGGCACTACATGTTCTTAATTTGTCCATAGGACAATAGAAATAAACATTACAATTTTCTGTTCATACTATGTTTAGGGAGAAAATAAAAGGATAATATTGCTATTTGGAACTCCTACATTATCATAGCATTCTGCTAAATAATTTATATGCACTATCCGATAATATGAACATTTATTAACATTTGCTATGTGTCAAACGCTGGCTGAAGCCCTTCACACGTATTACCTCACTGAATTCTCACAGGACCCTATTAGGTATTTTGTTATTTTCATTTTATAGATGAGGAAACTGGAGCTGACAGGATGTAGAACTCCTAACCATTGGACTAAATTGCTTCTCTATACTATTCTATTATCTTACTGAATATCTGTAATACCCTGCAAGATAAGCATAATTATTCCCTTTTATATATGAGAATACTGGAAGCTCAGAAATTCAGTAACTTCCCCAAAGTCATACAGCTAGGTAGAGCCAGAATTTAATCCAGGACTGAGTGATGCTGAAGCTCATGTTTTCCCTATCACAATAGGTCTACTTTTGCTAGAAGGCCAAGTCAATGACTTTAGAGAACATGTCCTATAAGCATGGTGCTGGGAAGGCTCTGGGACAAGAAGCATAAGGCAGTGTGGCAAGGGCGGTGCAGTCTGCCCTGAACTGTAGCCTGTACACATGGTTCAAATTGGCCGTCTTACCCATGCTGCAAGGTCAATGCCGAGAGAGGATTGAGAATTTCAGAGCGGCTTGCTTCCCAGAGTGGACATGCGCCTTTAGACAGGCTCTTTATGGAAATCCCGCTGGGATTTCCACATAGCACACATATTTGTAATGCCTTCTCCTGCCTCAGGCTACAAGGGTGCTTTGTAGTTAGAACCTAGTTCATTTTAGAATCCCATCTGGTCTTTGGTGAAGCACATTGGAGAAAGTGAACTACAGATTGACCCCCAACCCAGAAAATATTTTCATGATTCCCATTTCCATAAGGTCACAAGAGTGTATGAGAATAGAATTTTTGGCAGGAAGTAAAAATCCATACTCCCAGAAATATTCTTCTCTTTAGTTCTAACTATATCTCTTTGGACCTAACTACTTGTAAGAGGCAACAAGTAGAGACCAGTGCAGAAAACATCCCACTGTTTCTACAGCAGTAGGTTAAAGAGAAAAGGCAACATATTCCAACCTCTCAATGTTCTAGTCTTACAGAAATAAAATTTCACCAATCACTTATGTAACCATAATATTTTTGTATTGTGGGGCTTCCTACCACTTTGGGGGGTTTATAATAAGCAAACATAATAAAATACACATTTAGAGCCACTAGTCTTATTGATTTGTGAATACAAATGTACACATTACCAATATGGCCCCTTCTAGTTTGCATTGTTTTCCAAGTTTATGGGCACTATAAGATTTGTGCCCCTGCTGTCCTTCTTAGAAGAAATCATCTCATTTATTGAGTGACTAACCTTCTTTGATTTACAAAGTAGAGATTAATGTAACTTCATTTACAAATTGAATCCAGCAAACACAAATAAGTCATGTGAATCTGGCTCCATTGTGATAGAGGGTCATCAGCCCACCATGGCCAAATTCTGAAGTCTTTTGGAGCAGAAGTTTTTAACTTTAAGTCTGCAGCAAAAAGATAGAATTTGTTGGATCCATAAACCCTTGAAAGTGAATGCAAAATTTTATGTCTGTTAACTGTAGCACAGACCACAGCATTCATCAGAGTCTGCGAAGGACCTATGACTCCCCAAAAAAAGATGACTGAGAGATGCATAGTTCTTTTAGCGTTACCTTCTTTCTCTCAGACAGAATTAAAGATGATGCAAACAGAAGCACAACAATTAAAAAAAAGGAAAGCTCCCTTTTTAAAAAGAATATTTTCCTCATAGAGTATGTTATTCTTTTTGCATGCAAACGGTGTTGTGTATTAAAATGGAGATGTCCACTTCCTTTTATTGTGCAAAGGTTAAATTCTGAGAATAATACACAAATTCTGAGAATAAAATTCTGAGAATAATACACAAAATAAGTGTGTAGGATGGATAGAATTCTCCAGCTGTTTCTTAACTAGAAATGAGACATATTCAGTAACATTTCTAGAAAAAATTCAAATGACTCACATATCATTCATAAATAGCTACTGCAGTTTGCAAAATTAAATCACATTCTAAGTGGTTCTTCACATTGGAAGAATAAATACTGTTTGTGCTCTTTAGGATGGATATAAAAATACAAATTAGAATTAAAGATTAATTTGTAAGAACCATTCCCCTACCAAAATCTTCAGAAAAACTCTCAAAAATAATAATTCAGACAGGCTGCAACTTCTATGCAAAGTTTTTTAAATGAGCATCCTTTCAGGAGGCGTTCGCTGCAGCCATGAGCCAAGAATTCTCTTTTCTCCTTGTGACTGTTGGCATTTCCTTCCTCTTGTGCCCTTCCTGTCTTCCTTCCCTGCTGCTTGGCACCATTTGCACCACCACTCTCTTGACATTTCACGTTTTTTGCCTCCCCAGGATGAGTGTCCTGTGGTTCCCTGGGACAGAGGTGGCATTGACATGAGGAAGGGGAGAAAAGGATGTAAGTACAACCTTGTTGCCTTGCCATGTGTGCCATTGCTTCTCCAACCGTGGCTGCTTCCCAAGTATCATCAGTTACATTCCAGCTTCTGAGTCCCCTGTTACCATCTCAGTCTTTTACTTGCTTTTCTCTTAAGGGCCCCACTGTCATAACATGCTCAGCATGAGATGGTTTTTCTCTTGAATATAGGCAAATCTTGCTTCAATCTTTTCTTTTGTTAATATTTATTTATTATTATTATTATTTTTTATTATACTTTAAGTTCTAGGGTACATGTGTACAAAAGACCCTTAGTTAACAAGCATGCTGAACCCTCCCTCCCAGTGACATGGCTTGTGTTGTTTTCTTAGCCTCTATGTTTATCTGCTTGGCTGCCTCACTTTTTCAGGCCTCTGATAAAATTATCTCATCAGTTGGCCTTCCCACATCATCATTCTATATCTCCCTTAACTTGCTTCCTATTTATTCACAGTACTTTTATCATCACATTACAATAATCTATGTATTTGTTTATTATTTGTCTCTTCCTATCAGAATGAGAGCAAGGACTCTGTTTTTCTTTACTGCTCAATGCAGAGCATGTAGTAGGCACCTAAAATAGTTACTAAATATATTGAATAAATAAACAACACATAACAATGCTTTGTAGTTTATAAAGTATTTTCATATTTGCTGCTTTAATTAATCCATCCCAAATCCTTATTTTTTTTTAAATTTATTTTAAATTTTTGAAAAGGAATTTCGGGGGTACGAGTGCATTTTTGTTGTATGGATATACTGCGTAGTGGTGAAATCTGTACTTTTAGTGTAACCATCACTGGAATAGTGTACATTGTGCCCATTAGGTAATTTCTCATTCCTCACCCTGCTCCCAACCTCTTACCCTTACAAGTCTTTGGTGTTATTATTCCACTATCTGTGTCCATTTGTACACATTATTTAGCTCCCACTTGTAAGTGAGGACATGAGATATTTCACTTTCTGCCAAACATTTATTTGTTATTCTCATCTTCTCAATGAGAAACCCAAGGTTCTTTTTTTTTTTTTAAACAAAGGAAAGAACAATCGCATTTCTTTTTCTTCAAGCCCTTGTGTTGCTATTTGGAGATTTAGGCAATAGAAGGAGAAGGGTCACTGCCTGGGACAGGCCAAATGGTATTGACCTTGGTAGGGTTTCTATATCCCAGGGATTGATTTTCAACATTAGAACCAAACATTTTATGTTAAGATAAGTATAGGTATTGTTATTCCAAGGAAATAAATAATCAGATTCATAAAAGTCTGATGTATAAGAACAATAATTCCAATGAATTAATTTGTGATGAGAAACTGCTATTTAGTAGACCAGCTACTTCCGGTCACTGATCATTATATTCTTTCCCTACAGACAAGACTTTATAGAAGCAAAATTATAATTAGAAAGTTGCTTGGTAAGCATGAAAACAAAGGAAGGAGGGCTAAATGATTTCAATAACTGTGTCATAAACCTATAGTAGTTAATAATAATAATAGCCAACAGTATTGAGCTCTTACTACATGCCAGCCATTTTGCAAATTACATGATTTACATTTATATATGATAAAACTATTTGCAGATGATGATATAAAGATCGAGGAGTTTAAGTGACTGTATAAATCACACAGCTGATAGGTGATAGAGCCAGGATTTAGCCAGAGGTCATTTTGAATCTAAGACTCATGTGCTTCACACTCTATTACCCAAGGGTGATGCCTCCTCCTCTAGAGGGTGTATTTGGAGGACAGAGTACCTCTTTCTTGAACAGTGATATAATCATCCTGTCAATATTGATCTTTCTGTCTTATTCTCTTTCCCATACTTCCACTGGTGATGTGCACTCTCCTTCTGACAGAAATACCCTGTATTTGACAATATCAAATATCCATAATTGGGTTACAGCAACGTCTGAAAGCAATTCTATCTCTCTAAGTCAGGTATCTGAATTCTGATACCAAACTTAGGTCCATCTTTGAATTCCTCTTTTGTAGTTTAATTTCTAGAACATATTTGTTCCTCATTCTCAAGTTCTTCAGTTACACTACCTGCTGTGCTGCTCAATCGTGAATGTACTTCAGAAATTCTCAACCCTGGCTGCACAGTAGAAGCATCTTGGGAGGTTAAAAAAATATTGTTATGAGGCCTAACAATAGACCAATTAAGTGAGAATGCAAGAGTGGGAATGGACTCTATAGTAAAAAAAAAAAATCTCCTTAGGTGTTTTAAAAATAAGAACAAGCTTACTCTACTACATATTATGCCCCTTAATATCTATACATAATTAGGACATTCTCTAAACTTTTTAATTAATTTAGTTGGTGGTAATGGTGTGCTGACAATATACAGTTAAGTTACCTTTACTTGTGAAGTTAAATTTCCTCCTTAATTTTAATGAAACTCTCTATTATTATTATTTTTAGAGATGGGGTATTGCTCTGTCACCCAGGATGGAATGCAGTGGCACAATCATAGCTCACTACTACCTTGAACTCCTGGGCTCAAGCAATCCAATCCTCTTGCCTCAGCCTTCTGAGTAACTAGTAACTACCGGCAAGTGCCACCATGTCTGGCTAATTTTTCTTTTTTTTTGGTAGACAACGGGGTCTCACTATGTTGCCTAGGCTAGTCTTGAACTAAAACTCTTAATATAGATTTTTAAATGTGACTTTTGTGCAACCAATATTGAGAACTATTGGGTCTTTGTATGGACAAATGTGGTCCATTTTCCTGGGGCATGAATTCTACTCAAATATGTAGAAGAAAATGTTAGTTTTATTAAGACAAATTCAGGTATGTTATAGATTTTTTCACTCACAATTTACATAAATTTTAAAGATTAATTCCTAAGACTTCAAAGAAATTTCTTGCTTGTGTTGGCTTTTTTACTGACCAACTTAGTCTCTCTTTGGAAATTCCACAGTAAAGTAACAGTAGTGGAAGTTTTGGGAAGCAGTACTAAAATTAACATCATTCATTGTAGACAGTATAGTCATGAAACAAAGACAAACTTTCGTATTTAATGGCAGAAATGAAAATGGAAAATCATTTAATGAAAAATAGGGACCTTATATCAATATTCACTTAGCAAGTAAATCACTCAAGAGACATGCATACCAGGACATCTTAGGCTCTGGTGATATACAGATCAATTGAATTGCAGAAGCTTGCAGGGTACTAATATGTATTAGGCCATTTTTACATTACTATAAAGAAATACCTGAGACTGGGTAATTTATAAAGAAAATAGGTTTAGTTGGCTCACAGTTCTGCAGGCTGTACAGAAAGCATGATGTTGGCATCTGCTCAGCTTCTGGGGAGGCCTCAGGAAACTTACAATCATGGTGGAGGGTGAAGTGGCAACAGGCACATCACATAGTCAGAGCGGGAGCAAGACAGCCAAGGGGAAGACGCCACACACTTTAAAACAACCAGATCTCGGAAGAACTCACTATGGTGAGAACAATAACATGTGGATGGTGCTAAATTATTCATGAGAACTCTGCCCCCATGATCCAATTAGCTCCCACCAAGCCCCACTTCCAACAATGGGGATTACATTTCAACATGAGTTTTGGGTGGGGACACACATCCAAAGTATATTATAGAAGGAATAGTCATATAGATATAATTATAATGCAATGTGGTCAATGCTGGAAAACAAGGATGTAATGTGTGCCAATGGAGTACAGAGCACTAACCCTGATGATTTTGAAAATTAAGAGTGGGGACTAAAAACTGGCAGAGATGATAACATACATTTGTATAGTACTTTATGGTTTCAATGCATTTTCAGATGAATTTTTTGTTTGATGGTCCCCAGGCACTTTGAGGGAGAGCAGATTACTTCTAACAAATTAGGAAAAATTAGAGATTTGCCCTGTGTCACTTCACTAAGTCCATGCTCTGGTCTTCTATTTTCAAATCCATTATATCATCTTCCATTTATGCTATTTAAATATGACATCACTGGTGTTAGAAAATAGGAGACACTTAATGTTATTTATATTCTTTTTTAAAAAAAGAATAAATGTTAAATTTATTTGGATAGGAACAAAATTTTTTACTTTTTAACACTTTTCATAATACCAGCATGATGCTTCTAACAAAGTGACAAAATTGCTGCTTGACTAATAGATGAAATGATTTTGTCAGTATTGAATACTGATGAAAAAACCTCTGCCAATCAATGCTTAATCTGTCTGATGAATAAAATTTATCTTTCTTTTGAAATATTTAAGGAGTCTTTTTCATGGTTAAAGGTTAAAGCCTGTCTCATTGGTTTCCTTAAAAATATGTTTTTCAACTTGCAGTCTGTGTGTTATTATAACAAATAAAAACATTCTTAAAAGCCCTGGGTAAGCTTTTTCCTTTAGATAAGTGCTATGCTACTAGAACATATGACATCGTATTTGGCCTCAATGTTTGGAAATGAAACGGTAGAAAAATGACAAGCTCTAGTGGCCACGTCATCATAGGGAATAAAATTTAAAACGACTGACGAAGTTTGAGGAAACTGACTATTTTTAAAATTGTACATTTATCATGACAGTTTTGGGGCTAATCTCTGGAACCAGCACAAGGATGAATGAGGTAATATTTGCACATGTTGTGGATAAGATAACCAGAGTGGGGGAAAGTCCATTTCCAGGCTAATGTGCAACTAAGATTATATGCTTGATGGCTGGAAACTGCTGTGTGGTTAGGATAATATAGGTTAAAAAAATGATGCTGATGGAATGGTGAGCAGTTACCCTGGATCTGAAGCTTTCTGAATGGAGGCATGAAAAGAGGAGGCAGGGAAAGAAGTAGGTAGGAGCACACCAAGAGAAAGATTTGGGAAGCAAGAAAATGTGGAGTAAACTACCAAACTCCCTCACAGAAATGACATAGTAAGGGTTGGCAATTAAAACTTCAGTGAAAAGTGAAATCTCATGGTAAACCTAGCTTAATGCTGTTCATGTGTACATTAGAGTATGAAGGGAGATTGTAACACTGATTCCCATTCCTTACTACCCAGATGTTATTACCATCAGAGAAATGTTCAGAGGTCTTATTTGGACCCACTTTGGTTTATTCTGTGGCTTTGAGGAAGGGGAAAGAAAGCATTGTGAGGGACGTGTTGACTGAAATGGGCCATTAATTTCATGTCTCTTTTGTATAAAGCACTTTTAAAGTGTGCCAAGGCATTTTAAGTGTTTTAACAACATGCTTTTGTGACAATAGAGAAGCAAGGGTATTTTTTCATGGTATCAATAAAAATATCATGGTAATTTACAGGGTTGAACTGGACACTAAATTGGCTCACAATGGAGTTCTTTCAATGTGGACAGAGATAGAAGCAACCTTTATTTTATTCCTGAGCCACTGAGATGAGAATAAACATGATCTCTGTTTGTCTCCATGATCTGAAATCTTGTTTGCCAGGGGGGTTGAGTTTTATGGAGGGTCCCCATTTTTGGAACTCTCTTTTCTCTACCCAACAGATCCCAGATTTACAAGCTTTGAGGACTTAGAAGGAAAGAAAAAAGGCATATTTGTTTCTTTCTTAACTGGTGTAGGTTTCCAGATGGTATTAGATGCTGTTATTGGCTGAGAAGAAACACTTGTTTTTGTCTTAGTCTTGTACTTGGGTCTGCAAACTTGGCAAATGGCTCACTTTGAATATCTAAACAAATAAACAAAGCATTTTCAGAATTTGCTGACACTCAGTATCCTATCCTTCTCAAATGTTGCCAGATGCAAACACCAAAGGCCAATTTCTTTAGTTTCTGCTCTGCTCAGAATTTCTTTAGAGAATTACACTGGTGAGAATTTTATATCTGGTTCTTTACATTAATGTGTGTGTGGATACATGATTCCATGGCTGTTCACTGATGAGTTAAGTTGCATCTGGAAACAAGATAGAAGTTTGTGAGTCATGCCTGATGGAGCACTTTCATATTAATATCACATTATGTATGTTTCTACTATTCAAGATATGGCAGCAGCTACTCTGGGATGCAAAGATATTTGAGACCAAGTTTCTGACCTGAAAGTATCCATAACATTATAGAGATACTGATGAATACATATACCACATTTCAAATTTGATGCTCTGAGGGAAAAGTGAGGGAGATAATAAATGGGCTCGGTGGACAGAAGCAAACACGGGCTCTGCAGTCCAGGTAGACATGGGCTCAAATTCTGACTCTGCTACTTCCTTACTTAGACACATTCTTTACCTTTTTATTTCATTATCTGAGAAGTGGGAAAATTTGCAGTCATTTCACAGGGGTGTTTTGAACACTAAATAGGATACCACATAGAAAATGCCCAGCACTGTGCCTAATGTATAAAAGGTGTTCAGCAAACATTGGTTCCTTCCCCCAGAAAGGCAATAAAGGACCCATAGCTGAGGGTATAAGGGAATGTTTGCAAATAAGTGGCCTATGAGTGGAGTATTGAAGGATGCACAGAATTTCACACTAATAATTTGAAGGACACTGTAGAGAAAGACAGAACAGCAAAGGCTTAAGGAAAGAAGCTTGTTTGGGGGAATGACATGCAGTTCAATTTGACTAACTAACAGGATACAAGCAAGAGGGTTTTGTGTAGGGATGGGCTATAGAGGCCTTGTAGGGCCTCCAAATGCAATGTGAGGAATTATAAAATTCTGTGACCAAAAAGTGTCAGTGGGATATGTAGTGGGCACGATACATTGTCCCAAAGAAACATTGATCTGGTGACAGTATATTCACTGGATTACAGTAGGGAGTGACAAAAGCTAGGGAATGATTTTAGGGTGGTTGAGAAGTAATGAAGATTTAAACTGGTGTGGCAGGAGGAAAGGGAGGGAGAGGACATGAAAGTGTGAGATGAGCAAAAAGGAAACTGGAATTTCTCCTTTGGTATCTGCCCATACTACACTCTCTTAACTCCCTACATAGATGCTTGTTCTTATCACACCTGAGGAAATTTTGTTTGTTTTCAGGCTCACCTCTTCTACTGGTCTAAGAGTTCACTGAGGACTATATTTTGTTCATCTTGGTATTTCTAGACTCTATTGCAGAGCCTGAGAACATAGTCCTTGAAAAGAGTTTGTTTTTTATTTTTAAATATATTTTATTTTTAAATTTTTAAAATTTTTAATTTTTGTAGGTACATGAGATGTTATGTACAGGCATGCAATGTGAAATAAACACATCAAGAAGAATGGGGGTATCCGTCCCCTCGATCATTTATCCATTGAGTTGCAAATGATCCAATTGTACTCTTCAAGTTATTTTAAAATGTACAGTTATTACTGATTAAACAGGCAAAAACAAATGCTGGCAAGGATGTGGTGAAATGAGTTTATTTAACACGAGAATAAATGTGGAATATGGACAAAAACATATACAATGGTAAGAGGAAAATAGAAAAGAGAGCAAAAGATAAGTGAAATGGGGAAGGAAGTAAGGAGAAAGATGAGAGGGTTGTTTTGGAACAGCTTGAGTTCATTCACAACCAGGGATGTGGAATTGTAGCCATTTAAAAAATTAGATTAACACTTCCCTTCTTTTTTTCTTTTACCCTGAAGCCCTCACCCCATGCTCTGCCCTTAATAAATAATACTTGATGAAGATGGTGATGATGTGTCCTCTTCATGCTAATCCAGGCAGTTCCCAGTTTATGAACGGATTGGGTTCCAAAAATCTGTTGTAAGTCAGTTGTTTAGCTATTGGAATGTATTTTTCCTTTGAGACAATGTAACACTCAGTGGTTAAATTCTCCAACTACTTCACAAAAGGTTATTTAATCCACAACGTGTTGGAATTATAGTGCTAATGTACTGCAGAATAGTAATTCCTTATAGGCATATTATGTACCTCTTGATGGTTTACAAAGTGGTTTTGCATACATTTTGAAAAATGGAACATCTTTGCATATTTTTCCCATGGAAAAAATGTGTTCCAAATTTTAAATGTAGAGGCCAGTTACACATCCTCCACCCACTCTGGTCTCAGTGAAAAGACTTGGCTTCCAAAGAGAGGCTCCCACACTGTCCTCTCCAGAAGCCTCACTCCAAGGGAGATCCTAAGATGACAGCAGGGAGGTAGGATGGGTGTGTGTCAGTGCAGGAGGACTTTGCGGTGAGTTGAACCATCACTGGGTTTATAGTCAGTAGAGTGAGTTTGAATCTAGATTCTGCCACTTACCAGCTGGTAAACTATGTGAGTGTTAAGTTTCCACTTACGCAGAGTGAGGATACTGATATTTTCCTGATGGGGTTTGGTGATGTTCAAGATGAGAGGATGTATAAGGAGCATATGGCATACTACACACATAATGGATGCTCAAAAATGTTCTCTTTATCCTCTTCTGCACTTGCCCACCACCAAACCCTAATGAGGAGTGCGTAGACAGAGTTCCTGCGGTGATCAGTTTGCTGATGGGCAGGGCAAGGGTTCAGGAATCAGGGAGAGCCTAGGTGGAGGATGCTTCCGTGGTGAGCAACCAGTTCCCGGAGTCGGAGTAGTGAGGGCTCAGTAGTGCTGATTCTCCTGGATAACAGTGGCAACTTCACCATCCATTTCTGCATCAACATTGTGGGAAGCTCGATCAGAAAGAGAACGAGAATGGGATTGGGTACTGGCATTGTACCTAAATCTCAGTTGCTTGGCACTGTAGAGGTTTAGTGCTTGCTCACACTCATGTGAAGAAAGGAGCTTTCTTGTTTTCTTTTAAAGGTGTTTGGGTGATGGAGACTTTTTTCATCATGTGGCTCTGGCTGGCTTCACTGCTTGGCATCAAGCTGGTGGAAGAGAAAAGAAAAAGTACCATTGTAGGATTGTGTGTGGGAGATTTTCATTGGTCAAACCTAGAAGGGGCTCATATCACTTCTACTCATAGATTATTGGCTAGTGTCATGTGAGCGCATCAAACTGCAAAGGATTAGAAAGTATAGTCTTGTTGCTTTCCTAGGAGGAAGAAGAAATAGTTTTGGTGGTCAGCTAGCAGTCTTTGCCATGGATGGGAGTAGAGGTGCTACGTAGGTGCTTGTTGTTACAAGCTGTTTGCAAGTGAGTAATTATAAGTTAAAAAACCATCCTGACTATGATTTAAGATAAACAAGTCAAGCTAAATGAATACTAGAATATTCAAAATAAGATAGGGCCTGAGTGTTTTGGGGTAAACCTGTACATATACCCTAGTTCTTCTTCTCTGGAAGAAATGAAAGAGATGAAACGGACTAATACTAAACAGTTTTCAAAGTAGATTAAAGCATAATGATTCTTTAAATTTCCTCCACCAAGAAAATGTTTTAAAAATGCCAAATTTAATGATATAAATTAACTTCAGCTACTTTAACATACCAGTGCTGTCTGAAGACATAACTGGTCACTTTTTATGATGTTCCTTTCTTTCTTTGCTTTATTTAACAAATTTACTCAGGGTCTGGATATTTGAGTCACACCCTTAGCTGAGGATGATTAAGACAGTTATCGTCATTCCAACCTTCCCTGACTGACCTCAGAAAAGGTCCTATTTTATAGAAAGAGCCTGGATTTTGGAGTCTAATCACTTCAACAGGTCAAAGGTCTTCTAAGGCTCTACTATGTTCCAGACGATAGAGATAAGAAAATGTATAAGACATGGGATCATCCCCCAAGAAGCTTAAGGTCTAGTGATGGAGACAGGAATATAAATAAGTAATGGCACGTTGGGATGAGGGCAGCATTGGCCACATTGGTGTCTTGGATTAGGGAGAACTGAGAGTGGAGGGTGAGAGTAGATGGGGCAAGTGAGGAGGCTGGTTAGGAACCAGGGGTAGGCAGGAGCCACAACACAAAGGATCTTCTAAACCATGTTAAGGGGCTTGGCTGTTATCATATAGATGACTTCTACAGGAGCTAATTTCATTCTGGTGCACAAGCCCAGGAAGCTCAGAGGTATATTACCTACTGACTCAAGAATCATGCTAATTTATTTGTATAAATGGCTTTCCAAAACATCTCTGTGTGGTCTTACTCTATTGAATTATATTACCACAATTTATTTAGAATTCCCATATGTGCATGTGTGATGTTTTCTAGGGAGTACAAACATTTTTCAGATTAGTGTCATGGAAGTCCTCTATATATCAGAGGCAATAAAAGAGAGTTGCACATTATGTTTTCTGTGTCCTTTAGGCTTGTAAAATTATTTATTTTTTTTCCTAGATAAAAAGTTGCTCAAAATCAACTTAAAGTAAAATCTAAGTGCATCATTGAAAGTTTGGGGGTATTCCATGTTGTAGTGATTTAAATATTTTTTTTTAGTGAACAACATTTAAAAATCAGTCACTTTACTTATTCCAAGAAAGCAGGGAATGGGACTATAGAGGAAGGGTAAGTAACTATCTGTACCATATAACCCAAGACATTGCAGTTACTCTTTAAATGTGGGATTATTTGGAACATTTCTCAATTTGTGAAGCCCTGGCCATTAGAGTGGTTTTCAACCATGGCTGCTCATTAGAATTGCCTGGAAAACTTTGAAGTGTTCGGATGCCCAGGCCATATGCCAGACCAATTAAATCAGAAATCTCCACAGATGGGACGCAGGCATAAACATTTTTTAAAGCTTCCCAAGTGATTCCAATTCAAAACCCAGTTTGAGAAGTACTAGTCTATTAGGTAGGATTACCTGGTGCATGGAAACAGCAAGTTCCAATTAATCAGCTCAATTCATTTAAATCACGTGCCAGACACTGTGCTTGGTCCTGGGGGCTAAGACACAGGTCCTGCCTTCAAGTATATCACTCTAAAAGAGGGGTGAGCCTAGTGGGGTTTGAGAAGGGAGAGATGGTGAGGGCAACAATGGTTTGGGTGAGTTTCCTGCGACAAGACGTGTAGACTGAGTGTGGAACTTGGTTCAAATGTATGTCAATTAAAGGAGGAGGAGGGACAACATGGTAAATATTTGGTAAAAGTCATGTTCTGTAGTTAGTGAAATTGAGCCATAAATCTAGAAGGACTCACTGATGTTTGGCGGGATTAGAAGCCAGGAGAACTGGTTTCCATGCTTATGTATAGTAGACCATTACTTTTGTCTGTCAACTCCAGCCTCTACCAAGGACTTTTTTTTTTTTTTTTTCAAGGCAAACCAAGGGGCCTTTTTCATAAAATTTCTTAAAAACAATATATACTTCTAGATAAAACTTATATGATATATTTTGTTTATGTGGTTACAAAAAAGAATACCAACTTGGAAAAACAGAATACTTTAGTTTGAAATGTTTAGAGCTAAAGAGCTCTAGCCAGGCAGTAGGACAAAGTTTTATTTTATAAGCCAGTGGTGACATTTCCATGGTGTTATAATCTGTAATATTACAAAGATATTAAGATATTTTCACTGATATCTGATAAATGCCTAATGAACCATTACTGATTATTTCTTTATTTTACATTTCTTTCATGGACTGGACTACTCTAGACCTTTCCCAGATGAGGATCTGTAATTGTGACGTCTCTCATTTCTTTTTTTTGTTGTTGTTGAGACAGTCTTGCTCTGTTGCCCAGGCTGGAGTGGAGTGGCATGATCTCAGTTCACTGCAATCTCTGCCTCCCAGGTTCAAGCAGTTCTCCTGCCTCAGCCTCCTAAGTAGTTCACAGGCGTGTGCCACCATGCCCAGCTAATATTTTTTTGGTATTTTTAGTAGAGACAGGGTTTCACCATGTTGGACAGGCTGGTCTCGAACTCCTGACCTCAGGCGATCTGCCCGTCTTAGCTTCCCAGAGTCCTGGGATTACAGGTGTGAGCCACCGCGCCCGACCATGTTGTCTCTTTATCTGATGGTTAAATGTCTTGAGAAGAGCATGAGTGCTGAATCCCAGCTCTGCTCAGTATCTTGGCATGAGTTTCCTTGTCTGTGAAATGGTGATAGTAAATATTTGATTGAAAGGCTAGGGTACTAGGAGGGTTACTTCTAAAAAATAAGAAAGAACCATGTGTGGGCTTTTATACTTATTAAATAAATGCTTAATAAGTGTACAAGTAGTGAGGACATGTGTCATTCTTTATTCTCTAAAGTACCTATAGATTATCTACTTAATGTTTTGTGTTGATTCTCCTAAATGAACTTTTCTCGCGTACTTTTCCCATGATCTGGAAGAAGCCATGGTAATGCCCAATAAAATGGAAATGACAGATTCATACATAGTTTCTACAGTGTTGATGGGGGCTTGGGAGTGGTTTCTTTGTATAAGTGAACAAAAGCTATACTAGAAAAGAATTTCACAGTAATTTAACAACAATTTTACATGCCCCACAACAACTAAAACAAAATAATTTATATTAAAACTTATAGAATATAACAGGATTCTCAAATATTGTCATGACTAACATAAGATCCAGAGTTCACTTTTATAATTTAATGTTTTAACCAACAAAATCCACTTATCTTGATCATGCATAGATTAGTTCATAATAATTGAAAAAGGCAAATATTTCTAGGTACTAGGGATTCCAGGTAAACTTAATTTGTGTGTAAATTCTCTGTGATTTTGTTCATACTATAACACACTTCTCAATGTGATGCTGGTGTTTTAAATTAAAACATCAAGTCCGTTTATACATCTGGCCTTACTTGGTGGTTTTCTAACTTGCCAATGTTACAACTTAAATGTACTTATATTAATCATAGTTCAAAATAGCCACATCATTAAATAATCATTTTTGAAAAATATACATTCTTAGAAATGGTACATACACCCGCTTCAGTTTTTGTTGTGAAATCATGGACACGATGGGGGTGGGGAGGAAAAGAATGCCAAATCTGCATTTCAGTCCTTCAACTCACTTCCAGAGTAGTTTCATGTGAGTCTCCATCTCCTTGCCAAAGGGAAGGTGGAGATGTACGCAGCCACATTTTCATACTCTCCTGCCAGCTGCAAACCTCATCACAGTCCCTGTGAAGTACATTTCCACAGATCAGGTTTCTGCCAGGGAAGACTTTAACAATCTCCTACTCCACTTTCAACCGACAACAATTAGTATTAGCAAATGGTTCAGGCCACTGCCTGGGATTACATATGATTTCCATTCAAAAAAGACAAACTTTTACTCAAACCAGACCCACGTGCTGAACACTTGAGCTCCCCTCTTAGATATAATGAAGTTGAGACAGTTTCTATCTTTCATTTAAATAAAAAATCATTCTCACATTTGAAATCAAGTTGGCTGTTTTCCCTCGGCTGGGTTAGCCATCTGGGAAGGGGGACTTTTGGAGTACTTATGTTCAGGCCAGGAGTTTAGAGAGAAAAAAAATCATTATCCTTTTGTCCTTTTGTGCCTTACTCTTTTAATGTGGTTAAACCTTTTTAGAAAAATGTTTCCACAGCAGGTTTTTTTCTTTCTTTCAGATAACACATATGGAAAATACATTACATTCTTAATACAGTTTACAGTCAAAATTTGCTTTTTCAGAGCATGGACCAGCAAAACACATACCTGATTGAGGTCGCTACAGCTTATTGTAAAAACAATGAAGATTCAAAGGATTTATTCTCTTGATGTACTAAATACCTGTGGTTCTTTTAATATTACTATGTTATTTTTAGTATGAGGCATTCTTCAGGGTAAGGTAAGGTCAGTTTCCTTTCTATGTATTTCGAAGGTTAATAATTGCCTCAAATAGAGGCTCTATGACCTTAGCATGTTCAGGAATTTTACTTTCTTCTCAGTTAAGTTCTTAGAAAATATGTCTCGATGGCTACTATCTATCCAGTCACTCTTGTGGCTGTTTTATTCATAGATAGAAGTTGATTATTTCAAGCAGTTAAGAAACCTGTTCAGAACAACCACCTCATACTAATTGTTCTATTATATTCCTTTTGACTTCTGAAATTCATAGGTAATTCAGTTATAAGCTCATGAAATTGAAAGTAGCTGAAAAGATCATTCTTGTTTTATAGATGAGGCAATAACATTTCAGAGAAATAAGGTGATTTTTTTTTTCGATCCCACCTAGGTCAGACAGAGTGGAGAGGATGCTAGAATATAAATGTACTTTCTGCCTGTTAGAACTTTATTCATTTTTCCATGTTATAATACAGGTGTATTGCACCTTTGGGTAAGTTTTGTTTAATGATAGTGATAATTTGTAGAAAACCACGTATTTTCATAAAATGTTCATTATGAAACTGCATGAATCCCAATTAGGAGCCTGTTGTTTGTTTAGGCATAGCTTACCTTTCTAAGTAATTGAACAAGTAAATTTGCAAAGTACTATGCATAAATATTAACATATATTAATACTTATGCATGGTGCTTTAGAGTCATGAGAAACATTTTTTGCTTACTTTGTACATATGTTCTAAAGACAATACCCTGAATATATGTGAACATTTTAATATTAAATTAAATTTCAAAGTCAATCAATTTGATATTAATTTCCTCAAGAAGAAAGGGAAGAAAATCAATCAAAGGTGAAGTTGATGGCATGGAAACCTATATAATGGCTTTGTAATATATCAATTTGGCTAGGCTGAGCTAAATTTCCCAGAATCCCCTTTCTTCTATGGTGTGGGCCATAGGGCAGATTCTTGGGAAGGTGGAATGGAAGCAGCAGCTGCTTAGTGACTCACATGTAGGATTGCTCATCTGCCATCCCATCTTCTTGGCATGAAGCAGCAGTTGGGCCTGCAAGGACTTTGTCTTCTCCTTGATCCTCCTTTGGCCTTTCAGACTCCTTTTTCTCTGTCTCTGTTTTTTTGTGAGTCAGTGTCTTGCTCTGTCACCCAGTTTGGAGTGCAGTGGTGCAATCATAGATCACTGCAGTCTCAAACTCTGTCTCAAGGAATCTTCCTGTCTTGGCCTCCCAAAGTGCTGGGATTTCAGGAGTGAGCCACCCTTCTCCAACTCATTGGTCTGATGTGTATGTTTAGCTTTGTGATGAAGGGCTCTGGTTTCTGTAGGAAACTTGTATTAGTTTTCTATTGCTGATGTAACAAATTACCACAAACATGGTGGCTTAAAACTACTTATTATCTCACAGTCCTGCAGGTTAGATGTTTGACGGACACCTCACTGGGAAAAAATCAAGATGTCTGCAGGACTACATTCAGTTTTAGAGGCTTTCTAGAAATGAATCCATTTCTTTGCCTTTTCCAGCTTGTAGAAGCTGCCCACATTATTTGGCTCATTGTTCTCTTCCTCTATCTTCAAAACCTGCAACAGCTGGTCAAGTCTTTCTCGCATTTCATTGCTCTGACACTGACTCTTTTTTTTCCTCCCTCTTCCTCTTTTAAGGAGCCTTGTCATTACATTGGGGCTACCCAGATAACCCAGGATAAGCTCCTTATCTTAAGTCAGCTGATGAGCAACCTCAATTTCATCTGAAAGCCTAACTCCCCTCTGCTACATAAAGAATATATTCACTGGTTCTAGGGATTAGGATGTGAATACCTTTAGGGGGCCCTTATTCTGCCTACCACAATATCCTTATTATCAAGGTCAGAGGCAACAAGAACTGACATGGGTTTCAGTCATCTTTGTGGAGTTCTAGCTAGTGTTTGTGGGCTCCAGTTTGTTCCCGTTCTTTTTCACTTTATATCCATCTCCCCTTCCTGACTACCTATCCTGTGGACCTCAAGATCCAGCATCAGATGCAGAGACAACAGCTTTTCAAAGACTGCTTAGTTGGCTCCCAGAGTTGCTTAAGTCTGATTCCCTCTCTATGTCCATCTACCTATGCATCTATCTGTCACTATCTATCTATCATCTATCTATCTATCTATCATCTATCTATAATCTACCTATCGATCCCTAGATGTTTTACCTTTCTGGTTGAACCCTGACTTATACAGTATACAATTCAACCTTAGGTAGCTGTAGGTGTAAGGAAAATACACCAATGTCATCATGGGGTTAGAGCTAGCGTCGTACAAGGTCTGTGTTTGGAATCATTTTAGCTGCAGTGACTATCTCTCCCTTTTCCTCTCTTGTTACTTCGGTTCTTATAGCATCGGCTGAAACTAGTCACATGGTTGTGCCTAATTTTGAGAAGGCAGGAAGTGTGAGAAGTATTATCCTTTGTGTTGGTGGATATAAAGGAGCATCCAATAGTGATGAATTGTAGTAATGTCTACCACAAGAAAGGTAAGAGAGAAATATGTAAAAAAGAAGAAAATGAGGGGCAATGGCTAGAAGACAAAAGGATAGTCAAAAAAGATGAGGTCTGCTTTGTTCTCTCCTCTTTTAGTCCCAGCAACAGGCAAGCTGCAAAGTCACCATCTTTCATTTAATCCTTTGTTTGTCCTGATGGGGAAAATAACTTTGCATTAGTAAAGCCTGTGATGGCAGAATTATTGCTGTCAAAGGCGGAAAAAGGTCAGTTGTAGGGAAATTTTCATATAAACATTTTAACCATTTTCTTCTTTAAAGAAAATAAAGAAATATGCAATTTAGATATACAATATGAAATTGCAATATGGTTGCAATATGAAAAATATCAGGGATATTATGAGATTTAAACACTTTAAACAGAAAGCATTTATATTACTCAAGGCAAATAATACATTCCTTTAAGTCAACAGATAATCATGGGAAATAAATCTGAACAACTTGGGGTGTGGGAGAAATTACCAATTCTTTCATGAAGCAATAAAATTCCTCATGAAAGAGGTGGGATTTAAGGTACTTTTGTAATGAATTAAGAAAGAAATGTTTTGGCAAGAGCCTCTTTTTCTCTAATGCATTGCAAATCTACTAGAAAAATCTAGATTCTTTTTTCTGTTCCTCATTTTCTTCCCTTCTTCTGTCTAAGTGGAATGCAGTGACAGTTATGCAAGGGCAATCAAATCATGTAGGTAGTTATGAAAATATAGTAGTGTGTGTGTAGTCACAAAATTCCTATATATAATTGGTATAGACAAGTCTTCCTCATATGAATCTTGCAGAAAAACATTGATAGTTACTTAGAATTGCCTGGAAATTTGACGGTCCGGGAATAGTTTGAAATTTGGTGGATGCCCCACCTTCACATAGTGGAAAACGCATGTCCAATTTATCTTCTGTCTAACTTCATTCAAAACTTCTGCATTTGTTGATCAGCTGGCGTGCTGATGCAGTTGCCAGAAGAACACCACTCCCCTCCAAGAGCACTTATTTAACCACCCACATCCTGGCTGGTGGCCCACTGGCACACTCGCTCCTCTTTGTGAATCAGGAGCAGAGGGTAAACTCAATCTGCTACACACACACAATGGCACATTCTTGGAGCATGGCTGTCTAGACCATTTCCTTCACACAGCGGCTCAAGGGTCCTTTTATGGAGCGATTACTGGAACATTAAATTGCGAGTAGTGGCTTCTTCAACAGATTCCTTACCCGGTTCCGACAGGGGTGTTTTAAGTGGTCTTCTTCCACAGATTAGTATGGTCATTAATGTGCCTATTCACATTAGCTTTAAAGTGAGCTTTCTTGCAGCTGAAGCTCTTTACCTCTCACCTGTTCTCTCTCTAGAATTGAAAAGGATTTAGTCCCCATTCCTTCTCGTAATTTGTTGTTGTCTTTGTTAGTTTTCTGTACTGGGGCATTCATTTTGGGGGAAAAATAGGAGTATTTAAACCAAGCCCCAGACACCTAGATGCTCCAGCTAGTATCTGTGAGTTTTGAATTAGTTTGAGGAAGTCTAATTATTTGAAAGGAGTTAACGACTCTGAACTCCTGAAATAATGTTCATGGTTCCAAACTTGTTAGCCAAGCAACTTCATTTCCTTATGGCTCATTTCTCTCTGAAAGAAAGAAATAGAAAAAGAGAAAGAAAGAAGGAAAGAAAGAAAGGAAGGAAGGAAGACAGAGAAAAAGGTGTTAAATAAATAACAATAGCAAAACATGTGTGAAGAGTAAGTTTAGAAGCAAGTTGTGGTGGCATGCTTATGTAGTTCCAGCTACTTGGGAGGCCAAGGCAGAAGGGTCGTTTGAGCCCAGGAGTTCAAGGCCAGGCTGGTCAACATAGTGAGACTCTTTCCCTAAAATAAATAAAACTAAGCAAAAAGAGTAAGTATAAAGAGATCAGAACTGGATAGGAAGAAATGTAAACTATGCATATGTTAAATAAAATTGTAAGATAATATATATTTTATGGAGCTTAAAACTATCACTCACTTTATGTCTGTTTTGGGAAAGCCTACCTTCTAGTATGATAAAAATGTCATCCTACTTATTCTTGTATTGCTTTTATGATTTCTTTTGTTTAGATTGTTGATCAGCTATAATTTATTTTTGTATATGTCTTAAAATAGGCATTATGTTTAACCATCTCAATATTTTACATGTAATCCTCTTCTAATTAATTTAGTAGGTACCTTTATCAAGTTTGAGATTACCATAAACACCTGAATCTGTTTCTGGTGCATTGACTTTGCCAGTACCACAATGTTTTCATTACTGCAGTTTTGTATTGTGTTCTGATATTTGGAAAAGCAAATCAAAAATATTTTGCCTATTCTTTTAGAGATGAGCTTTAGAATCAATATGTTACATTTATTAAGGCATCCCATTTATGTTCTGATTAAGATTATACCGAATTTAGGAGGTATCTAGGACAACTGGAAATTTCATCAATTGAATCCCTCCATGCAAGAGCATGGTATCTTTAGGTCTTCCTTTGCATCATTCCCTTCTTGCTTAGTTGGTACATAATAGGATTTGAATACAATTTAGGAAGAAACAACAACAACAACAACAAACAGAAGCAAAATCAAAACATCTCCAAGATGCTCAAATGAAGCCAAACCACAAGTGCCTTTTGTGATGTTATTCTAGAAGGTGTCAAATTATTAAATATATTGGTTTTAAAAATTTAAAAATATAAGATAATTGCTTTGGCCACTTGAACGTATAATGTTAGTCCTCTTGTACCACAGAATATCACTCAATATATACTGGTATTTGATAGTAAGTGTTGATCATTATTTCCAGGCCTGTCAGCTTCACCCCTAGTGTTACAACACCTCTCCTTGTGGTCAGTAGGGGGTGCTCCTGGAGCGACATGCCCTCTTTCAACGCCACTGAATCCTAACAAATTTCAAACCATAGGAAGTATTGGTTTATAAATTATCAAGTGCAGTTCTCCCACATTCTAACAGTCTCACATCTGTGGGCATTTTATGTAGAAGACAAGTAATGGGAGAAGGTGAGATCTTCAAAGTGTCTTGTAATCGAAGAAGGTCTGTATTATATAAGCACAGAAGGCAGAAGGGATTATAACAAGTTGTGTTTGGGCTAACGAGTAGAGCCTCTGCATTTTAGGGCCTGTTCCTTTGAGCGCTGGTGCCAGCAGACTGCTTTGCAAGCTGTCAGTTTCCTGATCTTTGTCTTTTAAGGGCAACATTTTAAAAGTGGTGCTTTAAATAGGAGAGACTGTGGAAGGAGAGGGGTCTGGTTGCAGACAATCCTATGGGAAAGGATTTTGTTCTATCTACTAGCTTTGGAACAATTTCCCTTATTGTTGATGGTGCTGATGTTCAAAAAAGTGTCATTCTGCACCTCTCCTACCAGTCTGAGCTCAGGGCTTCTTCCTTATGATCCCAAACCATACAGGGCTTATTTCTATTTTGCAAAGATTACATTTTATAATATTCTCCTGTGTATCTGTTTATATATGCCTCTAGGTTAAGCAACATGAGAACAGGATGGTGTTGTGTTTGTTTAACATAGGCTTTGGTATGTTGTAGGCAGCCGATAATTATTTGTTCAGTGGATGAAAGAAGGAAAACCAAGGGAGGAAAAAAGAAAGGAGGAACAAAGAAGAAGGTGTCACAGAGTGGTGCATTGATATAACTGGGCAACTTAATTTTTAAACTTATCCAGAATTCTGGAAATGTCTGTAGCATAATTCACACAGAACATTACTGGGCATAACCCAGTACAAAAAATAACAACAAAAACTGATTTGTTTCTAATGAAGTTAGTAGTAATTGTAATAGCAAATATATAATGTAACCATAACCACTTCATTGTGAAGTAAAGACTATTTGATATTTATGTGAATTCTAAAGTTTAATTGCATAATGCAACTGTGTCCTTAAAAGTATTGAGGTTTTGGAATATAGTGTTCCATGCACAATTTTATTAAAATCATATATTATACTGAAATTCAGATATTATAAGGTGAACTCATAATTCCAATGTAAACCTAACACCTAAGGTTAAATTGGATAAAATAAATGCTATTTGAATAGAACAACTTTTTAAGATGCTCCCATTCAAAAGTTTCATGTTTATTAATTGGATAAAAATAGTTACATTATTTTTCTTTGTAATATTGACTTTCTGTATATACCTCAATAGTCAGTTAGAACTATGAAAATTGCCTGTTGAAGATTCATATTGACATTAAAACAGTGTATACAATATGGCCAAAAGAGAACAATATTGTATTTTTAATGTTTTAAGCAGTTTAGAAAATTTAAAAATAATCAGCTTGACCATTGATTCGTCCACGTGCCCTTTGAGTTAATTTCATTTTGTTGATTTAGTACTAATTAAAAGAATCACTGGGCAACTGAAGGAAGCTGAAGAGGAAACAGGCTTTGGGAGAGTAAGTGACTTCCCTAAGGTTTGTAAATCTGGGGATGGGCTTATCTTTCCTCCCCTCCCCTCCCCTCCCTTCCCCTCCTCTCCCTCCCTCCCTCCTTTCTCCCTTCCTTCTTTCCTTCCTTCCTTCCTTCCTCCCTTCCTTCCATCCTTCCTCTTTCTCTCTCTCCCTCTCTCTTTCTTTCTCCTTTTCTCTTAAACACTCACTGAACATGGGATTATGATGACTTAAAAATTACCAAGGCCGGGAGTGATGGCTTATGCCTGTAATCCCAGCACTTTGGGAGGCTGAGGCAGGTGGATCGCCTGAGGTCAGGAGATTGAGACCAGCCTGGCCAACACAGTGAAACCCCATCTCTACTAAAAATGCAAAAACTTAGCTAGGTGTGGTGGAGGGTACCTGTAATCCCAGCTACACGGGAGGCTGAGGCAAGAGAATCGCTTGAACCTAGGAGGCAGAGGTTGCAGTGAGCCGAGATTGCTCCATTGCACTCCAGCCTGGGCAAGAAGAGCAAAATTCCATCTCAAAAGAAAAAAAAATTACCAAATATTGGTTTGATATATTGTGTTTGACTAATGTGATATGTATTATTTATATTATTTTGATATAATGTATTCAACTCAAACACAAATATAATTATTTGATATTGTATGCCTAGAATAACGCAATGAAGAGAAAATAGGAAGGCAAAATGTATTGTTTATTTATTTATTTATTTTTTATTGTTTTGAGACAGAGTCTTGCTCTGTCATCCAGGCTATAGTGCAGTGGCATGAACTTGGCTCACTGCAACCTCTGTTTCCTGGGTTCAAGTGATTCTCCTGTCTCAGCCTCTCGAGTAGCTGGGAATACAGGCACGTGCCACCATGCCCAACTGATGTTTGTATTTTTAGTAGAGACGAGGTTTCACCATGCTGGACAGGCTGGTCTCAAACTCCTGACCTTGAGTGATCTGCCCACCTCAGCCTCCCAAAGTGCTGGGATTACAGGTGTGAGCCTTCGTGCCCGGCCTGTATTCCTCTTTTAAAATCTCTATTAGATAGCAGTTGTTGAACATCTGCTTTGGAGGTCGAACTTTCTCTGGAGTTAGACTGCCAGGATTCAAATTCCAGCTGTGTCCCTTGGAGTTGGGGGACGTCAGGCATGAGACTTACTCTTTCTAAGCTTCAGTCTCCTTATGTCAAATATTCCGTTAAGATAATTACAGTCAGTATTTGGAACGTTGTTGGGAGGATTAAATCAGATAATTCATGTAAAGCAATTGGCACAGTGTTCACCATATGATGAACTTTCGATAAATGGTAATTATTATATTCTTACCATTATGTTAGGCAAATGGGATAACGAAAAATGTTAATATACTATCTATGTTTTCCGATATTAATAATATTTTATCTGTTGTATTAAGACCCTTGGACTCTGTGCAGCAGGTTGATTCATTTAAAAAATATTTCTACCTACAAAATATATCTTTCATGTAGACATATACATTATATTTGACATATGCTTATATTTTGCTTATTTTATTACCTTTTATTTTAAAATAAAATGCAGCTTCAGAAAACCACACAAAGTAAATATATAGCTTAGCAAATTATTATAAGGTGAACAGCTTTGTAACCACCATTCATTTTAAGAAGTAGAATGTTGGCAGCCTCTCCAGAAATACCCCCATAGACCCATCTCCATCACAGCACTTCCCCTCCACTTCCTGAAGCACAATCTGGACATGTATAGGAAGTGCTTCCTTACATTTCCTTGTGATTTTACTACCCGAATGAGCGTCCCTAGATATGATATAGTTCAGTCTTGTCCATTTAAAGAAACTTGCTATATATTTGTGCCTCTTTTAATCTACAGTTTTCACAACCATTTGTTTCTTTTTCTTACAATATGTCTATGAAGAACCTAGAACATTTGACCTACCAGAGTCAACAATTTGGATTTTGTTGACTGTATACTCATGGTGCAGTTTGACATTTTCCACTGTCCTCTGTATTTCCTGCAGATTAGTAGCTGAATCCGTACTTAGGATTCAAGTTCAGTCCCTTCGGCAAAATGATAAGTTTTCATTAGAAGGCACACAATGTCTGATTTTCATTCTTTGTTAATGTTTAGAGCAGTTCATGTTCAAAGCTAAACTTAGAAACAGTAATTTATTTAAAGTAGTTGATGTTCAAAGCTAAACTTAGATACAGTAATTTACTGGGGCTTCCAACAAGGTAGCATAATTGCGTGGCTTATTTTTCGTTTGTTAGCAGGTATAACTTTATAAGGTGATGTTTCCTCTCATCTATTATTACCCAGTAGCACAGTTCCTAAAGGAGAGGCAGTGTAAATGCTCAATTATTTTTTTAAATTCAGTTTTAAAGATAATAAAGTGGTTCTCTGTCATCCTCAAAAGATGACCAATTTGCTTTATTTTAAATATCATTACAAAATTTTAAATATATTCAGGTTCCAATTGATTGTTAAATCTGTCCTTCCTGATACTTTCATTGTGTTATCTTTGGCCAATCAGAGCTTCTTTCAGTTTGACTATAAATTCTTTTGATATTATAAAATGATCTTTCCTTCTTTTGTGGTATTGCAAGATATTTTAGATCATCTTGTACATTTCTTGCACCAGACCTGGAATCAGCCATTTCTTGAAGAAGCTTGCATCTTCTAATACAAATGGTATATCAAGACATAATCTAGCTCCAGGATTACTCAGTGGACTTGGGTTTGTCATTGTTTCTAGGTTTTTATCAGCAAATTTATTCTAACTTTCTTAATTCAAATGTATGACTATGGGACTTTGGCTTTACCTTTCTATATTACATCTTTGTATTAGTCCGTTTTCAAGCTGTTGATAAAGACATACCTGAGACTGGGCAACTTATGAAAGAAAGAGGTTTATTGGACTTACACTTCCACATGGCTGGGAAGGCCTCACAATCATGGTGGAAGACAAGGAGAAGTAAGTCACATCTTACATGGATGGCAGTAGGCAAAGAGAGAGCTTGTGCAGAAAAACTCCCATTTTTGAAACCATCAGATCTCATGAGATCCATTAACTATCATGAGAACAACACAGGAAAGACCCACCCCCATGATTTGATCATCTCCCACCAGGTCCCTCTCACAACACATGAGAATTATGGGAGCTACAGGGTGAGATTTGGGTGGGGACACATAGCCAAACCATATTATTCTGCCCCTGGCCCCTCCCAAATCTCATATCTTCACATTTCAAAACCAATCATGCCTTCGCAACAAACAGTTCCCGCAAAGTCTCAATTCATTTCAGCATTAACTCAAAACCCCACAGACCAAAGTCTCATCTGAGACAAGGCAAGTCCCTTCCACCTATGAGCCTGTAAAATCAAAAGCAAGTTAGTTACTTCCTAGATACCAATGGCAGTACAGGCATTGGGTAAATACAGCCATTCTAAATGGGAGAAATTGGCCAAAACAAAGGGGGTACAGGCCCCAGGTAAGTCCAAAATCCAGCAGGGCAGTCAAATCTTAAAGCTCCAAAATGAGCTCTCATTTAAGTCATGTCTCACATTTAAGTCACACTGATACAAAAGGTACATTCCCATATCCTTGGGCAGCTCTGCCCCTGCGGCTTTTCAGGGTACAGCTGTCCTTTTGGTTCCTTTCATGGGCTGGCATTGAGTGTCTGCAGCTTTTCCAGGCGCATGGTGCAAGCTGTCAGTTTATCTACCATTCGGTGGTCTGGAAGATGGTGGCCCACTTCTCACAGCTCCACTAGGTGATGCCCCAGTAGGGACTCTGTGTGGGGGCTCCCTCCCCATATTTCCTTTCTACACTGCTCTAGCAGAGGTTCTCCCTGAGGACCCTGCCCCTACAGCAAACTTCTGCCTGGGCATCCAGGAGTTTCCCTACATCTTCTGAAATCTAGGCAGAAGTTCCCAAACCTCAATTCATGACTTCTATGCACTCACAGGCTCAACACCACGTGGAAGCTGCCAAGGCTTGAGGCTTGCACCCTGTGAAACCATGGCCCGAGCTCTACATTGGCCCCTTTCACCATGGCTGAAGCAGCTGAGATGCAAGGCACCAAGTCTTTAGGCTGTGCCCATCACAGAGACCCTGGACCTGGCCCACAAAACAACTTTTTCTTCCTAGGCCTCCATGCCTGTGATGGGAGGGGCTGCTGCAAAAGTCTCTGACATGCCCTGGAGACATTTTCCCCATTGTCTTGGTGATTAGCATTTGGCTGCTCATTTCTTATGCAAATTTATGCAGCTGGCTTGAATTTCTCCTCAGAAAATGGGATTTTCTTTTTCTTTTCTTTTCTTTTTTTTTTTTTTTTGAGACGGAGTCTGGCTCTGTCGCCCAGGCTGGAGTGCAGTGGCGCGATGTCTGCTCACTGCAAGCTCCGCCTCCCGGGTCCACACCATTTTCCTGCGTCAGCCTCCCGAATAGCTGGGACTACAGGTGCCTGCCACCGCGCCCGGCTAATTTTTTTGTATTTTTAGTAGAGACAGGGTTTCACTGTATTAGCCAGGATGGTCTCGATATCCTGACCTTGTGATCTGCCCACCTCAGCCTCCCAAAGTGCTGGGATTACAGGCATGAGCCACCGCGCCTGGCCAGGATTTTCTTTTCTATTGCATTGTCAGGCTGCAAATTTTCCAAATTTTTATTTTCTGTTTTCCTTTCAAAACTGAATGCCTTTAACAGCAAGTCACCTCTTGAATGCTTTGCTGCTTAGGAATTTCTTCCACCAGATACCCAAAATCATCTCTCTCTAGTTCAAAGTTCCAGAAATCTCTAGGGCAGGGGCAAAATGCCACCAGTCTCTTTGCTAAAACATAAGAGTCACCTTAACTCCATTTCCCAATAAGTTCCTCATCTGCATCTGAGACCACCTCAGCCTGGATTTCATTGTCCATATCATTATCAGCATTTTGGTCAAAGCCATTCAACACATCTTTAGGGAGTTCCAAACTTTCCCACATTTTACTGCCTTTTTCTGAACCTTCCAAACTGTTCTAACCTCTGCCTATTACCCAGTTCCAAAGTTGCTTCCATATTTTTGGGTATCTTTCCTGCAGCACCCCACTCCTGGTACCAATTTACTGTGTTAGTTCATTTTCACACTGCTGATAAAGACATACCCAAGACTGGGCAATTTACAAAAAAAGGAAGTTTATGAGACTTACAGTTACACATGGCTGGGGAGGCCTCACTATCATGGCAGAAGGCAAGGAGGAGTAAGTCACATCTTACATGGATGGTCGCAGACAAAGAGAGAGCTTGTGCAGGAAAATTCCTATTTTTAAAACCATCAGATCTCATGAGACCCATTTACTATTATAAGAACAGCACGGGAAAGACCCACTCACATGATTCAATCATCTCCCACCAGGTCCCTCCCATAACACATGGGAACTATGGGAGTTACAAGATGAGATTTGGGTGGGCACACACAGCCAAACCATCAGTCTTCTTCCTTCTCAAGAATTTAGGGAACGATAGAATGAAAATGTTCCAGAATACTTATTGTATTGTATTGTATTGTATTGTATTGTATTGTATTGTATTGTATTGTATTTTTGGAGTCTCACTCTCTTGCCAGGCTGGAGTGCAGTGGCACAATCTCAGCTTACTGCAACCTCCACCTCCTGGGTTCAAGTGATTCTCCTGCCTCAGCCTCCCGAGTAGCTGGGACTACAGGCACATGCCACCATGCTCAGCTAATTTTTCTATTTTTAGTAGAGATGGGGTTTCACCATCTTGCCCAGGATGGGCTCAATCTCTTGACCTCATGATCCTCCCACCTTGTCCTCCCAAAGTGCTGGGATTACAGGCATGAGCCATCATGCCCAGTCTGACTTTCTTTATTCTACGTTACCAATATGACAGCCTCTGAATAACAAAACTAAGATCGCGATTATGGTTACTGAAAGCAATTAAATTTGTTTTTATATGTTCTCTTTATTCTTCCCTTATCCTTAAAAAAATGAACAATATATATATCGTCATATTATAAAGTCATTATAAACTGTCGTGCCTTTCTCCTTAAATCTTAGTTCTGTGAATAACAGTGTTGACCCCAGTTGCTGTATCAATGTCTCTCAAGTCTTTTAGCTGTCTGAAGCTCCTTCTCTAGTAAATTCCAAAGGAAGATTCAATGGGAATGATACTGCCTCAGTTCCTGCATGTCGATAACAGTTTATCTATGGCCTTTATATAGTTTTTATTTTCTTTGCTTCAGTGTCTTAAATATGTTAAATCATGTTTTTTTCTGGCATAATGTGCAGCTATCAAAAAAGAAGGATATCCTGCCATTTGTGACAGCATGAATGAACCTGGAGGACATTAGGCTAAGTGGAATAAGTAAGGCACAGAAAGGCAAATACTGCATGATCTGACTTATATGTGGAGTCTAAAGAAACAAAATTCACAGAAGCAGAGGATAGGATGGTTTCCAGGGACTGGTGGGGGTGGGAGTTAGAGGAGAGATTGAGAAGATGTTGGTTAATGGACACCAGATTTTAGTTAGATAGGAAAAGTAAGTTCAGTAGACCTATTGTACAACATGATGATCCTAGTGTAACAATGTAACAATGTATTATATATTTGAAAATTGTTAAAACATAAATTTTAAATGATCACATCACAAAAAAGTATGTTGATAATAGCTAGGTAATGGATATGTTAATTAATTTGATTTAGTCATTTGACAATATATACATAAATCAAATATTATGTCATAATCATAATATATACATTTTTATTTGTCAATTAAAAAATTTAAACACCTGATAATAGCCTCTTTGTTTACATACAAATCATGTGCTATTTTTGCATAGATTAAAAAAAGGATTTTTTACTGTTTACAGAAAGTTCATTAGTTTTAATAAATTATGTATAGTTATTAGTTGTCTGGGTAAACAGTCTCAGGTACATATGTTCTTCTAAGATGTTGTTTTAATTTTAGGAAAGTTTTCTTAAATTATAGTGTTTGTATTTGTTCATTTTCTTGTTTTGCTTTTTTCTTTCAGAAATTTTCATTAGTTACTTTCTTTTTTCCTTTTCACTTTTAATCTCTTTATTTACTTTTTATTGAGGTAAAATATACATATCATATAGCATACCATGTAACCATTTTTAATTGGACAACTCATTTACATTAAGTACATTTACATTAAATACATTTAGTGTGTGCAACTGTGAACACTATCATTTTCCAGAACCTTTTCATCATCCCAAACTGAAACTCTGTACCTATTAAACAATAGCTCTTTAATCCTCACGCCCTTCATTTACTCTCAATTTTAGAAAGTTTTCTTCTTACTTTTCTTAAGGCATTTTTTGTTGTGTTTATTTGCTTCCCACTCCCAGATTTATTGATGTATAAATGACAAATAAAAATGATATATATTTAAGGTGTACAATGTAATGTTTTGATATCCATATACACTGTAAAATGATTACCACAATCAATGAAATTAACAAAATTCATCATCTCACTTAATGATGGTGGTTTATTTGTGGTGAGAATACTTAAGACTTACTCTCTTTTAGCAAATGTCAGGTATACAATACATTATTGTTAACTATAGTCACCTTGCTATACTTGCTGATCTTCAGAACTTACTTCTTACATAACTGAAACTGTGTACCCTTTGACCAACATCTCCCCATTTCCTACACCCAAGCCCCTGAGAACCATGATTCTCTTCTCTCCTTCTATGAATTTGACTTTTTTAGATTCCACAGAAGTGTGGTCATACAGTATTTGTTATTCTGTGACTGGCTTATTTCTCTTAGCATAATGTTCTCCATGTTTGACCTTGTTGTTGCAAGAATAATATTCCATTGTGCACACATCCACATATTTCTTTACCCATGCATCCATCAATGGATGCCTAGGTTGTTTTCATGTCTTGGCTATTGTTAATAATGCTGCAATGAAATGGGAATGCAGATATCTCTTTGAGATACTGATATCATTTCCTTTGGGTATGTACCGAGAAGTGGGATTTTTGGATCATATGGTATTTCTATTTTTAATTTTTAAGGAACTTATGTACTGCTTTTCATAATTGCTGTATGAATTTACATTCCCACCAACAGTGTATAAATAACAGTTCCTTTTTCTCCATACCCTCACCAAAACTTTTATCTTTTTGATAATAGCCATCCTAACAGGTATAAGGTCATATTCCATTGTGGTTTTGATTTGCATTTTCCTGATGATTGGTAATATTGAACATTCTTTCATATACCTGTTGTACATTTTTATGTCTTTCTTTGAGAAATGTCTATTCAAGTACATCGCTCATTTTTGAAATCAGGTTATTTGTTTTCTTGCTATTGAGTTGAGTTCCTTATACATTTTGAATATTAATGCCTTATCAGATATATAGTTTGCAAATATTTTATCTCTTTCCATAGGTCATCTCTTACTCTGTTGATTGTTTCTTTCGCTGTGCAGAAGCTTTTGGATTTGATTTAATCTAGTTTTTCTATTTTTGTTTTTGTTGCCTGTGTTTTTGAGGTCATATCCAAAAAATTATTGCACAGACCAATGTCAAGAAGTTTTTCCTCTACGTTTTCTTCCAATAAATTTACAGTTTTAGGTCTTATGACTAAGTCTTCGGTCCATTTTGAGTTGATTTTTGCATATGATGTGAGAAAACTGTTCAATATCATTCTTCTGCATGTGAATAGCCAGTTTTCCTCACATTATTTATTGAACTAACAATTCTTTCCCCATTGTCTGTTCTTGGTATCTTTGTCAAAGATCAATTGGCCATAAATGTGTAGATTTATTTCTGGACTATTTTGTTCCATTTGTCTTTATGTCTATTTTTATGCCAGTACCATACTGCTTGAATTACTACAGCTTTGTAATATATATTTGAAATGAGTCAATGAAATGACTCCAGCTTTGTTCTGCTTGCTCAAGATTGTTTTGGCTATTTGAAGTCTTTGAGGCTCCATATTAATTTAAAATTCATTTTCTATTTCCATGCAAAATGTCATTAGAATTTTGATAGGCATTGCATTGAATCTGTAGATTGCTTTTTATGGTATGAACAATTTACCAATATTAATTCTTCCAATCTGTGAACATAGCATATTTTTCCATTTATTTGCTTTTTCTTCATCTCTTTCATCAATATTATAGAGTTTTCAGTACACAAATCTTTTACTTCCTTGGTTAAAATTTGCACCATTGATTCAACTCACCTCTTTACTGTTGAGTGTGATGTTAGCTGTGAACTTGTCATATATGGCTTTTATTCTGTTGAGGAACATCCTTCTATACCTAATTTGTTGAGCATTTTTATCATCAATGGATGTTGAATTTTGTCCAATGATTTTTCTGCATCTATTGAGATGATCATATGGTTTTTGCACTTCAGTCTATCAATATGGTGAATCACATTTATTGGTTTGCATATGTTGAGCCAACTTTGCATCTCAGTGATAAATCCCACTTGATTATAATAAATGATCCTTTTAATGTATTGTTGAATATGGTTTGCTAGTATTTTTTGAGGACTTTTACATTTATGTTCAGCAGTGATATTGACCTGCAGTTTTATTTTCTTGGAGTGTCTTTGTCTGGCTCTGGTATCTGGACTTGTAAAACAAATTTGGAAGTATTTGCTCCTTTTTATTTTTTCAGGAGAGTTTAGGAGTTTAAGAAGGCTTGGTATTAGTTCTTATTTAAATGTTGGGTAGAATGCAATTATAAATCCATCTGATTCTGTGCTATTCTTTGATGGGATTTTCTTTTAATTACGAATTTAATCTCTTTGTTCCTTATTGGTCTGTTTAGATTTCCAATTTCTTTTTGGTTCAGTCTCACTAAGTTCTATGTTTCTAGAAATTTATCTCATTCTTCTAAGTTGTCCAGTTTTTTTAGACATGATTATTTATACCAGTCTCTTAACATCTCATTCTTCTAAATTGTCCGATTTTTTGGCATATGATTATTTATAATAGTCTCAATATCCTTTGTATTTCTGTGTCATTTTTAAATTTTATTTGATTATTTTCTTATTTTTATTCTAAATTGGTCTAGCTAATGATTTGTCAATTTTGCTTATCTTTTCAGAAAACCAACTCAGTTTTGTTGATTTTTTTAATTGTTTTTCTAGACTTTATTTCATTTATTTCTGCCCTGATCTTTGTTATTTTATTCTTTCTGTTAACTTTAAGTTTAGTTTGTTCTTCTTTTTTAAAAAAAATTACTTGAGGTATAACATTAGGTTGTTTATTTGAGATCTTATTTTTTGATTTAGGCATTTATTGCTATAAACTTCCCTCTTAGAACCACTTTTGCTGCATCCCATAAGTTGTAGTATGCTATGTTTCCTTTTTCACTTGTCTCAATATATTTTAAAATTTGTCCTTTAATTTCTTCTTTGACCCAATAGTTGTTCAGGAACATATTATTAATTTCCATATATTTGATAATTTTTAATGATTCCTCCTGTTATTGATTCTAAATCCTTCCTTTTATTCAGGGGCCAGAAGTAATATGTAGCACAAAAAGAAGAGTAAAGGTATCTACTCTTAAATCGATACCCAAATACTTAGATGTTTTACTCTGGCTTTTTAAACTCCAGGCTTTGACTTCTTCATCAGTAAAATGACAGGGATAGGAGCAATTGTTTCTAAATTTCTACAGGCATCATAGTGTGTTAGCTAGGACATCAGTATATCAGCTATCTTTGCTGCAATATTGGCAAGAGGAGGCAGAACTGATATCTACACATAAACTAAGAGTTGTGGGGAGGATTGCTTCTAGGTACAATGATGATATGTGTTTTGTGGAAAAAGCTACATGTTATCAACTGGAAGCCATGACACTGGGAGCCTGAACCCTCTTTGGATTGTAACACCTATACCTAAGATTATGCTGTCAGAAAGAGCACTCTTCTTGCATGAACCCTGAGGAACTATTGAAGGATGAACAGCTCCAAACATGGCCTTAGAAATGGCTTTTTAGTATATTGATTTTACCATCCACACCAGTCATCCTAAACTCAAAAGGATAACTAAAGAAAACTCAAAAGGAGTACTAAAGACAAAGTAGGTTCATTGCAGGGCTTCCTTCAGGTAGGAGGTTGTGGTACTGGCCTTGAAGGCTATGCTCACTTTCCCTGTATGAAGCCAGTGGGGACAAAGAGTCTCTTACTGACCTGTGCAAATAATCACGGGGTACTAGGACCTATGTTTGCTGGAGAAGCTGAAGTAGTCTGGGTAGATGGGTGCTTAAAAGTCATTATAATTGAAACTAAAAATAAATGTGATCTTATTTTATAAGACAAGCTAATGAAGTAGAACATGCCAAGTACGTCATTATGATTATTCAAGAAACTTATAATACTGGACATTTTTTTTCCTAGAACAGGAAGTCAAATACAAAAATGCCTGATTTTTAAATCATTTAAAATCATTTTTATAAAATGACTTGGTTAGTGATATGTATATAGAGTAAAATATCTATTATATCTAACAGATATCTGTTATATCTATTATATATCTTATATAATATCTATTTATATATATAATTTTGTTCAGACATTATCCAGATAATAGAAATGGTCAATGATATGCATCTCATATGATTATACATAGCTATATATTCTATGATAGCTCACCATAAGAGATAGTATCTGAACCTAAATTTCTATGAGATTACTCCATAAACAGCCTCTAGGAACTTAAGCTAATGTTCATATGGGAATAATTTGCAATTAATACTTCAAAATATGATTAGATTAGCAGGATTGATTACATAAAAGATTACGTAAGTCTCATTACCTGAATTCTACTCCTAAGTACTTTAAATATTTCCTCTGAAATTTCCTTATTTTATTTATTAATCCAGAAGAGTTTGTTTTTAGATATTTTACTAAACTTTTACCCAACCTTCATAAACACTCCTTGAGACACTATCAAAATCCTCATGATTTTATTTTACGTCATTCAGTGCTGTACCAATTGGTTCTACACAGATTTTGTCCAGCTTTTCATGGGTAATCAACAGTGTCTAGCATTGGCAAGAGGGTATCTTTCTTTCTGTCTTGAGGTTTATCTGACACCTGGCTTGTAATGCCCAGGGGAATCCACTGTGCATTTACATACGCACAGCCCAGAAGTGTGGGAGACTTACATTATGGGGTCGCCTTGGTCAATGGGGGATGGAATAGTTATAGAAATACTTTGTTGTTCTTACATAATTCAGGTGGACAGTTCTGGGAGACTTTTCATAAAGCTCTGTGAAAAGTCACAGCCTCAGGTAGTTGCCTGTAATCTAGCCATCTCCATAACACATTCTTGTATTGGTTTTTCTTCTTTTCATTTTACGATCCCTGTTCCTGTGCTCCCTGCTTCCTGAAATCACTTTCAGTTCAACTACTTGCAGGGCAAGTCACTGTCTAATGTTCTATCCTTCAAACTCCATTCTTATTAACTGGAATATATTTCCATTCTTTTCAGACGAAGGGCCAAACCGGGCAAGAAATTTTACTGGTACCTTTGTTGCTTCATAAGCAGTCAGAAACAAAATATTGGTTCACTCCTCTTAACTTTTTTCTTTTTTTGTTTTGAGATGGAGTCTCGCTCTTTTGCCCAGGCGGGACTGCAGTGGCGCTATCTTGGATCCCTGCAAGCTCCGCCTCCCGGGTTCACGCCATTCTCCTGCCTCAGCCTCCCGAGTAGCTGGGCCTACAGGTGCCCGCCACCACGCCCGGCTAAATTTTTTTGTATTTTTAGTAGAGACAGGGTTTCACCTTGTTAGGCATGATGGTCTCGATCTCCTGACCTCGTGATCTGCCTGCCTTGGCCTCCCAAAGTGCTGGGATTACAGGCGTGAGCCACCACGCCCGGCCCACTCTCTTAGCTTATGTCATAGGTTAAAAAGAACATTGCCAGTAGGCCTTCACTCTTCTGAATGGGCACTATTTGTTAGGTCTCTTTATCCATGGATTGGAGTAAATGAGGCAATGATTGGAAGTTTACTCATACTAGGCTGTATAGCAGATTCTACTGCAAAAGCTACAGTTACATTCTTCCTAAAATTGTGCTAAATGAAGGAATTGCTCTAGATTACTAACTGACTAAATGGAGAAGTGTCTGTGCAGTTGCTCATACTTCTAACTGTTCATGGAGGAATACACTGGATATTATAGAGGCTCAGTTGTAGAGGATTAGCAAAGGGACTGCTTGGTTAAAGCAAGTAGACTCTTTATCAAGCTCATTCTTTCATCTATTTGATTTTAATTGCTTTGGTTTATGGGGACCCTGGCTAAGGAGCATATTCTAAACTCTTGGTATTATCCTCCTGATAGTCATAATAGTAGTCTCCCTGTTGTGCTGTATTATCTCAAAAGTTTTAAGCGTTTGCATGGAACCATTTCTAGATTGTTCTATGGTCTCCAGCTGGAATGATAAGAGCTCGAAGAAATGTGTGGCCATTAGGACACCACAATTTATAAATGATGTGCTGTGACCAGAAACCCCAAATGATATTAACTGAGAGTGGCACTAAGGCCCTAAGTTTTGGTCACTTGTTTCTGTACGTCACTTCCATTTTCTTTCCTTTCCTTTCCTTGTTTCTATCCATAAATCTTCTTCCACCATATGGCTCTGAGCCTACTCTGGCTCGGGAGACTGCCCAATTCATGAATCATTCCTTCTCAAATTAAATTCTGTTAAATTAAAAAAATTAGTTTAAATTTAATTTTAGTTGAAAATTTAGTACTAATTAAATAAATATATGAGTATGCTGAAAAATTGATTCCAGTCATCATTTTGGGTCTTCCAAAACCCCCAGATAAAACCAGAGAGAGATCAGATAGCAAAAGCAGAAAACTCATAAAAAACATTTCAAAAAAAATTGGTGTATTAGTCAGGGTTCCCTAGAGGGACAGAACTAATAGGATAGATATATATTAAAGGGGAGTTTATTAAGTATTAACTTACACGATCACAAGGTCCCACAATAGGCTGCCTGCAAGTGAGGAGCAAGGAGAGCCAGTCTGAGTTTCAAAACTGAAGAACTGGAGTCTGATGCTTGAGGGCAGGAAGCATCCAGCATGGGAGAAAGATGCAGGCTGGGAGTCTAGGCCAGCCTCACCTTTCACATTTTTCTGCCTGCTTTATATTCGCTGGAAGCTGATTAGATGGTACCCACCCAGATTAAGGGTGGGTCTGCCTTCCCCAGCCCACTGACTCAAATGTTAATCTCCTTTGGCAACATCCTCACAGACACACCCAGGATCAATATGTTACATGCTTCAGTCCAATCAAGTTGATACTCAGTATTAACCATCACACTAGGCAAGGTATAGTAGCAAACACCAAACTATGTGCAGCTGGAGACAAACCACCAGCACTCACAAAATATGAGTCTTATCAGTATCTTCGTGGGAGAAACCAGAGAGATGCAACAAGGCATCCAACAAACAAGTGATATGGTGTGTCTCTGTGTACCCATCCAAATCTCACGTTGAATTGTAATCCCTCATGTTGTGGGAGGGACCTAGTGGGAGGTGATTGGATCATGGGGATGTATTTCTCCATTGCTGTTCTCGTGATAGTGGGTTCTCACGAGAGCTGGTTGCTTGAAAGTGTGTAGCACTTTCCCCTTCACGCTCTCTCCCTCCTGCTCCTGCCATGTAAGACGTGCTGGCTTCCTCTTTGCCTTCTGCCATGATGGTCAATTTCCTGAGGCTTCCCCAGCCATGCCTCCTGTACAGCCTATGGAACTGTGAGTCAATTAAACCTCTTTTCTTCATAAATTACCCAGTCTCAGGTAGTGCTTTCTAGCAGTGTGAGAATGGGCTAATATAAATACACTGAGAAAAGGGGAAAAGGCGTTCTCAGGCCAAGTTGAGAAGAGAAGCTGAAATTGGGCAGGACTTTGCCCACTCCATTAGTGTTGAGTGCAACCTATCCCTAGATTCTTTTTAGGGCAGGGCTTCACAATGAGCAGAAACTGCTGTTAGTGGCATAAAAATTGAGCAGGATAGGCACAACTAAGAAAAAGGAGAGGAAAGATTCAATTAAAGTGCAGGAGGGGAAAAGTGCCAGAAAATCACACAAAGTAATTACCATATCTTAAAATACCACATGAAAACAACAGAACAGTGTGCTCTGTAATGTTAGAAAATACATTTGGACCAAGACTCCTTCTAAATTTATGGAAAACTACATTCACCTAAAAATAAACAACAGAAAACTATTAAGATCAAATTCCATACAAAGTTATTGTATGAAAAAAGAGAATAAGAAGTAGAATCACAGTTGTATAAATAATTACAGCATTCCAGAAACGTGCTGAAAAACAGGTTGAAATTGTAGTATTTCAAAATTAGCTAAGAAACATTAAGATAATGATGGTGTAAGAAGTATGTGTTAGGGCATGGTGGTTCATGCCTGTAATCCCAGCACTTTGGGAGGTTGAGGCAGGAGGATCACTTGAGGCTAGGAGTTTGAGACCAGCCTGGGCAACATAGTGAGACCCAATCCCTAAAAAAAAAATAATAATAATTAGCTGGGCACGATGGTGTGTGTCTATAGTCCTAGCTACTCATGAGTTTGAGGTGGGAGGATTGCTGGAGCCCAGGAGTTCTAGGTTGCAATGAGCTGTGATTGCACCATTGTACTCTGTCCTGAGTTGACAGAGTGAGACCCTGTCTCAACAACAACAATAAAAAAAAACTCACCAGAAATTGAAGTGTTTACTAGAGAACATAAATCAGAAGTAGAAAAATTAAGGAATGACTTGATAGAATTGATGAAAATGTTGACAATAAAAGAAAAAATTATTTTAGAAATGAGGACTAAACCAGAAGGATCACAAAAGTAAGTAAACAGATATACTACATTGACAGAATGAAGGATAAGAGTCATGTGATCATCTCAATAGATGTAGAAAAAGCATCTGACAAAACACAACAATCTTTCATGATAAAGACTCTCAACTAATTAAGTATAGAAGAAATATACTTCAACATAAGAAAGGCCATATTTGACAAACCCACAGTAAACATCATATTTGACCATGAAAGGTTGAAAACAGCTTCTCCTCTAAGATCAAGAACAGGAAAATGATGCCTACTCTCCCCACTTGTTTTCAATATAGTACTGAAAGTCCTAGCCAGGGCAATTAGACAAGAGAAAGAAATAAAAGACATCCAAGTTGGAAAGCAAGAAACAAAATTGTCTCTGCGAATGACCCAATCTTTTGCATAGAAAATCCCAAAGACTCCATCTGATAAACAAATTCAGTAAAGTTGCAGAATACAAAATCAAATTTAAAAATAGGTGTGTTTCTATCCACTCACAACGAATTACTGAAAAAGGAAATTAAGAACACAATCTCATTTAAAGTAGCATAATAAATACTTAGGAGTAAATTTAACCAAAGAAGTGAAAGAACTGTATACTAAAAACTATGAAACATTGATGAAAGAAATTGAAGATATCCTGTATTCATGAATTGCAATAATTAATATTATTAAAATATCTATAGTGCCCAAGTGATCTAAAGATTCAGTGCAATTACTATCAATATTCCAAAGCCATTTTTTCAACAGAAATAGAAAAAACAATCATAAAATTTCTGTGGAACCACAAAAAGTCCTGAATGGCCAAAACAATTTGACCAAAAAGAACCAAGCTAGAGGCATCACACTACCAGATTTCAAATATATTAAAGAGCTATAGTAATAAATAAAGCTATAGTAATAAATAAACTATAGTAATAAAAGAGCATGATACTGGCATAAAAACAGACACATTGACCAATGGAATAGGATAGACAGGACAGAAATAAACCCACACATGTATTGTCAATTGGTTTTCAATGTAAGTGTCAACAAGACACTATGTGGAAATATTCAGCATTCCCAACACCATTTATTTAAGTCGCTGCAATAAATGGTATTGGGAAAACTGAATATACATATACAAAACAATGAAAATGGACCCTTATCCTTTATATAAGAATCAGCTAAAAATCAATTAAAAATATAAATGTAAAACTTGAAACTATAAAACTACTAGAAGAAAACATAGGGGAAAATCTCCATGACATTGGTGTGGGCAGAGATTTCTTGGACATGACCTTAAAAGCACAGGCAATGAAAGCACAAATAGACAAATGGAATTGCATCAAATTAAGAAACTTCTGCACGAGAAAGGTAAATAGAATGAAGAGATAATGCGTGGATTGGGAGAAAATATTTGCAAATAATGTATAGGATAAGGGGCTAATCAAAATATACAAGGCACTCAAACTACTCAGTAACAAGAAAACAAATAATCTTATTAAAAAGTGGGCAAAGGACTTGAATAGACATTTCTCAAAAGAAGACATACAAATGGCCAAAGGATATATAAAAAAAGTTTAACATGTATAATCATAAAGAAAAGCAGATTAAAACTAGGATGAGATATCATCTCACTCCTGTTAGATTGGCTATTACCAAAAAGATGAAAGAAAGCAAGTGTTGGCAAGAATGTGAAGGAGAGGAAACACCTATATACTATTGTCCATCAACAGAGGAGTGGATTTTAAAAATGTGGTATATACATACAATGGAATACCATTCAACCTTAAGAAAACACAGGAAATTCTGTCTCTATGGCAGCATAGGTGAACCCAGGAGACATTATATTAAGTGAGATAAGCCAGGCACAGAGATACTTACAATATGATTTCACTTATATGTGAAATCTAAAAAAATCAAAGTCGTTCAAGTCGAGAGTAGAATGGTGGCTACCAGAGGCTAGGGTGGGAAGTTGGAGGGAGGAGGGGTGGTCAGGGAAAAGGGGGACATTGGTACAGGGGTACAAAGTGTCAGTTAGCTAGGAGGAATGTGTTCTGATGTTCTTTTGCACAGTAAAGGTGTAACGTGACTATAGTTAATAATAATATCTTGTATATTTCAAAATAGCTAAAAAGGATGAATTTTAAATGTTCTAACCACAAAGAAATGATAAACATTTGAGGTGATGGATATGCTAATTATCCTGATTTGATCATTCCACAAGGTATACATGCACTGAAATATCACATTGTACCCCATATATACAGTAAAATTATTGTCAATTAAAACAAAAAAAGAAAAAGAAAGTAGGATTTAGAGAAGTAGCTTCACACAGTAAAATTTATCACTTGTGTAAAGTCTAATACAGATATTTCTGGGCAACTTCCCTCAAACTGGATAATTTCTTGATGAGGGTGTCTTCATGATATCCAAGGCTGCAGCAGCATGGAGAAGGCATGCTGCATATGTGGCCTTCTGGTCACATTCCATTGGCCAGAACTCATTGTTCCTATGTGTGAAAAAGGGGATTGGGAAATACAGTACCTGGCTGGACAGCTGCTTTCCAGAAGCTACGATAGACTATGGAAGGGAAAAATTAAGCTTTGGGGGTTAGCTGACCATTTCAGCTACAGAAACCTTTCCCAGATAGGTGTCTATGGACTTCCTCTGACACAGCTGTGGTCGAGTTAATTATTGGCCAGAGAATGGGAAAACCATGATTGGTTTAAACCAATGCATATTTATCTTTTAGCGGTTTATAGGGTCATCCTCTCTGAGTGATAAATGTCTGAATAAAATTGGGGTTCTATGGAAAAAAGTAAAGGCCTACTAATAGTGCCCTCTAGTCACTACTATGACTTATATCTTTTTCAAAATGGTTACACTCATCTGAACATGAGCAGAGAATGGATGTCACCTTAGCTGCTACTGCAAGGCAAGCTGATGTGGAGATGGCTGGAGACAAAATAAAACTGAATTATCCTTGAATGGTCATTGAGTAATTTAGCCTAGCTGTCAACAAGGCCCATGTTCTGCCTGCAGCTTCATTTTTCCATAGGATATTTAGGCTGAGTAGTTTTTCTAGCAAAGGGAATAATTTATATTTAGTAATTATCTTTTATTTAGCTGTGCTCTCTTACCTAGTTCACGTCAAATGTATTTGTGAGATGCCTTGCCAAATTGAAGACCGTGGCACAAAACCAGATTAAGTGATCCAAACAAGAAACAGCACAGGACCTTGATTTAATTAACACAATTACAAACTGAATGTTCAGACTGAGGTTTGCTTAAAGCAAACGACACACACACATATTTTGAGCCAAAGCACTACACAGACAATTATGCAGCAATAAAAGTATAGGTGGTAGCTACATTAACGATGCAACAGATTCTTCATATATGTCAAAAGAGCATAGATCATGCATCACTCATTTCTAACTTGTATACACACCAAATGACACTTAAACTTAATTTAACAAATCTTTTTGACGGTTCTTGGCTTAGATTTTTCTCCTATAAAATGAGAGTTGCATTAGATGTTCTCTGAGGTCTCCTTTCACTGTGTAATTTTTCAGGTTTTTGAGTCTTAATTTTAAATCACTTAATAAAGAGTTGTTGTATAAGGGGGTTTAGTTTTGTTTTTTGTTTGTTTGTTTGTTTGTTTTACTTTTATTTTAAGTTTAGGAGTACAAGTGCAGGTTTGTTACATAGGTAAACTTATGTCATGGGGGTTTGTTGTACAGATCATTTCATCACCCAGGTATTAAGCCTAGTACCCATTAGTTATTTTTTTATTAGCCTTTGGCTAAACTATGATATGTTCTCTGATTCTTTAGTGGCTAGCTCCTACTGGATCTTCAGTACATCTCTGATAAATGAGTAAACCTGGAGTCCTTCTTATCAGCTTATTAGGGAAAGGAGGTTAATTTGGATCTTATGCTTTAAATATCTCTATGAGATCAAACAGCTATGAAGCTTGCATATCTGAGTGATAATGAATAGTCAGAGACCACAGATGTTCTAATAGATATTGATTTTAAAAGTCAGTCTAATTCATGAGATATGAAATAGGTCAAGTAGTGAGCACTAGTGGCCATTTCCTTTGAATAATGTACAAAAGAATGTTAATTGTGATAAAACTTCATTAATCTGATTTTCATTTATTTGATACTTTTGATGGTTTAGACAGTGGCTGGATTGAGTTTTTGCCTTGCTAAACAACTCTTTATTAAGTGATTAATGTCATAATTAAGATTTCTGGGAAATATTTATAGTATTACAAAACATTTTGCAAACTTGATAATTATTCCAGAAATTCTCACTTATATGTGAATACTGATACAGACAAGCCAGTCACCGATGTATCGTCCCCAAAAGATATCTGCTGCTTTACTAGATTAGTTTGAGTCACTTTAGACAATTTAAATTAATTCAAATGTGTTTCCATGAAAATAATCTATCATGTAGTCTTTTCTCTAATTTCAACTGGTCCTTCTGTTTATGAACTGAAAGTTTTGAAAGTGTTATCATATTTTACTAGAGGAGAACAAAATACACTGGAGACTTTCAGAGGGTAGAGGATGGGAGAAGGGAGAGGATCAGGAAAAATGACTAATGGGTACTAGGTTTAATACCTGGGTGATAAAATAATCTTCACAACAAACCCCCATGACACAAGTTTACCTATGTAACAAACCTGCACTTGTATTACTGAACTTAAAATAAAAGTTAAACAAACAAACGAAAACCAAAAATAAGCTCCCTTATACTAGAAAAACAAAAAAAGTTGCATCAAGGGTAGGTTATCTTTTTTGTCATAAAAAAATCAAAATTTCTATAAAGTGGAATGGGTCATCATAAACTTTGACTTTCAGTATAGTTATTTTTCTTTTATAACCGAAACACTTTCCAGGACTAATCAAGGGGCTCCAGTCTCTTGTGAGCCAAAATAACATATCTGCAGAAGATCTGATCCTCAATTCATCAGAAAGAAAATTCTTGAGCAAACAGGAACAGTGGTTACCATGGAGATTGCTGGAGATTATAGATTCTGTACTGTGTTCTTCATTGACATTTCTACAAAACTAGTAAAATGCAAACCAGTGTCTATATTCATCAATTATTTTATTTTATTTTTTAACTTTTATTTTAAGTTCAGGGGTACACGTGCAGATTTGTTATATAGGTAAACTCATGTCTCAGGGGCTTGTTGTACAGATTATTTCATCACCCAAGTATTAAGCCTAGTATCCATTAGTTATTTTTCTTGATCTTCTCCCTCCTCCCACCCTCCACCCTCCAATGGGCCCAAGTGTCTGTTGTTCCCCTCTATTTGTCCATGTGTTTTCATCAGTTAGCTTCCACTTATAAGTGAAAACATGCAGTATTTGGTTTTCTGTTACTGCATTAGTTTGCTAAGGAGCCTCCAGCTCCATCTACATCCCTGCAAAGGATATGATCCTGTTTTTTTTATGACTGCGTAGTATTCCATGGTCTATAGGCACTACATTCTCTTTACCCAGTCTTCCACTGATGGGCATTTAGGTTGATTTCATGTCTTTGCTATTGTGAATAGTGCTGCAACGAACATACACGTGCATGTGTCCTTATAAAAGAACAATTTACATTCTTTTGGATATATACCCAGCAATGGGATTGCTGGGTCAAATGGTAGTTCTGCTTTTAGTTCTTTGAGGAATTGCCACACTGCTTTCCACAATGGTTGAACTAATTTAAAAACTCTCATCAATGGTGTATAAGTGTTCCTTTTTCTCCACAACCTTGCCAGCATCTGTTATTTTTTGACTTTTTAATAATAGCCATTCTGACCTGTGTGAGATGGTATCTCACTGTGATTTTGATTTGCATTTCTCTAGTCATCAGTGATGTTGAGCTTTTTTCATTTGCTTGTTGGCTGCATGTATGTCTTCTTTAGAAAATTGTCTGTTCATGTCTTTTGCCCACTTTTTAATGGGGTTGTTTTTTTCTTGTAAATGTATTTAAGTTCCTTATAGATGCTGGATATTAGACCTTTGTCAGATGCATAATTTGAAAAAATTTTCTACCATTCTGTAGGTATCTGTTTACTCTGTTGACAGTTTCTTTTGCTGTGCAGAAGCTCTTCAGTTTAATTAGCTCCCATTTTTTCAATTTGTCACTCTGGCCTCAAATTTTTTAAGTAGTCATAAAAATGAGACAATATGTGTGCATGCATATAAGATCAACACTTCATTCTTAAAAGGGTTCTTTTAGCAGTAAACTTTCTACTCAAAGAGAATCTGACAGTTTTTAAAGAAAGGGACCACCCACATTCCTTAGGCTGCTGTTACAAAGGGAACAATATCTTTAAAGTTAGTATCTTTTTAGTTAGGTGGCTAAGAAAAAATTTTTCAAAAGTAATGCATTTCAAGATAGAGAAATGTGTTTTGAGCTAGTTTTGCCACCCTCCAATTTCAATTTAAAATATACTCCAAAACATTAAATTCTTTCTATTTTATCCTAATATTTTATTTACAGACAGACTTATTAACCAATACGGTAAGTTTCATGATATTGGATCTAGGTTACTATAGGAAATACTCAAGCAGGGCTTAGCAGGAAAAAAAGTAGGTCATGCCATCCATATATCTGCCTCTGTCATTAAAAAAACTGCTTCTCTCGATGTGATCATGTCATCAACACTAACATGAACTTTTGATTTCTGCCTGTTTTTCTGGACTATCAGTTAGTATTGCTGGCTGCTTTTCCCCCCTGCTCCTCTGTAAACACCTGTAAAGGTGTTCATTTTAGGAAATCTTTTGTTTCAGAAGAAATCTAAAATTTGAAATTTTTTTGTTTTCTTAAAATAGAGCTACAGAACATTTCATTGACTTAATACATGAGTGAAGAGAATCTGGATGAGGCAATTAAATATTTTCCAATCCTGATAACATGTGCAGACAGAGCTGTATCAATACCCTCATAAAGAAAATTACACTAGAAAAATACTTTTATGTAGAAAACAACTTTTACAATATTAATTTTACCCTGAATCATACTTTTAAATGTATAAGTTGCTGCTTACTCACAGTTGTGTTGCAAACAGAAAAATATAATATCAACTTATTATAAGACATTTGCCTACATCTTAATTGCAACATTTATTATTGCATTCAAATGCATAGGTACAGATCTTCAATAAAATATTAAAATAAAAATCATAGGCAGATGATAACCTCTTTGTCTTTTAAATTATAAACTGCTTATATACTACTTCTGAGGTGCAGCATACTTCCTCATAAATTGAAGGAAGCTGATCCTTTGAGAATATTGATCAAAAGATGACCAGCTGTGAAGCAGTTTGGAGTTCAGAGGTCTAGATAAGTGGAGATTTTACATAACTATGTGGGGGAACCTGGTTCTCTTCTGGGTCTGCAGAATGTCTTGAACCTTTTTTCAATGTTTTGGGTTTGGCAAACCCAAAATATGTTTTGCTAAGCAGTTTTCTCTTCACTTTAAACCCATGTGTATTATAAAGGAAATTTAATCCGTATGTTTTTGATTCTTTTACACTTAACTCATCAAAATGTTGTTTTGTAAGAGCTATTTGATGTCCAAGAAGACTTTGAGTCTTTTTATAACTTTAAAAAAGCTTCCCCCCGCTTAGAAACAGGAAGTTGTGCTTTTCTGAGAGTAAACAAACAAAAAACTTAGAAGCTAGTTTCTTAGAAGACTTCAAACCTAGGATAAATTAATAATAATAAAGCAAACACTATTTCCTTGGTTTGCTCTAAGCATTTTTCATGTTTTAAGTTATTTAATTCTTGCAACTATCATATGAGGGAAGTTCAGTTACTTCCTCTGTTTTAAGTTAAGTTACCTGTCCAAAGGTCATACAACTTATGAGGTGGAGCTGGGATTGGAAACTAGGCAGTTTATGTCCCAACTTTCAGCAATTAAACATATTACCTATTTCTATAGTACTGTCCTGAAATTTAAGAATTTTGGATATTACTTAAAATTACTTATGAACCAGTAGAGTACTAGATACTGAGAAGATTGTATTTTTACCCCTAAGAGAGTTTACTTTGTAATGGGCACACATGGACTAAAGGAAAAACAAAACAAAATAAGAAACAAACAACCCTGAATGAAATCCTGCACATTTTTTCGATATCATTCATCTAACACATACATATAGAATATCTACTAATGGCAGGCTCTGTTCTGGTCATTGAGGATACTGAGGTCATGGAGCTGGTATCTTGATGGATACTGTGTTCCTCCTCTAAGAGCAGACTTGGAACTTGGAAAAATGCCTAGATGGCTTCAGATGTTTCCAGCAGTGATAGGCAGGTCGAGAGGCAGCTGGGATGACCTGTAGCAACCCCCATCCAGCCTATGCTCTTGGGAGAACGTGTGTCCTGCAGAAGCTGTGGGTGTTTGGGGCATCCAGTCTCGCACTCCAGATGCCGGTGAATATTTTCTTCCTAGCAAAGTTATTCCTTTCCTCAAGGACTTCAAGAAGCTAGTATTCCTGTTTATGGAAAATAAGCTTTTTATCCTTAAAAGTCTTCACGAAGTTTTGGGAGGCCGAGGCGGGGATCACGAGGTCAGGAGATAGAGACCATCCTGGCTAACACGGTGAAACCCCGTCTCTACTAAAAAATACAAAAAACTAATTAGCTGGGGGTGGTGGCAGGCGCCTGTAGTGCCAGTTACTCGGGAGACTGAGGCAGGAGAATGGGGTGAACCCGGGAGGCGGAGCTTGCAGTGAGCCGAGATCGCGCCACTGCACTCCAGCCTGGGCGACAGAGCGAGACTCCATTTCAAAAAAAAAAAAAAAAAACAAAAAGTATTAATAAAGTTAGATAATAAAACACCTTAAAGGTCTTCAGGGAATTTTACTCTCCTTACTACACATTGGTATGTTTTACTGCATCTCAATTATGAACAAGAGATTACAGTAAAAACGGGAGGAAGTTTAACAGTTAGTATGTCAACATTTATTTGAACATTTTATGGGTGTTTTTCTTATAAAAGCAATACAAACATATTAAAAACAATTTGGAAAACAAAGTTAAAAAATGAAGTTCTACCCACAAACATAAGTTTAGCTGACATTTCTGGTGAGTATAATTGTGTAGTTTTAAAAAAATATCAATAATTGTCTTGCATTTCACTTACATGCTTACTTTTTCAATAACTTATTAAAAGAAAAGGAAGACCATGTTTTATCTCTTAAAATGAAATAATACAGTAGAATTTGGACCCTTGAATTTGGCTTTGCTTTACATTTGAGGAAGCTTAGGTTTTCTTTAAAAGAAGGAGATTTAAGACATCCTTAGGCTAATCAGAACTTTGATGACATGGCTTCCAATACAAAAAAATTCATTCAGGAAAGTGCGAGATGAAAGCTATGGGATGAGAGTTGTAGTGTGGTGAGGAAAAGTCAGCCAAAACTATACCTTTACTTAGGAAATGTGTCTTGGATTCCAAATCAAAATTCATTTAGTATGAAATGGAATAATTTAGAAAGAATGGATGCTACCAGTCCTCCCAGCCATATAAAACCCTAAAGTGGCTGGAAATAGCGAAACTTTGTCAGGCCTATGACAAATATATGCTTTTCTTCCAAGGCCTGAAAGAAAGGCTGAAATTAACTACATTTTGTGAAAATTACTCTTCTCATAAAGATTGTTTGTAAGAACACCTTTAAAAGGTTTAAAATGTAAAAACCTCTAAAACTCTAAAATACGTTGAAATACAAGCCTAAAGTATTAAACACTGTAAATTTTCTCAAATAAAAGAAAAAAGAATAGTACTTTTATTTGTGTTGAGAAGTAATGTAAAAACATACTAAATAAAAAAAATCAATGGGTTGAAAAAAGACTTATGTTTTTAATCTTTCCGTTAAATACCTCTGAGTAACCAAAATGCTTTTGCTTCAAGTGGTTTTCCTGGTTCGGCCAATAAGTCTTTCTTAGCTTTGAAAATTTTATTCAAATATCAAGGGAATGAAGAAAAATAAAGGTCCTTTAAAAGAAAAAAATGAGATCTCTGAGCCATGCAAGTTTCAATCTTTGAATTATCTTATTTGAAGGATTACCTTTTTTTTTGCAGGCTTGTTATAGTTTTTTGTCATTTCACAATTTTCCCTTTAAGTACTTCCATGTCCTTTGTCATATTTGCCAGACCTATTCTTGTCTCCCTCAATTTGTCCTCTGATTGTTGGAAGCTGAGAGAAAGCTGCTCTGAGTATATAAAATGGGAAAATGTAGTCCACGTAGAAAGTAACACAGAATCTCTATCTTGTTTTTGTGTTACAATTATTATTCTCTCAATCTGGAATTTTTTTTCCTTTTAATAACACAGACGAAAGCAAAAAATTCTTGTGATTCTCAAGAATACCTTTATGAATCAGTTCTTTCTCTAAACTTTCCCTTGGAAAAAGAAATCAAAAACGATGAAAAGCAATTGACTTCTAGCATGACTATCAAACAAAGGATTCACTCACAAAACTAATTTGTCATTCATATCCTAACCTTTTCATTATGCTGTATCCTCACTTAAAAAAGTCAGGAGTACTAATAGTTAATAATTTGCAAAATTTCAGGCTCTGCCTATTGAAAAAATACATATAGCTACCAGTTCTAATAAGCCAAAACTAATAACAATGTCATCATTACCATAATGGCCTGGAATTCTTTGGCTCTCTGAAATCAGTGGTGGGAGTTCAAACCATTTAGTTTGCCAAAACAACAATTCATTCTATAGCTAATATATGTAGTCTTGCTTTCAAACTCTGGGGTCTTTGTTAGTGTGGGTGAAGACAATTGGGGGAAGTCTCCCACATTGTCCCCTTTTTGTTTTCATACTTTAATCCTACCTCTTCTCTGTTCCTGAAAAGATGGAAGGAGAGAGACGGATAGATATATAAGAATTACAGAGAAGGGCAAAATCTCTGTGACTTTTTTTCTAAGTGGGCCCAGGATCATTGTTTACCTGAGTATTCATTAATATACTAAATTGAAGATCTACTGCAGATCTCATGAGGTCTAAAGAGTTTCCTAGCTCATCTAACTCCCACTTTAAAGGCAACTTAGTTCATCCTGAAGTGTGACTCATGAATGCAGTTTTATTTGAAAAGAAAGAAGGAAGAAAAAGGTAAAAAATTCAGCTTACAAGTTTCCTAATCTGAGAACTGATTGCCAAATATATTGCATAGTTAATTTGGAAGGACAGGGTGAGTTAAACAAGAACACTTTACTCCCTACAAGTTAAAATATCAAGCTCAGGTTTTCTAGACTTCTTTTATAATTTTTGTTTTATTTTCTGGCTTTTATTTAAATTAATATTAAGCAGGGAGGCATTTAGATAGGTGAGGTTATATCAATTTTTATACTTCAAATTTTACTCAAGATTTTAATCCTAAACTGGACAGTTTGAGGAAACCTAAGCTGTTATTTCCCATTTAGAAAAGTGTGTGTGTGTGTGTGTGTGTGTGTGTGTGTTCGAGAGATATTCTAATATACAATCTGAACTGGATTGGTAAAATTTGGGATATCTGGTACCTTTTGCTTTGACTCCAGAAGCTCGGATGGCTGGTCGGGGCCGAAGGGTGAAAATAAACAATAAAGAAATGGCAAGTAGTGCCTTAGGGTATAAGTATTCCAAAGAAAGCTGGGGAATTTTTTTTAATTTAGGCAAAAAATTAACAGTATACATTTCTTATTCCAAAGGAAGTTGTTTACCTCATATATATTTCCTGTTTTGTTGCTGCTGCTGTTCCTTCCTCTTCTCCTCCTTCCCTCCTTCTCTTCCTCTTTCTTCCTCTTCCTTCTTATCCCCCATCCCCTTCTCCTCCTCTTCCTTCTCCTTCTTCAATTTATCTCCCACTTTTGACAGTCACACATCATGAATCTAGTTGCCTAGAAAAGATGAAACACAAATAGCAAGTGTGTACATACAATGACAGAAATGAAAGGATCCAAAATAAATTGTTTTAAATGAGCTTTTCCCCTCATCTAAGTAGGAGAAAAAATTAAAAAATGGGAGGCAGTTATCTGGGGGAGCAAGAATGGGGCTAGTTACACAGAGAAGACAAAAGAGATCCTAGAAGCAAGAAGCCCAATTAGGGAAATGGTGAAAACCTTCTTGAATTTGAGTTCACTGAATCACCAGGTGGCTCTTACCTCCTGTAAGCCATCTCCTCTCTGGATAGGATTATAGTAGATCCTGTAAGTCTTTCACTTAAGTAGAAGCTAGCCAAGACATTTCTTTGCATAGAAGTTGGATGGCAGTGGCTAAAGCACTGAAATTTAGAAAGTCTATAAGAAAATCATCTCACAGTGATGTTGAAATAACTGACTGTAGAGTCCTCAACTTTCACTTTTTATCATACAGTTGTTCCTTTGGTTTGGCCAGAAAGTGATGCTGACTTTTGATTCCTGTCTTAGGCAAAGTGTAAATGTAACTTTTTCAGGAGAAGAGGGAGAAGAGGATGAGAATGAAGCCTGGAAAAGCAGAGAGCATGGGCCTTGGTGTTTTCTCAGTGCTCTTAGTGAACAAGTGTGTGGGCTGTGAAGACAGCTTCCTGCCTGGGCAGAGGCTGTGGGAGGGCAGAGCCCCAGAGAGAAGGAATGAGCTAACTGGACACAAGATGATGCAGATGGTGTGCAGGCCCGAGATGCTGTGCCTACTTCTGGAGTTGAAATTAAAGGGAGGAAATAGCTACTCAGCAAAAATGCTGCAAAGGTAAGGGGAAAAGAAAAAAGACAAATAGGGTGAACATTTGTTGGTTCCTTACCATGTGTAATGCTCCATACCAGGTAACAAAATAAATGCTAAGGCATTTGATCATTACAGCTCCACAGAGGAGGGTTTTTAATTTCCATTCCATAGATTGCTACATCTGAGAAATCTAGATTTCTAATAGATTCCTAATAATGAGTTTCAGAAAACTTTAGTAATCAGAGCAAGAGAATAGATAGTATTTGAACCTAGCATTCTCTGTTTTCAAAGCCAATGATTCAGGTATATTCATGAAGAAACAGTAAAACACAGAAAAATTCTTCCCATTGAGGAGTTTATTTGACAAAAGAGATAGACTATCTTTGGAAAGAAGTTGACTACCCTGGCTAGATTTTAATACTCAGTGGGTCAGAGGGCAAAATGAATTGATACAGGGGAAAACCTCCTACTCTTTCAATGATGCTCACCCCCTAAATGAACATGTTGCAGTGGGAAATTCCTTGATATTAACAGTAGCTTCACAGAACAGACACAGAATGACTCACAATCAAATTAAGATGCATAAATGGCACAATATATATTGAATCAGTTTAAAACATATTGAGAAACAAGGAGAAAGGGATGGGTGGTGGTGGTGGGGGTGGGGGTGGGCGTGGGTGGGTGGGACTTGACACACCTAGAATAGCATCCAGTTGGGTGGAAGGAGTTTGTTGCCTGAATGCTGGAGTCTTCAATGTTCATACATCTTGTCTTCCTACTGGAAGGCATCAGCCTTCCCTGCTGACTGTGTGGTTATGAGGACCAGAATTGCAGGTGAGCAAGGGGCTCAGTACACAGAAGGTGCCTGCGGTCAACATACACTTGCTCCATTGGAAAGACGCAAGAAACAGTACACAGGCCAGAAAGTGATGCTGAGTAGCTAAAGCTTTAATCTCCTTGTTTCCGGCAGAATGAGGTCAATAATGGCTGACTGAAGAATGCTAAACTGCCAAAAATATTTGATATCTCATAAGTGTTTTTATTCTTAAAAATTTGTTTTTAAAAACAATTTTATTGAGATATAATTGACACAAACTGCACATATTTAACATGTACAATTTAATTAGTTTGGATATAAATATGTAACCATAATCCCAGTCAAGATAATGAACATATCCATTATCCCCCAAAGTATTCTTGTGTCCTTTTGTAATCTATCTTTCTCTCCTCCCCAACCACTATTCTCAGACAGCCAGGAATCTGCTTTCTCTAATTACAGACTAGTTAGTATTTTACATAATTTTTAAATAAATGATACATATATACCACAAAATACTATGCAGCCATAAAGAAGAATGAGATTATGTTCTTTGCAGGGACATGGATGGAGCTGCAGGCCATTATCCTTAGGAAACTAACGTAGAAACAAAAAACCAAATATTGCATGTTCTCACTTGTAAGTGGGAACTAAAGACAAGAACACATGATACACAGAGGAGAACAATAGACACTGGGGCCTGTCAAAGGAGGGAGGGTGGGAGGAGGGAGAAGATCAGGAAAAATAACTAATGGGTACTAGGCTTAATACTGGGTGATGAAATAACCTGTACCACAAATCCTTATGACACAAATTTACCCATGGAACAAACCTGTACATCCTGCGCATGTACCCCTGAACTTAAAATAAATGTTAAAAAAGGAAATATACAGAAAGTACTCCTTCTCTTGCCTGGCTTATTTAAATCAACATAATTATTTTGGCCTGGCATGGTGGCTAATACCAGTAATCCCATCACTTTAGGAAGCCAAGGCAGGAGGATTTCCTGAGGCCGATCTTTGAGACTTGTCTGGGTGGCATAGTGAGACCCTGTCTCTGAAAATAAAAATAATTATTTTAAGATTCATCCTTGTTGTTGTGAGTGTTAATTGGTCACTCCTGTTTATTGCGGAGTAGTATTCCACTGTATTGATGTACCAAAATTTGCTTATTAGTTCACTTGTTAATGGACATTTGGGTCATTTCTAGTTTTTGGCTTTTACAAATAAAGCTGCTATGAACATTTGTGTATGACTTCCTCCTGACTTTTTAGAACAAGTCCTTTATTTCTTTTGGGAAAATATTTAGAAATGAAATGGTCAGATCATATCGTAGGCAATTTTAATGTTTTAAGAAACTGGTAAATGTTTTCTCAAGTGTTGTACCATTCTGTACTCCAGCAGCCACATGTTAGAATACCATTACTAAATATCTTGCCAACACTTGTTATAACCAGTTTTCTTAATTGTATGTTTCTAGTGTGTGTGTGATATCTCAATGTGGTTTTAATTTTCATTTCCCTAATCTCTGCTGAGCATCTAGTCATATGCTTTTTTGTTTTTGGTGTTTCTTCTTTGATGAAATGTGCATTTAAATATTTAGCCCATTTTTACGAAGCTGCTTGTCTTAATGTTATGTGATAAGAGTTCTTAATACTCTCAATATAAGTCCTTTGTCAGTTATTTTTCTTCTAGTGTGCAACTTGAATTTTTATTTTTGTTAACAGTGTCTTATCTTCAAATAAAGCTACATCATTCATATACAGTAAGAAAACCTTGTAACAACTTACTTTTATTTTCCCCACCAGCTTTTGTGCTATTATCATATATTTTACTTCTACATGTTGTAAGCCTCACAATCCATTGTCATTATTTTTTTTTCATGAGTCAGTTATCTTTTAAGAAAAATTGGAAAAGAAAAGCACCCCAGTGCTTACCACTGCCAATGTTCTTCATTTCTTTGTGTGGACTCATATTTCCATTTGTTGTCAATTTCCTGGTGTATAAAGGACTTCCTTTAATATGTGTGTGTGTGGGTGGAGCAGGGGGAGAGTGTTTAAGGTCTGCTGGTGAATTCTATCAGCTTTTGTATATCTGAAAAAGTCTTTGTTTTACCTTGATTTCTGAAAGATATATTTGCTGTATATAGAATTCTATGTTGACAACTTTTTCTTATGTTGCTCCACTGTCTTCTGGCTTGCATTGATTCTGATAAGTTGTCTGTTATTCTTGTTCTTCTGTATATAACATGTCTTTTTCTCTGGATGCTTTTACGTTGTTTTTTTATTACTTGTTAAGCAATTAGATTATTTGCCTTTGTATAGTTTTCTTCTCTGTTCTTATACTTCGGGTTCACTGTACTTTTTTGATCTGTGTAGTTATAGATTTCACAAAATTTGAAAATATTTAGTAATTATTTTTGCAAATGTTTCAGTTTTCTCCTATCTCTCCTCTTCTTTAAGAACTCCAATTACATGTATGTTTGGCTAATCAAAGTCACTGTCCCACAGTTCACTGATGTGCTATTCATCTTTTTTTAGGTCTCTCTTCTCTGTGTGTTTTGTTTTGGATAATTTTTATTTCTCTATCTTCAAGTTTAACAGTTTTTCTTCTACTGTGTCTAATCTACTGTTAATTTTATCTAGTCATCATTGTTTTCAACTCTGGAAGTTCAATTTTGGTCTTTAAAACTTTTTAAACATTCCATGTCTCTTTTTATTATGCTTATATTTTCCTTTATCTTCTTTGACATATGGAATATATTTATATTAATTATTTTAATGTCCTTGCCTACTGGTTTTGTCATCTATGTAATTTCTGAATCTATTTCTATTGATTGACTTTTGGGGTGGGGGGCGTTATGAGTTACATTCTTTTTACTTCATTGCCTGCCTGGCAATTCCTTATTGAATACCAGATATTGTGAATGTTACCTTGTTGGGTGCTGGATGTTTTTCTATTTTAAAAAATATTCTTCAGCTTTGGTCTAGGATGCAGTTACATTACTTTGAAATAGTTTGATTCTCTCAAGGCATGCTTTTAAGCTTTGCTAGGTGGGAAAAGAATAGTATTTAGTGTATTTTTTAGTCTAGGGCTAATTTTTACCTACTACAGAGGCAACCCCTTTCTGAGTACTTTACCTCATTCTTTGTGTGTTATGAATCTTTTTTCTGTGGCTGGTGGGAACACAAGCTCTGCCAAGCTTTGTGTGAACTCTGAGTATTGTTCTGCCTGTTTCTTTCCTGTGGTCCTTTTCCCAGCAACAGGCAGTTTCCTCATACATGCACTGACCACTATTCAACTAAAAACTCAGGGGAACTCTGTGCAGATCTCTAGCTCTTTCTCTTTGTAGTTCTCACCTTTCCATGAAGCCCTCTCCTCTCCATGAAGTTTTCTCCTTTATGAAATGATCTCCTTTCTAGTACTCTACCCACTGAATTCTAGCTGCTTTGGTCTCTGAATTTTCAAATCTATATCTTCAACTCAGGGAAACCTATGGTCTCTGTTTGAGACTCCCTCTCTGCTGTGTGACTTAGCAACTCTTTTCATAAGCTATTTTCAAGTCTTTTGCTATTTTCACATTTGCTTTCCTATTCCAAAGGATAACTGTCCTGTGCTGCCTACCTAAAAACAATTAATTCATAATTATGTCTGGTTTTTTTAAAGAGGGAGATCCATGTTACTTCATGTTACCTTGTCTTGACTAGGAGTGGCAGTTGCCTCATTTGCTCCTTCCATTATTTCCTATCTATGTTTAGCACACCTGTGCTTTATTTTAAGTATGACTCACATGTTTCAAGGTCTAGTTGCTTACTTGCTAGATATAAAAACTCATATTACAGAATAGAATAATTTAAACATTTTCCCTTTATTTCACAAGTACTACATGTTTATTTTAGAAAAAAATAGAAAATAAGATAAACAAAAAGAAGAAAACACAAGTCACCATTAAGTCTACTACATTGCAGTTACTATTTTGGTGTCATCTCACAGCTAGGGGATTCTTTTATTGGGAAACACTGCGATATACTTGATGGACATTTTGGTTGATAAAGATGAGGTTTCCTGGGTGTATGATAGTCAGGTACGTGAGAAAAGAGATGACTTAATTGTTCTTCCTAATAAGGAGAAGAATCTATGGTTTTCCAGAACTTACTTGAAATGGTAAAGAGAAGGGACAGATAGAAGAGAAGACTTGTGAAAAGAAGCCGATTAAGAGGTCAGTGGGAGTTGAACAATGAGAACACATGGACACAGGGGCAGGGTCCTCACACACTGGGGCCTGTCATGGGGTGGGAAGCTGGGGGAGGGATAGCATTAGGAGAAATACCTAATGTAGATGATGGGTTGATGGGTGTGGCAAACCACCATGGCACGTGTATACCTATGTAACAAACCTGCACTTTCTGCCATGTACCCCAGAACTATAAGTATATATATATATAGAGAGAGATCAGTAAACGGGAGTCTAAGAAGAGAAATTCCCTGTGGCCAGGAATTGCTTAGTCATTCTTTCCTCAATTACTTGTAAGAACATACATCTAATATTAAATTTAAATTGTCATTTGTACTGTGCTAAAATCTCAAAAACATTAAATATCATCTGCTAGTGCTTTTTGTGCTTTGGAAGAATTAATTTACCAGGTATTTATTGGATATCTACTGGGTACCAGGCACCATTCTGGGTACCTGGAATACAACGAACAGAGGTCCCTCTCCTTTAGAGCTTGCATTTGAATAGGGATCAACAATGCACAAGAAAAATAATTAATAGGTACATTTCATAATGTTTTAGAAAGTGATTCATACCTTAGAAAAATAGGGGAAGTAGAGCAGAAGTGTAGGGTTAGGCTAGGGTGAAGGAGGCAAGTTAGACTTTTAAATTGGTTGGTCAAGATGAGTAAAGACTTAAAGAAGATGGGGGAGTTAGCAACAAGGATAGCAGGGGGAAGAGCAGTTCCAGCTCAGGGAGCAGCCAGTGCAAAGGCCCTCAGGCAGAAGCTGCTTTTCATGATAAGAACCAGCAAGGAGACCAGATTAATGTCTTACTACTCCTAATAAGGAAAAGAAAGTAGATGTGTATATTCAATCCAGGAGTGCTTGGATAAAACCATAAATTTTAGAAAAAACATATTTGGATCTAGAGATAACAGCAAGAAACACAAGCAGATACTGCTTGGGAGACTGATCTAGGATGACAATCAGCAATGAAATAGTAAAAACGGCTCAAAAATAGCAGTACAATATATCTCATTTGTACTCAGATTTGTTGTTGATGTTATTTTAGTAATTAATCTTGGAATTGTTTAGCCCCAAGCCCCGATCTACCCATATGGTGTAGAGACCATTTGTAACTTTTTGGTTTTCTTTTTTACTTTCCTTCCTTTTGGGAAATGGCCCTTCCCATCCTGGACGCTCTCGACCTATAGGCATAACCTACTCTAACCGTGGGGTAGGCACCAAGAATTAGGCTGGAAAATCAGTAATTCAAACTCTTGGCCACAAAAATTGGTCAATTTGGGGACGGGCAAATTGCAGAGTCCAGTCATATCTGAGTCTGTCTAAAAATTGATATGGACTGTAGGAGGTTGCACTCTTTTCCTTGGGAACACTGGATACAAAGATGATATGAGAGCCCTGTGGATATTTTGCTGACATAGAAAGACTTCTTGATAAACAGCAGAGCAGAGAGGAAAAAGAGAGAGAGAGAGAGAGAGCAAGCCCAATAATATTGATTGAAACCCTGCCTCCAGCCATGTTCCATGTCAGCACCAGCACCATCCCATTTGATTTCTCATGGGCTAATACATTTGTTTTGCCTAAACCTTTTGGGTTTCTATTGCTTGCAACCCAAAAGATCCTGTTAAATGAGAACACTTGCCTTCTCCAAACTTTCCCCACACCATTTCTAGAGTCCCAAGAGGTGTCTTAAATGCCTCCAGAATTGGTCTGGGTTGTCCCTGTCTGTTGCCACATTATTGACCATGGCCCAGAGGAGGCTCTGCTGCTCTAAATGTGAGCTAAGCCTGAAATCTACCGGCAGAGGTGCCTTTGGCCTTGCTGAATGGATCCCCCACTGCAGGGTGAGAAACCCTGCTTACTGCTCTGTAAGGTTGCTGAATGTTAAGATAGGAGAGGCTCCTGTCTATGTGTTTATTTGGAAGTTCCAAAGCAAGTCTCCTTGAGCCACAAGTTGTTACTAAGTTAGAATGGAAACGACTCTTTTAGTGGACACATTCACCCATCTTCAGAAAGCCTAATCCAGGCTCTTCACCCAGGACACCTCTGTCCTTTTCCTTTTGGCTTCACTGTAGGGCAGCTCATGTGCAAGTTTCCTTCCCTGTAAGGGGACTATCCTCAGATACACTGACCCCTTCACCCCCGCCATTGCTATTCGCTCTCATTTGGTCTTCCTGAGTTTACAATTAGTTAGAAAAGGGAGGCACAGTAGGTGGAGTGGATATGGTCACTTATCTCTGATATTATCTATGGTCACTTTCAAATCCTGACTCTGGTTCACTAGAATCAGGCAATCACATATAACCTGGCATGAATTTAGATTGCTGAAGTTGAATAGCAATGGATTGGTCAGCCTACCATGCAGGCTGATATTCATTGTTTGGTCATGTCTATGAGAAGACAGACTGCTAAGAAACAAAACAAAACAAAACAAATCAGCAAAAAACCCCTCCAGTCTAAAATTAAAAAGCTGAATGTACTGGTAACTTACCAAGCTACATGGGCATTTTCATAAAATAGTCAGCATTGTGGTAATTACTACTTAACCAGCATATTTAGCATCTCTTTATGGGCCAGACGCTATGATAGGCATCTTACCCTACTTGGTTTGATTTGGAAGGGAGTTATGCCTTGCACTCTCTAAATTTGCAAGCAAAACCTGAAAGTAGTGGCTGAATAAGATCCCTGGTAAATCTTCAAAGCTGCCAAAATGTTTTATGTTTTGTGAGGTCAAGCTCAGGATTATATACCTGGTTTGGGGTTACGCATGTAGATCTGGGGTGTGGTTGGTGACTCAAACACATGTCAGGGAGGTTTGGTTGCGGAAAGTGTGATAGATGTTAGGAGAGCTCCTGCAACTTTTTTGGTTTGAAGCAGCATTTGATACTATTAGACTCCAGGGCCCACATTTAATTTAGAAGCTTAAAGACACTAGGGTTCAGAAAAATATAAAAAAATTTTACCCCGGGTTTTTTCTATTGTGCTTTCAAATTGCAAGATAAAGGCAAAACCTCAGAAATAATTAGCAAACCTAAATTCCTGGAATCTCTCAACACACTTGAAGCATTCCTGTAAAACAAGCACGTGTTTCAGGATTTGGTGCGCAATCTTGCGTTTATCCTTTCTTTTACCTTGTAATGTTTCCCATCTTTCTCTCTTAAGCCTACTCTGTGGATCTCAGAAAAGCCCTTCTGGTCTGCAGTGGGTCTTCTGTTACCACTTTCTAGGTTCTTCAAACTCAGTCCTGGCTCGATCATACTGTAAGGGGATGGGTTTGACTGACTCCCAGCATCATTCAGCTGACTCAGGAATAATGGACTCCAGTATCTACGGGAAGTATCTGCGTCTTTTTCTCCCTTCCCTCTCCTGCTGCACACTCCAAAATATGTTGAAATTCTAAAAGAATGCAAAATAACAAATGAGAACTCAAAATGAAAAAATACACTCTATATACTTTTTTGTTCCTTTTGCAACACGGTATGTTGAAGTGGATGCAATTTCTAAGTGCACTGTTTGGCAAAATGTATGGAAAGATTTGGTGATGTGTTAGTCACCCTGATTGGCCAAGAGAACTGCCTGTTGCCACTGATGCCACATGGTAGGAACATTGGGCCAAGTGTCTGGGACTTTGGTGTTGTTGTTGGAGTTCAATCCGTACCAACTGGACCCATACATCAACTTTGTGTTGAGGTAATGGTGCAGTACATAAATAGAATCATTCAGAAGTAGAGGCCCAATTACTAAATTAAAAGCCTGGTGCCTCATGGATAAGTACCATTCTTTGTTAAAATTTGCCAGTTTCTAAAAATCCCAATATTTTAATTCATTATTTAATTAAATAATATAAGTTCCATTAAAACACAACAGCACTAAAAGGGAATTGAAACACCACAAAGGTGAAAATCCAATAAGCAAACGTATGTATGTTCTTCAAATGATGGCAAGGGAGAGAAGGAGGTGCCACATGACACTAGGGAATTCTTTTATTTCTTCCTTGTGGAGTTTTCCACATAATTATCATAAACTGCCACAGGATTTAAAAGGTTTGGCTTGTTGCAAGCTTCCTTAATTTTAGCAATAAAAATATCCTCCTTCTCTTAGTTTTATTCCCCGGCTTACCAGGAATCTATACACAAATAATTTTCTGCTTTAATTAAGCATTCCTTTCTAGATATGTGCCAAGGCATATGTTTCTCCCCTCAAAGTCAGGGCCCTCTTCCAAGGTGGGCGGATAGCCTCTCAATAGGATGTAGCGCCTTACTATTTTCTGTTTCTGTGTGAATGCAGGAGTCCCAATATTTTTTTCCAGCCAACAGAGTCTGGGGTGCTCATTAAGAATTTTCCAGAAGGTAATTTGTGGGGCAATTGTGGCCTGTAATGTGCATAATGACCCACATCCTGCCACCTCCCCTTAGTGTCCATGGCAGACATAATTTATCCATTGTGGTGCACCTTCCCATGCAATTTGGGTGTGCTTTGGAATCTTTCTCAGTGGCATGCTTCAGACAGCTACTACCTATCAGAGACTGGATACCAAAGTCCTCTTACTTGCTAGCCCTTGGCTCCCATGTCTCTAATCTGCCTGAGTAGCATTGCCTGGCTTCACATATTCTGGATGGAAGGAGGCAAACAGGGATTACCCCTCCTGAAAGGTGGCTCAAGAATACTGACTTCTTGAACTTTCTGAATCAAAGGAGCACCTGGCTTTAGGGATTCTGCAGGAATAACATCAAGGGAAGTCATTTACAGCCAAATGCAAGTTCAATTCCAAGTATGCAGGAAGAGATAACCAGCATGAGAGTCTAATAAATCCTGACCATCACAGACTGACATGGCTTCTTGTTCAATAAAACATCACTTTCCTTCATTTGTGAAAATGAAACAGTATGAAAATGAAAATGATACAGTATAACTGTATCCTGGGGCAGCCCAACACAACTACTTGAATTTATAAAAGAGGATGGTAGACTTAGAAGTAGCAAAATAGACTATTGCTGCCTCTTAGAATGAAGGGGAGAGCAAGAGAGCCAGATAGTGGAGTAAAAAAAAGTGTTAACTGCATTACACTCACAAACTATAATCATTTAGACAAGGCTGGAATGTGGTGAATTTCTGCCTAGTTTTTGAAGAATTTAGGTAAATTAGTCATATAAACAAGATTATGCTGTGTAAGAGAGCAGATTATTTTATGCATTTAGAGAAATTCATGTTATTGATTGTACCTGAGACCATAAACATTGCATTTCAGTTAAAATGTTACCTAGTTCAGTTGAGGTCGGTTTAGCCCAGGTTGTCTGAATTTGTCTTTCCTAGCCCTTCCCCTAAGGATCCACTCAAAGCTCAGTAGAAAATACTGCAGACTTGTGTAGTATCCTCTACCCCACAGGATCTCTGTGTTGACTGGCGTGATTTCTGACCTCCTTTCTCAACCAGCTGGCATCTAGTTCCCTTCTGTTCACCTCTTCATTCTCTACTGTGATCAGTTTATCTGTCTCACCTCTTCTATATGGGCCTCCCTTACAAATGCAACATTATCTTCCATTAAGCTCTGAACCCTCGGCTCTATTTTCCAGAACACCTATCTCAGTGCTTCCCTGTATGCATCAAGGAGTAACCATACCCTTAATAGAAATAGTTTAAAACATCTCACCCTCATGCCTTTCCCTGAATGTTGATCTCAAACAGGTGTGTCCCAGTCTTGTTAATGAGCCTGGATGCCTGGATACAATTACTGAGGTGTCTATGCAGAATAACCGGTTTTAAGCAAATTTATAAATTTGGCCTGTATTTATTTATTTTAAAATTTCTCTTCACTTTTCTTATGGTATATTTCTCCCCAATCTTGTTGCTTAAACACACACACACACACACACACACACACACACACACACACACACACACAAACAAACAATATAAAACCATAAGGATGCCTTTTCAAAGTTGTTAGCTATTCTTGAAATTTTCTTCATAAATATCTCTAGCAACCTAAGAGAACAATTAACAGGTACTACTACTCAGGGGTCAGGAGATATTTTGCAAAAAGCCACAACTCCGTACTTAAGTTTTCCTATTTTTATCTTAAAATTCATGCATTTTCACTGTTTTGCATGACATATATTTAGTTTTATTTTATACAAAATATGCTTTTGCTTATTTTTACTGTCTTATTGATAAGGCTTAAGAGTCTCAGATTTAGGAAATAAAAAATACAGGATACCTAGTTAAATTTGAATTTCATATAAATGAAATATAATTATTTGTGTAAGTATGTACTTTATCTAGCAACCCTAATAAGGATTGAGGTACTTCACTTTAAGACTATCATTTCTGGAACTAGGCATATTGAAGAGTACTGACAATGCAACCAGGATTTTTCTTCTCTGAACATGTTGATATTTCAAGAACTTATGTTCAAATATATAAAGGCACATAGTAAATTGTGTCATGCTGAGCACAAATAGATCCCAATAAGTTATTCAGCTTTCCTAATTATACAGGTTGGACCATGTCTTTTGACTTTAAAGGATAATGTCCTCAGAGAGATTTTATCTGACCTTTCAGTCTAGATTATGTTTTCATTTATAGCAGTCACACTACTTCTTCTCACAAGCTTTATTTGTAATTATTTGATTATTGGTAATTATTTGATCCAATAATTAAATAATTGCAATTATTTGATTATTGGTAATTATTTGATCCAATAATCAAATAATTATTTATTTACTGTATGGTTCTACCACTACTATAGGCTTCATGAGGGCAGAGATCTTTCCCATTTTGTTCTGTGATGTACTCAATGTTCACCAGTGTACCTGACATATAATAAGTGATTAATAAATTCAGACACTACAATAGAAGATTCCATTTTCTATAGTAACAAATAGAAAAAAAACTGGGAGTAAATATGCCAACAAGTATGGGAAACATATATAAATAACACTTTTTTTTTTCAAGACACAGTTTCACTCTGTCATTCAGGCTGGAGTGCAGTGGTGCAATTTCAGCTCACTGCAACCTCCACCTCATGGGCTCAAGTAATCCTCCCACCTCAGCCTCCAGAGTTGCTGGGACTACAGGTGCATGTCACCACACCTGGCTAGTTTTTAAAAATTTTTCTGTAGTAGCGTGGTTTCTCCATGTTGCCCAGGTTGGTCTTGAATTCCTGAGGTCAAGCTGTCAGCCTGTCTTGGCCTCCCAAAGTGCTGGGATTACAGTTGTGAGCCACCAAGCCCAGCTTATAAATAAAACCTAAACATACTTCTGAAGGGCACAAAAGAGACATGAATACAAAAATAGTATACAAAAGTATACTATGTTTTTAGATAGGAAGTCTTGATAGTTACCAAGATGTCAAAGCACACTGAATTAGTGTATAGATTTAACATGTTCTTGAAATTATACAACAATTTTTTTTTTTTGAGACAGAGTTTTGTCCTTTTTGCCCAGGCTGGAGTGCAATGGCGTGATCTTGGCTCACTGCAACCTCCGCCTCCCGGGTTCCGGGTTCACGCGATTCTCCTGCCTCAGCCTCTCGTGTAGCTAGGATTACAGGCACCCACCATATGCCTGGCTAATTTTGTATTTTTAGTAGAGATGGGGTTTCACCATGTTGGCCAGGCTGGTCTTGAACTTCTGACCTCAGGTGATCCACCCGCCTCAGCCTCCCAAAGTGCTGGACTACAGGCGGGAGACACTGCACCCAGCCCACAAATTTTTAAACTTTGAAAGTAATTCTAATGTTCAAATGAAAACAAAACAAACACACAAAAGAGCTAGGAAAATTTTAAAAGAACAACACAATAAGGGTAGATTATACATCCCAGCTAATATAGTATATTAATAGAACTTCAATAATTAAACTGTGATTAGGGCATAAGAAGACGTAGGTGGATCAATAAAATAGATGAAAAAGTCTAAGTTACATCTCAAATTAATGACAATAATAATTTTTCATTAAATATTGTTGGAGCATCTGTGTAACCATCTAGAAAAAAGTAAAATTGAATTCATACTTCATGCCATACACCATATAAACTTCAAAATGGATCAGCAATTTAAATGTGAAACTGAAACCATAAGTGTAATAAAAGAAAATGTAGCAGAATTCATTTTTAATGTTAGAGTAGGGAAGACCTTTGTGTGACTTAAGATCTAGAAGCCATAAACAAAGATTGATAAATTAATTAGATTATATACAAGAGAAAAAAGATATTCTGCATAGTGAAAACAAAATAAAATTCTTTAGGTAAAGTAAAAAGATGAACAACACAATAGGAAAAAAAAACCACTCACAATTCCTATCAGTGAAAAAAAAAGCCAATGTCCCTAATATATCAAGAGTTCCTAGAAATAATTAAAAAAAAGACCAACAATCCAATAGAAGGTTGATATTACATTATGGGAGAGGATGTGGGGAGACAGGTGTGTTTACTCCTGTTGGTGTGTTAATTGGCAAACATTTATGGAAAGTAACTCAGCAATAGTTACCAAAATTACATGCATAAATTATATAAAATGCATGAAAATATAAAGTTATGGACATTTGCTTGGTGACCTAATGTCTTTTTAAAAGGGACTAGTTAAATAAATTAAGGTACATCTATGTAATGTAATACTATTCAATTGTAAAATGGAATAATGTCACTCCCTTATCTGGAAGGAAAACCTCCAAAATACATATGTGAAAAAAAGCATGTGTCAAATGAAGTGCATGGTGTAAAAATGTTTTTATATATTAATGTGTGTATATGTATGCATGTGTATATGTACACACATATATACTCATACATGTATTTAGTTTACATATATATTTATTATGCATAAGGAAACTCACAGAGGATAAATAAGAAATTTCCTGTTAGGATGAATTGAGACTAGGAAGAGGAAACTAGGTGAATATGAAACAGGAGCAGGAGAGAGACTTTTAGTTGTATGACCTCTTATTGTTTAATTTATTTTTGAAAGATGCTAAGGTAATACACATTTAATAAATTAGGTAAGTAAATTGATTTTAAGAAGAAAAAAAAGACATCACCCAGAAAAACCAACAACAATAATAACTGTTTATACTGTGAAATTTATTATTGAGGATTGAATAAAAGTGCACTGAAAGGATACCAATGTTTTATGTTCTTTTTATTTTAAGCTGCCTTAAATTACTTTTGAAAATAGGGGGCAGATAAATAAATAAGTGTATGTTTATGCTAACATTTGTTGGTCAGTATTGATTTATCTAGGGTGAACACTAATTCCTTTAAATTAGGAATGGGGAGTCTCCTTAGGGTTATGCAAAGAATCATAGAAGGCCTAACTGGTGCTCTCTGTTAGGAGATATTCAGTGGGATTTTGTGCTGCTGAAAAAAATGACTGAAGGCATTTTGGCATTCCATACTTCAAGAACAGAATCTCAAAACCAAATGTGGTAAAACTCAGTAACTTCTTACTAGAAACTAAGCTACCTGGAGGGAAACCAAACACACTCTTCTTCCTGCTGGGAAGTGGCAACAGTGGCCTCTGGCATTGTGATGTAAACGGCGCATCAGAATCATCTCACCATCAAGTCTAATCTTTATTACTGCCATTGTACCATTTCGCTTTTAACAACAAAGGTGCTAGAGAGCATAAAACAAATTTCCCTTCTTACACACTATAGCAGGGTCACTCTTCCCCAGAGCATACAATGTTTATATTTTAAAACCTAACAGAATAGTTTCCTTGATATTCTGTTTATAATAGAGGTCCTGATGAAATCCACATGGCTTACATTCAACTGAAGTGAGGTTGATTGACAGAGGAAAGAACTTTAATAATAACTGGAAAGAAATAGGACTGCACCGTGGAGTGAGGAAGTTTACTTCCAAATTATGAGGCTGAGATGGAAATTTTAAGTTCCTTTACTTCTTACCAGAATCATTCTGAACTCCTGTATTCCTTTGACATCAATGGCTAAATTATTTTTCCACCTTCACCTTGCCAGGAAAGGCTGCCAGAACCATCTTTGTGTTCATCGTCTCTTGGATGGACTACTGTGAAGTGATGAATTGGGTGTAGAGACAGGGAGCAGGGATGGGGAGGGGGAAGTAGCCCCAGATGAGCAGAACAGACTACAGACTATTCTTGTTTTCTTTAATAGCTGTGTTAACAGTTTCTAGGAGATGATTTAAACCAATATTGCTACTTTAAAGAATTTCTAGTTAAGTTATCTCTCTTTTTGAACAATGAAATCTCTGTTCTCAGTGGCTCTTTTCCTTTGAACTCTTTTAAATCAATTAATTTTAATTGAGGATATATATCCCTGTTCATTCCCTGTGTTTTAGATGAGTATGTCTGGTTCTATTTCAGTATCCTGAAATAAGATAATATTAATAGCTTTCTCATCTTATGAAATACTTATATATGTGTGTTTGCATATATACATATGAACAGTTATCTGTTACTTGCTTAATATCAATTTCCCTGTGTTATAACAAAAACCACATGAAAATAGCCTTCTTTGTCTTAGTCACCTCTGGATCCCCCATATCTAGTACAAGGTTTGGCATATAGTAGGTCTCAATGATTATTATCGAAAAATAAATTTGGGCTCAAATCTGAATTCTATCACTTAGAACATTTCTGACCTTAGATAAGTTAATTAACTTAAGCCTTAATCTCGTCACCTATAATAATAGTACCTTACTCATAGAGATTGTGTTGCAGTTAAATAGAGCTTAGTGAGATGCCTGGCACCCAGCAAGGAGTTATTAAATGTTAGCTGTTTGTGGTTGTTAGCTCTGGCCCACCTGTGGCTTCTGGCAGAGAAATTTGTGACAGGACGATAATTTCAAGTATGATACATTATATACTTGGCTTACTTGGTGAAGAATTTTGACTATTTTAAAAATTATACCTAAATTCCCTCTGCATGTTTCACTATCAACATTTCTAGTTATTGCTTTTCAACAATCCAAAATGTTGATTTATGAGATCTGATGGTTTGGTTGATCTCTAGGTTGTATAAAGTTAATGAATGTCGTGTGTAAACAGCAGTATTAATTGTCTGAGAGACCATAGGCTAGTTCAGATTGGTTTACTAATACCTGTTTGTAAACTTAGGTTAACAACAAGTTATAAAAGTTTAGCAATAAATTTACCACTCTGAGCTGTTAAATATTCAGACACTAAAAATATTTAGGGTAGGGAAATTTAGGGGAACTGATTTGCCACTATATATATACACACATTAGAATTTTGAGGCTATATAGCCTTAAAGAGGAGGGCATCTGTCATTCTTGATAACATGGATGATGGACCTGGAGGACATTATGTTAAGTATTAATAAGCCAGACATAGAAAGACAAATACTGTATGATTGATCTCACTTACATGTGTAAATAAAATAGTCATACTCATAGAAGCAAAGAGTAGAATGATGGTTACCAGAGGCTGAGAGTAGTGGAAATGGAGAGACGATGATCAAATGATACAGTTTCAGCTAAACACAGGAATACAGTTTTTGAGATCTATTATCTTTTGAGTCACAATCAGGTGACTATAATTAGTAATAATGTGTTGTATATTTCTAAGTTGCTTAGAGCAAATTTCAAATGTTCTCCCCACAAAAAATCATAAGTATTTGAGGTGATGGATATGAGATTAGCTTGTCATTCCACATTGTATACATATATCATAACATCACAATAAAATAAGATATAAAAAATAAAATGAGATGTGATAACCAGAAAGGTGATTATTTCAGACCATAAGATTATATGCTTTGTAACAACAAAAAATGAATGAAAAACTCTTAGAAATATTAAGGATATTAAGTAAAATGATCAGACATAAAATAAATACAAATGAATAATATTTATTATATTGTAAAAACAACCCACTATAAAATATTAAAAATATGACATTCTAAATAGCAAGAAAAAATTATATAGGGAAAAATAAGCATGGAGCATTATATAGCAGTTTAAAGCAACAACAGCTATACTGAGTGTGTGTATATATATTACATATGAGTCTGTATACATATATACATACACTCAATTAATTTCCATGACAAGGCATATATCTTCATTTACAGTCTTTATGTATTTTGATAAATTTATAAATATCTTTGTAAAGCTCTTACCTAAATTTTGCTAGATTTATTACTAGGTAACATATTTTGATGATATTATGCATTATCTTTTTTAAAAATGTAGCTGAAATAGTAGAGACATTATTTTTGCATTCTTTTAGCCTTTTTGCACTTGTTATTACTGATAAATCTGGATTATTACTATCACCTGATTTTGTCCTTTCTTTTCTCCCACCTTTTCTATGTTTCTTTTGTAATCTTTTCTTCCTTTCTTTAGATAGGTGAAATATTTTTCTTATTCCATATTTTCTACTTGTTGGAAGGTTGTCTGTTATACTGGTATTCTGATTGGTTACCTTAATCATTTTAGCATGTATACCTAACTTATCAAAGTTTACATTTAATTAATATCTTTATCAACATTGTAAACAATATCAGGTTCTTAAATCACTCTAACACCAATCACCTGCCTGCTGACTATTAGCAGTCAGTGGTTAGTCTTTTAGGTCTATTTTTCACCCTGTCTCTGCAAGAGCTATGATTACACAATCAATGATTTACTCATCTCATTATCATTTTCTTTGCCCATTACTCCTTTTCCTTGCATCTCAGATCTTCCATTTGTGATTGCTTTCCTTCTACCTGAGGTACAACACTCAGAAATTTCCTGTTAAGTGTCAGTTGGAAGCAAAGTCTCAATTTATATTTGTTTGCAAAGATCTTTAGATATTGCTCCTGATATGTATTTTGCTGAGTGTACAACTCTAGCTGCGAATGTTTTTTTTTTAAATTTTTTGCACATTGAACATACAATTTCGCAGTCTTTTGCCTTGTTGCTTTGAGGAAGTCATCTCATAGTCTAATTGTTATTTCATTTTAGGTGGCTGTCTTTTCTATTTGGCTACTTGTTTTTGCCTCTGGTGTTGTGTACTTTCATCATAATGTGTCTAGGTGTGGAATTATTTATATTCATTCTGTTTTGTACTGTTAGGCCTCCTGGATAAGAAGGTTGAATAAGTTCATTTATGGAAAATTCTCAGCCATTCTCTTCAAAGGTACTTCTGACTCATTTTCCATTTTAGAACTTTGAGCTTCTCATACTGTCTTTCATGGCTTTCACTTCTCTCTTATAGTTTCGACTCTGTCATTCTTTGCTGTGTTATAGACATTTCTTTAGATTTCTTTGTTCATTAATATTCTTCATCTCCACTTAAGTTCTATTAAACTCTTCTATTGAGTTTTAAATTCTAATAATTATATTTTTATTTTCTTGAAGTTCTACTGTTTTATAAATATCTGGTCATTTAAAACGTCTCTTTTTTTCAATCATATGTTTAAAATTGCCCTCTTTATTTTGTTAAACATGTAAAACATACATTGATTTATAATTTTTCTCATAATACCAATAGCTGATGGTTTTTTGGGAGCAGGGGCGGTTGTTCATGTTGCCTTATTTCCTTGTTTCTGTTGGGAATTTTATTAAATCATGATTTCCAATTCCTTAGAATTTTATCTGAGTAAAGTTTTTGAGGATTGGTTTAAAGGTGTATTTCTCCAGAGATGATTTACATTTTTTCTGTTGATCAACTGGAGACATTACCAACTTGGGATCACTTTAAAGAAAATTCTGAATTTGTGGTTCTTTATATCTACAAAGTAGAGTGAATTTGGACTATAACCTATGCAGGACCAACTTGTTGTTACCAGTTTTCAAGGAAGATTTTTTTTCTCCTTTTCCCAGCACCAACATTGAAGATAATTTCCCTTGCTGTCCCTTTGGGAACAGGAGAAGGATGTGTTTATTTGTAGCTCACCATAACACAGATGATATAGCTCTTTAGGGCACCAGCTATATACATGGTGGGTGGGCCCTGGTCTTTGTCTCCTGTCTTCTATAGCTTGTTAGGCCTTGAAAACTGAAGTTCCAGTTAACCTAGAATCAGCCTTCAAAATGTAAGTTGCTCTTAGTTTGGCTAATTGCTCTGTATTCCCTCTTTCCCTTAGTTACTAGAATCTTAAAATTTCTTACTTCTTTGACAGGTTATAGATATGTTTAAAATGATACTCTAAATATTACCCTCCATTTTAGCAGAAATGACTGTTAGCAGAAAAGTCTGTCAGGATCTTTAATCGACTATTTGGAAACAGAAGTTCCGAGATCTGTTTTTCAGAAAGAATGCTCCCTAGTGTCTTATATTTTTTGGATATTTGTGCAATTCTTGGCATGTCTTTGGACTATGATCATGGTTTTTGTTGTTGCTGTTATTTTGTTGTTTCCGATTTATTCTATTAGTTACCAGATGTGAACTTAAACGGTTCTTGGGAATTTGATCAAATGCATTATTTTGGTAACTTGTTTGAAGTCTGCTGGGATATAGTATTATATCAAAATACAGTGTTAGTGTTGTGGAAACGTGAGAAAAAAATTAGCATGGGAATATACAAGATGAACTTGAGCATCTTGTAATGCCAGAAAGTAAGGATGTGTTAAAAAAAAAATCTGCAACGATGGGGCTATGTCAAAGGGACACAAGAACCAACTGAAAAAGTTCCCAATGGTTAAAGCTGAAGCAATTTGAGCAATAGAATAAACAAAGTAGTATCATACCCAAAGTATAAAATAAATATCTATGCATCCATACTGATATACAGAAATGATTGAATAAGTAAATAAATAGGGGAGAATAAACAATTCTAAATAATTTATGTAGCTATTCCTCTCTCAAGGAAATAAAACATAACTCCCCAATCTTGACGTGTGGCCTATACACAGTGACTTTTTTCTTTTTTAAAATTTTTTATTTCAATAGGTTTTTGGGGAACAAGTGGTGTTTGGTTACATAAATAAGTTCTTTAGTGGTGATTTCTGAGACTTTGGTTCACCCATCACCCAAGCAGTGTACACTGTACCCAATATATAATAGTCTTTTATTCCTCATCCCCCTACCACCCTTTCCCCTGAGTCCCCAAAGTTCATTGTATCATTCTTATGCATTTGCATCTCCATAGTTTCATTCCCACTTATGAGTGAGAACATATGATGTTTGGTTTTCCATTCCTGAGTTAATACACTTAAAATAATGGTCTCCAATTCCATCCTGGTTGCTGTGCAGGCCATTATTTCATTCCTTTTTATGGCTGAGTAGTATTCCATGGTGTGTGTGTATGCATGTATGTGTGTGTGTATATACATACACACACACACACATATACATATACACGTGCGTGTGTATATATATGTGTGTGTATATGTATATATACATATATAAAATGTTTTATATATATATAACATTTTCTTTATCCATATATCTATATATCTATATGTGTGTGCGTGTATACATACATATATATATATATAACATTTTCTTTATCCACTCACTGATTGATGGGCATTTGGGCTGGTTCCATATTTTTGCAATTGCGAATTGTGCTGCTGTAAACATGCATGTGCAAGTACGTTTTTTGTATAATGAATTCTATTCCTCTGGGTAGATAGCCATCAGTGGGGTTGCTGGATCAAATGGTAGATCTACTTTTAGTTCTTTAAGGAATCTCCACACTGTTTTCCATAGTGGTTGTACTAGTTTACATTCCCACCAGTAGTGTAAAAGTATTCCCTTTTCACCATATCCACACCGACATCTATTATTTTTTGATTATGGCCACTCTTGCAGGTGTAAGGTGGTATTGCATCATGGTTTTGATTTGCATTTCAGTGATCATTAGTGATGTTGAACACTTTTTTTCACGTTTGTTGGCCATTTGTGTATCTTCTTTTGAGAATTGCCTATTAATGTCCTTAGCCCACTTTTTGATGGGATTGTTTTTTTTCTTGCTGATTTGTTTGAGCTCCTTGTAAATTCTGGATATTAGTTCTTTGTCAGATGTACAGATTGTGAAGATTTTTTCCCACTCTGTAGGTGGTCTGTTTACTCTGCTGATTGTTTCTCTTGCTGTGCAGAAGCTTTTAGTTTAATTAAGTACCATCTATTTATCTTTGTTTTTCTTGCATTTGCTTTTGGGTTCTTGGTCATAAAATCTTTGTCTAAGACAATGTCTAGGAGGGGTTTTCCTATGTTATCTTCTAGAATTTTTATGTTTTTCAGGTCTTAGATTTAAGTCTTTGATCCATATTTAGTTGATTTTTGTTTAAGGTGAGAGATGAGGATCCAGTTTCTAATTCTACTTGTGGCTTGCCAATTATCCCAGCACCATTTGTTAAAAAGGGTGTCCTTTCCCCACTTTATGTTTTTGTTTGCTTTGTCAAAGATAAGTTGGCTGTAAGTATTTGGCTTTATTTTGGGGTTCTCTATTCTGTTCCATTGGTCGATGTGCCTATTTTTATATGAGTACCATGCTGTTTTGGTGACTATAGCTTTATAGTATAGTTTGAAGTTGGGTAATGTGATGCCTCCAGATTTGTTCTTTTTGCTTAGTATTCCTTTGGCTCTGTGGGCTTTTTTTGGTTCAATATGAATTTTAGGATTTTTTTTCTAGTTCTGTGGATAATGATAGTGCTATTTTGATGGGAATTGCATTAAATTTGTAGATCACTTTTGGAAGTATGGTCATTTTCACAACATTGATTCTACTCCTCCATGAGCATGGGATGTATTTCCATTAGTTTGTTGGTTTATGATTTCTTTTTTTTTTTTTTTTTTTTTTTTTTTTTTTGAGACGGAGTCTCGCTCTGTCGCCCAGGCTGGAGTGCAGTGGCGGGATCTCGGCTCACTGCAAGCTCCGCCTCCCGGGTTCACGCCATTCTCCTGCCTCAGCCTCCCAAGTAGCTGGGACTACAGGCGCCCGCCACTACACCCGGCTAATTTTTTGTATTTTTAGTAGAGACGGGGTTTCACCGTTTTAGCTGGGATGGTCTCGATCTCCTGACCTCGTGATCCGCCCGCCTCGGCCTCCCAAAGTGCTGGGATTACAGGCGTGAGCCACCGCGCCCGGCCTATGATTTCTTTTAGCAGTGTTTTGTAGTTTTCCTTGTAGAGGTCTTTCACCTCCTTGGTTAGGAATATTCCTAATTATTTTGATTTTTTAAATTTTTTATTTTTTTTTTGCAGTTATTGTAAATGGGGTTGAGTTCTTTATTTGATTCTCAGCTTGATCATTGTTGGTGTATAGCAGTACTACTTATTTGTGTACATTAATTTTGTTTTCTGAAACTTTTCTGAATTCATTGATCAGTTCTAGGAGCTTTTTGGATAAGTCTTAAGAGTTTTCTAGGTATATGATCATATCATCAGCAAACAGTGACAGTTTGACTTCCTCTTTACTGATTTAGATGCCCTTGATTTCTTTCTCTTGTCTGATTGCTCTGGCTAGGACTTCTAGTACTATGTGGAATAGAAGTGGTGAATAGAAATAGAAGTGGTTGAATAGAAGTAGGCATCCTTGTCTTATTCCAGTTCTCAGGGGGAATGCTTTCAACTTTTCCCCGTTCAGTATAATGTTGGTTGTTGGTTTGTCATAGATGACTTTTATTACATTAAGGTATTTCCCTTCTATGCCAATTTTGCTGAGGGTTTTAATGATTAAGGGATGCTGAATTTTGTCAGATGTTTTCTCCATGTTTTTAAAGATTATTGTATGGTTTTTGTTTTTAATTCTAGTTATGTGGTGTATCACATTTATTGACTTGTGTATATTAAACCAGTCCTGCATCCCTGATATGAAACCCACTTGATCATGGTGGTTTACCTTTTTCATATGCTGTTGGATTTGGTTAGCTAGTATTTTGTTGAGGATTTTGGCATCTATGTTCATCAGGGATATTGGTCTGTAGTTTTCTTTTTTTGTTATGTCCTTTCCTGTTTTTGGTAGTAGGGTGATACTAGCTTCATAGAATGATTTAGTGGGGATTCCTTCTTTCTGTATCTTCTGGAATATTTGTCAGAAGGATTGGTACCAATTCTTGGAATGTTTGACAGAATTCAGCTGTAAATCCTTCTGGTCCTGGATTTTTTTTATTGGTTGGCAATTTTTAAATTACAGTTTCAGTCTTGCTGCTTGTTATTGGTCTGTTCAGAGTTTCTATTTATTCCTGGTCTAATCTAGGAGGGTTGTATATTTTCAGGAATTTATCCATCTCCTTTAGGTTTTCTACTTTATGTGTGTAAAGGTTTTCATAGTAGCCTTGAATGATCTTTTGTGTTTCTGTGGTATCATTTGTAATATCTTCTGTTTCATTTCTAATTGAGCTTATTGATCTTATCTCTTCTTTTTTTGGTTAATCTCACTAATGGTCTATCTATTTTATTTATCTTTTCAAAGAACCAGCCTTTTGTCTCATTTATCTTTTGTATTGTTTTTGTTTGTTTCAATTTAATTTAGTGCTGCTGTGATCTTGGTTGTTTCTTTTCTTCCCTTGGGTTTGGGTTTGCTTTGTTCTTGTCTGTCTAGTTCCTTGAGGTGTGACCTTAGATTGTCTGTTTGTGCTCTTTTAGACTTTTTGATGTAGGCATTTAATGCTACAAACTTTCCTCTTACACCACTTTTGCTGTGTCCCAGAGGTTTTGATATGTTATGTCATTATTATTGTTCAGTTCAAAGAATTTTTAAATTTCCCCTTTGATTTCATTGTTAACCCAGTGATCATTCAGAAGCAGGTTATTGAATTACCATGTATTTGTAAGGTTTTGAGGGTTCCTTTTGGAGTTGATTTCCAATTTTATTCCACTGTGGCCTGAGAGAGTACTTGATATAATTTCAATTTTCTTAAATTTATTCAGACTTGTTTTGTAGCCTATGATATGGTCTATCTTGGAGAATGCTCCATGTGCTAAGTAGAATGTATATTCTGCAGTTGTTAGGTAGAATGTTCTGTAATTATTTGTTACATCTATTTCTTCTAGGGGAAAGTTTAAGTCCATTGTTTCTTTGTAAACTTTCTGTCTTGATGGCCTGTCTAGTGTTTTCAGTGGAATATTGAAGTCCCCCACTATTATTGTGTTGCTGTCTATCTCATCTCTTAGATCTAGTAGTAACTGTTTTATACATTTGAGAGCATTGGTGTTAGGTGCATCTGTATTTAGAATTGTGATATTTTCCTGTTGGACAAGGTCTTCTATTATTATAGAATGTTCCTCCTTGTCTTTTTTAACTGCTCTTGCTTTTAACTTTGTTTTGTCTGATGTAAGAACAGCTACTCCTGCTTGTGTTTGGTGTCTGTTTGTATGAAGTTTCTTTTTCTACATCTTTACCTTAAGTTTATGTGAGTCGTTATGTATTAGGCGAGTCTCTTGAAGAAGAGATACTTGGTTGGTGAATTCTTACCCATTCTGCCATTCTGTATCTTTTAAGTGGAGCATTTTGGCCATTTACATTCAAGGTTAGTACTGAGATGTGAGGTACTGTTCTATTCATCATACTGTTTGTTGCCTGAATACCTTGTGCTTTTTTTTCATTGTGTTATTATTTTATCAGTCCTGTGAGATTTATGCCTTAAGGAGGTTCTGTTTTGGTGTATTTTGAGGATTTATTTCAAGATTTAGAGCTCTAGTTCTTGTAGTGCTTGTTTAGTAGTGGCAAATTCTCTTAGCATCTGTTCATCTGAAAAAGACTGTATCTTTTCTTCATTTATGATGCTTAGTTTTTCTGGATACAAAATTCTTGGCTGATAATCATTTTGTTTAAGGAGGCTAAAGATAGGACCCCAATACCTTCTAGCTTGTAGGGTTTCTGTTGAGAAATCTGTGGTTAATTTGATAAGCTTTCCTTTATAGGTTACCTGATGCTTTTGCCTTACAGCTCTTAAGATTCTTTCCTTAGTCTTTACTTTAGATGATCTGATGACTATATGCCTACGTGATGATCCTTTTGTGGTGAATTTCCCAGGTGTTCTTTGAGCTCCTTGTATTTGGATATCTAGATCTCTAACAAGGCTGAGGAAGTTTTCCTTGATTTTTCCCTCAAATATTCTTTCCAAACTTTTAGATTTTTATTCTTCCTTGGGATATCAATTATTCTTAGGTTTGGTCATTTAACATAATCCCAAACTTCTTGGCAGCTTTGTTCATTTTTAAAAATTCTTTTCTTTTTGTCTTTTTTGGATTGGGTTAATGCAAAAGCCTTGTCTTCACATTCTGAAGTCCTATTTTCTGCTTATTCATTTCTATTGCTGAGACTTTCCAGTGCATTGTGCATTTCTCTAAGTGTGTCCTTCATTTCCAGAAATTGTGATTGTTTTTTATTTATGGTATCTATTTCTCAGGAGATTTTTCCATCAATATCTTGTAACATTTATTTGATTCGTTTAAGTTGATATTCACCCTTCTCTGGTACCTCCTTGAGTAGCCTAATAATTAACCTTCTGAATTCTTTTTCTGGAAATTCAGAGATTTCTTCTTGGTTTGTATCTCTTGCTGGTGAGCTAGTGTGATTTTGGGGGGTGTTAAAGATCCTTGTTTTGTCATATTACCGGAATTGTTTTTCTAGTTCCTTCTCATTTGGATAGACTATGTCAGAGGGAAGATCTGGGGCTCAAGGACTGCTGTTCAGAGTTTTCTGCCCCATGGGGTGCTCCCTGGTTGTGGGTGCTCAAGGATGTGGCTTCCTGAGAGCCAGACTGCAGTGATTATTATTTCTCTGTTGGATCTTGCTGCCCAGCAGAGCTACTGGGCTCCATGCTGGTATTGGAGAGTGTCTGCAAAGAGTCCTGTGATGTGATCCATCTTAAGGTCTCCCAGCCGTGGATATCAGTACCTGCTGCAGTGGAGATACCAGGGGAGTGACGTGAGGGCCTTTGGTTGTATTTTTATTACACCAATTTTGTGTTGGTTGGCCTCCAGTCAGGAGGTGGCGCTTTCAAGAGAGCATAAACTGCGGTAGTGTAGGGAGGATACAAGCTTGCCGTAGAGTTGCCTGGATAAGTTTCTCAGACAGTGGGCAGGGCCATAGCGCTCCCAACAGACTTTGTCCTTTGTCTTCAGCTACGAGGGTAGGTAAAGGAAACCCATCGGGTGGGGCTAGGTGTGTCTGATCTGACACTGTCTTTGGGTAGGGCTTGCTGTGGCTGCTGTGGATGATGGGGGTGGGATTCTCAGGCCAATGGACCTAGGTTCCCAAGGAAATTATGGCTGCCTCTGCTTCATCATGCAGGTCACCAGGGAAGCTGGGGAGAGCCGGCAGTTACAGGCCTCACCCAACTCCCATGCACCCCAAAAGGCCAGTCTCACTCCCACTGTGCACACCCAGCAGTACCAAGTTTATTTCCAGGCAGCGATGGGCAGGGCTGAGAACTTGCCCCAAGCTACAATACAAGCCTCCCTGCTGAGAAAGCAAGCAGGGCTTTCAGGTTTCTCACCTCCTTGCCTGCCACAGCTTCTGTACCGTGTCTGCACTCCAGGTTTGCCTCCTTCCTTGGGCTCTGTCCAAGAAACCACGTTTTGTCGAAATTGTTACAAAGTTCAGCTGGAAGTTTCCTTTTCCTTGTAGTCTTTCCTAATTCCACTGGCAGCTCTCCCCAAGGACCCCTGTGAGACAAAGTCAGAAATGGCCTCCCCAGGGACGGAGAGAGCCCACAGGGTTCTTCCTGCTGCTTCCTCTACTCCTGTATTTTGCTTGGCTCGCTATGTTAATCTCAGCTCCAGGTAAGGTCAAATCCTTTTCCCTTGATCTGGACCCTCAGATTCCCCAGGGAGGATGTGTGTTCAGGGGCCAACGATCGTCTTTTCACACTTTGGACACTCACAGTTTTTCGGCTGTCTCCAGGAAACTGGAGCAGCAATCTGCTTCCTTCAAAGGGTCTATGGATTCTCTGCTTTCCTGGTATGTTCCTGTGGTAGTTCTTGGAACAAAAGTCCATGATGTGAATCTCCATACACTGCTCTGTCCATCTGAGTGGGAGCTGCAGGTTAGTCCTGGCTCCTTTTAGAGGAAAATCTGTCATTTTCCTCTAAATCACACAGTGACTTCTTTCTAAAGAGTACAATATTAAAGGTGAGGGGGAAGAGCAACTTGTCAGTGGAAAACAAAATAAACACCACCCCAGCCAAATGATCAATGCTAATATCAATAGTGTGTGTGTGTGTATGTGTCCTGGATATGCTGTGATGAAAATAATGCTGTGGCCTTTCTCTCAAACACCTAGTCCTAGTCAAATTGTAAGAAAAATATCAAATAAATCTAAGTTGAGGAATTTTCTCAAAATGCCTGACCAGACTCCTGAAAACCATCAAGGTTATCAAAAACAAGGAAAGTCTAAGAAACTGTCACAGCGAAAAGGAGCCTAAGGAGACACGATGACTATGTAACATGGTATCTTAGATGGGATCCTGGGACAGAAAAAGGATATTAGATAAAGAGTAAGGAAATATGAATAAAGTATGCACTTTAATTAATAATAATGTAGTAATATTGGCTCATTAATTATGACAAATGTACTATGCTAGTGTAAGATGGAAATAATAGGAGAAACTGGGAAAGTGACACATGGAAATTCTCTGCACAGTCATTACAATATTTTTATACATTTAAAACTATTCTAAAACAAAATATGTATTGTTAAAAAATGCAAAAGTATTAGCTTGGGAACTTGAAGTTTAGTTTTGGCTTTGTAGTTAATCACCCTTAATGGCTTTGAACAAGTCACTCAAATTAATTCTCCTTATCTATTCCAAAGAAAAATAGTGCAATATTATATCTAAGTTCCCTTTTATTTCTTAGAGGTGGGAACAAAAAGTCAAAATTCAAAGAAATTAATTTGAAAAGAAAATAATTTTGCCCTCTTTGGTGACGGTGTCATCTGACCCCTTCCTCTGAAACTATAGTGACATGTGAATCTCATGTGAATCAACATGGTACAGTAGAATGGGATTAGCAGTAAGAATTGGGAGATGGTGGTGACATTGTGAGGTAGTATTTTAGTCTGTTTGGGTTCTATAAAAGAATACCATAAACTGGATAGCTTATAAACAACAGGAATTTTTCATTGTCCTAAAAGCTGGAAAGTTCAAGATCAAGATGCCAACAGATTCATTGTGGGATGAGGGCCTACTTTCAAGTTCACAGAGGATGCCTTCTCACTGTGTGGTCACAGTAAGAAGCTCTATCTAGGGTGAAGAAGCTCTATCTGGTTTCTTTTATAAGGGCACTAATCCCACTCATGCAGGTTTCATGCTTATGATCTAATCACCTCCCAAAGGCCCCACCTCCTAATACCACCACCTTGAGGGTTGGGATTTCAACATGTGAAATTCTGGGGGACACAAACATGCAGACCATAGCAGGTAAGTTTTTAATTCCTGTTTTATAGAAAAAGGAAAAGTAGTGTCAGAGAGGCTAAGCAACTTGCCAAGATGCTGCAGTTACTAAGGCATGAAGACATGTTCCAAACTCAGATATGTCCAAAAGTAAAATCCCTCATATAATGACTACTAATTTCATATTTGCCATTCACTAACTTTGTGCCTTGGGAAAGCATGTAATCTCCCCGGGCTCAATTTCCTCATGAAATGAGGAATTTGGACTAGATGATTTCTAATATCCCTTCCAGTTCCAGTATTTTTATCTTTATTCTGAGAAATTAACATTGAATTTCTTAGTATAGACTGTAAAGGTTCACCACTTTGGAGCACTGACTAGTGGAACTCACTAAGATAATTAATCAAATGGGGGAGAAAATGATTAATTATATAAATATGAGCAATTGCTTAATACTCCAACACAAAATTATGATAGACCCCAGGAAGCCTAATGAGGATTCTATAACCTTGCTGCTGAACCAAAAACTAAAGAATCTTTGGTTCAAGCTCCTCCTGACTTACTCCCCAGCTGTAGGTAGGGAAGCTGATAAAGAGAAAGAGAGAGAACAATGTGCATTTTTCTGTTATATGCAGGGAGTCTACCTACTGAAAGGGGGCCCAGTGGACATGGAACTCTAAGATAAGGCATTCTTCCTGGGCAGCAGTGAGTATAGGTGAGTGTGCAGAGAATAAAAATAACCCATCCCAAACTCTTCCCTGCCTTGAAAGAGAAGATAGAAATCCTCTCCTCTATCAGCAGAGGCAGAAATACAAGGCGATCATAAATATTTTCCCAGTTTGTTGACTCTGCCTAATATAGTTTGGATATTTGTTCTTGCCCAAATCTCACGCTGAATTGTAATTTCCAATATTAGAGACAGGGCCTGGTGGAAGGTGATTGGATCATGGGGGTGGATCTCTCATGAATGATGGTGTATTAGTCTGTTCCCACACTGCTATAATGAACTCCCTGAGACTGGGTGATTTATGAAAAAAAAGAGGTTTAATTGACTCCACAGGCTGTATAGGAAGCATGGCTGGGATGTCTCAGGAAACTTACAATCATGGGGGAAGGCAAAAGGGAAGCAAGCTCATTTTCTCATGGTGGCAGGAGAGAGAGAGTGAAAGGGGAAGTGCTACACACTTTTAAACAGCCTGATATCGTGAGAACTCACTCACTATCATGAGAACAGCAAGTGGAAAATCTGCCCGTGTGATCCAGTCACCTCCTACTCGGTCCCTCCCCCAGCAATAGGAATTAAAATTTGACCCAAGATTTGGGTGGGGACACAGAACCAAACCATATCAAATGGTTTAGCACCATCCTCTTTTTGCTTTTTTGCCATAGTGAGTTCTTGTGAGATCCGGTCTTTTAAAAGTGTGTGGCACCTCCCCTCCCCACAACTGTCTCTCTTTTTCTTGCCCCTGCTTTTGCCATGTGAAATGTCTGCTCCTGCTTTGCCTTCTGCCATGAGTAAAAGCCCCCTGAGGCCTCCCCAGAAGCAGATGCTGCTATGCTTCTTGTACAGCCTTCAGTACTGTAAGCCAACTAAACCTCTCTTTTTATAAATTGCCCACTTTCAGGTATTTCTTTATAGCAATGCAAGAACAGTTTGATACACTGCCTAAATCCCTTTTTCCCCTAGTCAAGCTCAAAATAAACTATGTCCTGTTAAAAAGAAGGTTAGCAGTTTATGAGGTAACTCCTGGCCCATATACATGAGACTGTTCACTTCTACAAGCTCTGCTCTTTCTATGTTCTAAGACAATGAGATGAGCAATTCAGCTGTTGTCTCAAAGCCTCTGAAATGGATCAGAGAAAGAATTCTTAGTTAACCTTAGATAGCTCTCTTATGTATAGTCAACAGTTTCTTTTCATGGGGACAGGTGAAATTATGAGAAGCTTCCTATTAGCACACATGCATGCATACACACACACAACCCTCTCCAGCTCCCAAATTATCTGTCCCTTTCCCTTGGTATTAAAATTTCTTGAAAAAGTAGTCTAAATTCATTGTCTAATTATGTCACCTCTCACCTCTCAACTGACTCCTTTCTGGCTTCTTAAATTAAAACCTCTCTATCTAATCACCATCGACTTCCATATCACTAAATCCAAAGGGCAGTTTTCAATCCTCATCTCACACAATCCATCAGAAACATTTGAAATTGGAGTCAACTTTTTATCAGAAACATCCTCTTTACTTGAAACACCTTCATACCATCAAAACCAAGCATTAAGAGGTTAGGGGCCCATATTCCTTTGGTTTTTCTCTTCCCTCTCTGGCCCCTCCTTCTCAGCCACCTTGAAAGAACATTCATCCTTACCCATCTAGACATTAAATGTTCAAGTTCCATGAGCCTCTGTTCTATGCTCCCTTCTTTCACTATATAATTTTTCCTTATTCAGTATCATTCATAGCCATGGCTTGATTTCTGACTTATGAATAATACAACCAAATGTTGCAAATTTATTTCTCAAGCAGAAACCTCTCATCTGAGCTGCTGGCTCATATATTGTGATTGCTTGGCATATCTACTTAGACATCTCAAAAGTTCCTCAAACTCAGATTGAATTTATGATCCTCCCTCCAAGCTTCCTACAGTGTTCCCTGTCTCAGTGAATTACACCGGCGCTCATCCATTTAATTACTTAAGTCAGAAACCAAGTAGCAATCTTGGATACTTTCCATAGTCTAATATCTAGTGTATAATCAAGTCCTGTCCACTATTACTTCTTTATAATAAAATGTCTAAAATTCATCAATTTATCTTCATTTAATGCCCTAATTCAAGATTCTTTCATCTCTCATCTGTACTATTCCAATAGTTACTTTAAATTTATGCTTCAGCTTCTTAACTTCTTGCACCTTCAGCCTGTTGTGTTTTTGGAGCAAACTTTTCAGAAGCAAATCTGTTCCCATCACCTCATTGTTTAAAATTTTCCAGTGGCTTTGTAATGCTCTTAAGATAAAAACTAAAGTCTATAATATGGCCTCTGAGGTCCTACATGACTTTATCCATGCCTCTCTCTCCAGCTTCATCTCTTACCATCTCAACCTTATGTTTTGCATTCCACCTGCACTGGTTTAATTCATATTCTTAGCATATCAGGCCCTTTCTGTGGCAGTTTTTGTCTCAAAAGCTCTTCCTCTCTTTAACCCTACTAAAATTCTACTCTTCCTGTAGATTGCAGTTCATAGCATTTTCACAGGAGAGCCTTCCCCGATGCAGGTTCTTTTGGTAAAAGCTCTCACATTACAAATGTTTCTTCCCTTTAGAACTCCTGTTTCTATTGAAAAGCATACATTCATTGGGTGATTATTCAGCTATTGTCAGTCTCCCCAAGCACTGTGTTTCTGCTCATCATTATTCTCCAGAATTTAGAAGAATTCCTGGCACCTTGAATGTGTTCAATAAATGCTTGCTGAATGTGTGAATGAATGAAGAGGAGTCCCATTCAGATGCCTGGTTCCTCTGGCATTTACAGTATGTATTAGATAGGTGGCAGTAGAATAATAGATGCCACTCCTTCAGCATCTCTAGAGGTGAACTAATTCTACTCTGTCATTGTCCACTTTTGATTTTTCAAAGTTCCAAAGTAGTAATGGAACACATATAGCAGCAAACCCATAGCTACACAATTTAAAGCCAATGTGATTCTTGCAGCAAGAGCATTTTCCAAACAAAATCAAGAGCAAAAAGAAAAAAGTAATAGAAAAAAAATCTTTCAGCCGTATTGGGATCAATAAGTCAGTTGGTTTTAGTCTTCTGGGAGTTGATGACCTGAAAATTCAACTTCATTTGGGAGAAGTGCCCACCAATAAGTTAAGTGTGACCCTATTCATTTCATATGCATGAAGACAAGCTTCCTTGTGCTTTTGGCATCTTTGATCAAAAAGAGGACTTTGAGACAACCTCTCTTCCTACAAAATGGTGATATCCTCCACATTCAAGTCCCAAGGCACTCTATTTCCTCTGAGTACTAATTTACATATTTAAAGCCGCTCAATTTTTATTTTCCTTTAGTGTTCCAAAAAAATCAATGTTGACTCAAGTAGAGTTTCTGTTTAGTGACCACAAGTACCAATTCCTGTGACCATGGTATACCAGGTACCAGGTCTCTGGGCATTGTCAAAGAAAGGTCTGGCTTCTCCACATACACTGATATTTCCTCTGTGTTCTTCATCCTCTGCAGGGTCTTACACTTCTTTTCTCTGTGCTTTAGTTGGCTGCTTCCACAGCCTTATGCTCTGGAATACCTTTGCCCCAAGAATCCTAGTCTCTAAGAAATGTTCCATAGGGTGCCTCAGTTTTTGCATATCAGATTCTCACACTTCCTGAATTGGCTTCTCACAATTTTTGCCTATCAGATTCTCATACTTCCTGAATTTGGCTTCCTGAATTGTTCCTAGAGATAGCACTATTAGTAATTCTGAACACTGTGTCCTTAGGTATCCATTGCGGGGTAATATGCCCTTTGCCATGTTGTTTTTTTCCAAAATTTTGCTTTTCATCCCCTTTTAAGTTGTTGGGAAACTTGTTCTCTTTCATTGTCAGCAGAAACATCTTGCTTTCTTTGCTTTGCAGGGTTCTATTTCCCTCCATTCAGGTGGGCCCTGCAGAGGCTTAAGAAATTTAAACCATTTCTTAAGACAGTTCTGTTTCTTCACTACCACATATAGGGCAAAAGGTATTTATGTATCAGGATACCTTCCTTTTCTTTAGGTTCCAGCCACTGGTTTTCTCATATGCTTCTCCAGATTTGGTCTGATGAGATCTGTGGTGAGAAATAGGAAGTTAAAAAGGTTGTCTCAAATGCTTCTTTTAAAATATAAACTAGTCTTTATGTCATGAATAACCTTACCCCAGTTCGAGAATACACAATGGAGTGGGGCATTGAGTACCCCAGGAGCCTATGGATAACAGGTTGTGGGATAAGAGTCACCAAATTCCACCTTTATATGAAATACTTGATAGTGACCACTCAAAGTTCCCAAATCTCAAACATGGGTGGCCTGAACTTCTTGTGGAATTAAGCATCCCCTAGCCCCTTCAAGCATTCAAATTTTCCTAATCTAGTGGCAGCTTGTAATATCAGTTGTGATGACAATACGAACCCCTTCAGCCCACAGGAGTCAAAGCCAGCAGTTGAAGCCACTGTATAAAGCTTGGTACTGAGTCTGTGGTGCTACAGGTGTTTATATTAAATGAAAGAGCTTTGATCTCTCTATTGGATATTCTGGCCCCAAAATGCTAGTGCCTGCACCTATACCCAATGAACTCCCTGGCAAGTCAGTGGGTTGAGATAGAAGGTGCAACTAACCTTCTCATCCTTTCTAGGATTTTGACAGATGGAGGATATACACAGAAATCACAGGAAAAAAGGAAATGAGTGCAGATCTTATCAGTTTTTGTGTGACTCCAGTTACTACCAAAAAGACTAGAAAACTGTTTTAGCCAAGACATCAATCAGATACTCAGATTAGCTGCCCCTTCTCCTTGGAAATGAGGAAATAAACAAACACCAACCAAATAAGAAGAGTTTGCCATTGCAAGGGAGTCAGCCACCACCACTTCAACTTTTGCAGAGATTCAAAGGCATGCAGAGGAGTGGGAAAGCCTTATAGTGGAAAAAGGGGAATATTTAGGTATGCCTTGTTTGGAGGCTGTTGGTATGGGGAAGCTGTAGGCATGGACAGCTAGAAATAAGGCATCCTCTGTGATGGGTGGGGGTGCATATTTAGCTTTCATTAAAGTTTTAAAATTGGAATCAGGCACAAAATGAGGGAATATGTCAATTATTAATCAAATCATGGCCATTTTGGGCCAATTATTATAGAGGTTATTATTTGGCTTCCTGAAGTGTTCCTAGAGATAGCAGTCTGACTCCTTCAAGTCTGACTGGTTTCTTGGTTTGTCATTATAGAGAAAGGGGTTGGTTTCCTGGACAGGTTGCTGCAAGTTGTGAATCAGAGTTCTATTTTTACATATAGACTGGGCATTGCTGGTTTGTATATTCAGACTCCCAGAAGTAGGGAAAGGCCAGGAAGAAGGGGGTAAATGCCCTTTCTCTACTGCTATCTCATACTCCCAGAGAAGGTGCAGGTTTTAAGGGCAGAAGCATAAATGTCAGGAAACGGTCATAGGTAGCCCTCCTTTGCCCATCACTTGAAAATTATTAAAAATTCTCATTGAGGACTTGTCCCCTAAGTAATCAAGAAAAATAACATACAAAAATGAAGAACCATAAACTGAATTCAAATTAAAGTGTGCCCATAGCACAGAGATTTCTATGCAAAATAACTTTCCCTATAAACATACTAATGACATGTTATTTTGTATCAACCAGTATCACCATGTATCAACCTGTATCCCCATGTATCAACCTGGTGATTGGATGGAAGGTGCAGTACGTACACAGGTGTGCTTGACAAAGAGTGGGAAGGAGAGACCAAAATCTAGAGAGAGCCTGAGAGATCTGACTTGCTCCATCAGAGCTGTGCATGCTTCAGAAAGATTTGGGAAGTGCTCCTGTTAATTTTGCCTTTGAAATAGACTACTTTGGTTGAGATGCAAATATAAGGGCTGTTCCAGTGATACAGAAGTGAAACTCCTTAGCCTTGCTAGTTGATTTGTGTTTCTGATCATTCTGTTGATGGGCTGGCTTTAGCAGAGTGTGCCCTGGTTGATATTTATCGTGATTGATTTTACAGTCTGACCTTGGTCTCAGCAGACACATGGCAGTGAAAATGAAAGGTATTTAGGAGACCAGCCAAAATATCTACATTGAGGTTATGAAAAATGGAACCCTAAATGCCTGATATCCACTCTAATTTGCCTGGTTTACCTGGTGTTAATTGCTTCCTGGCCTTACTTCTCAGAATGGACCTTTACATTTCATATCCTTTTCACTTGGAAGTCTATTGTTTTAATTCTTTCCACAGTATGGAAGTGGATGCATTTTCATTTTCTTTTTTTGGCTTCACTAAAGACAGTTCAATTAACCTCTGAACAGTAGGTTTGACAATCCTGACTTTGCATCTAACATTTTCTTGAATTTCTGCTTCTACTGGGCTCTTGGTGGTAAGATCAGGAAATTATCATGAACAATTTATTTGTTTCCTAAATCAAATCAAGCAATGACAGCATGAGCAAAAGTGTTTGTTTTTGTCTTTAAACTATTTTTTAAAGGAACTGATTGTTAAAGAAAATATTTCCTTTCTTCTTTTGTTAAGGTACCTATTATCTTTTTTGGTATAGATTTAGCTTGCATACATTTTCCATTTGTCTTGTTTCTCTATAGAAAACTCCTCTGTAGATTGAAAATAAAAAAAGTAAGTAAACAAATTAGTCCAAGGCCCTTGGACCACCCTTTTATATAGATGGTTTGTTCCCCCAGAGCATTTTGAAACTGCACTGCTGCCCTTCCCTGTATTTAATGAGACCTATGGGCAAACACATGATTCAGTGGAAACTAAGAGGCAGAGTTTAAATATGCTCTGATGACAGCTGGCTTACTTGTGTGAGCTGTTGCAAAAGAACTTTACTAATGGTTCAAGCAGATGGACAGAAGGAAGAAAGCTGAATGTTAGAATGTGTGAGAGACCAAAGGTCAAGGTGAATGAGGCTGGTGATTTCCTGAGGTCTGTGGGTGTTTTGTGTTGCAGTCTAAATTGAGGGTTGTTTTTAATTTGATGCATTTTTCTAAACTTTAAAGAGCTTCATTAAATCTCCTCCCATCCCAAATGTCTCAGCTCTTCAATTAGTTCTCAATTAAATTTTAGCTTTTACCTTTTAAGATAATATGGTATTTACTTGTAAAGTATAGACATTTATAATGTTTTTAAGGGTCAGTTTAAAGTGGTCTATTTAATGAATATTTTTTACAAAACATGATCCCATGAGGTTTTTTACCAACAATGTACATATACTATATCCTCTTGCCCTTTTTTAACTTCAAAATAATTTTTCTGCTGGTGCACGGTGATTATAAAACACTTTAAATATATTGCATAAAGAATAACTGCCATTCGATTCTTTCTGGAAAACCCTACTTTCCAGATACTTGCTGCGATTTAGGTTAAAAATCCAATATCATTTTTGTATTTCTTCTGATTTTGTAACTCTTATATCTTTCATCTTTAATCAAGTTCTACTGAAGCCAAGACATTAACTAACTTTTAGTTTGACAATCAAGCCCTTTAAAAGAGGTCATAAATTTAAAAGGAAGATTGTTTTTGTTCCAGAAGAGAGATTATTTTGAAAGCTAAAATATATGTACCACTTATGGAAAGAAACAAAGTAAATCTTTGTTGCATAAGGTACATTCTTTATTTCTCTGGTTCAAGGAATGGAGCAGGCTGCTGGAGGAAGTGGAGAAAGGTGCTCCTCTAGCTGCCTGGGTACCATGCCTTTCTTCCCATAGGGGATGGCATTGCATTGGCAGTTGCCTTGGGGTCAAGTATTTATTTATTTAAAGATATAATTTTAATTATATGAAACCCCAAATTTAAGAGTGTGTAAAATATTAACACAGCAATTAGATGTATTGTTTATCACCTTGATTTCCAAGCCCTGTCAGACTGAAATCCATTTGGGAGTCATAAAAAATCACCAGGACTGGCCATTTAAAAAAATTACCTCAAATCACAATTAGCAGCTCTTTATTTGCAGTTTTCATACATATATGGAGGTGCTGTTTGTGTTGCCATTTCAGAAATAATTCACTATGACCAACTACACTGAAAAATAAGTGCACAAGTAGAGGTTGAGGTCATTTAAAATCAAACACATTCAAAATTTGAAGATAAGTAGTGTACTTGCCATACGTGGTTAATTTTTCTCATACTTTGGTTTCTGGTGATCTTCTGAGTGAGGACTTTGAAGTTTATAATTTATTATTAAAGAAATTCTTTAGGTGATGGGAAGGGTCTCGAAAGAAATCTATAAAAGCAAAATATAACACCTGTGGAAAGGAAGGGAGGAAGGGAGAGAGGGAGCAAGGGAGAGAGGAAGGGAGGGAGGGAGAGAGAGAGAAATAAATAAAGAATACTAATAGATATGTAGATATTTATTTCTCTTCATGTTTTCAGCAAAAGACATTGGAAAAATTTTAAATTGTATTTAATTATATTAAAAATGATATTCATAAAGAGAAAAATATCAGTTCCACTGACTTAATAAATTTCTCTGCACACCTTTAACCTAACCAACCATTTTATGAACAAAAAGTCATTGGAGACTTGATTGGGGAGCTAAGAAATTAAAGAAAGAAAAAAATGTCAATAAACCCGACTTGATTATGTAAACTTGACTTATTTTTGAATATAATTAAAATATATATTTTAAATATTAATACAAAATACATGTTTTAAACTACTGTGTAGTCACTGTCAGTGATATAACAATTTTTAGTTTTTGCTTTTTAGCACTTTTTAAACACATGTGCCCAGAAAATTTCCCTTTTAATTGATGTGCCACTGAGAAGACAGCCTGGTGTAGAGAAAGGAGCAGCGGACTTGGCAACAAACAGATATGGCTCCACCCACAGCTCTACATCCAACTGCTTTTGTGAGCTTGAGTAAATTTGTTAACCCCTCTGAGTTATTTCATAAAATGGGGATGAAACCTACCTTGCAGGGTTGCTGTGAGTTTTAAGTGGGTCAAGCTCTGCTCAGCAAATATTAGTTCCCTTCCTCTTTAGTTCACTTGAAGAAACATTTATTCAGATGCTGTGTTAGGCTAAATGCCTTACGTGTAATAGTCTGGTTAATCTTCAAAACAAAACAGCAAGTCATGAGGTTGGTTCTCCAGTCATTGTTGTTCTGCACTGAGGAAACTGAAGCATAGAAACAGCTAATAGTGAGTGCCTTAAACCTGGGTCTGCTTGATTCTAAAACCTGTATCCTTAACTGTTGAATATGCTGGGGAAAGAGATGGTCATATGAGCACAGAGAAAAAAAAAAGATTAGTAGTGATATAGGGATCAAGGGGTAAGAGACCAAAAGGATTGAACATTTTTGTAACTCTAATATCTGTAAAATGAACCTGAACTTTGTTTAGATATGACAAAGAGAATAAAAAACCATATTTTAAATGCTTGGCCATAATACATGGATACAAAACAGAAAAAGTCATGCAAAAAACAGAGCGGATAGGTCCCAAATGGACAGAATGTCTGTTGGTGAATCCTGTATAAGGAGGTTATTGTGATGTTGGCATGTTGGCATTATTAAGCATTTTTCTCTAGTACATACTGTATTTGTCAGGCTAGGCTAGGTTATGGTGTGGTGCAATAACAAACAGTGCCTAAACTTCAGTGGCTTGATACAGCAAGATTTTATTTTTCATCTGTGCAAAGTCTACTGTAAGTCTGATTGCCTTCCAGGACAACTGACCTCCATGAGGTCACCCAGGAATCTAGCTATTTCCATCTCAGGGCTCTATGGCTTCAACATGAAATCTGCGCTATGATTGCTGCCATAGGGGGAGAGAATGCTAAAGAACTTTCCTGGAAAAGTAAATTTTTTTACTCCTAACCCATCAACCAGACCTAAGTACATACTCTGCCTAACTGCAAGGGGAAGAGGACTGTGTATTGTGTCACAAATCTGCACCATGTATACTTAAGACTGTTGGTAGGCTGTTTATTTTCAGACTGTAGCTTTTATGACTATTTAACTGAGATAATTTCTACAAACTAAAACTCCCCCCAATAGAAAAGTGTCACTTTTATCTCAGCCATTTCTGATTAAGACATATTAAAATACTTAAGATGATTTAAGTGGGAGTTGTTATCTGGAAGTGATTTTGAAAACTAAATAGTCGTTGCTCTTCAATCAGCGGGGATTATGTAATGTTTGCTCTGCCCTGTTTCAAGCAGTAGAATATGATCTTACAGTTACAAATCTGTATAACAAAGAAAAAAAAAACAACAAAAACAAAAGAACTGCTCTTTCATTCTGCCATAGTTTGTGGTGGGACTTGGTTTATATTAGAGACTGTTCATTTATTCTTAGGCCATTGAGCAGCAGAATGAGTGGTGAGGCAGGGTGAGGGTTATGACAGCTTCAGGGCATGCATGTTCTGAGGGTTCTTCCATAGTGAGACTGGAAAGAGCAAGTGGTCAAAGCTCTGGTTTCTACCTTTCCCCTATTTGAACAATAATGACAATTTACCTGTGGCTTATGTGGTAGCATAAGCAAATAATTCCAGCCAAAGTAAACAGCATTTCAGTAATTCAGAAAGCAAAACCATCTCATGATCATGAGAAAAGATAAAAATATAGATGCACATTGGTGAGGATTTTTAAAATAATTGCTATCCATGGTGTTCCTTCGGAGATTATTCCGTTACTTCTTGAGAAAGCAGAATTTACTTCTTGTTTATGAACATGGTGAAAATACAGGGACAGTAGAGGGTAGGAGAAACTTTCTAGTGGCTTAAATCAATTGTTTTCCTTGGCTTTGAATTTTTATTTTTAACAGGTAAAGTGTTGCATTTATTAAAAGCAGTAAAGTGGACCACAAAAAAAGGTTATTTCAAAAACTGTCAGCCAAGCACATTTATTGAGCACTCAATAGCTATGATCCAAAAATGTAAAAGTAAATAAACATAATAAAACAAATCAATTAACTGAACCAAGCAAACCACACTGGAAGCTTTTATCTTGTTCTTTCCCTCGTTGGCATCAAAGTCTGGCCACTCTTTGGAGATTTACACCTGCGGTGGTTTCATTGCCAAAATGCCTTCTTCCTAACACTTATCTCTATGAGAGGGTCCAGTAAAAAAACAGTTTTATCATCATAAAATTTGGGAGCCATAATTTCCTGATTCAGTTGCTTGGGGTAGGGCTCTGAAATTTATATTTTAAAAAGTTCTTCAAGTGATTCACATACGTACCTGTTTCCAAAACTTGAATTTAGAGTGCTCCACAGTGGTGGGATTTGGGATCCAAGAGAGACATAATTCTGGCAACACTTTATGGCAACTGTTTTACACAAAGACTACTTTTAAGCAGCGCCACTGATATAGTTTGACTATTTGTCTCTGCCCAAATCTCATGTTGAATTATAATTCCCAGTGTTGAAAGTGGGGCCTGGTGGGAAGTGTTTACATTATTGGAGTGATCCCTCATGAATGGCTTGGGTCATCACCTTGGCGATAAGTGAGCTCTCCATCTGAGTTTACACAAGATCTAGTCATCTAAAAGTGTGTGACACCTTCCCTTACCACCGCCCCCCTCTTTCTTGCTTGCTCCTGCTTTCTCCATTTGACGTGCCTGCTCCCCCTTCACCTTCTGTTATGATTGTAAGCTTCCTGAGGCCTCCCTAGAAGCCAAGCAAATGCCAACACCATGCTTCCTGTAAAGCCTACAGAGCCATGAGCCAATTAGACCTCTTTTCTTTGTAAATTACCCAGTCTCAGGTATTTCTTTGTAGCAGTGCAAAAACAGCCTAATAGACCTACAGCTGGGCAGGTTACACTTTATCTAGTGCTTCTGATTCTCACCTGCCTCACAGGATGTTTGGGTTAAAGCTCTGGCCAGCATGGATTGGTGTGCATCCTTGGATGTTTCATTTCATAGCTCTATGGTCTTTGGCAAGTTTTTAATTCTGAGCTCTGGTTGCAGTTGCCTTGTCTAATAAAGGAGCTAATTTTATCTGCTTGGTAGTATTAGAATATTTGTAAAAAAGCACTTCATTTGATGTCTGGAATATGGTAGATGTTCTGTTTCCATCTCACTCAGAGTAAAACTCAAAAGGCCCTCATAACCTGTGTCCCCACTTTCATTACCCCTGACCTCTTCTATTAGTTTCCCTGTTGCTTGCTTCACCTTGGCCTCACTTCTGTTCCTGAAACCCTCCCTGGACACCTTGGCCCAGCCCCTGCACCTGCACATGCTTCTACCTGGAATATGCTGCTCTCAGCTACCTGCAGGTTTCCTCACTCCCTTCCTGGCCTGAAACAAATCCACTCTTCTCAGTGAGGCTCTCTCTCTCACCTTCCTGGTTTAAGTTGAAGCTTCTGCTTTCACTCTCTATTCCCCTTTCCTGCACTTATTACCATATACTATACTATATATTTTATTAATTTACCTTGTTTATTCTATCACCAGAATGTAAGCTCCAGCTGGGCGGAGTTATTTGTTTGTTTTTGTAATTACTTCTTAACTTTCTAACAGCAATAACAATGCCTGGCAGACAGTAGCTGTTTGTTTAGTAAATGTTTACTAAAAGAATGATTGTGAGTGGTGGTAGGTCAGTCTGGATAGGGGAGCATCATCATTAGGTCAGAGAAATTCTGGGCCAGGAAGTTTTGGTTTCAGATTGTCCTGGATGTCAAATTTTAGTATTATTTGGGGTGAACAAAATCACCACATTGTTCCTGTGAACATCTCAGCCACCTAAAATATATTTAGAAGGGTAATGACTCCGAGTTGTTCTAGATCCCACTTCCTTCCATGTCTCTCCATCTGGAATCACCTCTCAAGGCCAAGATGATACTTGGTCTGCATTTAGGGAAAGGACAACTGGGCAAAGTTTGAAACTGCCAGCTCAGAGATATCTTAGGACATCTGTTTGATGACACCTGATGATCAATGAATGATATTTGATTAATAATCTTGATTCACACTTCTCACCAATAAAATTTCTGTTGTTTTTCCTGAGATTCACCCTGGTGAACTTTTCAAGCTTCCTTGGACCCGTGAAGAGAAAAAATTCTCATGTCTCCTCTCATGCCTTCTCTGTGCTGCTGGAAAAGGCTCAGCTTCCTTAGCCTTTATTGTGTCCAGAGAAAGGATCTCCCTCCCTTCCTCTATGGATAGGGATAATCAGATTGGGAGCTACCACTATCTTCTCATTTTCCCACTAAAAATAGTTTTTCCCCCAAAATGTAGTTAAAAGAAACCTGGAAATTATCATTTATGACAGAAATGTCAGTTTGTTGAAAAAATGTCGGTTTTACCAGATGCTTCTGGTCTTGGCTGCCTCATCCAGTTGCTCTCTCAACAGCTGCAAGCCCTTTGTCGGACCCCACACCTCCTCCCACGTGCTGTCTCTATCAGTTGGAGCCGAATTGGTGCCCGCTGCAGGCACTAAACTTCAGGCAAATAAAATAGCAGGGGTGAATCATGAACAAGACCAGTAAAAATAACCTTCCTCTGTGCCTCTAAATTACCTATTAAAATTACACTCCTGACTGCTCTTAGAAAGCTGAGTCAATGATTTGGAGGATAATTTTTCAGTTGGGGAATCCAAGGATATTGCTGAAAAAGGAAAAGAACTCATATTTATGAAAGGTGTATTGCTACAGATTTTGCCACGCAAAATTAGATTATATTTTACCGAATTCTCACACACACTGTGACGATGATACCCTTGTCTTACAGATGAAGAAACTAAGGCTCAGATAAATCAACTAAGTTACCCAAAGTCACATGTCTAATAAGTGGAAGATTTTAGGTTGGATTGATTAGGAAGTCTGTTCCTTTGCTGGCATATCGTGCTGTTCTGCACTTGCCTGGCACAAATCCTGAGGGACATAACAAGTACTCTTGCCCTTGCCCTGATCCCCCATTCTTTTGAGTATTTCAAATCATCCTAAATTTGTAATATCTCAATAAATGCTGCCATGGAAAGTTGCCATGATGGAATTTTGTGTACCTACAAGAGACTCTGACATTTGCAGACACTGTATGTTGAGAATGTTCGAATCCTCAAATTCAGAGGGCATTGTGGTATAAACTTCTCCACAATTGCCTCAAAGCTGTACTGCAATGGGCTGGCTAGGTGGTGAGTAAGGCTCAGTCACTGGTTATGCGATAGGCTTCTGCAAGCTAGCCAAAAAGATTAAAATCCAAGCCTTAGAATAATTGCAAATTATTACATTGTGAAGATTGAGAGTTGATAGTGAATAAAATGTTAAATCTAACAGTCTATGGCACTACATCAAAACTTGACTAGGACTTCTCTTTAAAACCAGTCTTAGAGTTAATATAGGATTACGGTTAAAAGCAAGGACTTTGGAGACTGACTTCCCAGGCTTAAATCCTTGGTTTTGCCACTCACTAGCTGTATTTTCCCTCCTCTTTGCCTCAGTTTTTTTAACTTCAAAATAGTGATGATGCAACCTGCATCATCGTGTTGTATTAGCATTGCATGAAATTGTGGTTGTCAAATGCTCAGAACAGTGGCACTTAGTAGGATTTTGTGTTAGCTATTTTTATTATGTATAACAATGCAAATTTTATTAACAAAGTTCATTTGTTTATGGTTCCATTGAATTTTGCCCAACATTCTACCCTTCAATTTACTTACTCTGGTCACCAGAATTGGGGCTGTACAACTTCATTCATTTAAAAATTTCAGATTTATCCTCAAAAGAAGAGGTTTTCTTTTACATTTATTTATTTAAAAATTTCTATTTTTATTTTAGATATAAGGGGTACATGTGCAGGTTTGTTAACATGGGAATACTGTACAATACCATGGTTTAGGGTATGGATCCCATCACCTATGTAGTGAACATAGTACCCAATAGGTAGTTTTTCAAACCATGCTCCCCTCCCTCCTTCCCCGTTTGATTAGTCTGCAGTGTCTATTGTTCCTATGTTTATGTCCATGTGTGCCCAATGTTTGGCTCCCACTTATAAAGACAGTTCTGTCACCCAGGCTGGAATGCAGTGGCATAATGATAGCTCACTGCCTGAATTCCAGGGCTCAAGGGATCCTCCCAACTCAACCTCCCAAGTAGCTAGCTGTGAGTCATTGCGTCCGGCCAAGAAAAGGTGTTTCCATCTCCAAAGAAAGACCTTGCTTCAGTTTCTGACAGCAACAATTAGATGAGTGTAGTGTCTTCAACATCATTGTTTTTAAAGGGACAACATTCAATTTGCATGTATAAATTCTTCAATGTTGATTAAAAATTAATTCTATTACTTTATAGTTATACCTCATAGAGGATGATCTCTTTAGCTTATTTCCTAAGATTTCCAACTCCATTTGTGATTTCATGAACATATTGAGATCTGTCCAATATACCGTACATTGCTCGAATTAAACACAAACTCCAAAGCATCTCATCTGTAATTGCTATCAAAGAATCAAGGAGTTGAATCTAGTCTTACACTTGATACCAGCTGATGGAGATCAATAATTTTTGACGAATTACCCTTTTCTAAGTGGCTTAGACTCAACAGGATTTAAAGTTCTGAGAAACTATTTTAACTTTCTTCAACCTTAGTTTACTTTAGCAAAGAAGTAAAATAATTAGGCAGAGACAAGATGGTAACTTTTTTTTAATATGGAAGTATGTCTCGGTTTTATGTTTTCATAGCAATTTTATTAATAACTAAAGTTTCATAAAATGTTATGAAAAAGTTTGCAACTCTATAGAATATTTAATAATAGTTCTTTCCTCATATAGACAAATGGTTGGGTTATAATGTCAGATATTTTTGCAGTTAAAAGTTATTCACTGGCATGACTGATTTTGCTTATTCCACAGAGCTCTTTCCTCTGAAAAAGGAAAGCTAGAGAAATGTTGATATGACAAATTGCTGCTAAGTTTTGGGTCATTGGTTATGCTACTAAAAACTGCAAAGAACTTCGCTTTTGCCATCTTCTGGTTTTCTGTTTTGATTCCCTTCTCTATATCTTGGCAACTCCTCTTTAGTTCCTTTTATTATAACCCTCCTTTCTCTCTCTTCTTGTCTTTAATGAGATCTACTGGTCTCTTCCATTTCCTAGTAGGTAGGAGATTTAGTGCTCCTGATGTTCTCCCCAGCACCTAAAACAGTGACCCCCAAAACTCATGGATGTGCAAATAATTATTTCTTAAATTATTTCTCAATATATTGTTCATAGCCAATATAAGTTAAGGGCGTTAGCTTGTAAGGATGATAGTGGGAAAGTGGGGATAGTTCACAAACTGTTGTTAGGATTGTTTTCTTTTGAACTGTGAACTATTAGAGATAAAATACCTAATAAGGAGGAATGAATTCTGTTAGTAGACCCTAAGACCTAGTGGTGGACTAGTGAGGAGAAACCATGGAGGTCCAGATGGAGAAGTCCTTTTCTGAATTCCATACGTATGTGATGTAACACACACACACACAAACACACACACACACAAACACACATGCACACATGCACACACACACATGCACACACACATGCACACACACGCACACACACACGGAGAGAGAGAGACAGAGTGAGAGTGAGAGAGAGAGAGAGAAAGAGGATGTATAATCGCATCCTTTGCTAACAAATAAAACGATTTTCATTGCTTGGATTTTAAGAAAGCTTATGTACTTCTGAGAGCCAGATTTTGTTTGCTTGAACAAATCAGTGAGTCCAAAAATTGGCTTCCTACGTAGTTTAGATAATAAAAAAATATTGAAATAACATTATTTTTGTGTGGAAGCTACAGAATTTGAGACTCCATGAAGAGAACTAGTATAGGCTTTCTATTTGTTTTATTTTGTTTTCAGACAACTAAAACTATGAAAAATATTAATTCTATAGATTTTTTCTTAATGTCATTTTACATGAGGAATATGACTGTACCTTTCAGATATTGTAGAAAGGCAATGCAAATGTTTTCTAACACTGGGATAAAATCTGGTTGTTAAATAAAGTGTACATCTTTTAGCCTGAACGGTAAGAAAGATCAGTTCCAGAAGAAATAAAAACTTATTTTGCAATGGTATTTTAGCCTTTAAGTACACAGAAGGTTTTCCAAAAATGGAAGAGAATGATTCCATTCTGCTTCCCTTTAAATAATGAAACTACAAAATAGTGTCCACATCATGGTGTATAATATCCTTCCATTAGAGCCTTATTTTCTTGTCAATATTTTTACTTCAAGCCTAATCTTTTGATGTGATGGAGACTTCAAATTAAATCACAGACAGTGGTTTTCATTTTCTTCCTTTAACATGACATTATTTCCAGCTCTAAAGTGATTGCGAAGAAAATACTTAACTCCCTAAATTGGCTGTTTAAAGCGCCACAGTAGATTTGACTCTCAAATCGCATCCGTGGTTAAAGTTCACCTTGCAACGCATTTGAAATAGGTGCTTTGTGTTGAAAAACAAAACCTGTAAAACTTTTGGGGTTTCAAGTTTTCTGACTCCAAGTTAGTCATTTTCCTTTAATACTAGAAGAATTAAAGATATTAAAAATCAGCTGTTAGTGCATGTAATTGTGGCCTCTCATTTTTCCTTTTTCTGGAAATGAAAGGAATGCTGAAAGTGTTCCTGTTTTATAATGTAGGAGGTGGCCAAGCATTTACAACTCTATATACTCCTCCAGTCGAATTCTTCTAAACCTCAGACCTGGCCAGCAGGTTTCTCCCAGACGATTTTCATTTTCATAACATTCACATCCAATAAGCTGCACAAAACATAGTGTGAGAGAAAAAGGGGGACAGGAAATGGCTCTGTTGCATGGTTATTACATCCTATTGCCTGTGGGTTGCTTGTTATGAGTTTTAACTATGTAAATATGACGTATATGACATCAGAATTTAATCTTAAAGCTTCTATGTGGGAGATAGAGTGTGACTTTATTGTTAGGGTTAAAATCAACTGGGTGTTGACAGGTCTCAAAAGTCACTGAGTAAAAGCTTAAAAAGAAAAAGCTCAGACTGATAAGCTGTTCTTTGATTGACAACTTCAGGCCTGACTGCCACTATTGAAAACAGTTGGGTGAAAGTTTGGTTGGGGGGAAAAAGTGTTATTTCATAAGAAACTATACTGGGAAATATAGGGTGATTTATAAGCTGATATAGCACAAAACCCAAAGAAAAACAGGTGTAAGGTTTAGAAAATCTGGAAACTGGGAGGAAGACACTGTCTATGAATGATTTAATTAATATTGTAAAAGGACTTTACCAAAAAGAATGCTGACTCAACCAGAAAAATACATTTCTGTCCACTAGCTTTGGGTTTCAGCAAATCATTTGTCAACAGCTTGTGGTGAAACAATCTAGTAGGGGGTGGGAGGAAAGAATAAAATGCACAAGCAAAATATTCCAATGGAAAATACATGTAGTTCTTTTTTTCATCTTTCTAGTAGAGTAGAACCAATTGGCACTGTAAAATTCATTATGGAAACAATAAAATAAATGCATTCTAAAGTAGCCATCATTGGTTGATTGAAATGTTATGATTGTTATACATGCCATATCTTATCAAATATTATCCATAAGGAAGTATTCAGTTCCTGTTGTGCCAATTATCCTACTATGTGCATCATAAACTTTTATGGCTTGTTATGGAATGTCACTTGGCTAACTATTTTTCCCTTCAAATATTGCATCATCAGATTCAGATGGAAAACATATTCTAATGTGACAAAGTGTTAAAGAAATTTAATACTCTAGGGCTAAATGAAACTGCTATGGTTCATCTCCTGGATAAGAACAACAATTTATGAATGCAGTATTCATTTCCTGAGGTGAACACAAGCAAAAACCTTGTCTGAAACTTAAAACCTAGATGTTTGGCCTCTGGTAGTTTCCTCATTTAACTCATTGATGTCGTATATTAAGGCCATTGGTAAGATTACATCTGGGGAGTGCTCACTTTTTCAGCTTCCCTAATTACTTTTACAGGGGACTCCTGGCATAATTGCATCAGCCAGGACCAGGCCACAGAGTTTATGAGATCAATCTTTCACTTTTAATATATTGCTAAAATGTCAAAATAATTGATTTGTTTTCTCTTGATTGTGAAAACTGATGAAGAGTTTGGCATTTTAATTCACAGAGGCATCCATTCAGATCTAGGTTCTAGAATAGTGCATACATTCTATGGAGAAATCATGAAATTATAAACTTAACATGTTATGTCTTTAAGACCAGAGAACCCAGAGAAGATTCCACAGTCATTTGTATTTGTAGAAAAAGACAAATAACAATTGCCAAGAATCGTCATTTTTCTCCTTCCAAAAACTAAACATCTGCATTATAAATTTTAGTATATTAAACATAATAAAGTAAACTTACAGGAAAATTTATTTGAGTCTTACCTGTTATTATCAGGGAGAAGTAGAGGACACATCTAGACAGCAATATTTTGAGCTTTAAATGCAAACTTCTTTCATTGACAAGAAACCACTTTTATTTAAATATTCTAGAATTCACAGAAATTCTAGGTGACAGGGTAAAATGTTCAGATAAATATATGAGAAGTTGATTATTTGTCCATCTGAGATTTCTACAGAATCAGGAGCAAATTTTGCTCAAAGTACTATTTTGCATCATTGTCGGCCATCGCGGGCACCTATAACTGGGGAAAAATGAGACAACAACAGAGAGAAACACATTGCAAGTTTTCATACAAAAAGCCTCTTTGCCTTTCATAAACTCACCTCTTCTGACCACTAAACTAAACCACGTACAGAGTTGAAAGATGCTTTGACACTGTTAAGATCCAGCATTTAGAGACTTCAGCTTTTGTGGAAAAAGTGCTCATTGTAAGATAATCAACTGATTTGAGAGGCATAAGAACAGTAATAATAATAATAATAATAATAAGAAACCATTTTAGGTGATGACTGGAGGAAAAAAAAACCCAGCAAGGTGTGGGGCAGGCTCTATGCATAAAATTAGAACTCAAACCTGTCATATGCTTTCAGTAAGTGAGGGCCATGTGGAGGCAACTTGGAGGGAGAAGAATAAAACACAAAGAGAAAAGAAGAAAGAAGCCTAGACCCTTCTGGAAGCAGCTGCATCTACCATTCTTGGCATGCAGTGTTCTTTAGTTATTCTGTCTTCTGACACTGCAATGCTCTGCTTGAAATTCCTTGCAATTCCTCACAGGTCTTTTTGAATTCACCTTTAAAAAATTCTCAATTTTTTTTCATTGGTCGGACCCTCAAAGGAGAAAAACGCAACTTTCTCTATCAGACAGTCATGGCATATTGTTTTGGCTTAGCTAGAATTTGCTAGAATGAACCCATTATTACGCTTCCTCTGAGTGCTGACAATGTCATCATCTCTGCATTCTGCAAGTAAATTTGAACTGTGAGTCAAGAATGCCTATTCCAGGGAGATGCTAGGCATACATAACTGCCTTCTCACCTGCTATCCTCTACCTCAGAGAAGAGAGGTAGAGCAGGCAGAAAGGAGGGTATGGATAAAGAATTGGGTCCTTACTAATGACTCACATATTGCAACAGGTATTACATTCTTGAATTATCTCACTCCATCCACATCACAATTCTACACTGTAGGTAGGCAGATATGCTTACCTTTTTTTAACAGACAAAGAAACAGATTGAAGAGCTCACATAGCTTATAAGAGCTCAGTTTGACTCCAAGTTTGTGCTTCTTTCACTACTTTCTGCCATAAACTCCTTTACTATATTTCTTTTCAAATATTTTAAAGACATTGTCTTTGAAATGCTGAATGGACAATGAATGAAGGTATGTTTTTAAGTGTTTTGTGAATTTTAATTTTTTATGCCCAAGTAGACTTATTTTATTTTATCTTTTTTTTTTTAATTATACTTTAAGTTTTAGGGTACATGTGCACAATGTGCAGGTTAGTTACATATGTATACATGTGACATGCTGGTGCGCTGCACCCACTAACTCGTCATCTAGCATTACGTATATCTCCTAATGCTATCCCTCCCCCCTCCCCCCACCCCACAACAGTCCCCAGAGTGTGATGTTCCCCTTCCTGTGTCCATGTGTTCTCATTGTTCAAGTCCCACCTATGAGTGAGAATATGCGGTGTTTGGTTTTTTGTTCTTGTGATAGTTTACTGAGAATGATGATTTCCAATTTCATCCATGTCCCTACAAAGGACATGAACTCATCATTTTTTATGGCTGCATGGTATTCCATGGTGTATATGGGCCACATTTTCTTTATCCAGTCTATCATTGTTGGACATTTGGGTTGGTTCCAAGTCTTTGCTATTGTGAATAATGCCGCAATAAACATACGTGTGCATGTGTCTTTATAGCAGCATGATTTATAGTCCTTTGGGTATATACCCAGTAATGGGATGGCTGGGTCAAATGGTATTTCTAGTTCTAGATCCCTGAGGAATCACCACACTGACTTCCACAATGGTTGAACTAGTTTACAGTCCCACCAACAGTGTAAAAGTGTTCCTATTTCTCCACATCCTCTCCAGCACCTGTTGTTTCCTGACTTTTTAATGATTGCCATTCTAACTGGTGTGAGATGGTATCTCATTGTGGTTTTGATTTGCATTTCTCTGATGGCCAGTGATGGTGAGCATTTTTTCATGTGTTTTTTGGCTGCATAAATGTCTTCTTCTGAGAAGTGTCTGTTCATGTCCTTCATCCACTTTGATGGGGTTGTTTTTTTCTTGTAAATTTGTTTGAGTTCATTGTAGATTCTGGATATTAGCCCTTTGTCAGATGAGTAGGTTGCGAAAATTTTCTCCCATTTTGTGGGTTGCCTGTTCACTCTGATGGTAGTTTCTTTTGCTGTGCAGAAGCTCTTTAGTTTAATTAGATCCCATTTGTCAATTTTGGCTTTTGTTGCCATTGCTTTTGGTGTTTTAGACATGAAGTCCTTCCCCGTGCCTATGTCCTGAATGGTACTGCCTAGCTTTTCTTCTAGGGTTTTTATGGCTTTAGGTCTAACGTTTAAGTCTTTAATCCATCTTGAATTGATTTTTGTATAAGGTGTAAGGAAGGGATCCAGTTTCAGCTTTCTACATATGGCTAGCCAGTTTTCCCAGCACCATTGATTAAATAGGGAATCCTTTCCCCATTGCTTGTTTTTCTCAGGTTTGTCAAATATCAGATAGTTGTAGATATGCAGCGTTATTTCTGAGGGCTCTGTTCTGTTCCATTGATCTATATCTCTGTTTTGGTTACTGTAGCCCTGTAGTATAGTTTGAAGTCAGGTAGCATGATGCCTCCAGCTTTGTTCTTTTGGCTTAGGATTGACTTGGTGATGTGGGCTCTTTTTTGGTTCCATATGAACTTTAAAGTAGTTCTTTCCAATTCTGTGAAGAAAGTCATTGGTAGCTTGATGGGGATGGCATTGAATCTATAAATTACCTTGGGCAGTATGGCCATTTTCACGATATTGATTTTTCCTACCCACGAGCATGAAATGTTCTTCCATTTGTTTGTATCCTCTTTTATTTCGTTGAGCAGTGGTTTGTAGTTCTCCTTGAAGAGGTCCTTCACATCCCTTGTAAGGTGGATTCCTAGGTATTTTATTCTCTTTGCAGCAATTGTGAATGAGTTCACTCATGATTTGGCTCTCTGTTTGTCTGTTATTGGTGTATAAGAATGCTTGTGACTTTTGCACATTGATTTTGTATCCTGAGACTTTGCTGAAGTTGCTTATCAGCTTAAGGAGATTTTGGGCTGAGACAATGGGGTTTTCTAGATATACAATCATGTCGTCTGCAAACAGGGACAATTTGACTTCCTCTTTTCCTAATTGAATACCCTTTATTTCCTTCTCCTGCCTAATTGCCCTGGCCAGAACTTCCAACACTATGTTGAATAGGAGTGGTGAGAGAGGGCATCCCTGTCTTGTGCCAGTTTTCAAAGGGAATGCTTCCAGTTTTTGCCCATTCAGTATGATATTGGCTGTAGGTTTGTCATAGATAGCTCTTATTATTTTGAGATATGTCCCATCAATACCTAATTTATTGAGAGTTTTTAGCATGAAGGGTTGTTGAATTTTGTCAAAGGCCTTTTCTGCATCTATTAAGATAATCATGTGGTTTTTGTCTTTGGTTCTGTTTATATGCTGGATTACATTTATTGATTTGCGAATATTGAACCAGCCTTGCATCCCAGGGATGAAGCCCACTTGATCATGGTGGATAAGCTTTTTGATGTGCTGCTGGATTCGATTTGCCAGTATTTTATTGAGGATTTTTGCATCAATGCCCATCAAGGATATTGGTCTAAAGTTCTCTTTTTTGATTGTGTCTCTGCCCGGCTTTGGTGTCAGGATGATGCTGGCCTCATAAAATGAGTTAGGGAGGATTCCCTCTTGTTCTACTGATTGGAATAGTTTCAGAAGGAATGGTACCAGTTCCTCCTTGTACCTCTGGTGGAATTCGGCTGTGAATCCATCTGGTCCTGGACTCTTTTTGGTTGGTAAGCTATTGATTATTGCCACAATTTCAGCTCCCGTTATTGGTCTATTCAGAGATTCAACTTCTTCCTGGTTTAGTCTTGGGAGGGTGTATGTGTCGAGGAATTTATCCATTTCTTCTAGATTTTCTAGTTTATTTGCGTAGAGGTGTTTGTAGTATTCTCTGATGGTAGTTTGTATTTCTGTGGGATCGGTGGTGATATCTCCTTTATCATTTTTTATAGTGTCTATTTGATTCTTCTCTCTTTTTTTCTTTATTAGTCTTGCTAGCGGTCTATCAATTTTGTTGATCCTTTCAAAAAACCAGCTCCTGGATTCATTAATTTTTTGAAGGGTTTTTTGTGTCTCTATTTCCTTCAGTTCTGCTCTGATTTTAGTTATTTCTTGCCTTCTGCTAGCTTTTGAATGTGTTTGCTCTTGCTTTTCTAGTTCTTTTAATTGTGATGTTAGGGTGTCAATTTTGGATCTTTCCTGCTTTCTCTTGTGGGCATTTAGTGCTATAAATTTCCCTCTACACACTGCTTTGAATGTGTCCCAGAGATTCTGGTATGTTGTGTCTTTGTTCTCATTGATTTCAAAGAACATCTTTATTTCTGCCTTCATTTCGTTATGTACCCAGTAGTCATTCAAGAGCAGGTTGTTCAGTTTCCACGTAGTTGAGTGGTTTTGAGTGAGTTTCTTAATCCTGAGTTCTAGTTTGATTGCACTGTGGTCTGAGAGATAGTTTGTTATAATTTCTGTTCTTGTACATTTGCTGAGGAGTGCTTTACTTCCAAGTGTGTGGTCAATTTTGGAATAGGTGTGGTGTGGTGCTGAAAAAAATGTATATTCTGTTGATTTGGGGTGGAGAGTTCTGTAGATGTCTATTAGGTCCACTTGGTGCAGAGCTGAGTTCAATTCCTGGGTATCCTTGTTGACTTTCTGTCTTGTTGATCTGTCTAATGTTGACAGTGGGGTGTTAAAGTCTCCCATTATTAATGTGTGGGAGTCTAAGTCTCTTTATAGGTCACTCAGGACTTGTTTTATGAATCTGGGTGCTCCTGTATTGGGTGCATATATATTTAGGATAGTTAGCTCTTCTTGTTGAATTGATCCCTTTACCATTATGTAATGGCCTTCTTTGTCTCTTTTGATCTTTGTTGGTTTAAAGTCTGTTTTATCAGAGACTAGGATTGCAACCCCTGCCTTTTTTTGTTTCCATTTGCTTGGTAGATCTTCCTCCATCCTTTTATTTTGAGTCTATGTGTGTCTCTGCATGTGAGATGGGTTTCCTGAATACGACACACTGATGGGTCTTGACTCTTTATCCAATTTGCCAGTCGGTGTCTTTTAATTGGAGCATTTAGTCCGTATACATTTAAAGTTAATATTGTAATGTGTGAATTTGAACCTGTCATTATCATGTTAGCCGGTTATTTTGCTCGTTAGTTGATGCAGTTTCTTCCTAGTCTCGATGGTCTTTACATTTTGGCATGATTTTGCTGCGGCTGGTACCAGTTGTTCCTTTCCATGTTTAGTGCTTTCCTTCAGGAGCTCTTTTAGGGCAGGCCTGGTGGTGACAAAATCTCTCAGCATTTGCTTGTCTGTAAAGTATTTTATTTCTTCTTCACTTATGAAGCTTAGTTTGGCTGGATATGAAATTGTGGGTTGAAAATTCTTTTCTTTAAGAATGTTGAATATTGGCCCCCACTCTCTTCTGGCTTGTAGAGTTTCTGCCGAGAGATCCGCTGTTAGTCTGATGGGCTTCTCTTTGAGGGTAACCCGACCTTTCTCTCTGGCTGCCCTTAACATTTTTTCCTTCATTTCAACTTTGGTGAATCTGACAATTATGTGTCTTGGAGTTGCTCTTCTCGAGAAGTATCTTTGTGGCATTCTCTGTGTTTCCTGAATCTGAATGTTGGCCTGCCTTGCTAGATTGGGGAAGTTCTCCTGGATAATATCCTGCAGAGTGTTTTCCAACTTGGTTCCATTCTCCCCGTCACTTTCAGGTACCCCAGTCAGACATAAATTTGGACTTTTCACATAGTCCCATATTTCTTGGAGGCTTTGTTCGTTTCTTTTTATTCTTTTTTCTCTAAACTTCCCTTCTCACTTTATTTCATTCATTTCGTCTTCCATCGCTGATACCCTTTCTTCCAGTTGATTGCATCGGCTCCTGAGGCTTCTGCATTCTTCACGTAGTTCTCGAGCTTTGGCTTTCAGCTCCATCAGCTCCTTTAAGCGCTTCTCTCTATTGGTTATTCTAGTTATACATTCGTCTAAATTTTTTTCAAAGTTTTTAACTTCTTTGCCTTTGGTTTGAATTTCTTCCTGTAGCTCATAGTTTGATCTTCTGAAGCCTTCTTCTCTCAACTCGTCAAAGTCATTATCCATCCAGGTTTGTTCCATTGCTGGTGAGGAACTGCGATCCTCAGATGGAAATGCAGAAATCACCCGTCTTCTGCGTCGCTCACGCTGGGAGCTGTAGACCGGAGCTGTTCCTATTCGGCCATCTTGGCTCCTCCCCCTTATTTTATTTTATTTTATTTTATTTTATTTTATTTTATTTTATTTTATTTTATTTTATTTGAGACAAGGTCTTGTTCTGTCACCCAGGCTGGAGTGCAAAGACTCAATCTCAGCTTGCTGCAGCCTCAACCTCCCAGGCTGAAGCGATCCTCCCACCTTAACCTCCCAAATAGCTGGGACTACAGGCATGCACCACCATGCCTGGCTAATTTTTGTTTCCTTTTTGTAGAGACAAGTTCTCACTATTTTGCCCAGGCTGGTCTTCAACTTCCAGGCTCAAGTGATCTTCCTGCCTTGGCCTCCCAAAATGCTGGGATTACAGGTATGAGCCACCATGACTGGCCTAGGTATTTTAAAAGTAAAAAAAAAAAGCTCCTTTTCTAGCAGGTGATCAGGCAGACACCTCTTCTATTGAAATACTACACAAGGAGCTGCCAGTGTATTTTAAAGCAGGATCAAATGAAAAGATTCAGATAAGCAAAGGCCTGTGGGGGAAGTAAGGCAGGGAGTAATATAAATCTCACGTGCAGTTAGAACAGTGGATTCTCAGTGGGTTGGAGCAGAAATTCCAATCATTAGAAGTTTTTCCGGGTTTACAGATCCAATCATGTGTCAAGGACATGGATCACAATATGGCTGAGGTGGTAGGCACCCATCTGGGTGAAATCCCAGGCTATTTTCTTAGTTGTATTCAAGGGTCTTATGGCCATAGTCTCTTCTACACTCTTGAGTGAAGGGTCATTCTTGTCTTCCAGGAACAGTTGGCCTTTTTGGATGAAGGTGTGATTACTGGAAAGGAGTACTGCCAGGTGATAAAGTAAGAAGACAAAGATGCAGACAATCAAAAGCAGCCACATCAGTCTGGTGATGGGCAAGGGAACACGTGTCAAAGCCAGCTGACCTTTACATACATCACGGCTAACTAGAAAACCATTTGGTGACTTGCTAGTTCCTCGAACTTCTGGGAAAGAGAATGGTGTTATAGGTGAGAGAATGGGGTGAAATCAGGGAGGTGTAAAATAACAGGATTTATTGGAAGGATAAGATTTTCAATGCAGTTGAAATAGAGGATTAAGGTGGGGGGGAATGTGGCAACAGAATTTTTGTCATCACAATAAACCAAAGGCATAATAAAGTACCTAAGAGATGTTTTGCTCAAAATTGTCCAAAATGGCACAGCCAGAGCTCTCTCTTCTAGGAGTCTATCAAGAAAATGTGTACTGATACAGAACATAGTCATAGCTGTGTGGAGGAGACATAGCTAAAATGCACAGAGAGCTTTACATGTACCATCAGATTTAATCTCCATACAACCTGTTGTGTTGTATCTACTATTATTTTCCCTACTTGATTTATGTGGAAACTAAAGCTTGGAAAGGGCAGGTAACTTCCCAGGGTAAAAGCTAACCCAGAATTAGGGCCCAGGTCTTTTGAACTTCAGGGCCTATGGTGATGACCAATAGGCGGTGCTGCTCCTCACTACACTATTCTGTGAGTATTGTATCTGTGCCTCACTTCTATACGCTAAACTGTAGCTATCAAAGGCTATTGGATTTTTTAAAAATTCAGACATTCATAGATTTAAAAAAATCTTTCCATCATTATTAACTAAGAGTTGACCATATGCTTAGTACTGGGGTAGGTTGTTTGCTTTAATTAAAGATGCAGGCATTAATCAAACATTTCCATATGAGTGTGTTGGCTAAGTTTGGTATTCTAGTGTGAAATGCAAAGTCTGTGATATTTAAACATAATTACAGAATCAAAATTGTGTGTATTCAGATGAAATTTTTCCATTGGTATTAATACATTGGATACAAGTGTAATTTTGTTACATTGATGTCTATAGTGGTGAAGTCAGGGCTTTTAGTGTATCCATCACTAGAGTAACTACATTGTACCCATGTGTGTATTATCATTGTCCTATTTTCAAAGCAGAGCAATTGCTTTTCAGAATTAAGTTTACACAGACAAGGATTTTTCCAAATTGATAATTAAATGTCCTTGCTGTAGTCAGGGTCCTAACTTCAGTCATGGGGTAGCTACTGAAATTATATATTTTTGGATGTGTGTTTGTGTGTGTGTGGGCATGTGTGTGTGTGTGTGCACGCGCATATGATGGAGGGGGTGTCACATAATTGAGAATATTGAATAGACTGGCTCAGATGGGGAAGTAGAATGAAACACCAAATCAAAGGCAAGACATCAACTGTGTGCAGTGTTGCATAAATCAAAGGGGCGCCAGATGATATGGATGTGGTTTCAGTTGTGAAAATGAAAAAGAAAGGATATATTTAGAAGAAAATTGACTGCTTAGTAGAGATTTAAAAAAACGTAAGTTTAAGGATGTGTGCTTTAAATAGGAAGATAATTATAAAATTAAGTATTCAATGAAACTATTACAATAGGGTTTTTTTCCCAATGCCTGTTGAATTTCATAGGACTTACCAAAAATTGAATACAAGTTTTTTCTTGATTTATCATATGTATAACCTATCAAAATGGTTCAACAATTTCTCTAAGTCTTGCAACAAATTAAACAACAAATTGAACTTGCAACAAACTAAACTTTAAGCTTCAGCAAAGACTAATATATTTACATGTAGAATCCTTATACTGCCTTAATGTTTATTCTTTTATCTTAAGGTCCCTGCCTGGAGAAAATTCATTTTCCTTTCTGTTTGATTGAAAGATGGTAACAACCTCCCTCCCATATTTACAATAAGATCAAAATGGCATTTTATTTGCCCATCTGGAGATCACCAAATGCGTAAAGCTTGTCCGTGTGGAGGCCATCTGTTGGGAATGGAGACACACATGGAAACTTACTCCTTGAACTTCTTTTTTAACTTTCTCTTTTGCTTGCCTGAGTAGAAGGCAATTCAGACCTGTCACTTGTGATACAAACTGTAGGCCAGGACACACTGCTGCCTTTTAATGTCACAAACCCTTTCATTTGCCCAACTGTGAATACCTCTCTGAGAAGATCTAAAGGGTGAAAAAATTTTGGCACCATCTTTCATGACACAAATTGAAGGTTAGAGTCAGAGCTTTCCCTAATGGGCTATTGCTTGGGTTGTGCTTAGAACAAGGGAAGAGTCTTGGGGAATCATAACCATACTTTTTCTTTGAAAGTATCCATGGTCTCTCTAAGTAATTCTGAATGTTGGGGAATATGGAGAAAAACACTTTCTGACTCAATTTTTTTTCTACTTTATGTCCTCACATGTTTCTATTTCAAGTTGAAGAAAATAATTTGGTTTAAAAATCATTTCAAAATGATGTTACTTGTGGTGTAGGACAAATAAATCACCAGGGCCTCGACTTCTCAGAGACACTTTGGATGTGGATAGAATTTTGCAGACTTGCACTGTTTTTATCTTACTTAGATTATATGCAGGTACAATTTCATGTCTGTAACTACCACCAGTCAGTATGTTAACTGGACTGGCTCGATGCTAAAACCCAGCACACAGCTGTGAGCAAGGAGGCCACACAGTCCTTGTCTACAAGCTTGCTGCATCAGACTGTTTTATGAACCTTCGACACTTTTAGCACCTGACTGGTTTGCCATTAAAGTCAACAAAATTGCTTCTTAAACAATAATTTTAAGATCTCAGCTTTGCACTCTACATTGCCTTGTTCTTTTAATTTTCCTCACATTCCTTTTCAACATTTCTGTATGTAGTTCTGCTTTCTCTTATACTCTTTGCTCAAATGCTAGTTATCTCTCCCATTCGTGATTAGAACTTATTTCTTGAAGTCATCTTAACCTTTATTTAAACCAGCCTCTAAAAATTCTCAACACTGCTACCAAAGTCATCTTTTCTTTCTGGCTTTTTCGCTCCCTTAAATGTATTTGTGTAGTGTTCTAAAAAAAATTCAGTGGTAATGGCAATAGCAATTTATTCCTTACTATTTTTAAAGAAAGTTGTGCTTTTGGTAATAGCGAAAAATAGAAAACAACTTAAATCTTAGACCATAGGGAACTGGATTAATGGATTATGGTGTATAAACATAATTGAATCTGAAGCAACCACTAAGGATTATTTTAGAGGAGTTGTTAACAATTTGGAAAATGTTCACAATAAATTGAGGTGGAAGACTGTGTTAGAAAATAGTATGTGAGGTATCACCACACTTTTGTAATAAGAAATTTACATGTTTGTGTAGAGAAAAGGACTGCAACTACAGAATCAAAATGTTAATTATGCTTATCTCTGATTGATGGAATTATTGGTGAGTTCATTTTATTCTTTATGAGTTTTGTATGTTCTTCAAATATTCTACAATGAAAGTATTTACTTTTAGAGCCAGAAAAATTATTTTAGAAAATGGGCAAAAACATATCACTTAAGAAGTGGTGTGATATGGTTTGGCTGTGTCCCCGTCCAAATCTCATCTTGAATTGTAGTTCCCGTAATCTCCATGTGTCATGGAAAAGACCCAGTGGGAAGTAATTGAATCATGGGGGTGGTTCCCCCATGCTATTCTCATGATAGTAAGTTCTCACAAGATTTGATGTTTTTATAAGGGGCTTCCCCCTTTGCTTGGTTCTCATTCTCTTTGCTGCCACCATGTGAAGAAGGACGTTTGCTTCTCTTTCTGCAATGGTTGTAAGATTCCTGAGGCCTCCTCATCCCTGCAGGAATGTGAGTCAATTAAATCTCATTTCTTTATAACTTACCCAGTCTTGGGTATTTCTTCATGGTAGTGTGAGAATGGACTAATACATGGTGTTTGCCTTCTATTATTCTAAAACACTTATCTAAACTCAGACCTAAAAACTGGGCAGGTAAAATGGTGTCACACCTCTAAACCAAGGAGCAGATGAGAATTCTATATTATGCATAGCAAATGAGCCAAACATCTGGGATTCTAGGACACTTTCTGCTGTTGACACCAGTAGGTGATCTGATAACATTTAAGTCTACTTATGTTTCAACATTTCTGGAAATAGTCGCATGTACCATGTTTCCTCCACTCTAAATAAGACCTCCTGGCAGCATCTTTCATTAGATGTCATAGTCAAGAACATTAGCTCTTCTGTGTAAATCCTTTGGCTGAGCCCATCTCCTTCAGCTTCTTCAAAGTTTCACCTTAATCCCTTACTTTGTTCAGTATCCTTTATATTGGGTTATCTCATATCAACCTCAGAACTTTCTCACAATGACATATTTTTGAAACATCTTTCCTGTCCTGTAAGAATATGTTAAGACATTCCCATGGCTATGTGACCATTTTCAGCTCCCAGCCAGGCCCAGCTGTGTGCATGTAGGATTACCCTCCACTCAACTTGTAGCCCAGCCTGGCCAGACAAAGAGGAGAGAAAAGGCTGCATGAGGTTATCTGCAGGGAGATGTGCCTGAGGCAACTCCAGATAACTTTTGAGCACTTCCATGAGTGGGGCTTGAGTATGGAGAAGGAGGAAGAGGAGCAGCATGGTTGAGAGAGGTGCAGGCATGGCAGAGAAAGCTGTTTTATTTTTTGTCTTTTTAATAATAGCCATTCTAATTGGGGTAAAATGATACCTTATCGTGGTTTTGATTTGCATTTCCCTGATGATTAGTGATAGTGAGCATTTTTTCATATATCTGCTGTTCATTTTTAGGTCTTCTTTTGAGAATTGTCTATTCATGTCATTTTTCCACATTTTAATGAAATATTTGTTTTGCCTTGTTATTATTGAGTTGTTTGTATATTATTGTATATTCTAGATGTTAGTCCCTTCTCAGATGAATAGTTTGCAGATATTTTCTCCCATTTAACATGTTGTCTCTTCACTCTGTCAACTGTTTCGTTTGATGTTCAGAAGGCTCTTAGTTGCATATAGTTCAATTTATCTATTTTTGTTTTAGTTGTCTGTGCTTTTGAGGTCTTAGCCATAAAATATTTGTTTAAACCAATGTCTGGAAATGTTTTCACTATGTTTTCTACTAATAATTTTATAGTTTCAGGTCTTACATGTAAGTCTTTAGTCCATCTTGAGTTGATTTTTGTATACAGTGAGAGGTAGAGGTCCAGTTTCATTCTTCTGCCTATGGATACCCAGTTTTCCCAGCACCATTTATTGAAGATGGTGTCCTTTCCCCAGTGTATGTTCTTGCCATCTTGTCAAAAATTAGTTGGCTGTAAATATGTAGATTCATTTCTGGATTCTCTATTCTGTTCCATTGGTCTATGTGTCTACTTTTATACCAATAGCATGCTGGTTTGGTTACTTTACTCTTATAATATATTTTGAAGTTAGGAAGTGTGAAGCCTCCAGCTTTGTTTTTTCTGCTCAGGATTACTTTGGCTATTCTGGCTTTTTTTGTTTGTTTGTTTCCATATGAATTTTAGGATTTTTTTTTCTATTTCTGTGAAAAATGGCAGTGGTGTTTGATAGTGAGTACATTGAGCCTATATATTGCTTTGGGTTATATGGCCATTTAAATGATATTAATTCTTTTGATCCAGGAGTATGGGATGACTTTCCGTTTGTTTTTGTCCTCTTTAACTTCTTTCATCAGTGTTTTGTAGTCTTCCTTGTAGAGATATTTCACCTCCTTAAATTTACTCCTAGGTATTTTTTTTTGTAGCTGCTGTAAATGGATTGCCTTCTTGATTTCTTCTGGCTATTTGATTATTGGTATATCAAAACACTACTGATTTTTGTATATTGATTTTGCATCTTCCAACTTTACTGAATTTGCTTATCAGATCTAAGAGATTTTTGGTGGAGGGAGTCTTTTGGTTTTTCCAAATACATCAATGATAGACTAGATAAAGAAAACATGCTACATAAACACCACAGAATACTATGCAGCCATTAAATGAACAAGATCATGTCCTTTGCAGGGACATAGATTGAGCTGGAGTCCATTATCCTTAGTAAACTAACGCAGGAACAGAAAAGCAAATACCACATGTTCTCACTCATAAGTGGGAGCTGAATAATGAGAACACATGGACACATGGGCGATGGGAAACAACACACACCAGGGCCTGTGGGAGGGCTGGGGGTGGGAGGAGAAAAAGCATCATAGCTAATAAATGCTGGGTTTAATACCTGGGTGATGGGATGATCTGTTGACCAAACCACCATGGCACACATTTACCTATGTAACAAACTTGCACATCCTGCATGTGTACCCCAGAACTTAAAATAAAAGTTGGAAAAAAGAAATTATGTCATCTACAAAGAGGGACAATTTGAATTCCTCTTTTCCAATTTGGATCCCTTTTATTTTTTTCTCTTGCTTGATTGCATTGGCAATAATATGCAGTACTATGTTGAATAGGAGTAGTGAAAGTGGGTATCCTTGTCTTGTCTCAATTCTTAGAGGAAAGGCTCTCAATTTTAACCCACTCAGTATAATCTTAGCTGTGAATTTGTCATATATGTCCTTTATTATTTTGAGATGTAATCCCTCTATACCTAGTTTGTTGAGAGTTTTTCTCATGAAAGGATGTCCAATTATATCAAATATTTTTTCTGTATCTATTGGGATGATTATATGGTTTTTGTCCTTCATCCTGTTGATGTGGATATATAATGTTTACTGATTTCTGTATGTTAAAACATTCTTGCATCCCTGATATAAATTCCACTTGATCATGGTGTATTATCTTTTTGATGTGCCGTTGAACTCGGTTTGCTAGTATTTTGCTGAGGATTCTTGTGTTTATGTTCAGCAGGGATATTGGCCTGTAGTTTGTGTGTGTGTGTGTGTGTGTGTGTGTGTGTGTGTGTGTTCTTGTCTGGTTTTGGTATCAGATTAATGCTGGTGCCATACAATGAGTTAGGGAGAATTCTCTCCCTTCAATTGTTTGGAATAGATAGAGGAGCATAGATATTAGTTCTTTTTATGTTTGGTAAAATTTGGCAGTGAATCTATTCAGTCTTGGGCTTTTCCTTTTTGGGAGACTTTTTATTATTGATTTAATATTGCTACTCATTATTAGTCTATTCAAGTTTTTAATTTCTTCCTGATTCAGTGTTGGTAGGTTTTATGTTTTCTGGAATTTATTCATTTCCTCTAGGTTTTCCAGTTTGTTATCATATAGTTGTTCATAATAGTCTCTGATAATCTTTTGTATTTCTGTGGTATCAGTTGTAATGTCTCCTTCTTCATTTCTGATTTTGTTTATTTGGGTTTCCTTCTTTTCATGGTTAGTCTAGCTGGTGGTTTATTGATTTTGTTTATATTTTTGAAGAACTAACTTATTGTTTTGTTGATTCTTTTCATTTTTAAGCTCTATTTCATTTTCTTCTGCCTTAATCTTTATTATTTCTCTTCTGCTACTTTTGAGTTTGATTTATTCTTGCTTTTCTAGTTCTTTGAGGCACATTGTTAGATTGCTTATTTGAGACTTTCCTATTTTTTGATCTAGGTGTTTATTGCTATAAACTTCCCTCTTAATACTGCTTTTGCTGTATCCCACAGGTTTTGGTATGTTGTGTATCCATTTTCATGTGTTTCAAGATATTGTTTGGTTTATATCTTGATTTCTTTATTGACCTAATGGTTGTTCTGGAGCATGTCATTTAATTTTTATGTATTTGTATGCTTTCCAAAGTTCCTTTCATATTTATTTCAAGTTTTATTCCATTGTGGTCTGAGAAGATACTTGATATGATTTTGATTTTTAAAAATTTGTTGAGTTTTTTTGTTGTCTAACATATGTTTTTTTTCTGGAGAGTGTTTCATGTGCTGATAAGAAGAATGTGTATTCTGCAGTTGTTGCATAAAATATTCTGTAAATGTGTGTTAGGTCCATTTTGTCTAAAGTCCAGTGGGTGTTAAAAATCCCCTGCTATTATTGTATTAAAGTCTATCTCTCTGTTTATATCTAGTAATATTTGCCTTATGAATCTGGTTGCTCTATGTTGGATGCATATATATTTAGAATTGGTATATCCTTCTCCCTGGATCAATCCCTTTATTGTTATGTAATGACCTTCTTTGTCTTTTTTAAAAACTGTTTTTGACTTAAAATCTCTTTTATATGATATCAGCATAGCTATTCCTGCTTGCTTTTGGTTTTAATTTGCATGAAATATCTATTTCCATCTCTTCAGTTTCAGTCTATATGTGTTTCTATAGGTAAAATGTGTTTCTTATAGGCCACATACAGTTGGATCTTTCTTATTTTTTATTTTTGACAGGGCCTCACTTTGTCACTCAGGCTGGAGTGCCGTGGCAAAATTATGGCTCACTGCAGCCTTGACTTTCTATGCTCAAACAATCCTCCCACCTCAGCCTCCCAAGCAGTTGGGACTACAGGCACATGCCACCATGCCTGGCTAATATTTAATATTCAATTTTTTTGTAGAGATAGGGACTCACTGTGTTGCCCATGTTGGTCTTAAACTCCTGGGCTCAAGAAATCCTCTCACCTTGGCCTCGCAAAACGTTGAGACTACAGGCATGAGCCACTGCAACCAGCCATTTTTTAAAAAAACTCTATTCGGCCAGTCTGTATATTTTGAGTGAAGAATTTAATTCATTTACATTCAAAGTTATTATTGATATGTGAGGTTTTGTTCCTGTCGTCAAATTGTTAACTATTTTCTGATTGTTTCCTATCTTCTTTGATCCTTTCTTTTTCTCTTACATTTGTCATCATGGTTTGGTGGTTTCCTGTAGTGATGATTTGAATCCTTTCTCTTCCTCATTTGTGTACTTGCCTTACTAGCGTATTTTGTAATTTTGTGTGTTTTCATGATGGTAAATATCATCCTTTTGCTTCCTGGTTTAGTACTCCTTTGAGAATTTCTTGTAGGGCTGGTTCAGTGGTAATAAATTTTCTCAGCTTCTGTTTGTATGGGAAATACTTTATTTCTCCTTCATTTATGAAGGATAATGATGCCAGATATAGTATCTTTGACTGGCAGTTTTCTTCTTTCATCACTTTAAATGTATCATCCCATTCTCTCCTAGCCTGTAAGGTTTCTGCTGAGAAATCCATTTTTCATTTAATGAAGATTCCTTTATAGGTGACTACACACTTTTCTCTTGCTGTTTTTAGAATTCTTTCTTTGCCATTGACTTTAGATATCTTGATTAAAATGTGCTGTGAAGAAGAGCTTTTTTATTGTATCTATTTGGGGATTGCTAGGCTCCTTGTATATGGCTGTCCTAATCTCTTGCTGGACTTGGAAGCTTTCATGTACTATTTTGTCAAATAAGTTTTCTAAACCATTTATTCTCTCTTCACCCTCTAGTACCCTGATAATTTGAATATTTGGTCACTTTATGGTGTTCTGTATGTCAGGAAGGCTTCACTCATTCTTTTAATTTTTTTTTCCTTTTTTTCTTACTGGGTTATTTAAAATGATGTGATTCAAGTTCTCAGATTCTTTCTTCTTCTTGATTTAGTCTATTGTTGAAGCTTGTATTTCATTCAATAAATTATTCAGTTCCAGAATTTCTGGGGTCTTTTTAATGATATCTGTCTCTTTGGTAAATTTCTCATTCATATTCTGAATTGTTTTTTTAAATTTCTTTTTCAGAATTTTCCTGTATCTCACTGAGCTTCTTTTGAATCAATAATCTGAATTCTTTTTTCAGGATCTTATGACTTTCTTTTTTACTGTGATCTGTTGCTGGAGAATTATTGTGTTCCTTTGGAGGCATCATATTTCCTTGCTTTTTCATGTTTCCTGTGTCCTTATATTGATATTTGTGCATCTAGTGTAATAGTCATTTCTTCTACTTTTCTACTTTGTGAATTTGTTTATATATGGGAAGATGTTTTCCTGAAGATGATTAATCTATAGTGCTGGTGGGGTAGGGCACTTTGGCTGTAATTCTTGCTGTGTGCAGTAGTGTAATCTCTGTATCATTTCTTTGGCTGTAAACAGCACCAGTGGTATCTGATTTTTTTCAGTGTCTCAGGGTGCAGTTATTAGTGGAGGCTGTGTTGAAGTTTTGCTGGGGACTGGAATGCCATGTAGGCCAGTCTTTTGGTTCCAGTGGTGGTAGTGGCAGGATGAGCATGCCTGTTTTGGGGCCCTAGGGTGATGTACACTGGTACTGGTATTAGCAGGTCCAGGCAGGCTAATTCTTGGGCCTTCAGGTGGCATACTCAGATGCCAGCAGTGGCGGCAGTGGGCTGGGCAGGTGGGTGGGTTCTCAGGTCCCTGGGCAGCTGGTGTGACATGGGCACTGGCAGGGGCAAGATGACCCTCTGTGTCCTGAAAGTTGTGTGTGCTTGTGTAGGCAGTGGCTACAGTGGGCTAGATGGTTCAGTCTCCAAGCCAGCAGGTGGCACATGCAAGTAGGTGCCAGCTGAGGATGTGGTGACCCAGTGGATAGTCCTAACTTCAGGGCCCTGTGGGGGAGTGTTAAGGTACCAATAATGGTGGAGTAGGTTGGGAAAATCCCTGGCATCCAAACTGTGTGCTTTGGCTTGGGGTGGCAGTGGAGGGTTGGGGACTTGCACAGCTAGGCCAGGTGGTCTTATCTTCAGGCCTTCCGATGAAGTGTGTGGGTGCCAGCCATAATAGGGAAAAGTGGGGTAATCCCCAGCCCATCTGAATAATGCTCAACTCGAGGGTGGCAGTGGCTGCAATCCTGCCCTGTTATTAGGGAGGGCAGGCTGATGGGTGGGGAACATACACACCACTTGTGACTCAGCTCTGGTAGTGTTCATGCTTCAGTCCCTGCTTTAGTAACCCTGCCTCAGTCATGCCTTAGCCGCAGCTGCAGTGGCCTATGGTCGCTCATGGAACCCTGGAGGCATCAGTCTGTGCTTTTCTCTTTTTTTTTCTCCTTGATTTCTTTTAATTCCTGGAAACACTGAATTGTTGGATGTTAGGAATATTATAAGGCTGAAGAATATGGTTTAATATTTCACAGTTGTAAACGCGTGTGTGTGTGTGTGCACGTGTGTGCATGCATACACATGTGTGGGATCAGCAATATAATTTGCAGGGCCCAGTGCAAAATGAAAGTACAAGTCTCCGTGTTCAAAAATTATTTAGAATTTCAAAATGGCAACAGCAGAGACTAAGTTCTGAGCGCAAAGCCATGTGCATAGGTTGCATGTCTGTGAAGCTGGCCTTGTTTGTATGTTTTTTTTTAATTCAACAGTTTTGGGGGAACAGGTGGTTTTTGGTTACATGGATAAGTTCTTTAGTCATGATTTCTGAGATTTTGGTGCATCTGTCACCTGAGCCATGTACACTGTACCCAATATATAGTCTTTTATCCCTTATCCCCCTCACCGTTCTTCCCCCTGAATCCCCAAAGTCGATTATATCATTCTTATGCCTTTGCATCCTTATAGTTTAGCTCCCATTTATGATATTTTCTGCCTGGACCTGCTAATACCAGTACCAGTGTACACCACTCTAGGGCCCCAAGACAGAGATGCTCAGCCTGCCATTGACACCAGTGGGACCAAAAGACCGGCCTGCATGGCATTCCAGTCCCCAGCAAAACTTCACCACGGCCTCCACTAATATATGATATTTGGTTTTCCATTCCTGAGTTACTTCACCTAGAATAATGGCCTCCAACTCCATCCAAGTTGCTGCAAAGGCCATTGTTTTCTTCCATTTTATGTCTGAGTAGTATTCCATGGTGTATATGGAATTTTCTTTATCCACTCGGTTGATGGGCATTTAGGTTGGTTCCATATATTTGCAATTACGAATTGTGCTCCTATAAACATGTATGTGCATGTGTCTTTTTTACATAATGACTTCTTTTCCTTTGGGCAGATACCCAGTAGTGGAATTGCTGGATCAGATGATAGTTCTACTTTTAATTCTTTAAGGAATCTCCGTACTGTTTTCTATAGTGGTTTTACTAGTTTACATTCCCACTAGTAGTGTAAAAGTGTTCCCTTTTCAACATATCCATGCCAACATCTACTATTTTTTTATTTTTAACTATGGCCATTCTTGCAAGAGTAAGGTGGTATCTCATTGTGATTTTAATTTGCATTTCTCTGATAATTAGTGACGGTGAGCATTTTTTCATATGTTTGTAGGTTGTTTGTATATCTTTTTTTGTGGATTATCTATTCATGTCCTTTGCCCAGTTTTTTGATGGGATTGTTTTTTTTTTTCTTGCTGATCTGGTTGAGTTCCTTGTAGATTCTGGATATTATTTCTTTGTCAGATGCATAGTTTGCAAATATTTTCTCCCACTCTATGGTTTGTCTGTTTACTCTGCTAATTATCTTTTCTGCTGCACAGAAGCCTTTTAGTTTAATTACATCCCATTTATCTATTTTGCTTTTGTTGCATTTGCTTTTGGGTTCTTAGTTGTTCTTCTTTTTTTCCTCAGCCTTTGTGCTGCTGGACTCCAGGACAGTGTGCAGTCTGTTATGGGTAGGCCTCTAAAATGGCTTCTTGCTGTAGCTGCTTAGGTTTCAGGGAATGTGTGGGACCTAGCATGGGCTCCCTCCCTCTAACTGTGCCATCACACAATATCCTGGCAGCTCCATATGTTAATTTCAGGGCTCAAAGATGGTTGAGGGGCTCTCTCATAGCTAGGATTGTGGAAGTCCACAGTAGAAATGTGGACTGTTGAGGGGCTCTCACTTACCCTTTTGGTAGTTCTGTTTTTAATTTTTAAGGAACCTCCCTACCGTTTTCCATAATGGAAAATGGTACCAATTTATATTTCTACTAACAGTGTACAACGGTTCACATTATTCTACATCTTTTCCAACACTTGCTATCTCGTGTTTTTAAATAATAGCCATCCTAACAAGTGTGAGGTGATATCTCATTGTGGTTTTGATTTGCATTTTTGTGATGATTAGTGGTGTTGAGCACCTTTTCATATACCTATTGGGCATTTATATGTGCTCTTTTGAGAAATTTCTATTCAGGTATATTGCTTATATTTAAATTGGGTTATATGTTTTTTTGCTATTGAGTTGTATATGTTCTTTACGTATTTTGGATATTAACCCCTTGTCAGATGTATCGTTTGTGAATGTTTCCTCCCATTCTCTAAGTTGTCTTTTCATTTTATTGGTTGTTTTCTTTGTTATGTGGAAGATTTTTAGTTGATATAGTCCCCTTGTTGGTGTCTGTTTTCATTGTCTGTGCTTTGGGGATCATATACAAAAAAATTATTGCCAGGAGCAATGTCAAGGAACTTTTTCTCTATGTTTCCTTCTAGAAGTTTTACAGTTTCAGGTCTTACATTTATTCAAATTTTCAATTCATTTTGAGGTAATTTTTGTGTATAGTGTAAGATAAGGATCCAAATTCATTTATTTGCCTGAAGATATCCAATTTTCCTAGCACCATTTATTGAAGACCCTATCATTTCCCTGTTGTGTATTCTTGGTTTCTGTTTCAAAGATTATCAACCACATATGTGTGAGTTTATTTTTGGGCTATCTCTTCTGTTCCATTGGCCTATGTGAATGTTTTTATGCCAGTACCATACTGTTTTGATTACTATAGCTTTGTAGTGAACTTTGAAACCAGGTAGTGTGATGCCTCCAGCTTTTTTTTTTTTTTTTTAATTGAAGATTGCTTTGGCCATTTGGGGTCTTTTGTGGTCCCATACAAATTGTAGTGGCTTTTTTCTATTCTGTGAGGAGTGACATTGGAATTTTGATAAGAATTGCATTGAAACCTGTAGATAACTTTGGATAGTATGAACATTTTAACAATATTAACTTTTTCAATCCATGAACATGGGATGTCTTTTCATTTATTTCTATCTTCTTCAATTTCTTTTATCAATGTCTCATTGTTTAGTATACATATCTTTCACCTCCTTGGTTAAATTTATTCCTAAGTATTTTATTCTTTTTGATGATAAATGAGATTTTTTTCTTAATGTCTCTTTTTCAGGTAGTTTGTTGTTAGTGTACAGAAACACAACTAATTTTACGTATTTGTTTAGTATCCTACAACTTTACTAAATTAGTTTATTAATTCTAACAATTTTGATAGAATCTTTAGGATTTTTACATATGAGATCATGTCATCTGAAAACAGAGATAATTTGACTTCTTTCATTCCAATTTGGATCCTTTTATTCCTTTAGCTACTCTAATTGTTCTGGCTATGACTTGAATGTTGCAGTTAATAGATGTGGCAAGGATGGACATCCTTGTCTTTTTCCTGATCTTAGAGAAATGCTTTCAGCTTTTCACTAGCAAGTATGATGTTCATTGTGGGTTTGTCCTATATTGCCTTTATTATGTTGAGGTACTTTTCTTTTGTGCTTAAGTGGTTGACAAGTGTCTTTTTTTAATTATAAAAAGATATTGTATTTTGTCAAATGCTTTCTCTGCATCTATTGAGATAATAATGTGATTTTAATCTTTCATTATATTAATGTGATGTATCATGTTTATTGATTTGTATATGTTGAACCACTTTTTCATCTCAAGGATAAGTCCCACTTAATCACGTTGAATGGTTCTTTATTGTGCTGTTGAATTGGGTTCGCTAGGATTTGGTTGAAGTTTTTTGCATCCATACACATCAGAGATATTGGCCTGATTTCATGTTCTTGTCTAACTTTGGTATGAGGGTAATGCTGGCCTCATAAAATGAGTTTAGAAGCACTCCCTCCTCAAGACTAAGCAAAGAGAAGAAATCTGGAGGCATCACATTACCTGACATCAAACTATACTATAAGGCCATTGTCACCAAAACAGCATTGTAGTGGTATAAAAATATGCAAATAGACCAAAATGAAACAATAGAGAACCCAGATATAAAGCCAAATACATACAGCCAACTGATGTTGACAAAGCAAATCAAAACATAAGGTAGGGAAAGAATGCCCTATTCAACAAATGGTGCTGGGATAATTGGAAAGCCAGGATCCAGTAGAAGAATGAAACTGAATCCTCATCTCTCACCTCATACAAAAATCAACTGAGTATGGATTAATGACTTAAATATAAGACCTGAAACCATACAATTTCTAGAAGATAACATCAGAAAAACCCTTCTAGACACTGGCTTAGGCAAAGACTTCATGTCCAAGAACCCAAAAGCAAATGCAGCAAAAACAAAAATAAATAGATGGGACTTAATTAAACTAAAAAGTTTCTGCACAGCAAAAAAAAAATCATCAGTAGAGTAAACAGACCACCCACAAAGTGAGAGAAAATCTTCACAATCTATACATCTGCCAAAGGACTAATATCCAGAATCTACAAGGAACTTAAACAAATCAGCAAGAATAAAACAAACAAACCCATCAAAAAGTGGTCTAAGGACATGAATAGACAGTTTACAAAAGAAGATATACAAATGGCCAACAGGCATATGAAAAAATGCTCAACATTGCTAATGATCAGGGAAATGCAAATCAAACTACAATGTGATACCATCTTCTGCAAGAATGGCCATAATCAAAAAATAAAAAAAATAGATGTTGATGTGGATATTGTGAAAAGGGAACACCTTTACACTGCTGGTGGGAATGTAAACTAGTACAGCCACTATAGAAAACAGTGTAAAGATTCCTTAAATAACTAAAAATAGAACTACCATTTTATTCAGCAATCCCACTACCGGGTATCTACCCAGAGGAAAATAAGTCATTATACAAAAAAGATAATTGCACGCACATGTTTATAGCTGCACAATTCATAATTGCAAAAATATGGAACGAGTGAAAATGCCCATCAATCATTGAGTGGATAAAGTAATTGTGGCATATATATATACCATGGAATACTATTCAGCCATAAAAAGGAATAAAATAATGGCATTTACAGCAACTTGGGTGGAATTGGAGACTGTTATTCTAAGTGAAGTAACTCAGGAATGGAAAACCAAACATCGTATGTTCTTACTCTTAATTGGGAGCTAAGCTATGAGGATGCAAAGGCATAAGGATAATACAATGAACTTTGGGGACTTGGGAAGAAAGAATGGGAGGTGGGTTAGGGATGAAAGACTACAAATTGGGTACAGTGTATACTCTTTGGGTGATGGGTGCACCAAAACCTCACAAATCACTGCTAAAGAACTTACTCATGTAATCAAACAACAACTGTTCCCCAAAAACCTATGGAAATAAAAATTTTAAAAAAGAAAAAGTGTTCCCTCCTCTTCAATTTTTTGAGAGCTTGAGAAGGATAAGCATTCGTTCTTCTCAACATGTTCAGAAGAATTCAACCATGAAGCTACCTTGCCTTGGGCTTTTCTTTGTTGGGAGGTTTTGATTACTGCTTCAATCTCCTTACTCATTATTGTTTTGTTCAGATTTTCTGTTTATTCATGATTCAGTCTTGGTAGGTTGTGTATTTCTAGAAATGTATCCATTTCTTCTAGGTTATCCAATGTGCTGGTCTATAATTATTCATTGTAGTCTCTTACGATGCTTGGTATTTCTGTGGCATTAATTGTAAGGTATCCTCCTCCATTTATAATTTTATTTATTTGAACTCTTTTTCTGTTGGTTAATTGAGCTAAAGGTTTGTCGATTTTTTTTAAGACAGATCCTCACTCTGTTGCCCAGGCTGGAGTGCAGTGGTGCCACCTCAGCTCATGGCAACCTCTGCCTCCTGGGTTCAAGCAATTCTCTAGCCTCAGCCTCCTGAGTATCTGGGATTACAGGCACCTGCTACCAAGTCTGGCTAATTTTTGTACTTTTAGTAGAGATGGAGATTCACCATGTTGACCAGGCTGGTCTTGAACTCCTGATCTCAAGTGATCCACCTGCCTCAGCTTCCCAAAGTGCTGGGATTACAGGTGTGAGCCACTGTGCCAGGCCAGGTTTGTCAAATTTTATCTTTTCAAAAAGCCAACTCTTAGTTTTGTTGATCTTTTCTATTGTTTTTCTAGTCTCTATATTATTTATATTTGCTGTGATCTTTATTATTTTCTTCCTTCTACTAATCTTGGGCTTAGTTTTTTCTTCTTTTGCTAGTTCCTTGAAGTGTAGCATTCGATTGTTTGAGGGCTTTCTGTTTTCTTAATGTACACATTTATTACTATGAATTTTCCTTTAGAACTGCTTTTGCTGCATTCCATAAGTTTTGATATTACAATTATCTTTCGAGAAGACTCAGCTTTGAGAAGACTCCCTCTGTGATCAATACATTTTCCTCCAATTTCTTAAGAGTGTGGTCTCTTATATAAAATCTTTTTACAACTCACTTCAATCAGTTAAATATTATTTAAAATTAATTTTATTTTAAAACTGCATGGCAGACAATTTCAAATTATGTTTAAGTTTTTCCATCAACTCTGGCCTACACCAACTGTATAGGCTTTGCTCACATATGCCAATGTTAATGTTGTTTTCACCTCCATTTCATCTGTTTTCTCCCTCCCACTTTTAACAGCTAATGTGTGGATAACATTATCATATCAACTCTTTAGGAGTCCATGGTGAAATCACTTTAAATCTACTTGGTTTTCTGTTTAAATATTAACTTAAACATATGAAGTGACGACAGCAATGTCATGAAATTGATTTGGATTACTATTAAGAAAGTAATTGGATTGATTTTTAAAAACTTGACTTGCTATTCATCAAGTGTTTCTGTATAAAAAGTCAGATAAAAATGGAACCAACCTGAAAAATGGCACAGGATTTTGTTCAGCCTTATAACTATGACCAAAGCCACCCTGTAAATGCTTGCCTTATCATTTCTTTCCATCTTTCTCCATCCATTAGCCTCTTACTTAATATTGAAGACTCAACTCTAACCCTAATTCCTTTGTAAAGTCTTCCCTCACTACCTCAACTGCTAGTGCTCTGGTACCTCCTCTGATCTTCTAGTTTAATTATTCTTTGAAAAATAGTTATTGATCACATATTTATTGAAAGTTGTATTTGTTATAAAGCAGTGAAAAAACAAACCAACAGTTCTTTAAGCATATAGTAAACCGAGTTAAGTTACATGAGGAAAAAGTAGAAGATACTGTGGGAAAGGATAATGGGAGACCATTCTAGAGGGGGGATCCGTGGAAGGTCTCCTTGAGACAATGATTTTTAGTTCATGTCCTGATTGTTGGAGAGGATGAATTAGGAGGGGAAGAAGGGAGTAGGTTCTAGTTATAGGGAACAGTGTGGCTCTGAGTGTCCTGAAACTTGTAAGAATTTAAAGCATTTCAGGAACAGAGAAAAGCCCAATGTATTTGGAGTTAGGCAAGTGAGGGAGAGAGCATAGAGAGATGAGGTTAAGGGGAAGAGTGGGGATGGATTATGCAGGGCTAAATAGAATGTATTAAAAATGGTGAACTTTTCTTGACATCAATGGGAGGCCTTTAACATCAAGCAGGGCTGTGACAGAGTATATTTGGATTTTATGAAAGACCTCTTTGACTCTTGTGAGAAGGATAGACTGCAGGAGGCAAGGGAAGATGAAAGAAAGCCAGTTAGGAAGTTTCTGCACCTATTAAAGGTAAGAGATGATGGTGGCTGGTACTAGCGAGGTAGTAATGGAGATAAAGACGTGAACATATTTGAGATGTAACTGATTATCTGTATCATTCATTTGGCACTTACGGCATATTGCTCTGAAATTTAAAAAATTATGTGTCTTTTCCTCACTTCTACCTCTCCTTCCTGAAGATAGGGACTATACCTTTTATTTCTCATGGTGACTTGAACAGAGTGGACACTATATGAAGACTGGTGAGTTGATTTAAAAATGTAATAGAGGAGCAGACTTTATATTTCTGTTATTACCACCGCCTGGCTTCTTTTAAACCGAAGCTTGATTTCTTTTAGGATCCTATAGTCTTCACTTTCTCGTGGCCCCATCCCCATCCTTGCTTGTACTTCCTTATCCTGGCAGCACTTAAAAATATGACTTTGAAGCGAAATCAAGTTAAACATGGTAGCAGATAAAGATATTAATAAATTTTTGTTAGTCTCTCCTTCTGTATGTTGTAAAAATATATTTATTGAAACTCTCTGTGCATAAAAAATGCCTTCTTTTTAAGGAATTCTAGAAAACCCTAAAGAGACTACCACATCAGAAGTAGAGCACAGACCATTATTCACTTGTTTCATTTTCTCTGTGGCAGGTGAAGGTGTGAATTATGCCACAGAAGTTATTCCAGCAAGAGCACCTGCTGGGACAGGGCTTCTAGAATGAGCAACATTTGTTTGGTGTAATCTTAGAAGCACCAAAATATACTCCTCTCCTAGGTTTCTCTTGTTCAGCTTGCCAGGCTGTGTGGCCTCTGGAGTCCTCCAGTCAGCCCTCCTTTGGGTTAGTGCCTGAGCATGTTATTAGACACAAGCACTCCCCAATATCCCAAGGTTTTCTGCAGTCAGTGTGGCCTTGTAAAACTCCCTGTGTCTCTATGCTGTGATAGATGAAGTCTACGGTACTTTTAAATGCAAACTTTTTAGGATTGTATTTTATTAGTATCTTACCATGTATTAATCTAGTGAAGTGACTTCAGATATCCAAGGAGATTTCTTAAGGAAAGCTCTAGTGCATGGAGCATTGCCTGGAGCACTGCATGGAGCACAGCTGCCTCCCCCCTCACCACTGTCCATCAGAGCCATAGGCCTCACAGGATTTTTAGGGAACAAACTCCTGCTTTGCCTGACAAGTCAGATGATGTTCAGCATCAAGAAGATTTTTAGTCATGACCACAGAAATATTCAGGTATAATAAAGCCCCTAAAAGGGACAGGAATTTCTAAATATAGGCATATGCTGGAAAAAAGGTGGAATAGTTCTTATTCCAAGGCCCCAACCTGAAATAAACGAACAAATAAAAGTTAGGGAAGGACAACTGGACTCTGTTATTCTTGCAGCAGGAAGAACTCTGGGTAGTCATGGTTTTTATGATTCTTCTCTTGATCCCTGGCACCTAGCACAGTGTGGCATACCATAAGCACACTGTCAGTGTTTATTGAATGAATGGAAGACACATTCCAGTGCCAGCAGGGTGGGAGTTCCTTAATGTGCACATACCGCCTGCCTTGAGTGGGTAAGGAACAGTCCCAGCTAGGCTTTAAATGTAACACCTTCTTAAGGTGGCTTGGTAAGGCATGCAGAGTGAAGGTGCAGAGGGAGGGAATGTCACCCATAGTTTCCCAAAGGCTATTCCAGCCTTTATTTGACCCCAGGAATAATGCTTACATAGGATGGCGTGCTGATTCAAGCTTGTGGGAAAATTACCCTTTTCAGTGAGAGTTGTCAGAAACAAGACTCCAAAGCAGAAGAAAATGGAATCTGCTGTTTTTCTTCTTGTGAGTGTCTGGCTGTCTAGAAAAATCTCAAAGCCTTGACTTTGAGGATTAGCTCTGCCCAGGTGCAGCCTGGTTTTTTTATCCCCATTAAAATCCACCAAGGGGACTTGTAACGTGCCGCAGAAATAATAGAGATGTAAGGTGGAATTTACACATCTGGAGAGCTTTTAATGAATGAGGAAATAGGGATGGTTACCTGGCAACCCTGAGTAAGTGCAAATTAATCCATTTTTATTTGCTGTCAGGAGGGCAGTTCAAGGCTTCCACTTTGTTGGGTCAGAATGAAAGCTGATGATGCTCTAGTGGAGTTTTGGGATTTTGCTTAATTTTAATTTCACCCTCATCTCTATGCTTGGTACTTATCCTGCTGGCACAAATTTGAAATGGGTTGACTCCACTATAGGCCTTTATTTGGAGCAGTTATTCTAACTCATGAATCCTTATAAAATGTTGGTGAGGCACACCAGTCAAGTTCTGTTTCTCAGTTTGAAGCCTGTGAAGATCAAGGAGTTCAGTGTTAAGTTACTCTTCTGGTGTTGGCCAGAATAAAGGCAGAATTGTCAGACTGGTCAGTTTGTTTATGGCTCCCTTTAATTGTGCCCTGTCTACACAGGCTGTGGTAGTCTCATGGTATCTTGACTTCAACCTGAAGATAATTTATACTAAGGTACTAACAATACCGTGATACTGTTTTAATTCAATAAAAATTAATTTTTGTTAAATTTCATTGCATTTTTTTGTTACGAGTTTTTGTTACAAAAAATGCAATGGATAAAGATGATAGTTCCTTTTGGTTTGTAAGGAAGAGATGATAGTTACAAGCAGAGCTAACATCTCTGTGCCTAATACATTAATTTTTATTAAGAAGAAATATTGTTAATACCTTTATTTATGTTATTGTAGCTTAATTAAGATTTTATAGGTAGTATTGGTGACCACAGCTAATTCTGGGGGTTGTCATATTTTGTTTAGAGTTGCCATATTACATGCTATAGTGCAAAGTATATTAACTTGGGTAGCAGAAGCTGTGTTCCTATTCCTTAGCCATTCTGAGTGTCAGTGTAAAATGACAGTTATTCTCGATAAGCACAAAATTCCTACCCATGTTTAAATTCTATGACTTCATGACTATGTTTAAACCGAGATTAGGGAATGATTATATCTTAAAACTAAGAGAATTAAGTACATGCATGTGTACTCTGATAGACTCTTATTTGTTCAAATGTTCTGTTTTTGGTACTTAAAAAAAATTCCACTGGTGTTGTCTATTTATTGGAGACAGCCTGGGGGTCCTTAACCCCTGACTTGATTCTTTTTTTTTTTTTAACCTAAAACACTGCTTGGCTTTGGATTTGACTTTTTTGATTCCAGCAGCCACCTGATCAGTCCTGCCTGTTTGCACCACACCCCGCACCTCCTTCAAAAGCTCGAGAATCCGGCCCGTATACTGGGACAAGCCATGTTGGAGAGCAACACTTTCCAATATGGACCTGAATATACTTTTCCTTGCCAGAGATTTTTCCCATCAGAATAATGAAGCATTTAACATAGTTTTTCTAATTCCTCTATTGTTATCATGGTTTAAAAACAAGAATGCTTGTTTCCAGATGTCTCATTTGACAGTACCCAGGAACACATGGGAATATTTTGTAGTGGCTGACAGAGTGGGTTGGAGAAAATAAAAAACAGATGGACACAGATTAACCCTATCTGTTCCTGGTCTAGGCTTCTCTCTGGATTCTAGTCATGGGATTTTTTTTTCTACCAGTTTCATCTCATAAGGGCAATCACAAGCTTGGCAATGAATCAGAGGAAAACACTGAGTACTGGTTCGAGCACCCCGTGTGTAAATTCATGTTACATTATATACTGCCTGGTGTTGGGCAGTATTTTGTATCAGTTGATCTCTAGATGCAAAGAGGGAGATTTGGCCTGAATAAAACACTCTTTGACCAGCCACTCCTGCTGTTCAATAATTATAGGGAAAGTTAGTACTCAAAGACCCTCTGGGTAAATTAACATTGCTTCCTATTAGCCATAATTTGAACCTTGAATATGTATGTGGTCTTCTTTTATGCTGAACATAATAACTTTTTCTACATAAGATCTAAAGATAAAGTGGACTTCTTGGCCCCGTTTCTTTGAGTCCATTATCATGATCTCAGCCTTCTGGATCTTTTTACTCTGATTATGAGAAGAGGTATGAGAAGTGAACAGAAACAGATATCTTCCTCAGAGGGATGAGCCTCGCCATCCCTTCCTTGAAAGTCACAGGTTTAGCATATTTTTGAGGAAAGGAGGCCTCTACTTCCAACTAGGAGATGGTTCAATTCTGTCTCCCATCACCAGTCTCATAGGCATGTCTTAGGTCCTACATACAGAACCTATGATAGGGATTATTGTCAAGCAATTGATTGATGGAGTACTCTCCAAAGAAGAGAAGTGAGAGAAGCAGGGTAGGGCAGTAAAGAATGCTAACCAAGGAAGTTGTCTGTCCTGGAAACTAGTTTCAGTCTGGCTGCATGAGGAAGCCTTGGGGCACAACGTACACCACAGAGATGTTCTTGACTTGAGGCAAGAGGGCTGATCTGGTCTTTTGTACCCTCAGATCAAGTCAGTCTTTGGCCACGGGCTGCCCCTAAGAAGGAATAGGGTAATCTCCTAGTCCTGTTTGGTCAAGGGCAATTACCTGGAGAAGAGGGCAACTGTGTACCTTTTGCAGCCAAAACCCACAGCAGCCAGGGCATGGACACACTAACCTAGGCAAGGTGATCTTGCAGGGCACCAAAAGAACCCACTATGGGTGGGAAGAGAGAGAAATAAGTCATGCCAAAGTTATTATAATGCAAGGGGGAAATAATTTATTCACTTCTTTTACCCAAAGCTCTACTCTTTACAATGGAATGTTCTTGACATGTATCAGAGCTTCTTCTTCTTGACAATAGAGCTGGTGGGAAGGAGAATCTTGAGCTATCCCCAGGGATTAGAGAATGTATTTAATTTGGATCCAAAAGCTTCTGCATAGGATTCCTCTGGCAATAGAGAATAACAATATGCTTGATAGCTGCCCAGTTAGTTTTTAACGTGGAGAACAGTGATGTCTTTGGGATTTTCTCTACTTTCATTTAGTTATGTCACTTTTGTATGTTTGTACATCTTGGAAGATTGCTTCCATTCTTCATAGCTGGGATCCAATAAAAACTTCCTAAAAAGAGGCACTAGGTTCGTGTACTTATTTTATTACTTCTGGGTCTCTATTTCATAGATTGTCATTCTATCATTTTGGTAATAGTTGGAAAATTGTAGATTCTTGGAACTTAAATATTAGTTTATACAATTTCTTAATTTCAAAAATGAGATTCTAGAGCCCAAAAGTTAAATAACTTGTTCAGGTTATAGAACAAATTTGTCCTAGAGGGAGAGAAACTGAGCAGCAACTGGATTTGTGCTATTGATTTTGATTTGCAATGCAAATCATTTGCAATGATTTTGAGTTTTTTTTTACCCCAGTTTTCTTTTCTTATCAGTGATAACTATGAAGTAATCACTTTTTGATAATATTTTTTCACAGTCCTCTTAGGGTGAGGAGAGTTTTCAATACCCTCCTTGTAACAGGGGAACATTCCTCCTCCTCCTTCTTCCTTCTTTCTTTTACTTAAGAAGAAATTATAATCCAGTTGTTTAGATTGAAGGAAAATGATTACACCATGGTTGCCATGGTGTAGTGCCTAGCACAAATGTCTGGCATGTGGTAGAACCTCAATAAACATTGTTGAATGAATGATTGAATAATGAATAACTTTATCTGAGGTCATTTAACTAGTTCCCTATAGTGCTGGGATTCAAAATCCAAGTCTGTTCAACTTCAACATCATAAACTTTTTATTAAATTATATTGTCTGACAACCTTATGATAAATTTTTAGGGCTTATGTTTCAAAGTAGGAAATTAATTTTATATTCAATAAGACAATAATCAGATACTACGTTTATTACCTGAGTGACAAAATAATCTCTATAGCAAATCCTCAGGACATGCAATTTACCTGTGTAACAAACCTGCACATGTACCCTGGAACCTAAAATAAAAGTTAAAAAAAGAAGAGACAGTAACATACCTTTTTACTCAGCTTAAATAACAAGTTCATTGTCATGAGTGTGGCTACCATGTATGATTGTTCATATTGATTGGCCCACATTCTAGCCTAGAGAGAATATAATACCTGCATCAATGATGCATTTTAAAAACCTATTTATTAAGTACCTTTTACAAGCAATAATTTGTGCTAAATTCTTCAGAAACTAAATAATCTAAAACATGAGCTACCCCTTCTTTCAAAGAATTTATAAATATAGTTGCAGAAAAATACATCCATATCTAAAGGCTAACAATATAATCAGGTATTTTTATGTAGCAAAACCAAATGGTATGAATTGAAGAACAGTAAGACTGACTTTTCACTTCTATTCCCAACAACATGGCAGAAGAGATAATCCAAAAGATCCTACTCAAAGAAACAAAAAAATTCTGATGAAAGTATCAAAAATCATCTTTTAAAATATATTATTGAGTTGGTACAAAAGAGAGGAATGGTCAGAGCCTTAAAATTAAGAGAAAGCAGAAACCCTGGGTGTCAAATTAAAAAAAGGAAAGAAAGGAAGGAAGGAAGGAAGGAAAAGAAAAAGAAAGAAAGAAAGAAAGAAAGAAAAAAGAAAGAGAAAGAAAGAAAGAAGAAAGAAAGAAGAAAGAAAGAAAGAAAGAAAGAGAGAAAGAGAAAGAAAGAAAACCTCAACACCAGCTCTTATCCTAAGGGTTTGTGCTGAATTCTGGCAATCCAGAGTTTCAACCTTGATAGTGGCATTAAGGTTAATACTCTATGAAAGCATCTATACACTTGGGATTTATACTGAGCTCATGTGAACAGCTGTCTATAGAGTCAAGGACTTATAAAAAGTAGGAAAAAAGTAGATTTTAAAGTAGTGTGCACAGTCTGACTGAAATGTCCTTTATGAAACACATATTATATATGAGAACTATGCCAAGGTATTCCTGTCTGCATAGTGAGGTTTTGAGTGATTTTTATTTTCTCTTTATATTATTGTAAATTTTCCCAGGTTTCTGTAATAAAATACTATTGTTTTTATAATAAAAAATATGCTGAGGACTTCCTACATTTGTACTTGGGATGTAGAAAACTGGAAAAAGCATAGGTCCTGCACTCATACAACCAAAAAACAACAAATAAACTAGACAAATTGCAAATTCACAATTTTTCTTAATCCATCAGAGAACTGAGCACACAGAGACTTCAAGGAGAAATGAGACATGAACCCTTGTTTATTTGGGGATTTGGGGCAGACACAGCTGATCACTAGTAAGAAGAACCTAGCTAAAGTTACTAAATTAGTATGGCAAAATGTGGGCTAGATTATACAAACCTTTCGGGAGGATAATATAAAGGGAATTTTTATCTACTTACAGGCAATTCACAACAGAGCTCACCAGGTACTCTCAGAAAAGATTGGCAAGAGTCCTGAGAAAGTGTCCCTCATGGCACAGGCCTGGGGCAGAAAACAGCAATCTCTGCAGAAAAGACACAAAATCTCATCCAAATCTTTTCTTCTCACTGGAAAAAGAAAGCCTTACATATTATGTGTGTGTGGGAGGAAGTATAGCAACTACTGACATGCTTAAGGAAATAGAATCCATTGCAGTTAAGAGACATGTGAACATAAAACAAAACAAAACAACAGCAAAAAATAAAACTTCCTCCCATAAGGGAGGAGTGAGAATAAAGTTCTGGGCCTAGAACTACAGATAGAAGAGGGACAGGAGTGTGAAGAAGGCCATACTTTCAAGACTCATGAATACAGCCTAAGACTGAGGCTTAATCAAATCAAGAGTGAAGGCTTCCTACCACTAGATTAATAAATGTTGAGTAAAAAATCTCATAAGTGGGAGTTGAACAATGAGAACACCTGGAGACAGGGAGGGGAACATCACACACCGGGGCCTGCTGGGGGTGGTGTGGGGCTAGGGGAGGGGTAGCATTAGGAGAAATACCTAATATAGATGACGGGTTGATGGGTGCAGCAAACAAACATGGCACATGTATACCTATGTAACAAACCTGCACATTCTGCACATGTATCCCAGAACTTAAAGTATTAAAAAAAAAGTAACAGTAGCATTTGGGTTGATTCCATGTCTTTGGTATTGTGAATAGTGCTGCAATGAACATATGCGTGGACGTATCTTTGTAATAGAATGATTTATATTCCTTGGGTATATATCCAGTAATGGGATTACTGGGTCAAATGGTATTTCTGATTCTTGATATTTGAGGAATCACCACACCGTCTTCCACATGGTTGAACTAATTTATATTCCCACAAACAGTGTAAAAGCATTCTTATTTTTCTGCAACCTTGCCAGCTTTTTCTTGCCTTTTTTCTTGACTTTATGTGGTACACATACACCATAGAATACTACGCAGTCATAAAAAGCAAGATCGTGTCCTTTGCAGAGACATGAATGGAGCTGGAAGCCATTATCCTCAGCAAACTAATGCGGAAAACCAAATACTGCATGTTCTCACTTCCAAGTGGGAGCTAAACACTGAGAACACATGGACACAAGGGACACAGGGAAGGGAACAACACACATTGGGGCCTGTTGGGGAATGGGGTTGGGGGAGGGAGAGCATTAGGAAAAATAGCTAATGCATGCTGGGCTTAATACCTAGGCGATGGGTTGATAGGGGCAGCAAACCATGATGGCACACATTTACCTATGTAACAAACCTGCACATCTTGCACAAGTACCCTGGGACTTAAAATACAAATAAAAATTAAAAAAAAAAGTAACAGTGGCATACCATTGGAGAGTTACAAAAGCATAGACAGACTCTCATTAAAATGCTATGCAAAGGAATGACTTAAATCTGAGGGTTAAGCAAGTTGAAAAAAATAAAAGCAAACACAAAAGCAGACCGAAACCCCGGTATACCAGCCTTCACCAAAAGATGAGGTATCATTTAAAGAATTTGAAGCCTCTGACAGGGAAACAATAGCAACAGCAAACTTTAAACCTACCTAATTTCTGAACAGATTGACACAAATCCCCCAAATTAAAGACCTAGCACAAGAAAAGAGGGCTTCTTTTTAGACATAAAAAGTATTTACTTCAGTTTCTAATAACCTGCACAGAATGTCTGGTTTTAAACCAAAACTTACAAGACATATGAAAAAGCAAGAAAAAAAAAACACACTGACAAAGCACTTGATAAAACCATAACAAATATGACACCGATGTTGAAACTATCAGTTAATTTAAAATAACTTTAAAATCACTGAATTTAAAGTCTTTACTGTTAAAGGTGGGAAACATGCAAGACCTGGTGGGGAGTTTCAGCAAAGAAATGGAAACTGCAAGAAAGAATCAAATAGAAATACTAGACGTTAAAAAGAAAAAAATAAAAAAGGATCCGAGATGAAGAATGTCTTTGATAGGCTCATTGGCAGACTCAATACAGTTGAAGGACTCTGCAAACTTGAACATAAGTCAATTGAAATTTCTCAAATTCAAACACAGAGAAGAAAGAGTGAAGAAAATAAAGTAAAACAGAACAGAGCATTCAAGACCTGCGGGACAATATCAAGTAATCTAATATATGTGTCAGTAGAATCCAAGAAGAAGAGGAGGAGGAGGAGGAGGAGAAGAGGAAGAGGAAGAGGAAGGAAGAAGAAGAAGAAGGAAAAACAGAGAGTGAGAAACAGAGCAGAAAAAATATTTGAAGGAATATACTTGAAGAAATAATGGCCAAGTATTTTGCAAAATTAATGACACATGCTATATTTATTTCTTATTTCCGCTGAAACATATTACCAGAAAACTCATTACTTAAAACAACACAAATTTATTATCTTACAGTTCTGGATGTATTTTTGGGGGCCGTCATTCATCCTGCAACACACACCAAAGGATCAAAGGATAGGTGCAAGAAGCTCAGAGAATATCAAGGGGGATCAAAACAACAAAACAAAAAACTTAGGTTCATATCATAGAAGCAGCTGAAACCCAAAGGCAATTAAAAAAAGGTCTTAGAAGTGACTGGGGACAGAGGGTGGTGGGAAATGACACATTCCACATAGAGGATCACATGAGAATTTAAGCAGACTGCTTGTTAAAAAACTGTGCAAGCCAGGAAACAAAGGAGTGTCATCTTTAAAGTGCTGAAAGAAAAAGTGTTGTCAGCACAGAAATCTACACTCAGCAAAAATATCTTTCAAGAAGTGAAAGGAGAAACAAAAAGACTTTCTCACACAAAAACTGAGAAAATTCACTGCCAGCAGATTTGCCTACAAGAAAAAAGAAAAGTTAAAGAAATTAATTAGGCAGAAGGACTATGATGTCAGGCAGTACCTCAAATAAAGAAACAAAAAGTGGAGAAATTGTAATAAATACAAGTAAAATAAATTTCTTTTTTCTTTTACTTGTTCTAGAAGATAACCGTAGAAGCAAACAATAGTAGCTTATATGTAGTAGTAAAACGTATGAACAAATGTTCACAAAAAAGGGAGGAAGAAATACACGTAAGGTCCTTATACTACATATGAAGTCGTATATTATTTGAAGTAGAATCCTACTAATTGAAAGTGTGCACCAACCCAGAAATAAAATAAAGTAGGTTGGTTTTTAGGAATAGCTATTTAACTTCAACCTCTAATGAATCTCCCTCCACCTCCATCACTTCACCCTGAGTATCTGTCTGGTTCTTTTCCAAGGTTTGATTCACATTTCCTCTTGGTTTATGGCACAGTGATAGGTCTGTTTGCCCAAATTTCAACTGATCATAGACTTGAAAACCAGGCAGATCCTTAAGTGAGATGTTAGGAAGCAATTTCCATTTAGTAAAATAAATGTGATACACTTACAGGAAGAGTTACAGCCTTTGAGAGAGCCAGCCCTGGGCTTTCTGGGACTCCTGTGCGTAAGGGTTTGAGAGCCAACATTCAGTGGGCTGAGGGATTGGTAAGGATTTGAGAGAAGGGAGGCTTTAGGGGGAGTTGGAGGTGGGGCAGAGAGTGAGAATGGTTGGAGACAGGCTTTAACTACTTCTGTCAAAGGTCTGGACTCTTCTGCTGCTTTCTTTGTGGCCACATACTTGGCAACCATTATAAAAAATAACTGAAAATAAGGTGCAATATAGTAAATAAGAATGATTGAAGGAGAATATATGTTAAAATTAGGGCAGATTGTTAGAATGAATGAAAATGGAAGTAACATAAGATAAAACTAAGAAATAAGGATACAGTTGAATTTTTTAAATATCCTAATAAAAATCCTAATAGAAACTAAAAATTTAACAATAATACTGACATAAACACATATTTGGAATAAAAGATGAAAAGATCAAAACCACTAACATAAACTTAATTTTTAAAAAAATGCATAAAAATAAAATAAATGGAAGGTTAAGATAAAAATCTAAAACTAGTGAAAAGTAAAAGGTATAAAAGGATCACAGAGTAAGGTTTCAAAAAGATATTAGTAACTGGAAACAGAAAAACATAGTTAAAGGAATTAATGAAAATACTTTTAAACAGAGAGCTTGACTAATAAAGAAAAGGAGACAAGAAATGTGTTACATCGGGAAATATAAAGGATATGTAACCACAGGCACAGAGATCAGATAAGTTGCAGACTACTGTGTAAAATTCTGTCCAATTATTAGCTATGTTGTAATCCGTATTATTAACTATTTTGCACTTCTGCATGGCATGCCTTCTGCCTGGAGTATCATTTTTCCTCTTCTGCAATCTCTTTTCCTTCCCCTTATCCTCACCAGATTTCACTTGTCTTTCATATTTGGGCTTAAATGCTACTTCCTCCTTGTTTTAAATGTTGGTCCCCCACAAGCATCTGAGTTTGCAAATCCCAGATGTGACATTCCTGGTGGTGTTATTGGATAATATTAGAAATCCAAATCTCTCAAATATGTTAATCATTAGCTCACAGCATGACACATGATCTGCATATATTCCTTACATGAGTGTTACTATTGGAGAGAGTGGTAGCTATTTGCACTGGCCCTGTAGTCTAACAACCTTAGTTTGAGTTCCAACTCTACCATTTACTAACTGTCTTGGCACTAAGGTGTTTCCAATTTTATAAATGGGGATCAAATTAATACCTAACTCATTAGGTGGTTGTAGGGATAAAATAAAATGATACATTTAAAACACCTAGCCCAGTCCTTGAAACAGAGTGAATCTTCAATAGATTAGAGTTATTCTAGGGAGTCTTGAATTATTTTAGGGTTTGGGGAGTGGCCGTAGTTTTAAACTTCTAAGAGGATGCATCATGTTCAAATATTTCTTTTTGATCTGATTTACAAAAGATATAAAATGGGAGTTCTCTTTCACTATGCCTGCCTATTTGCACCATTCACTGAGGTATCATGATGTAATCCTGGCAAACTACCTGGATTTGCCAAAATGAATGATTCTGAGAGCTTGGTCACATGGTCCTATTGAACTATAAGTTAGCACAAAGCCACCTAAAGTCTCAGAGTATTTTTCCTGGTGTCTACAATGCTTCAACTCAATGCTACCTGTTCTGAGTATATTTGGATCAAGTCTGTGTATGGACCACCCTGACCTGAGAGAGTTCTGGGTAGCAGTCTTAGAGAGTGGAACACTTATATGGTTGCCCTAGTTGGTTTTCACCCTTTTTCATACAGTGAAGCAATCATTGACATGCCGAAGGTTTTCTGACACTTGGCTCAATTATTTGATGAAATGTTCACAACATTGGAGCAATACTCTGCAAAATCTGCTTATTTTACAGACTTAAAATGCATATTCTTCACCATTCAGGGCTGGTAGAAAACTGCAAGTTTCTTAGGCCCTTGAATCTGAACTCTGCTGTTGCATCTAAAGAGGTCTCTTATGGAACTAAGGAGTCTTTAGATGTAACGGTTGTATTTCCAAAAATCAGGAGACAACCTAACTGTAATTTTGCAATATAAAGACAAAGATTCCTCTTCTGTTTTGCCACTGATTAAACACGTCATTTTTATTTCTCAGTAAAATGTACTCCACATGTCAGAAAATGAGGAGAGGTTAGATAACCCCATTAAAATCTTTAGGTTTATCATCTCTTTTACTGAGAAGGTGATCTCTCCTGGGCCCCATTACAAATATTTTACGAACACTTGATTTAGATAATAATAACTACTGCTATCATTTAATCATACGAATGTATACCCATTTCGCATGTGAGAAAACTGAGGTTTAGAAAGATAAAACAATTTTTCCAAGGTCATATAGCTAGTAAGTGGCAGAGACAGGGTACCAATAAACATAAAGCTAACTCCAGATCAGCTTTTCTTAAATACCACGTTCATGGCTGCTTATGCAATCTGTATAAATTTGGATTCCAGGCATATTTTGCTACTGAAGAACTTTGCTACTCAACTTGACTTTTTAGGTTATCTCTTCCTTGGTGACAAGATATAAATTATGGTATATACAATCAAATGTGCAGTACATATTACACAACTGTATATAATTTTTGAGGAGAACATTTATCAACTTTCACACCAATGTGGCTATATTAGTCCTGGTAACTTAAGTATGACACAATTATTGGCAGTGGTCTTTCGGAGAGGATTTGAAAAAAGTTCCTGTGCCTTGTCAAAAAACATATTGGTGGAACAAGATCTGAAAAAGCTTGTCATTAAAGTTTCAAGTTAGTTGCAAGGCTAGAAAGAAAACCACTGGAATTCATAAAGTAACAGAGCAGTTGTGTTACGATATTAATGTGTCCCACTCTGACCCTGGGTTTAAGAAGCAGGCTGGGTGCGGTGGCTCACGCCTGTAATCCCAACACTTTGGGAGGCTGAGTCAGGTGGATTGCTTGAGGTCAGGAGTTTAAGACCAGCCTGGCCAACATGGCAAAACCCCGTCTCTACTAGAATGCAAAAATTAGCTGGGCGTGGTAGTGCGTGCCTGTAATCCCAGTTACTAGGGAGGCTGAGGCAGGAGAATCACTTGAACCCAGGAGACGGAGGTTGCAGTGAGCTGAGATCCTACCACTGCACTCCAGCATGGGTGACAGAGTGAGACTCTGTCTCAAAAAAAAAAAAAAAAAAAAAAAAAAAAGAAGCAGCAGAATAGTCAATTATATTGAAGACAACCAAGGCCAGACACCAGTTACCAGCTGGGCAGCACAAATGAGAGAATGATGTTGTTAAAAAGGCACTTGGAAAAGTGAATTTGAATTTGAGAGTTGGTTACAATTCCAACATCAGCTATAGTGAGAAAAACTGATTTGGTCTGAGCATAATTAAACTTCAAACAAATCAGGCTTTGAGTTGTCCTTCCATATTGGGGTGGCAATAACTGGGCATGTGGGTTCATGATTGTAGTTCAAACAGCAAGCAATCATTGGAGGTCCAGAAGGAACTTGGATCCAGGCATGAGGCTTAAGGACAGAAAATCAGTCAGGGGACTGAGGTCTCATGGGGCCGGAAGGACTGCTGGACATAGTGGAAACTGAGCTACCAAAAAAGAAGGAACTGGACATGAAACTCGTAACTATGAATCTGGGATATGGGACAAGAGTCTATCACTAGGGGATAATAATTGCATTAACAATAATAATAAAGCAGTGAAGTTTATATAAGCACTTGGTATCTACTGTGCATTATGCACAGTGAACTGTGCTGAGTATGTAGATAATCTCATTTAATCTTCACAGCCAACCTATGGGGATATACTGTCACTATTTCAATTTCATACATTGGGGAACTGAAGCTTGGAGAGGGTTTAAAATAGATTGATGACTATTTACCTGCAGTCCTGGAGCTGGGGGTGAAGCCCCAGCTGGCTCCACCTGGTGCAGGCTGAAGTGGGGGCTGTGCAGAACCAGTGTGTTTCTGACTCAGGGCTCAGGTCTGGTGCTGGTCTCTCATACAGGATAGGGAGATGCTCCCAATTCTGAGTTTGGAATGAGTGTATGGGTTAGGAGGATTGGCTGAGGGGAACTCAGAGACTCAGCAACCCTGCCCTCTTGTGAATATGAAGGTTTCTATCCTGTGTCAGACCTACCTCACAGCTCCTTTAGTAAAAAAAAAAAAACAAAAACAAAAGCAGCACACCCCTTAATATACACATATAGATTTGATTAAAACATGGTGTACTTGAATTTGTTTTTGGGCCCAAGGGTAGATACACAGAATCTTAAATTTTTAGATGCTATTTAATATCTTTTAAGTTTTCTTATCATTGATAGCCACTTATATTTATAATATTTATTTTTAATCAAAACATTTCTGTGGCCAGGAGCGGTGGGTAATACCTGTAATCCCAGCATTTTGGGAGGCCGAGGTGGGCGGATCACCTGAGGTCAGGAGTTCGAGACTAGCCTGGCCAACGTGGTAAAACTCCATCTCTACTAAAAATACAAAAATTAGCTAGGTGTGGTGGCCTGTGCCTGTAATTCCAGTTACTCTGGAGGCTGAGGCAAAAGAATCACTTGAACTTGGGAGGCAGAGATTGCAGTGAGACAACATTGCGGCACTGCACTCCAGCCTGGGTGACAGAAAGAGACTTTTTTCCCCTCCCCTCAATCCTCAAAAAAAAAAAAAAAAAAAAAATCTGTGACATAGTGGATAGGCCTAACGACGTTGTTTTAGAAAGAGGAGTTTAGCCATAGGGAAGTACAATGCCTTAAACATGCCTGGATCCCTGAGCTATAAACTGTAACATTAAATTCAAGATAACTCAAACATTGCATGTTTATTTTATTTATTTATTTATTTATTTATTTAGAAACAGGGTCTCCCTCTGTTACCAGGCTGGAGTGCAGTGGTGCAATCTTGGCTCACTGCAACCTCTGCCTCCCAGGTTCAAGCGATTCTCATGTCTCAGCCTCCCAGATAGCTGGAATTACAGGTGCAAACCACCACACCTGGCTAATTTTTGTATTTTTAGTAGCGATGGGGTTTCGCCATGTTGGCTAGGCTGGTCTTGAACTCCTGACTTCAAGTGACCTGCCCACCTCGGCTTCCCAAAATATTGGGATTACAGGCGTGAGCTACCATGCCTGGCTGCATATTTATTTTTAATACCTTCTTCCCAACGTCATTATAAAAGTTTAAAAGTGTATTGTTTCTAAATCTTCATTATCTAGAGAAAAATATTTTTCTCTTTCTCTGTTTCTTTCTTTAAAAAATTCCTTCTAGAATAATTCATATTCAAAACAGTGACCTGTTTGACATCTGATTTTGTTTGGAGAGCATTTGCTTTCTAGACTACGATGTTCTGAAATGTATACACTTAATTATTTAAATAATTAGTTACAAATATGAAACATGGTCAAGTTACCTAGGTAATAAGACAGGGGAAAAATCCAATCAATATAAGCTTCAAGTGTTAAATGGCTATTTCATATAACCTTTGTTACAATCACTGCCATTATATCACCAGCACTTCTTTATAACACCTTAAAAAACTTGCCTGTTTCCAAGAATGGCATTATAAATATGTTTCTTTATTCTACTCTCATTATAACAAGAGGAGGTCAATGGTCTAAAGGGTGGTTTCCTATTATGAGAGGGATAAAAACTAAAATCAATAAATCTTCAGATCATAAATGTTGCTACAGTCTGGCAAGGTTGAGAAAATTATGAGCCGAGCCCCATGATGTCTGGATATTGCAGCTTGTAAATTTCTACATACATATGTATATGGTTATGTATATACTTACTGCTGGGTCCTTCCTAGAATTTGCTCACAAATGGTAGAGTTTTGTTCAGTATTGGTAGAATATACCCAGCATACAAAAATAAAGATGTGACACTAATTTATTTAGAAACATGTTTCTAAGATTATAAAGTCACATTTTTCTCAATTGGCTTCATTACTTTGATCAGAAAACTCAAACAGGAAATTATTTGCTTCCATTGTTCAATAAATTATAAATATTGAGATTAATTGGCAAAACTCTTACCTCTGTTACAAATGTTCACACTGAGTAGTGATAATTCTAATAGGCGCACCAAAATAAGAGAGATAATCAGAAACATAAGAAATTGGCTCAGTTAAAGACAATATATAATGAATAATTATGCAGTCCAGCATGAACTTTTAGGCATGTTGTCTAGCAATTAAGGACAAGGACGCCAAAGCCAGATTATCCATGTTCGGTTCTTGCCTCTGCCACTTAAGAGCTATGTGACTTTGGGCAATATTCCTAACCTCTTTGTGCCTCATTTTCTTCATCTGTAAACTGAGGATAAATAAAAGTTCCTACTCAGAGCAAGCTGTTGTGAGAATTAAGTGTGTAAATATATACGAAGAGCTTCTATACATAGTAAGCATTACTGTGCAGGTGCAAACACTTCCATATACCTTAAATATAACACTTTCTTATTTGATGGTGTGTGAACTGATATTCAAATGCTAATTTTAATTTCTAACAAACAGGTTGAACGTGGTCACAATTTTTTTTTGCTTAAACAGGCAGGTAAATGAATACATTAAGCAGTTAAGGGGACAAACTCTTCTTTCTAGACACAAATCATGCCACATAAGTTCTGAGCATGTAAGGCTTTTATGTAAATATAAAAAAACACATTGGAAACACCTTCTATAATTTGCTTGGATTATTATGCATGTGCCAAATTATACCTACCAATAATAAAACATGGGAAATAGTACAGAGATCCTTCATAACACCCTCAATAAAATTTGTTGAGGACATTTTGCATATTGTGGGAAATATAGGGTGGCTTCTTTGGTTTGGAAATGACCGAAGACAATTATCAATATCCCCACTTCATACCCCATCTTCTAGTTTAACCCCACCTACCCTGATTTCCGTCAGACCATACTGTTGTATGTAACTGACTTGCCATCTTAAAGGCTTGCAGGGGCTGCTCAGATGTTGCAATTCTTATTAAATCGGTTTTAGAAGGTGGAAGAAGGGAGTGGAGGCTAAAACAGGAGCGTAGCAACCAGAAATAGCCATCCTGTCACCAGGGATTTGTTACCATTATCCACTAAATGATTAGCCCCATAATTTACAGGCATCACTATTTGCAAAGTGTCCTTCCTCCTGAGACACCAAAAGTAATCAATTTTGAAAAAATTGCTGAAAATATAGGCACTCATCTCCTTACAACTCAAATATACCTTTTATGATCATGAGAGAGTCCAAAAAATTTGAGAATTCATAGGAATCTTCAACATGTTCATTTTAATGAACTTTTACTATTGCGATGTTATTACAACTCTCTCACAAATATATTAAGACCACTACCTCCTATATCCTTATCCTCATGTCTAGTCACTGTGTTCCAAAATGCGTGGAAGAAAGCTCAGAATTTATTTTTTATAAGTCTGGACTGTGGTCACTAAAATACAGCAGCCAGCCAGAACCAAGGCCAAAGCAGAATTGAGTATGCTACATTGAGGCATGATTTGCTAGAATATGCCCATTCTATGTAAGTAGCCAGCAACAGGTAGTTACAGTGAAATCCAGTATCAGAAGGTAGGCAAATGGTCCAGAAATTGAACATGCAGGTCTTTGGTGTTTGGAGACAGAAGAGGAGCCTAATGTAAGGGCAATTCAAGCACTAGATGGAAAAGTCAAGAAGTGAATCAAAATTAGATAATAGCCAAAGTACAAACAGAAGTTAGAGGTCAAAGCAATACAGCAAGTCTTTCTCTTTCGACCAGCCAAATATCTCATTTCAATGGCTGACAGATACATTTCTGTACTTTGCTTCTATCCCCAATTTGCTCCCCCTTTTTTGGTGTGAAAAATAAGTCTTCTATGAGACAATGTAGTTGGCAAGTGGGAGTGGGCAGACATCCCATGGGAACTTTTCAGAAGATTATCCATTTTCATAAATTATTCTCAAATTGCTCTATTCATTTTAAGGAGCGAAGAGTCACTTGGGAATGTATTTGATCATCAAAAAAAAATTCTGGTGCTTTGTGTTAAGAATACATAAAAGTTAATGGAAAATTTATTAAGGCTGACAGTCCACTATGAAATTCAGTGTGCTGCAAGCCAAGCTGCAAAATTCTCTTTAACAGGAAAGAGAAATGGGACAATGGAGCTAACCTATCATATCACTTCTCAATGGCAGCTCTCATGGGAGAGGCTTTGTCAAAACCTGTTTGTCATTGTTCTGCGTTCTTTGATGATTTTCTTTCTTAGCTTTGGGCTCCAGGAACATATTCAAGATGGAACTTAACTCTACTACATAACATCTGCTAAGGGGTTTCAAAACCACAAAGCAAGCACGTTTAATGATTCAAAGTTCACAGCTTTATCAACAGCAACAACTGTTCACAATCAGAGTCAACATGCCATCACCACATGTTATTGACGTGATTGTAAATGGTGCTGATGATTACCACATTCACATGGTACCTTTCCCAATGATCTGTTTTCAAACACTAATTAATGAATCCTCTCTGGACCTGTGTGAAGAAATACTATAGCACTTTAGTTGGTTGGTTTTACAGGCAGGCGTGTTAAATGACTCTGCTAACTTTCTCCACTCACCACCCTTGTTATCTTTCAACTCTCTCCATCGCCCCTACCTCATGTGCTTCCTGAGGCTAGAGTATTTAATGTTGAGAGGAAAAAGCACAGGCAATATGACATTTCAGATGTAGCATTTCTGACGTGTATATTCACAGTGTAATGAGATGCTCTGTGCAAAGATTTGTCAAGCAAACTTGGAGATAATGCATCTTATATCCTCCTTGGAGATTCCTAACTAACATTACCAAATTAAAGGCACTGAGTATTCCTGTAACATCGGTCTCCTTTTATGTGATGTGTTTCACCTGAAGTTGGGACTTCAGGAAAAGTTTAAAGTGAGTAAAAGATGTAGAAGTGGGAAGGGATATGGAAGAGTGAATAGATGATGGTTGTGTTTGAAATGTTTAGCAAACACAAGGGAAATGCAAAGTCATAAGAAATCCACCTGTGTTCTCAAATACTTAAAGCAAATTAGTAGTTCCTTATAAAATATGAAAGCCTTGCACAGGAAAAATATTTGAAGTTTTCTTTGACTCTTATAACTAATTAGCTGAATGGCATTAACTAAGCCATTTCATCTCTTTGGATCTCTTTTCCTCATCTGTAAATAAGATTTTATTCTTATTTATATAAGGTTTATTTAAAAAAGATACTGAAAGCATCTTAAGTATTTTGTCATGGTTTAGTATGATCTTTAGTCTCATATGGAAGCAAGTAATGTTCTCATGGTTAAAAACTTTTTATAATGTTAAATAATTTTTAAAAGGCACCTTGGAAGAGCACGGTTTTGGTATTTCCCCTGGTGACTTTATCACAGTCCAGACTGTAGTCCTGAAGTTTGCAGCCCTCGGATGTTGCTAGTGGCCTATTTTTCAGGAGCATACTCAAATTCACAAAACTTATAGAACTAGATGTATAAGTAACTAACTTATTATTTTACCACCGATCTGTCAGCACTGACAGCAGCTTTGTTAATGAATTATCTCCTGGTAGCATCTGGCAGGGAAGTCATATCATCATTAGAAGAGGTCTTGGGGTCTGTGGAATCAGATAACATAGAGTTTATTTTGTAACTCAGAGGTTAGTACCAAGGGACCCTGGTTACCCCTAAAAGGTAAACTTAGTTTTGAGGTTGACTAAGTCACATTCTAGAGCCAGAAGCAGCCCCTCCCGCCCGGACATGCACCTAAGTCATCCCTTCTGAGGCGTCCATGGCTGTCCCATCTCTTTGTGGATCTTCGTTTTTTTTCCTTAGTGCATATAAATCCCCATACTGAAGTCTCATTCTTGCTCTGGTCTTGGAGACAATCTATCTTGCTTAAAGTCTTTGAAAAAAATCTCTAAGCTCTTCCATTAATTTTTGGTTTTACAGTTTCACTTTCAGAAGGCAGCTCCCCTACCCTTCTTTATAGCCAAAATCTTTGTGGGAGAGGGGCTTTATTGTTACCCTCATGTATCATCTATACAGAAGTTTATATTTGCTCTTTTCAGGAGGAAAATAATTGAAGGACTTCTATGAACCCCAGTCAAATTCTTTACCTGTCTCCTGCTTAAATGTGACAATGTATGTAAAGGGCTTTGCTTCAAGCCTGGCACACTGAGTTTAATAAATGTTAGATGGAAAAAGAAAACAAAAACAAAATACAAATAAGCCTATTTATTTTTATGTTGAAGCAGGGGTTCAAAGGTTAAAGGAATAAATTCTTTGCCCAGCTCTGTTAAACATTATCAAACAGAACAGAAGCAAATAAGACATTTTCTGCTAATCCGTTATATTACCATTAAACCTACTCTAATGAATTACTCTAAGGAATAAATGAAATAATGCACTATATATTGAAAAGTGTTTTTTCAAGTATATTATGGTTATCAAATTAGCTATAGTTTGTTTCAGATTTTGCTACTCAAAAAATGTAAATATTATGCAAGAACTTCTAAACTATAGATAGTACTGGAAGATTTGCAAATGGTATGAAAAATCAATTTTTATGACACCAGTCCAATGTTGAACCTTCAAGACCATTATAACCCAATGTACAATTAGTTGGAATATAAAATCAATGCTATGACCTGAGTTGGTCTTTCTGGTAAACTCTTAACAATAGGGCGAAAACAAGTGAACTATGTTGTCTGTGGGCGGCCTTGTTATGAGACCATGATGAATGTGGCTGTTAAACATTTAGGCAAAAAAGATTTGCAGCTTTCAGTGCCACAGGGAGCAGCTTTCTCTGTGTCCTTACCCAGTGAAGTGATACAAAGCAAACTTGGCTGCTGAATAATTTCATGTAATTGTACCCTGGAGAGCTGAAATATACAGGAAGGAGGTCTTTTGTGTACAAGTACCCATTTTAAAAACTACAGTGGAAAATCAATACATCGGTTGGTGGACGCTTACCTGCAATTATCTTTAGTTGAAATTTCCAAATGTTGAACATAATGAAAAATCCCTGGATAGAAAAATGTCCCTGGTTAGCTTCAGTAGCTACTCGTTACTTTCTAAATGTTCTTACCAGGCAAACTGAGAAAAAAGAAACCCCTTTTATGAAAATATTACCTGCAAAGCACAGGGGCAGGTTGGCTGGTCTGTTGGAGGCAGTAATTCCTCCAAAGAGCCTTGTGGTTTTGTGTGTGGGGGTAGGGGTGGAATTTCACTCTATCACCTGTCTAAACCCTTCATAGGCATGGACTTGATTTGGGGGAACCCCTTGTGTCAATCTCCTAAACTGGAATTAATTGGTGAGGGAGACAGTTTCAGGTGAACAATTAGGATTTTCTTTCTCAAGAGAGGTGTTAAATATTTTACACCACACATTACTCATATATCATGCTTTACAACCCCTCATTAGCCCACACAATAGACCAGGGGAGAGCTCCAAGGTATTACCCTCCTGTGATAGTTGAGGGGAAACTAAAAAGGAAAGAAGTTGTCCTTGGCCACACTCTGTGTCAGATATAGAAGCAGAACTAACTAGTTGTTCTACTCATGAACTGAGAGTAAAGGCATTAGACAACTAAATAAGTACTTAAATGCTCACTGAGAGCTAGTTTTGCAGTTCCTTCTCTCTTCCAACTCCTTCCCTAAATGCATTGTTGGAGCCTCTCCCAGTCATTGCATACTTAGTCACTCTGTGAAATTCTAGGGAATGCCTCATCTCACTGCCATATTTGGCACTGTTTCCCAAGTGGGATGCCACGGCTCTTTGCTTACCCTCATTTTTGTTGTTTTGGTTCTATCTTTGGGGGACAGAGGGAATCACCTCATATTTTATCCTCTCTGCCCCCTTTTTGCTACATTGCCTCATCATTTATTAGTATATTCCTTCTTAGTTATTATGGCCAGCAATCTTCTGCTTCCCTGACATCACTTCTCAGAACTCTTCAGTGGTTTTGAAGGAACAACTCCCGTGTCATTCTCTTTTGCATCCATTTCTCTCACCCTCTTATCATTGCCATCTGAGAAGTTGATCTTAGAGTAGGTACTTCAAATTAATTATCAAAAAATAATTGAGAAGCAAGTTAAATGTACAACAATTAGAGAATGGCTACATCTTATATGCCTCAACTCAGTGGAATATTCTAAGTGATAATAAAGTTTGCAGAGAATTATGAAAAAGTAATTTTAGTAACGTGTTAAGTGAAAAAACACATATGCAAAGTGTTGTGTTTATTAGGTTCCAATTAATTCATATGCCTATGGACAAAGCCTGAAATGGAATACGTCAAACAAAAATATAGATCATTTAGGTGGTGAGATTATTAGAACTTCTAAAAGTAAGAATTTCTGTACAGTTATCACATTCTTTTTATAATAATCTTCAGTTGTAACCCAGCCTCTGATTCATCCCTCCTTGCCCCTTCCCAAATTACTATTATCTTTAGTAACATGACTTTCTCAAATTTGAGGTGGAGATTCCATTCTAAAGGGAAGGTCTATAAATTCCATCTATGAATGAAAATGGTCAGGACATAAGATGAATTGCCATAAGGGAAAGGTTATTAGTTAGTTTAAATTTATGAATAGAATTTCTAATCAGTTTTCATTCTTTTAATAATTCAGGCTAAAAAAATCTTTGTGTGTTTGTCAAAATATAAAAGTTGCCAGGACTGGAAAGAAAATTTGTTTTTCTTCATTGTCTTTTTTCCATCTAGAAGCCTACATACTCTGAAATGAAAAAGAGCCTAGAAACATCAGAAAAGCAGGCATTACCACCCTCTAAGTAATACAATGTTCTATGAGTTTCACCCTTATATTTTGTTTGTTTGGTGTCTGTGAGATTAGGTGTCATTCAAAGTAGTAGTTTAAGACACAAATATTCCAGTTTGGGGGAGTATAAAAGAAACTTCAGACAAAACTAGCATCTTGCTTTCCTTCAGGAGCAAAGTAGAATAAAATGCTTCAGAACTAATTTTGTCCAGTTGTTCTTTGGCTGTGGTCATATACTTCTTTCATAATTAGCCTTCTCTAGCTTACAATTCAGTCTCTGGAAGTATGCATTAAAGGTGCCCCTTGGGTTTCGTCTAGTTTCTCCAGAATACTGCAGCCAGCTCTCATTAACAGTTCTGTGTCTCTTGCTTCTCAGACTGAAGGCTCAGAGACTCAGGCATCAGAGAAAGTTGGGTCTGATGCACAGCGTCAAGCAGTTTCACTGTCTCTAAGCTAAAGATAGGTGCAAGGCAAAACTATCTGAGTTTTAAGCTTTCCTAGAGCCCTGAGATTTTAGCCCTGGATCCAGTCCTGTTGGATTGTTAATTCTGAGAATGCAAGAGTGGCTCATACCATGAGCCCAGTGCCTCAGTGCCAGAGCTAAACCTGCCCTGAGCTGAAAATGGAATCGTGCAACATTGCATGCAGGTTATTAAAGATTCTGCTTACTTTACAATGGTCTGTTAACAGCTCTAATGTCTTTAACATGTGCAGCCTATTGACTTTTAAGTAACATTTTATTGAAGTAACTGCCGTGCTTATTAGCCCGTAAGATTTACGCTTCATTTTCAGTCCTGAATCTTGGGGAGTCCTGAACCTTTCCTTAAATGGTGAGGTGGGAACACTATGAGATAAGAGATGCTCATTGTGAATGGGAACACGTGTGGTTCAGTAGGGTAAGGAAGAGAAACAGCACGTCTCCTAGGATTTGGAGAAAGCTAAAAGGTCATAGAGAAACAATCACATCTTCATTAATGGGTCTGAAATTTAGAGAAAAAAATATTTGCAGATGTGGTCAGTGTGAGTGGCTTATATCGTGGTTGTACTGTTTTATAGTGTCAGGTGGATAGTTAACTTCAATGAGTGCAAAATTTCACACAAATGAACATACAGAGAACCATCAGGACTGACACCTGAATTTAATATGGTGCTTTTACTTAGGCATTTTGGAAGAATCAAAATTTGCCCACCTATATCTTTTCACTGCTGTTAGCTCTTGAAAACACAGAGTAATGTCACTATGTTTATAAATCATTGTACACAAAATAAGTCAACATCAAATTTATTTATCTGCAAAAAAAAAAAACATACTGAGGAGTAGCTGGCATTCACTTAACACTGGGATTTTGGGATTTATCAAATATTTAATTGTATAATATAAAAAGAAACTTTAATGCATTTAAAATAAACTTTGATTTTATATTAACTGTGTTAGAAATATGTAAACAGCAGAATATCTGTATAGTTTTTCTTTCATTTTTCTTTACTGCTGAGGAAAACAGCTATACTGTGGATATTTAATAAAAAGGAATCCTCCCACATAACTACATATTAATGAGCTCAGTGTGATGGGAGAGGAAATTAAATCTAAGAGAAATTGAAATCTTTCAGTGGCTCTACCAAAGAACACAGAGGGGAGAGCGAGAAACAGTTCATAAGGATAGGCATAAATATGACTTTCACAAGGATCTGATATTTTATAGCCTATGGAAAACTTTGAGTTTCTCATCTCGGTTTTCAGGCTGTGGCTCAATCAGTTGAAGAATATAAGCACAAGGCATGGTTTTCTTATAACTTTTCCAGACCAGAGATAAAGCACTCTTGAACATTTGTGGTAAAAACTAAAAGAAGACAGTTAAGAACCCACTACTAATCCTGGGCCAGTACTATTTCTTCTGCTTTTGAGACATCTCTCCCTTTCTGAGAAATCCCATCACCCATGTTTGAACTGATGGAAGAGAACTGTCTGTCATAGCCACAGAGCTTAAATTACCAGCTTTTCAGGTCTACAGAGACTTTGAGAGATGTACTAATATATTCACAACAGGCGGAAAGTGCCAACAGAAACAGATCTTGAATTGGTTCCCAAACAGGATGACAAAAAATGTCCACCCAGACCACACACGATTCAGCCACGTCGCACGAGAGTCCTGCAACATACACTTGTTTTGTTTCACCCACCTATCAGCAGACCAGGACCTCTTCACAGGGGGGACTAGATCGCTCCTGCCATTTAATTAAATTTTGCACTTAGCTCAGTGATGCAGAATCTGTGTTGGTAAAAAGTATATAATTCTTCCAAGTAGTTCAGTCTCAAAAAGATGTTTCCTTTAAGAAAAAATAAGGTGGGTGAGGGAGAAGGAGGGGCAGTGTGCAAAGAAGAGAGTTAAGTTTTTGCTCTGAAATTGCACACACTATACATGCATAAATTGTATGTACATTTATCAATCTTATTTTTTTATTTCAGAGCAATTTTAAAACAATTGTGTGAATATTAGTTAAAGTAAAGCACTAAAGCAAGACTAAGCCTGCCTATTGCAAAAGCCTGGAAATTCAATACAAATTTTATAAAATTAGTTTCTATTCTGATCGTTTCTGGACATAGAATCTTTTAAAGAGATTGTGAAATCGCAGAGACTGCTATGAACTGGGAATATTTTTGACATTCAGATGATATTCCCTGAAAACTCTTGATTCTACCCACAGCAAGCAAGGCAAAGTGCTTCCTAAAATGACTAAAAAAGATCCCCAGTCTAGCTGCCTTGCTCAAATCTAAGCATTACAGGCACAAAACTGAAATGCTGAGTACTTGAAAGCATCTGTGGTGTCTTACTCCTGATTAATTGTAGATATCCCTATGTGAAAACAATTAATAAAAGGCTGAAAAAGATTGGTGATTCTCAACATTTAAGGACCGCTATATGAGTTTTTTTCAACCATGGTTAATGCTTTAGTCCCAACACCTTTAATAAAAGCAAGGTGACAGACTATGAAAACATTTACTTCAGATCTACAAGCAAATCTGATACTATTGTTGAAAGATGCTTCAGGGCACGTGTACACATGTTCCACAGGAGCAAGGGCTGTGGAGGAGGTGGAGGTGTGGTGTGCGGTGCTCTGCCTCCTGCATGGGGAACGGTGTGATTCCCCAGAATAACTGCAGGGCTTTGATATTTTAAACCTGCTAAAAGAAAAAAAAGCTGGAGGACTAATCCTATGCACATCGCAGGGGAGAGAGTATTATCGAAAGGCAAATGTATTTTCTCATAAAAGTTAGATTTTTTTCTGATTTTAAGTAAACTGTGGTTTCATAAACCCATGTTAGTGCTATATGAAGGAGGTTTACATATGGCCATGCAATTATTTCACACTGAAAGTCACAACTCATGCTTCATCCACCATCAAACCCAAACCCTGAAAATGCAAACAGGCAATTTCACAGCTAGCTTAAACATTGATTGTTAAATAGCATCACATTTTCAGATTTCCAAACAGTGTATTTCATAAAACAACAAGAAGTAATTTTGTAACTCCCTGGATAGAAATCAGGGAACAATAAAACTTAAATCATTTCAGGGACCTGAGAGATTTCTGTTTAGCAAAGCCAGTGTTATCTAAGAAAAGAATTGGTTCTGATCCATGTCTACCATGTTCTTCCTAGTTTTTTTTGGCTAACATGAGATAAAAATTAGGGCATATTTATTTTGTAATGCCGTGATCAGTATTTATTTTTGAACGTGTTCTTTTTTATTTTCTACCATGTTGTGATGGCTCTCTGAAAAAGTCCCAGTATGTAATAAGGGTTTAAAATACTGTAACCCTGGGATTTCAGAATACCAAATATTTGAATATGTCCCAAAGCATGATTACTTTAGAGAGAGAATTGAGGTCTGATATTGCACAAGCAAAAATAAAATGATTGCATGGGGGAAAATACTATGTTGCTTGGGAAAGTGATCAGGGTTCCTATTTTGGGGCATCACATAGCATTTGTTCTCACATGACAGAAAAATTATTTTTCTTATAACATTATTCAAGTTGTATAATATAGGCTATATTTGAAAAATAAATGAATTTTATGCAAATGAAATATTTGAAACAGAAATAAACAGTTCTTTTTTATTTTTTAAACTTTAAATAGTTAAAATGTGGTAGATTATTTCTGATTTAAAGTCTAAATAGATGCTCTCAAAATGTCATAAACAAATGTGAACTACTATGTGTTCATAAATCTAATTTCCATTCCTTCCTTATGAGATGCTATTAAACACTATTTAATAGCATACTATGTAATTCTAATGGGAGATTGGATCTCCACTATTTAGATGTTGTGTCCAATTAAAACCATTTAAATTTAAAGCAATAGTATATTAAGAAAATTCCACTTTAGTAATAAAATTATGTTATCTTCTCTTGTCAACCAAATTCTATGAACATTTTCTCGAAATTGTAATAAATACTTAGTTTTCTATAAAATCATATATTGTCTATGTTGCAATGTACAGTTATGGTAGGTGCTATTAAAGAAAAGCTGTTGCTTCATTATAATTATTCTCTAATTTGAGCATTATTTAAAAAATCTGTGAGTGTGTCTGAACATGTGTGTACGAAACCATATTGTTTTCTATATGTAAGAAAAAAGCATTCCATTGAATTTATTAAGAAATAAAACATATCCGTTGACTTTAAGTTCAAACTAGATGACAATGACTAGGGGTATTGGAAGAAAAAAAAACTAATAAAAATAAATTTCTTACACAAACCCCCAGAATTATGACATTCCTTTTTGAACAAGTTTATTTGTATTGTTAGTCATATTAAGGCGATTGCATGAATCTCTGTAGAGATCAAAGCCTTATGACAACTTAATGACTCTGCAGATTGCAATGTGTTCCTTACCATTTTAACATCCAGTTCTAAATTTAAAAAAGAATTTGATTTCTCCACCCTCCATAGCTGTTTTTTTTTTTTTTTTTAGATGGAGTCTCACTGTCGTCCAGGCTGGAGTACAGTGGCAGGATCTTGGCTCATGCAACCTGTGCCTCCTTGATTCAAGCGATTCTCCTGCCTCAGCCTCCCAAGTAGCTGGGATTACAGGTGCCTGCCACCACACCCAGCTAATTTTTGTATTTTTAGTAGAGACAGGGTTTCGCCATGTTGGCCAGGCTGATCTCGAACTCGTGCCCTCAAGTGATCCACCCACCTTGGCCTCCCAAAGTGCTGGGACTACAGGCATAAGCCACCGTGCCCGGCCCACCGTCCATAGTTTTTTAAATCACAGAGCCTATATGGCTTTCAGCAGTAACCATGGCAGACACACTCACAATGTACATCTGTAGAGAGCTTTATTGTTTTCGAAGCATTTTCACACACATAACCTTGAGAGGTAGACAGTTTTCACGGCTATTTTATAGATAAGGAAGCTGAGATACAGAAAGTCGAGTGGTAGATCCCAAATATTAGAAGGTGAGCTAGAAGTACAATTCAAGTTTTGAATTGTACTTGAATTGAGACATCAAGCCCAGATCTAGTAATTTTAGAGACCACTAAACAAGCACAGATGTGACAGTTTCCTAAGGCTTGGGGAATCTTCATAACAGCAACAGTGTATGAATTTTAACATCCTTCTTCTAGGTATCTAATTCCAACTGTATACTTGAATGTGTATGAACAGAGAACCATTCACACAAACCGCATTTAAAAATTATTTTAAAGATGAAGCATATTGGCCTTAAGATTGAGATGGGGGACTCGAACCAGGATGTGTTTAGACTTATTGGATCCAAGTCAAGGTGGCCAGTTAACATTCTGGAAGCTTCACGTTCTCAGTTTTATGCCACTCAGCATGGCTCTGGTCAAGCCAGTTGTACCACGACTAGCTCTGCCTCTGGAACAAGCTGTTCAATCTCTCTTAGCCTTAGCTTCCTCATCTCTAAAATGGGGATAATAATACCTCCCTCATAGGGATTTTTGTGAAGATTAAATGTGATAATACGAATAAAGCCATTGAACAATGTATTAGATTTTTAGGGCTGCCATAACATTATCTCAAACTGAGTGACTTAAAACAACATAAATTTATTCTCTCACCATTCTGAGGCCAAGTCCAAAACGAAGATATGTATGGGCTGCACTCCCTCCAGAGGCTCTCAGGGAGAGCCTTTCTTTGCCTCCTCCAGCGTTTGCTGGTTTCAGGTGTCCCTTGGTTTGTGACTGATTAATGCCAATCTCTGTCTCTTGAAATGGCCTTCTCCTCAGTCTCCATCCCAAATCTCCCTCTATCTTCCACTTTTAAGGACACTTGTCTTTGAATTTAGGACCCTCGCGAAAGTTTAGGATCATCTCATCTTGAGATCCATAATTCAATCACACCTACAAAACTCTTTTTTTTTTTCCCAAATAAGGTCATATTCACAGGTTCTGAGGAGTAAGACATAAACATATCTTTTTTGGGGGAGGGGGTTGTCACAATTTAACCCAGAGCCTGGGAACAAACCCCTGCACCTTCTACCTCTATTGTCCTTGATTCAGACCATAAAATGTGGTCAATTTTGCAGTGATTAGCTCAGCAGTTCCCAATCCTGACTGTACATTAGGATCACCTGGGGTGTCTTTGAACCTCTCAGTACCCACCTGGGCTGCATTATAGACCAATTAGATCAGAATCTCTGAGAGTGGAACACAAAAATTGGTATGTTTTAAAGTTCCCCAGGTGATTCCAATGCACAGTCAAGGTTAGGAACTGTGGTACAAGGGCTCAATTGAAGGCCAGTCCATAGAAGTCCTGGGTTTTCTGGATTAAACAAGAATCTTTGGGTTTTACCTGTTCAATGTACCAAGACTTTTGGGGTACAGAAACAGAAATTTATTGTTTTATCAGCACACCTATGCAAATCATGGTCCTTGACTTCTGCACACCATTTTTGCTTGTGCTGTATGCTAACTCTCATTATCTGTAGGAGTGAAATTTAGTAGAAGGATTTAAGGCAGGACTAGATAGGAAATTTAGGAGACAAGCTCCAATTTCAGTGACATTGTTGATCCCAGAGGACTCTGTCTAGTGGGGCTTGATATGGATATAATATTTTGTTTCCAAATCTAAATCAAGCTAAGGCTCTGGGGCAGTACAAGAGACTGTGTAGTGCTGGAAAAATTCTTTTCTGACATTCCTAGGCATACCTTGCAAATAAAAACATCATACAATTCTTTTGCAGGAGGCTTTAGTGTGTTTACTAGAGTAGGTGATGTTTGTTGGGTTAGTCTGTCCAAGGTGTTGGCAAATTCTTTCAGTAGTTTTCTTTTAACACTGTTCCAGTCGCTGACCTTCTGCATGGATTATAGGTTTCTTTTTGAAGCAAAACTCCAGAAGAGACTTGGGAAGGAAACTTGCTCTTGTGCCACCTGACTCAGGAGGCCAGCATGTATCACAATCAAACACCACCACTATTCAAAGCTGCAGCACAATAGGTCCCCTGCACGTTAGGTTCAAAGTACTTTTCTACCTGGCGTGGCTATTCAGTCATCAAGTGGCAGATCCTCAAGAGGTCCCATTACTGATCCCTTCTGTACTGATAGCCTCACCTATGTCCCCTTTGAAAACATGATCCCAGAAACCAGCCTAAGACCTTCTTTTACAATAAAGAATGCACAGTTGATAAAGCAGATGAGGATGCCCATCTGAGGGCATCTTTCAAAACACAGTGTTAGGTCGAAGCAATAAAGCTCCAAATTATAACACTTGGGCATTAGCCTGATTTTGAGACATATTTTGAGATAACAGAATGATGGGTCTAATGCTTTGAAATTAAACAACATTTGTCCACCCACTTTTCCTACATATTAGCCTAGACTCAGGGCAGGCATTTTCAGAGCATCCATAGAATGCACTGGTTATTAGCTATCCACATGCACTCCATCATCTACAGCTTAAGAATCTCACAGGGTAAACTGGAATTAAGAGCACTGAAGTCTTCTTAGGAAAGGGATGTGGGTCTTGGGAAACTTGAGTCTTTTGGATAGGAAAAAGGTGGGAGTACATGATGACGTCTCTACAAATTACACCTTGGAGGAGACAGATTTCTCCTTCCAAGTGGCATTGAAAGGTCAGCAGATAACATGCAGAATAATTCGGTTTATACTTACCTGGGTAGTAATACTATATTTTAAAAACAACAACAAGAAGAAGAACAAGAGAAGGAATGTCACAGAAGTCAGGATAAAGGTTACTGTAGAGAAGAAGGGGCAGTAGAGAACTTCCAAAGTGGAGAGATGTCTTCTTTCTTAATCAGATGGTTACATGTGAGTTTATTTTATTATTATTCTTTACACAGTAAATACTTCCCTGTGTATGCTATATTCTGCAGTTTTTAAAAAGATAGCAGTGTTAAATTGGACTATAAAGTATAAAAAAGACTTTTTTTCACTTATTTCATATCTTTTATTTCGACAATGTGCTTGATTGGTACACTTATAAAACATTTGTTAAACGACAGTTCCATTAACATGTAATATCTTTTAAGATAAAAAGTTTTCATAATAATAAGGGAAATTCTCTTGAGGGGTGAGGACAGAGCAGAGCAAACAATGGCTCTGCTCATTAAAAATACTTTCTTCATACCATCACCATTCCTGAAAAAGAGAAATCCTGAGATAAGTAAAGTGGCAGTTCTGTTGACATAAAAGAAGTCGTTAGAAGGGAGGGTGGGACGGGCAGAAAACTGCCATGTAACTACTCTTCCTATCCACTTTTCCAAGTGCTTTCCTGGGAAGTTTTCCACTGTTTGACTTTTTATTTTCTTTACGGAATTTATATCTCCTCACCTAATGTTGCTGGTTTTCACCCCAATTATACCTGTAAAAGCCATTTGTGAAGTCACCTGGAAGATTTTTGACAGAAAGGGGGTGTGTAGATCTGGAAATGCTAGATGGGGCCCCTGCATCTGACTCCTTGTCCCAATTCTTTTCCTTGGGAATTGCCTGAAGAAATGCCTCTACTGGGGCTTGTTACATTTGTAAATGAATTTTTTTCCATTGTGTGTGGGAGTCTTGAGAACTTACTAATATTGAAACAGGTAACAACAATTTAAACATTTTTAAAAGTTGATGCAAACAAATAGCCTTAAGAGTTAACATTATTAACACATTTCTATTCCGCTAATGTGGTATGAAACTGACACACAGAATTTTCAATTGTATTATTCCATGTTACCCTAAAAAACAATTTTGGAATGAACTCAAGAAAGGTAATGTTCTTTTTACTTTAGATAAAAGAAATCACTGGGATAAAAATGGAAGGGATGTATAGCTGTTATAAAAGAAAGGTATTTAAGTCAAGCAAGAATTTAATTGCCATTTCACAGTGCCTTGCTTTTGTTCCTAATTTTCTAATCCTGTTCTGTACTGTTCCTTATTTTCTAATTTTCTAAGCTGATAACGACCCACACGTGCAAATTCTGGTTTAACACCCCAGAAAGTTTAATTGCATTTATTCTTGTTTACTGGTTTTGGCAATTTTAGCCAATCTTATGATCTTTTGCAAAGTAACAACGTAGAGACAGTATGAATGCTGATGGTAGATGTTGAAGCTGATAATTAAACCAGACTTTTTGTGAGAGGGAATTTTGTAGCCCAGGCTCACAAGCTCACAGACTTTCCTTGTTGTGAGATTATTTATTTACTCAGATCCCCACACATTTTGTGTTTTATCCTGGGGTTGGGCGGAGGCAGGCGTGGGGAAGCCTTTTCTAAAAGTCAGAGTACGAAATACTCAAAGGGATTCCTAAATTCAGCAATTACTCAACCACTGGTGCAGAGAAGGTAAGTTATTTAGAGTTGTTGATGTTTTAAATAAGCCGAGTGAAGGAAGCTCTTCAGGCGGACAAAGCGGAGAATATTGGGCCAAAGGGCCGAGCACACCCCTGCAGTGCCCTTCGCCCAGTCTACCATGGGGTGGCGCTCTAAGGCCCAGATTTGCCCGCCCTCGTCCTCCACGCGCTATTGCAAGCAGCAGAGAATGAACCCTCTCAAGCTTTCGTTCTTGTGTCTCTTTCTCATTGTACATGTAAAATATTTACATTGAAAACCCACTGACCGTCAGCAATGATGAAAATAACTAAGTAATTAGAAATTGGTTGGACATTTGTATACTTAGCTCTCTCAAGTATGTTTATACAGCTGATAGAAATGAAGGTTTGGGATAAAAAGAATAATAGCACTATCATATAATTTCAAAGTTTGAATTACTTTTTTTCCTGAAAATATTTTAGGTTAAAAAAACCGCTCATATCTAAACTCCTAGAAATCCACTTTTAACCTTTTAATAAATTATGCCATATAATACAATTTTAAAATCCAAAGATTCAAGGTAATTTAGTTATTAATGAAGTCAGAGTTACTGTATTTTTTCATGATAAAAGAAGGAAGGTGAATAGATTTTAAATAAATGAAGATTTCAAGCTAGCACCTTTGTTTTAGTTTAGCACCCTGGACTATGCCCTGTTGAAAGCATTAAAGAAAGATGCAAAATCTTTGAATAAACTGCAAATTAATCTCCATTACCCAAATAATTTCCATCATTTTTATTGTTTTACTGGGCAGATATATTGCTCTGTGTAAAGGGAAAAAAGAGAGTGCTCGATTTTCAAAGGGAAAGAAGCATAGAGGATAAGGTTCACAGCTACAAAAATACATATGATTCATTTTAAAATGGAGCCTTAAAGACAGTGGTCTGGTCAACCATCAGCATCTTCCATTACCAAGAAGAAAATATCCTCCCATATGAACCATATCTACCATTTTTTATCTTATTCATTTTACTTAATATCATATCATGAGCACTTTCCCAAATTATTAAATACTCTTAGAAAATCTCATTATTCATGGCTCTATCATCATTTAAAAAAATTTTGCGTATTACTCATTGAACAGACTATTTTTAATTTTTCTAAACAATTGTCTAATAAGTCCTTATAAATAAAATTGCCCAGGAGATATATGTACATAAATTTTTGTCAAGCAACTGTCTTTAAATCTTTAAAGAAAGTTTTATTTTAATGTAAAAAAATTTAATCTTAACTTTAAAAAGTTTTTTAAAAAGAAACCGTAGATAAATATACTCCTACATAATATAAAATTGATTATATAGACAAGCATTTTTTTGTCGGGGGGGTGGGGGGAGGGTTGGAGAGTGTCAGGATTTTAAAATCCCAGTTAGAATAAACAGATACTGTATCTACTTGGATTAATTTTGAGATGCCAAATTTCCAGAACTATTCATTAATATCTCATTAATGTCAGATTTATATACTCAACAAATCTGAAAGAGTCAATCTAATTTACTATTTAAACGTTGACATTTTATATTTTTTCTACACAAATATTTGGGTTTAAAAAGGAAACCAAGAGCTATATTGGGAAAAACTTTGATGCCCCTGACCCTAAGAAAGCGTTACTCTTCATGAAGAAAGAATAAATGTTTGAGGTGGCAGATATCCCAGTTACCCAGATTTGATCATTTCACATTGTATCCTTGTATCAAATATCACATGTACTCCATAAATTAATAAATAAGTTTAATTAAATTAATAAAAATTTTAAAAATTAAAAGTTTCATTCTTTTTGAGAGAATTATGTATTCAATGTCGTGCATTGAAAATGAGTTCCCTAAGTGAAGGCTGCTAAATACAGAAGACATATGTGTATAATCTCAAAATAATAGGTGAAAACCTGAAGATATAAAGGGTTATGTTTGAAGATAGAGTTAAACATATGGTGTCTGCTTTGAAATTCTCTTTCTATATTTGGGCATGATCTTTTTCATAGATATGCAAGCATAGTCTCTTTTTCTTTGACTGTCTGTTTACACGTCATAGTCGCAACCTCCTAGTGAAGAAAAATTTTCCAGTTTTAAAAATTTGCAAGTAAGAAAATAAAATTGTCACAGTGTGAAACTGGATTTTCAATGCAAAGCTGTTATGACAAGAAAAAAACATACAGTTTAAGGCAGATATTTCAAAATTCTATTTTCCTTGAACCAAATTTCACCTTTTTTCCCTCCATTGTTGCTTAAATAATTTTTGAATGCATTCAGATAACAACTTGGAAAAGTGAAATGTTATACTCACACATCAAACAGGCATTCCTTCAATAGGACAATTTTTGTGTTCTGCATTAGAAAGAACAAGACTCCTTTAAGGGGGAACCCTCCCTACTTAAACAATGAAGGCAAGAAAAGGTTACATGCCTTTAGGGCTTTCCTTTCACTATCTTTACCAAAGGAAGACGTACAAAGAGAAGTTAAGCTTCCTTCTACAAGGCAGTGACCATGATGAAGAATTTTTTTTTTTTTTTTTTTAATAGTACTCAGGCCAGATCCTAGTGCAGGTGGGTGTTTTCCAAACAGAATCTGTCTGGTGGAATGAGAAGCACCGTGGAAGTCAGATTCTCCTGCTTTCCATCTGTGGATGTCTGTCATTTGGGGACAATGACCAGCACTATATTTTCTTAACCCAATATGGACAGAGTATGTGTTTGGATTGTATTGTGTGACATCCCCTTCTCTATCGAACAGGCTCAAGAGGGGAGGGGGTGGGGTCTGGCTTTTTAAGGATGGGTCTAATGCGTTCAGCTGTTATCACACTTTGCTGATTGTAATCACTCGTTTTATGGTTTCTTTTCCAGCTGCTCCAAAAATTCATTGCAATATCCTCTAGGTTTATTTTTAATATCCCATAATTCAAAGATCTAAGAAAGAAGAGTTGAAATAGAAATCCATGTCCTGATTCTCTCCCATTTTTTTTTTTCTCTTGGGGAAGAAGGGATTTAGGATTTGGACACATTCCTCAAAATCCTCTCTGGAGAAATGTGTTCTTTTCTTTAGGGAAGGAGCCAGCTTGGAGCACATTCACAGGCTTATTCAATTGATAGAGGAATTGGGAACCGATCCTATGTAAATATACAAAATATTTTAAATTCAAAAAATTAATTCTTTCTTCAGAGCATTTATGTTTAAAATGTTTCCTTTTTGAGTGGTAGCAAAACAATAGTACTCTGTTGGCATTTTAGGATTTCGAGATTCCCTGAATAAAGTATTTGCTCTAAACTCTGTTATCCTAAACTTATTTAGTAAAGGGTAAGAACGTATCGCTCTTTAAACTGCAGAACGCTTTCATGCATGGGAAAACTAAAAGGCAAGGGGATCCCCATATGTGCTGTCTCTGAAAATATCTTGACTTACATTTTAAAATCAACTTATTTCAGGGGAAGTGGACCCTATCAGTTTTCTTTGTTTTCCCCATTTAGTCCTCTGAAGAGCTAGATCTGAGAAATGATTCAGCTAGAATTATAGGTTGCCATTTCTTCATTTTCCACTACATAGCAGCAGCTCCTTTCAGTCATTTTTAAGTCCTTTAAAAGCCCATATGGGGAAGAGGGGGAGGGGACTGCCTGTAAATCATAAGGACCCAGTTTCTTGATTTCAGTGAAGGGTAGTTTTACTGTCCGCTGTCACCACAGCTGTCAGCAGGATGCCTTAAACATCCTAATTGTCACTAGGGATCAGATTGTTCCTTAACTAATTGTTTAGATCAGCTAATCTACATCCATCATCTGCAAAGGGCAGGCAGCCCCAGGCATCCTGTAATTTAGATAAAACTCCTTTTCTGGGTCTAAACACATTGTTTGGGTGACCAAGGGTCAGGTACCAAAAAGCCTACCTAGGGGTGGAACAAGAGTGGAGATTGTATACTGAGGACCCGGTGAGCCTCCAAGCTTACAAGCCCAGACCACCTGCATGTGTCCCACTCAAACAACTGTGAATCAGTAGAAGATTCCATGTCATTGATCGCAATATGCCAAGAGCCCAAACAGAGCAGACAGCCAAGATCACTGCCTGAGTCAGCCCTTGTGTTTGCACTCATATGGGCTTTGAGGTACTCGTTATGACACAAATGTGCTGGGTATTTTTGAGCTATTTGCAAGGCTTTCTTGAGTTATACTTCTAAAAACACATCAACAACAGCGACATAGTATAAATTATATATGCAACACACACATTTCATGTTAGAATGAAGTCTCCCTTCTAAGAACCTCTGCTTTAATAAGCTTTCTAAAACAATTGGTGAATTCGTTATTTTAGACTGTGAGGTAGTTTTTCTTGCATTCATCTGCTCATTCTTCCTTCAATAAAAATTTATTTCAAACTCTCATGAGCTTGGCAAGAAGGTTTTTGTGCCTCAGGAATGCAATTCGTTTAGAAACAAGCCATCCCCTTACATTCATATAGTTCTTATCTCAGAGTGCTTTCAAAATAACTAACGAATCGATTTAAAAGTAAAAAAAAAAAAAAAAAGTAAAAGCAAGCAGGCCTTGAACTGAGCAGAAGTGAAGAGGAGTAGAAAGACAAATGTTTGATAAATGATAAACAAACAAACAAATACAGCCTTCCCAAGAGTGAAATTCAACCATTCATTAAGATAATTTAAGAAAAGGGGTCTAGGGACTTCTAAAAAACAGAACTTTGGAAAACCCTCCACAGTTATCTCACTCATTCAGATTTAGTATAAATCCTATTAATTTTGCAGTAAAGAACCCTACTAATTTTGTTTAGGATGGCCTTTCTCTCACTTTCTTTAGTTTTTCTTTTAATGTAATAGTATACCTATTAATATTTTATAGAAGTACAGTGCTATGAAATGGAATCTGGAAAAATAATAAAAGAACAATTGCTAAATTGTAGCCAGCATTTATTGTGGTTTACCTATTTAGCAGGCATTATTGTAAGCATTTTACAAATAGTAATTCATTTAATTATCACAACAACCCTATGATGTAGGTACTTTTATTATTCCCACTTTGTGGGGAAATTGATTCACAGAGAGGTTAATTTACACAAGATCACAGATTGTGCTGGTGAGATAGCAGAGAATAGCAGTCAAACTTGGGAAAACCTTTTAGAGGAATCAGGTTCTGAAATGGGAATTAAAGGCTGGCAGGAATGGGGGTTTGTTGTCCCACAGAGGCAGATAGACAAGGAACACAGACTTTAGATGCTGGAGGTTTCCGTAAAATTGGATTGGAAAGAAAATGGGCCCCGTCTGGGGCAGAAGAGAAATGACAGCCATAGGGCTGACAGGGACACCAGGGCAGCTACAGTAAGTGATGATCGGCTATGGTCCAGCTTCTGACACTCAGAAATTTCATTTTGTCACTTTCACCTATTACAGCGACTAAAAGAACTTAGGAAATCTATAGACTGCTTTTCTTCCCTGCCCCTGACTGCCATCATTTTCTACAGAATTTTCTTTTCTAGTTGCAAAAGTAGTCTGTATTTATTGTAGAAAATATAAAAAATAAAACACACACATGCCCAGAGGAAAAGAGAAAATTAAAACATTTCTAATTCTACATCCCAGAGATAATCACTTTCAGCATTTTCCATGTATAATTTCAGACATAAAATAAGAAAATTGACTTAAATCTACATAGAACTTTGCCATTTCCTTCCCCTCCCCACAGCTTAGCTTGATGTAGTAAATATTTTTCATGTTTTTATATATCAGTTTTATTAAATTCATTAAATTAAATTAATTTATTTAACAGATCTGCTGTTGATAGTAGATGGTTTCTTTCTCTTGTGTGAGATTATTTTCTTATAGTTTCATGCAAACTCATTAAATCATAATTTATTAACAGATAAAATGATTTTTATATTGCTAAATGCTCTCTGTAGATGTACTGTTTTATCCCTGTGGCAGCATAGACTGAAAAAGCCATTTCCCCACATACCACACCATAGAGATACAGAAGTTTCTAACTTTTGATTTAGAAGCTTTCTCCGAAAGGCAAAGCTGTAACTCAGAGCAAACCCGAGTCACCTCTGAGTGCCACCAACAGGTGGCGATGGCTGCTACCAGGATGGAGGCATTTGACACTTTACGAATTAAAGCAGTCTTCTAGACGTTAACCTTTAAAAGGGATAAATTTTATAAGTAAAAATGGTATTTCTTGTTTGAATTTCGGTTTGGTTATTAAAAAACACTGAATGGTTTTTTGCATGTTCATCTGTACTGCTTTTGCAAATTGTCTTCTCACTTCTTTTGCCCATTCTCTTTATACTGGGGTGTTCATCATTGTCATATTATTTATAAATTATCTTTATGGTCAGTACATTATGAGTATTATTTCAGGTTTACATTTGTCTTTTAATTCATAGTTTTTTAAAACTTGGATAAGGAAGTTATACAGAAGTTTTAAATGTTTATATAGCCATTTCTATTTTATTCCTTAAGATTTGTTTCTTTGCATTCTTAAAAGGGCTCTCTTTACCTCAAAATCAGAAAAATATTCTTCTGCCTTTCCTTTGTTTTTTAAGTACTTAACTTTTTGATGCATCTGTTTTTTATTTCAGTTTAAGGTACTGGGGAGAAAATCGACATTTTTTTTTCCAAAGAGCTAACTGTTTCTGTACCATTTTTAATAATCCCACCTTTCTGTAAAGATTAGAGATATTACCTTAGCCTATAATAAAGCCTTATATCCACTGGAGCCTATTTCAGACCTTTCCATTCTATCCCACTGGAATTTATTTAACTACTAGAGCCACCTGTTTCTTCAAAACACCTTAAGATATTGTAGGGCTGGTCTACCTCATCATTTTTTCTATTTTGTTTTTACTCTTTTAAAATATTGTATTGGATTTGATTTTCAAATTACTATGTTAACACATGTGTCTTAGAATAAATTAAACAGTAGAGCATGGTGTATATATAAAGTTAATAACTTCTCTCTCTCTAGTCCCATCACCAAGGCTTATAGTGTGGTGAATACATTTTTACACTTTTCTCTGTGTTCTTTCTTATGAGCAAATAATAATAATACATGATAGTAAGGAGAATTTCTTTTACCATTGAAACTAAAAACCATTTTTTCACTTAAAAAAGTATTTAGAACACATAAAACAAGGCAGCATTTACTCTTTTTTCTCATCTTCTAGTATGGGATCTCTTGGTGGCCCCTCCACTGTTGCACCATTTCTCTCTGAGCCAATGTTACTGTCACTGGTTCCTTCCTCTGCCATACTGTCGACCCTCTCCTGCCCACTCTCCTTGTCCTCAGTAGATTTGCCTTCTTCACCGTTCTGTTGGCTCTGTTGTTTCTTCAAGGCGTGTCTCCTCTGTCTCTATTGGAATGTTCTCATTGTCTTTTTTTTCCTCGCCTTTGTTGGCCACTGGCTCTTCCTCAGGAATGATGCTGCTCTCACTGCACTAAACTTGCTCTGCTGCCTCCTTCTCCCTTTCCTCCTGCCTTTTGTGGGTCTGTTCCTCTGCCTGTGCCATCTCAGCTACAATTTTCTCCAGATCCATTTCTATCTTCAGACCACACAACCTTTTAAGTTCATTGTTAAATGAATCTGTGCTTTCCAGGAATTTCGCCTTCTCCTGGTGTCGATCCTCTTTTGGAAGAAGTTCAGCTTCTAGTTTTCGCTGATGAACCATTAAGGACTGGACCTGTTGTTTGGGGACCTGCATTCTAGTTGTTGTGACAACTGACTGAACCTCTGGTACCACACTCTCACTAAGGATTTCACTGATGAGGCGGCGGTTTCTCTGGAAACGGACGGTGGCTGTATCTTCATTGAAAAGCCATCATCATAATCAACTGATCTTCAGCAGAGAAGGCTCGTGTAAGGTTCTCCTTTCTCCATGTGAGACTGTTTGGGTTGACTGTCTTCCTCTAAAGCAGCTTCTGCAAGACTTTTTGCATTTATGTAAGCGAGGTACACGGGGGAATTATGATGGGCGTTCATAGATTCATTGTACTCTATCTTTTCTACTTCATATTCGTTTAAATATTGTTTCTCTTCATCAGCAAGATCTTGCCACATGCCAGCAATAATCTTGCCAATTTCCCACAACTTTACGTCAGGGTTGGAAGCCTTTACTTGGTCCCAGACCTTTCTGCTGTACCTCATGTAGGGCATCAGCGGCTTATCTGGTGGCTTTGGGGGTTTTGGAATCGTAATACTGGAGGACCCCCTGACCCGGCTGTTGGTGGCTGGGTTCCCTCCCAGCCTGTAGTTGCTGTAGGCAAGATGACAGTATGGATTGTATCCTGCAAACGCTGGTGTGCTGGGCATCTGTGTTGCAGAAGCTGGGGTGGGAGATGGGGCATAAGATGGTCTTTTTGGCATTTTGGAAGATTAAATTCTCAGTTCCTTAAGAATGAATCTGAGACACCGCAGGTAGACAAAGCGCTGGCAGCTCCGGCTTCGCTTTTCTTTGTCCCATGCACGCCCCCACTAATGAGAATATTTATCGAGAGCAAGACATTGTTCTAAGCACCCTACCTGAATGATTTCCTTTACTTTTTATCATAAACATATGAAGTAGATATTATTGTCATCATCAATACGCAGATGAGCAAACTGAATCGCTGGTAGTCTAAATAACCTACCCACGTCACATACTGTAGTTAGTAAGTGGTGGGACCCAGATTAAATCCAAGCAGACAGGTTCCAGAGCCTGAGCTTTAGAACCTGTCTGCTTATCTATCAAATGTCTTTGATAGACATTTAGACTGTCCTTATTTCTTGACCACCCTCCAACAATGCTGCTATTAGCATTTCTGTATACAAATTCTTTCATACCGGTAATTTTATTTCTGGCCTATAGTTTCTCAGAAATGATATTGCTGGATCTTAGGGCACATGATTTTATTTAATAGACATGACCAGATTAGTTTTCACAATGGATACACTAATGAATACTCCCACATATGAAATGTTCTCACAAACCCTCTTTTTGCTCTTTCTTCCATATTGAAGCCCCAGCATGTGCCCAGCGTTGTTCTCAGCACTGGGATGTGAAGGTGGTCAAAGCAGATGTGGGTCCTGCTCTTGAGGGGCCACAGCTTTCGCTCACACAAGATATCATTCTCTTTCTCCATTCCTCCGAAGCACCACAAGCAAACACAACAGAGAGTACCCCACAGGGAACAACTTAAAGATGAACACAAAATGACTAACTATTTTCTTAACCTGCCCTGTCCTTCCACACCACTACCTACACAATCCTCCCTTCACTCGGACCATTCTCTCTCCTGAGTCAGTCATCTGCCACATTTCCAGGACCTCTGATCTTACAAATCTCCAGGAAGGACTTTCCAAACGAAGGATGATTTACCTTTCTGTTTCCTGTTTTTCCTCTCAGGCCCCACCCAGGGAACCTCCTTTGAACAACAATAAGAACATCAGCAAGTGTAGACCATGGCCTGCCTGCCTTTCCTTCCCTCCCTCCCTCCGTCCCTCCCTCCCTTCCTTCCTTCCCTCCTTCCTTCCTTCCTTCCTTCCATCCTTCCTTCCTTTCTTCCTTCCCTCCCTCCCTCCCTCCCTCCCTCCCTCCCAGTCTCTTCTTCTTCTGCAGGCTTATCTCCCATAATTTCTTCTTTTATTTTGGTTCTTGCGACAAAGTGTTAATTATCTTTTGATTTGTCTCTCTCCATCCTCCCAGCTATCTGAGGGCAGGAACATTTCTCAATCATCTTTGAACCCTAGAACTACAATACAACAAATGTTTTTCCTGAGTGAATGGTGGATGGATGGATAGATTAATATCCACTATCTTCCCTAACCACCCCATGAAACCAACTTTCATGATATTGAAATGGAAAAGCTATGATTGAATTCTATATGTTTATTTATTACATCACATCAAAGAATAAAGAATGTGCTAAAATAAATTAGTGCACTTAATAACCTAGCCAGCCGCGCCTCTTTTCACTGACCTATTGACAGGGAAATCCATTATGTCCGTCCCACCTGAGATATTATATCCCTGCATTATTGGTTCAGACAGTATGATTCAGTTGAGACTTGTCAATGCTTTTGTTAGTGAGGAGGCTTCTCCAAGCACTGCTGATTTGAAAGGATTAATCCTTGAAAGAAATTGGACTAAGCCTTACAAAAAATAATGGATAGTCTTGAAAAAACCTTTGCCTGGAGAATGACTTTTCTCTGCCATACAATGCAAGGAAGTAAGTGTACTGTAATCTCATAACTTGCAGTATTTTCATCACATCTGATATTTCTACTTGTTTATCTTCTCTTTATCCTCAGAGAGACAGTGCTGCTTAGTGTTTAAGACCAAGAATTCACAAGCAGGACTGCTGGGTTTAAATCCCAGCTTACTATCTTGGGAAAGATGTTTCAACCAGCTGCCTAAGTTGCACAATTTCAGGGAGTGCCCTACACATAGAACACAACATAGGATGATGCATGTAGAGCATTATAGGCCATTTAAACCTAGCAAGTAGCATTCATTAAATAAGCAAATGTTAACACTACTGTCTTCCTAGCACCCCTATTAATAGACATTTTTAGCATCATCTCAAAGGTGGATATATTATGTTGCAAAAAGATTAAGTGTCTTGTTCAAAGTTAAACAGAAGTGACAAATGGGCTGCTGACTTCCCAATCTCCAGACTCGTAGGCTGAGGCATTTATTTCCACCTTCATTATTATTAGCACCCCCTCTCCAATAATGTGTGACATGTTTTATTTTATTGTTGTTTTTGCTTGTTCATTTTCAGCTTTCCCAGATATGGCTTTAAATCTGGGCATGGCATACGAATTTGCAATGACCCATACCAAAATAAAATCAGCTACTACCACGGCAAAATACTAATTTGGGATCCTGTTGCTGGTTACTACCATATTCAACATTAAACTGTCCTAGCTCCCAGTTACCAGCCTCACCCTCTTCCACATACCTTTTCAATGCCTTATGTTTTTACTAGATTATAAGTCCCTTGAGGACAGGGACTGTGCCTTATTCATTTTTTAATCCCACCCAAGGATTTACATAGTGTTTCATATAAAGTAGATACTCAATAAATGTTTGCTATATAAAATAAATAGGAGCTTATTATCTAAAAAAAATCTACAAATCCATTATTTCCTGCTCTCAATTTAAGGATAGAGTCTGTCTGACTCTATAAAGAGGGCATTTTCATGATAAGGTAGTATTTGAGGAGCTAATAAAGAAATTTCTTTATTCAGGAAACATTGGTATGAACTATAGTCACTTTAAATGTGCTGAAATTTTTAGTTGAGGTTTCTAAAAAACTAACAAAGTTTTAAGGTGATTGCAAAATCCAGTTATCATCTTGAAAGATGAGCAATATTTACATTAATTAAGCTTTAGCATTGGCAGAAGGGAGGAAAGCCTGGTAATTTTGGAAAAGGAAGTGTGTATTTTTGTTGAAAAATAAAAATATAATAATTGTTATGATAAATTAGTCTTTCTTTGAATTCATGCTGCTAATGAAGCCTATCATATTAAATTATCAAGGTAAGTGAAAACCCAATTCATGTCTCAGAATAATAGCTAGGATTAGGATGCATTATGTCATGCATTCCAGTCAAAATTTTAATAACCCAAATTAATTTAAATTAAAATCTATAAATCTACTAATGTCACAACTTTTGCATATATGAGGCTATATTTCAAGAAGAAACTACTTTTTTAACTGACTTGTCTCATAGATAAACCATTTGGTCATAAAAGAATAGGTAAAAGAAATCTTATTTTTGAGATTAAAAATACATATCATTCTTAATTAAGAATATTATGCATGCATTAAAATGCCCAAATGCATTGAGTTATTTCTGATAGCTGCCTTTATGAATGCATTTATTACTACAAAAGGTTTGCATATTTCCTCTTTTTATATCAATGTGTTTCCCATGCAAGTCAGTAGACATTATCTTTAGACAGTCATTGATTCTTGCAATTTCTCTTTAATGCTAAATCCTACAAGCTATTGGGAATAAATAATCATGCCTATTTCTTGGCATGAAAATGTCAATTTCACCAAATATTCAATTTTACTTCTATTATTAGCAGATTTTCTTTGTGAGTAAAAAGGTAGCTTCACTGTCTTCTCAACTTCAGCTGCATCCCAGCTGTGTTTATTAAACGGAGATTTCGTATTGTCTGGCCTTTTGTTTTCTGTTCCATCACTTTTCCCATCTGGCTTTCCCCCATATATCCTAGAGAACATATCCGTATTTTTACTGACAGTAGTGTGTATACACAGACAGACACACACACACGCACACACATGTATCTTTCCCTGATGATAGCAGTTAACATTCCTTTAAAAGCTTACATTTCACCTCTGTTCCCCTGTTCACATCTCAACTACATGAAATTGGGTGATTTGAAACAATTTAAGCAGCTTCTCACTCAAATATAATTTCTTATGACTTGTGATGGTTTTGAATTCTTGACAACCATTTTCTATGCCAGTAAGAGCCCCTGTAAAGGAAGGATTGTTAAGAATTACAAGCACAGAGGCAGTGCCTTAAAGAACAAAGAAGACATATTTTACTTCAAGAAGAATAAAATGGATTTTCACAGTCATTTGCCAAGATTTCCCTCCTTTCCCAGGTGGAAATAGGATGGCGGTGGAGAAAACATACCCCAACATTTGAGGGGAAATGCAGCCCAGGAGTTTTCCTTGGTTGGGCATTCTTTTTTTTTAGAAATGCAAAGATATTCACTTCCTAATTTTTCTGCCACTGTCATTAATGTTTGGAATCCTATTTTCTTTTAAGTTTCTCCAATTGAGAGGATAAATCACATTTTCTCTTTGTATATCATCCTGAAAGTCAAGTTTAGTCAAAGGTAAGGAAAGAACTTTGATTCATTTGTGCAAGCAAGATAGGTTTACACAAAATATTTCATGGAATTTTAAAATTATTGGTTTATCTTTCATTTTTCAGAATTATACAATCTTTCTTTAAAAGTTGTTGAATAGAAAATGGCCATGTATTTGTGAAAAGTTATATGAACAAATCTATTCCAAAAAATAACTATTAATTCCAAATTTAAACATATAATTTGTTTTTATTTTTACATTTGCAAATCACATAAAATAATAGTGGTCCTTAGTATAGTGCAGTGGTTAAGAGACTGAAAGCAGATGGTCTGGGTTCAAATCCTAGTCCTGCCACTTTTCAGTTGCTTTGTTTTGGACAGATTATTCAACCTTTCTGTGTCTCATGTTCCTTTTCTGAAAAAGAAGCTAGTAACAGTCCCTCCCCTACACGGTTGATTTAAGGATTAAATCAGTTAACCCAGGTTAATATCTTAGAACAATGGCTCACACAAAGTAATTTTCTGTCATTGTACATTGCTATTAGTAGTTATTGGTAGTTCTTCTTACAGCATTTATCAATCTGGTTGCATGGATTATATAGGTCAAGGGCATATATATATATATATATATATATATATATATATATATATATATATATATATATATGTCTGGCAAAAGAAAATTTCTGATCCAAGATGCATTTACTGAATACCAAGTATGTGTTCATCACTGTGAGACAGAGAGACAAATAACTTTCTTATTTAGAAATTAAAACAAGCTTTAGGTAGCTATAGATTTCCTGAATAATAGCAAATAAGGAAATAAAAATCCAAGAAGCAGAGCAAATGATAAAAATGTGTCTTTGTACACTTCTCAAAAGAAGATATTTATGTGGCCAAGAAATATGTAAAAAAGCTCATCATCACTGGTCATTAGAGAAATGCAAATCAAAACCACAATGAGATACCATCTCACGCCAGTTAGAATGGTGATTATTAAAAAGTGAGGAAACGACAGATGCTGGAGAGGATGTGGAGAAATAGGAATGCTTTTACACTGTTGGTGGGAGTGTAAATTAGTTCAATCATTGTGGAAGACAGTGTGGAGATTCCTCAAGGATATAGAACTAGAAATACCATTTGACCCAGCAATCCCATTATTGGGTATATACCCTAGGGATTATGAATCATGCTGCTATAAAGACACATGCACATGTATGTTTATTGCGGCACTATTTACAACAGCAAAGACTTGGAACCAAGCCAAATGCCCATCAATGATAGACTGGATAAAGAAACTGTGGCACATATATACCATGGAATACTATGCAGCCATAAAAAAGAATGAGTTCATGTCCTTTGCAGGGACATGGATGAAGCTGGAAGCCATCATTCTCAGCAAACTAACACAGGAACAGAAAACCAAACACCACTTGTTCTTACTTATAAGTGAGAGTTGAATAATGAGAACACATGGACACAGGGAGGGGAACATCACACACCGAGGCCTGTCAGGGGGTGGGGGCCAAGGGGAGGGAGAGCATTAGGATAAACACCTAATGCATGTAGGGCTTAAAACATAGATGATGGGTTGACAGGTGCAGCAAACTACCATGGCACATGTATACCTATGTAACAAACCTGCACATTCTGCGCACATATCCCAGAACTTAAAGTAAAATAAAAAAAAAAGGAAAAAAAAAGTGTCTTTGTAGACCAAAAACAAGAAAGCAACTAAATTATCCTGAAGAGTGAAAGAAATGAAACAAATACTGTGCTCATAACACTATCATTGGTTAGGCTAATAATATGAGCAAAAGCAGCACTTTAATTGGTAATAGGAGAAGTGAGCTATTTCGAAGAAATGCAAAAAGGCAAAGTGATAGAACAATATTCAGCAGAGAAATTTTTTTTTGAGGAGGGGGAAAGGGCTCTGTAGATAGAGAGCTTCATTTGGACAGACTTCTTTGGCTTGAGTTTAGAACTCTTCCTGCCATCTTTGACATATTTCAGATTTAACTGTCAGCCCTAAGCACTGCCCCTCTTGGTACAGGACTCTCCCTGACTCACCCATGCCTGTCTTTTAAGGAGGGGGACATCCCTAATGGAGTAGAAGCCGGGCTGCTAGTAGGTGGACTTGCTAATGGAAACTACTGTTTAGTGAGCAGAGTAGCAGAGAGCCAGTGGCAAAGAGAAGAGAAAGCAGCTTCCTTGGTTATAGAGAAGCACTGTGGGGTCCCATTTCAGGTTTCCATTTGTTCATCACTTTGTACCATATCATTTGCATTTGTTGAGCCTCAGTTTTCTCATACGTAAGATGTATATATTTAATCAAGAATCCTAAACTATTCAGCGTTCCCATTTCTGAAAATCCATCTTTAGAAATCAATTATCATATCAATGGCTGGCCTCTAGTCACTAAGGAAAGTCTAAGTATCTTCTGTTCATTTATGTTACAAATAATAACTGAATGCTGGCTGACTCCCAAGAATGTTACCAAAACTATCTGTGGAGAAGAGAAAGCTTAGTTTATTGCTAACCATGTTAGGATAGCAGTATGTAAGGCTCACTAGCATCTCAGAGAGATGGAGTCTCCTGTCACCCAGGCTGGAGTGCAGTGGCGCAATCTTGGCTTACTGCAACCTCCACCTCCTGGGTTCAAGCGATTCTCCTACCTCAGCCCCCTGAGTAGCTGGGATTACAGGTGCCCGCCATGACGCCTGGCTAATTTTTGTATTTTTAATAGAGACGGGGTTTTGCCATGTTGGCCAGGCTGGTCTCGAACTCTGACCTCAAGTGATCCACCCGCCTCAGCCTCCCAAAGTGCTGGGATTACAGGTGTGAGACACTGCGCCTGGCCAAAGTTGAAATCTTTATAGACTTTTTGAAGTCAGATTTAAGGTGAAGCTTTCAGTGTGGGAGGTGGAGGTTTGTTAGTACTGGATAAGGATTATAATATAGGCTTGGTGGATAGAGCAAGGAGAGGATTTTGAACCAAGAGGTTCAAACTGACAATTTGCCAGTCTTCCAGAGGTTTCTTACTGGAGCTATCACCATAGGCTCTTGATCCAATACCTACCTCTCCCTCTCAATGGCTGACCTGATTTTCTACTTTACTGGGACCAGGTCATCACTAGGCATATGTTCTTTAAATATTTTTTCTTCAACAAAAAGTCCTTGATTTCATCTATTCTTTCCTCTGCTCTTAGAGAAGAATGCATTCCTCCTTTTAAAACCCTATCTATACTATAGTCTTGTTCTTGTCCTCATAGCCATTCATCTATTACTTATCAGTTCCTATCATTCATCTATTACTTACCAGTTATCAAGTAATAGCCATTCATCTATTATTTATCAGTTTTTCCTCACATGCTAACCATCTCACTTCTCACTGATTCCTTTCCCTTGGCCCTCAAACATAATTATGTGTCTTTAAGTACAAAATAATATCTACTAGGTCTGTGGGCTTCTAGCCATGGTTTCCTGTTCTTCTCTTCTGTATGGGTTTCTATCCCTTGCTTCCTTGAAAACTCCTGACAGACCAGGAAAAAAGCAGTCTGTCTTGAACCTCCAAATCCCTCTGAATGTAACATCCTCTCACTCCGCATTTCTTCTGTTCTCCACCAAGACCGTAGAAAATATAGCAAATGCTGCTTGTCTCCACTTTCTCATTCCCATTTACTTTGAATTTCATTGTAATCTAGATGCCTTGGAAAGGCTACAAATGATTTTCTAAGTGCCTATTTCAAGGGATAGTTTAAATTCCTAATCTTTGTGGCATTTGATACTGGTGATCACTCTCTTTTCATTGAAAAGCATATTTCTTTAGCTTCTGACATTACTCCTTCTTAGTTCTGACTTCTGAAACCTCTTTCTCTCTCAGATTGATTCTTCCTCCCACATCTGCTCTTTAACTGTTAACTGTTGTTTGAACTTTTGTCCTTGTTTCCTTTTATCATACTATCTGGTCCCAGAGTAACTTCATCCCTAGGCATGACTTCCATTATCATGTATCCATGAATAATCCCCTAAATCTAAAGTTTCAAGCATGGCCTTCTCCTTAGTTTCTAATACTGAAACACTCAGTTATCTTGGATCTAAAGTACTATTTCCAAAATGAATTTATTATCTTTTTAATGAAAGCTCTTCCTTCTCTTCTATCCTTGGCTGTATTAAGGGAATCTTATCCATTTTGTCCAGTGTTTTCCCAACTTCCCAGATGATAAGTACCACCCCCAGCCCTTGTTATATAATCGGACTACCAGGCCTCTTGCCTGGAAAATCTGATGTAGTTGTCTGCAGTGGGAAGTTTGGGAGGCACTAATGGGACTGAGCATCATTCTTGTTCTCTCCATCTATGTCACTCCTCCCTCACCCATTTTGTTACTGGGATATGCCCATTGTTGTGTGTCTATTGAGAAACGGTCAAACCACACCATTCTTCTCCATCCTCACTGTTACTGCTTTAGTTTTGGCCTTCATGAACAGTTTAGTGCCTTCAGTTTAATCCCCTATAATCCCATCCCCACCAGTCTCTGGGATGCTTATCTTATATTTCTCCTTGGGTAGGAGCCTTCAAGGGATCCCTAGTTCAAGAAGAGTGAAGTCCAAGTCTTTAGTCAAGTCTGTCAATGGTTACTCTCTGCTTATTCTCCAAACCCAAACCTTCTATTTTCATTTCACTAAACATCCATAAGTTCTTTATCAGGCCATATTCTTTCTCACCCATGCTACCTCTTCCTGAAACACAATCCCTCATGCTAGCTTCTTTTTATTGTGAAACCAGTTGTCCTTGAGACCAAATTCAAATACATTAAAACGTATTTACTTGAAATACAATTAAGTAAACAGTGATTTTTGTCTGACAATTCCTCATGAAACTTCTTCATTAGTTTAATGCTGGATGCAACTTTTCGTGCTCTTGACAAGGGAGTGGTGTTTCACTGAAGAAATATAGATAATTGTAGCTCAAATTTTAGCCTCAGATAGGCTTGAGGTCAATTCCCATTATTTCCATTCAATGACTCTATGATTTTGGGAAAGCTCTTTAAACTGCCTAAGCTTCAAGTTCTCATCTGTAAATATAGAGATGATAATAATGAGACTAAATATCATAGTGGAAGAAAGAAATGTGTTGAGCCCAGTTCCTGCCACAAGTGGGGCTCCAGAATTTTCATATATGGTGATAATTTATAGCCCATATCAGAACTCTTTTGAGAATGAAAGAGGATGATATTAATAATTTTTCTAGGAGACAATTGTAAACCAATGCTGCCCCATGACAAAGGACACATGGTTACCCTATATATAGAAGGGACTTTGGGTTCACACTTTCCTTGGAAGGGGGATGGTAGCTAAAGGGCTTCAAATTATGTTGGCAATTCTATTTTTACCTATACTTTATGTTTTGGGGTGGGGTTTGGGCAAACTAAAGACTCACTTTGTACCACCTTTCTTGGCATATGGTAGGTAGCACAATATCCTTAGTCTTTATAGTGATTGACCTAGGAACTTGCCTTGGCCATGCCTGTTTCTATTTTCACTTTAAGCCTATACTTTGAGGTCCTGCCTCAGACTTTAGCCTTTCCACTCTCTTAGTCTCTCTGGATTGGACGTTGAGCTGCTGGATTTTTTTGTAGGGGATATCTATTGTTCTTTAGGGACTGGAAATGGGGCCTCACCTACTCTGTCTTCTGGGGTGAGAGATCTGGCTGAGGCTGTTTCTCAGTTTTTCGGTCTTCAGTAAGCAAGGGAGGGCCCATTCTACATGTCTGGCTGCTAGGGCTTCCTCTCACCTAGCAGGTAGATGTTCTGGGGCTACTGATGAAGTGACTTAACCCCTTGCAATTTTCCATGGTATTCACAAATGATGGACATTTGTAGTGCTCTCCTGGAACTTTCTAATACCAGGGAGAATTCATGCCCCATCATTCACAGCCCAGCTTCACACCTATGCTGGCTCAATGGCTTACCAATTGAGGGAAGATAAATTGCAAGTCCTCAGCCTAGTCATTCTCAATCTTGTTTTGAGAGGGCAAGACATATAGGGGAGGTGGGAGGTCCTTGTTTCTCCCTCCCACTCCACTACTCTGTATTAGGGACCCTCCTCGCATGCTGTCACAAAACCTTTTGCTTCCCAGTAACGCATCCCCCATATGATTTCGAGTAACTGTGCCTTTTCTTTTTTTCTTTAAAAAATTATTTTATCCCATGAGCTATTCTTTTGGATGCCTTTTCTTGTCTGTCTCACTCACCAATCTCTAAGCTTCTTGAAGGCAAAATGTATTTCTTATTTTTCTTTTCACTTCCAGAATGTGGCACAATGACTGGCATTTATGGATTCTCGAAAAATGTTTAAATGGATGACTAATTATTATGTGCGAACAACTCTGAGGAATGTTATACTTTTGGTCATACCTCAAACCAGCACCCTGGTGAGCTAAGCTCCTATCCTGTAATCTGGGATACGTCATTAGCATGGTGAAAAGTCTAAGTTGACTTTGACCTTCATTTTTTTTTTTTTGTTTCTAAGCCACTTTTACTTCTGAGCTTCATCTGGAGAGAAGTCCAGTTCAGCATACCTGCCAACAAGAGGCTCTGTAAGAACAATGTCAGGGTAGCCAGGCCTTGGGGCTTCTCACCTGCCTTGAGAGGGAAACCCTCCAGGAGCAAATGGCAGAGGCCCTTCTTTTCTGGTATGACCTGTAACTCTACAGACTCAAGAGAATTCATGACACTGGCCAAGGGGATGACTGACACAGCTGGAGAGTGACTCGGGCTCAGCAAACCCACTTATGAAATGATATTTTGGCTTTTATTTGGAATGATCCTATTTTCATTTCAATTGTTTGTCACATTGTCCATCACTGCAAATGACCAAGGCTGGGTGCAAATCAGAAGTTTCATAAATACACGCTAAATGACCTATGCATGTCTTGACCCTTCTCTTCCTTATACATATGCACATTTAGTGCATAAACACCATATGGCACTCTATTTTCAGTCACTCCTTATGTCTATACACCCATGAAAAATTTATCCATTTTATATTGTTCTCCAGTTACCAAACTAGATGCTACAGAATTTCAGATTCATCGAGTGCAGTCACAGACCTCAGAGAACAAATAGTTCTGGTGAGAGGTGCAGACAAATGAACAGAATGAATAATGAAATAGAGATCATTGATTCCAGATGACGGAATCAAGGAGTTCGCAGCTGCCATGTGCCAAAATTGCACCACTGCACTCCAGCCTGGGCAACAGAGCAAGACCTTATCTCAAAAAAAAAAAAAAAGGGGAAAACAAAAGAAAAACAAAGGTTGAAAGATGTACTATAAAGCACATGAGAAGGGTGGAGCTAACCAGCCCACTTGGAGGGCAAGCGGTGGTGGTAGAGATATTAGGGGGGACTTAACTGGCAAAAACACACTGAACTGAAGCTTTGGAATGAACAGGAATTAGGAGGAGGGTGCTTGGAAAAGGGAAGAGCATTTCTGGCAGGAGGACAGCATGAGAAAATCCATAGGAGAAGCACGGCATTGTGTTTAAAGGAATGGGAAGTGATTGAGTGTTACTAGAGCCTCTTGTTCCAGCTAGAGGAGGGAAGGGGTAAAGCTAAGGAGCAGGGCAGGGTCAGACACAGTCCTCTCTGTGTTGGGGAGTCATTTAAGAATGACTTTCCATTTTGCAAAGAATGGTTTGCAAAAATGGAGCACTATTATCTGAGAGGAGAGGGATGGAATACAGAAATACAAGCTTGCTTAGATGAAGAGGTGAGAGGAAGGTGACAGCTGATTCCTAGATGTCCAGTCCTGGTGACAGGTTAACTGGTGTGAGAGTGAAACAGCACAATGGTTAAAAGCATGGCCTCTGGAGCCAGATAGCTTGAGTTCAAATCTCAGCTTTGCCACTGCTAACTGTCTGTCTTTGGGAAGGTTGCTTAACCTCTCTGTGCCATTGTTTCTTCATAGGATGGTGATAATAATAATATGTACTTCTTAAGATTGCTGCGAGGATCAAATGAGTAAATATGTGGAAAGTGCGTTGAATCATGCCTGATGCATAGAAAGTACTATAGAAGTGTTTATCACTTTTATTATAGGAAAGATTCTTTGAAAGGGGAAGAAGTTGAATTCAGTTTTAGACATGTTAATATTGAGAATCCACATGACAATATCCAGTAGTATTTGGCTGGATATGTTCGTCCAGAGTTCCAGGGAAAGGTCTTGACTAGAGAAGTAGATATTTTGTTAATTTCAGCATATAAATAAGTCTGATTAAAAACATGAGAGTGGATAGAATCCCGCAGGGAACAGGAGGAGAGTAAGGGGAGTAGGCCAAGGATGGAACAGAGAGTTCTCCAAGATTCCTTAGTATCTTTTGGGAATGTTTGGGAATGGGTAGACACCATAATCATTAAGAAAGCCTGCTTCTCACCTCCTGCTTAAAATGTTATTTTTCTTTCTAGAAAAATTAGTGATCTTACAGTGATTATTTACAAACCTGAATTTTGTTATTGGAAGGATTTCAATAAGAGAAACTAGCAGATAAAGAAAATGCAATCTTGAAATAAATGATGTAGATAGAGTTGGAGAAGCGTTCCTAGTAGGTTAACCAGGAAATGAGAAAGCCAGCTCTTGAAAATGAAGAAGCAGAAACTCAGGGGGAATGAAAATGAAGGGACTAGAATCACTCTAGGAGGCACCTGCTGGCTGTGGGGAGAAGTCAGAACCATGAGCAAAGTCAGGAGAATTTGAAGTGCAACTGGAGTCAGTGGGGAGACTCAGGTTAGCAACACAACACTATGGTGACTAGGTTTTCTAAACCAAGTCTGGGACACGGTATGACACAGGGCAAATGTTTAAAATCACAACTGTGGCCAAAATCTAGGAAAGATGCTGGCCATTCCCTTCCTGGAATGTGCAGTGCCTTGAACTACCTTCAGGTATCCTGAAAAAAGGCAAAGCTACCATAGGTGGCATGTTACAGACAAGTTATAAGCAGGGTGACCAGGGAAAGAAGTGACAGGTGGGAGAAGCTGGCATTTCAGTTGTGTTTAACAATAAGTAAGCGAGTTGACTTGGGGCTGCCTCTAATCTTCCCTCCCTAGAGCCCTTACCTTCAGTGGTCCGGTGGCATATCCTGGTGTCCTCATCCCTTCAGGAGTAATTTTGAGCAGTGGAACTGCAGGAGAGAACACAAATTTATTTTTCTTATATACAGAACTTCTCTCTGTGTGCTGTCAATATAGCTTTTTACTAAGCACTAAATCGACCAGCAAAACATTAGTTAAAGCTTGAATTCCAACATTGTGGCTTGGAAAAAATGGAGGTGGGTAACTCAGGCCCCAAATAAAGAGACCAAACTCTAAGTAGCATCAGTGATTACGTGTGTATTTACATCTATGCTTCTGAGGAGGTAAGTAATCCATACACTTCCTGCAGCTGGCGACTTCATGTTATATCATTAGGAATAGAAATAGTGTTTTGCTATGGGGCAGTTATAAAATAAAATGAACTCTTCTTCCGCAAATATTCTACTGTTGGCCAATCAGTCCCATCTCTCCCTCTCTCTCTCTCTCTCTCTCTCTCTCACACACACACACACACACACACTCACAATTGCAGTCACTTAAATTTTAAAGTCTTTTTGAATGGGAAAGTGAGTAACTCAAGTACTTTTTATCAGGTTTTCTGCCATTAAAGTGCTAGAAGCTAGCAAAGGTGAAAGGAAGAGCTGGCTCAAATCATCCAGGGCTTCGTTAAGCTATAGCTTGCTGAGGACAATTTCTTTTGGGTCCACCTTCCCCAAGAAAATGCCAGTTTCTTTTTCACCAACATATCTAAAGAAACCAATAGTAACCTTTGATGTGTCTCCCTGGGCTCTTGAACAAGCATTTAATTGAGAGCTTCTTAATTGGTAAGTGCTCAGATCTGAGTATGTCACCTGGGCCACTGAGGCCTCCATGCCTTGGTAGCACAATTCTTTGCAAATAAACAAAGCTTTGAGTTCCTGGAGAAAAATGCAGCTTACACAGCACTTAGGAACACTCAAAAGGCCTCTGTTCCCTCTCCATACTAATGTGGTTTCACAAGAAGACCAAGATTATTTTATTGCCCCAGGATGCCAGGAAATTTTCATTTGGCTCCCTCAGATCTTTGGGATAAAAGTGGGACAGTAAGGAAAAGAATTCCCTTTGCTGTCTTAGATTTCTGTTCTCCAAGAAAATAAGTTTTTTAAGATCAGATATTCTCGTTTATTTTTAGCTTTGGTGACTGTATTATTTTACATCCCCCAGTTTCATTTTTTTTTCAACGGAATATCTCCCCCTCTACTTCTTCCTGTTTTGGATCATTTCATGGGATTCTACTTTTGGCTAAAATACAGGTAGTATCTTTCACACATTATAGGCTTATTGACTTCATGTTCCCTCAACTTAATGGAAATGAAGAACCCAAGTATTCCCTACTTAGAAACTATAATCACAACTAAAAACTAACAAAGTAAATATACTTTCTAGTACACCCTTAAACAGTACATACTAGAAGTTTGTGAGGTGTGAGCTGTAAGAATAAGGTTGAATTTATCCATTGGATAGCTTATAAACAAGTGCTTCTCTGATCACCCTTCATAACATTGCACTCTCCCTGCCTCCATCACATTTCCTCTTCTTAATTTTTCCTCATAGCATGCAACACTTAACATAGTATTTGCTTATTTATTTCTCTGTCTCTAACCACTAGAATGGAATTTACATAAAATTAAGGGTTGGATTTTATTTCTGCTGTACTTCTGGCATTCACGAACTATATGGCAAATGAATGAATTTGTGTATTTGAAGAAACTAAAAGCTGACTTTAAACCTTAAACCAGTTTCAAAAACTCTATTATTCCATTTCTTAAGCTCTCATCTTAAATAATTCTGGCTCAGATTTGTAATAAAATATTTCATCAATTCTAGAAGCAATGAGAAAGAAGAAAGAAACCTGTAACCTTACTCTTATTACTGAAGTGAGGGAAAGGAATCTCTCTCTCCCTCTTTCACAGAGAGCTCTAGTGTTCAGATTCTCACACACATGGACTTAGTTCTTTGTATTTTCATATCCTGGCACCAGGTGCTTAGCTTTTTTCCCAAGTTTTCCTGTAATTCTGCAAGAATTATCTGGCTTGAGAAATTTATCTATTAAATGGTCTTCCAAAATACATCAGCAGTTGGCAAAATCAGAATCCAAAGCTCTCTACCAGTTATGAAATTTGAAATGTTATAAACATTCCCAAAATGGGAAAGAAAAAATATAACTTGCCACTTTGAATTCATTTGGGAAGCAAATGGGGTGTAAATAATAAATCACAATAAAATTAACATATATGTACATGTTTCATATGTATGTTAATTATATATAAGTTCACTAAATGTTTATATATAAATATATAATTATAAATATATATGTAAATTCACACCCATTTTTCTCCTAGGTTATTCAGTATTTCTTTTCCTCTTCAGCTATTCTCCAAATGCTCAAATGAAAGATTTACTTGCATACTGAATAAACATGTTCTATATGGAATATGCATAATAAATATTATTAAAAAGGAAAGTTATGCTAATCTGATTTCCTCCGGATTGCTCTCAAAGCTTTTCTATATGCTTTTTACCATAAATTTAATAAACCACTTTCTTGACTTTGAAAGTTTGCTCCTCAAATATTTGAATTTTATTAGTTTTTCATTATGTGCTAGGCAGCTCCATACAGATTGTGTAACTTGATGCTCACAACTAACTTGTGAGGTAGACACAACACAGAATCTGGGATTCTGAAATTTCGAGAAATTAAGTTACATACCCAAAGTCACACAGAGAGCAAGGCACAGATCCAGGATTCAAATCCAGGTCATCCTGGCTTTAAATCCTGTGCCTCTTCCTCCTGTATATTACACCTAGCATCTGACTTCTTACATAATCACACATTTGTTTCTCATCCTATTGAGGCCTGGGGAAGCACCAGATGACTAGAAAACCTAGATTAGTTAAGACAGCGCTGACCTGGAAGAGAAGTTATTCTTTGTAGAGTTTGGTTTTCTTACCTGTAGAATGAACATGGAGGATTTTAAGGCCTCTTTTAGTCCTAATATTCTACGGTAAAACAATGGTCTTAATTGGAGTCAATTAAAATAAAATATGATTTTAAAATATTAAGTGTCTCAGTGTTAGAAATTATATTCCAAATTTACATTATTCAAAAAGGAGAAATATGTAAAAACAATAACTATTAAAAAGTCTTTGTATAAAGTATAGTTATACATTTAAATCTGGATTAAATTTTTTAAATTTTATTCATATAAAGTTGGGACAGTAACAACCATAAAATGCTTTATTAAAAAAAAAAATGACTAGATTCTCCTGATTTTTACCATTTCCTGAAAGGCACAGAGAAACTCCCAGGCCTGGCTTTAGAAAAGGTGGCCAACACAGTTGCTTCCAAGAAGGGGCAAGTCATGCCTGATGTGATACATTCTCAAATGCAAGCACAGCTCTAGAATCTGGGGGCTGCACATGGAGTCTGCAAGGCCACCTCCTGGTATCCATTTTGTTCTCTAAGGTTTGACAAACAACTGCCCCTCCCCCAACTCCCGACACTTTCAAACTGGTGAAGAGGGCATTGTGTCTTATTTAAAATGAAACGGACTGTTCCAACACCTTCCCGATAATTAATCTATGGTAAAATGTAGGTTTAATACCACAGTCTCATTTTCATGTTGAGGCTAATGTTCTCTGACCTGAAGTTTTGCCTTTCCCTCTGAATGGTCTCGATTATTTTTAATGTCGTTTGACTGCCCTGCTGTTCTATAAATCACATTGGTGCTTTCTTCCTTTTAATCATGCTTATATACACTACAATATTTTCCACTAAATATAGACATACTCTTTATAGCTTCTTAAAGTACTAACAATCTCTTAAAGCACTAGTAACCCAATACAAACGTCTAAGAGCATTATAGTAAGCCAAGTTAAAAAAAAAGTTAAAACACTTTTTTGAGTACATTTTCTTTGAGAATGTTACTATTTTTGTCTAGTGGAGGTTTCATTTTTGAGGAGGATGATGGAAGAAAAATCTCAACAGACTTTTACCATTAACATAACTTTAAAGAGACAATATATAGTATAAGAAATGAGAAAAACAAGAGACCCGTTTTATTGGCAAGATACGTAAATTAGTATCTCAATTTGCCAAGACAGCACTGACATTGTGAAATCTGACATTCAGAATTGCTAAGATCTCAACACACTACTCATATGTTGTTTAAAGATGATCCTTGCTTTCAAAAAACATCTCCCCAAATCATACTTTCCATCCAGAAATTCTGCTATCTAAACATTCCAGAGACTTTCAAATGGAAATAGTCTCCATAATGCAATATTTGTGGGGGCTGGGTGAGGCCAAAATCTCAGGGGAAAAATGTCCTTTAGAATCTTTATCAAAGTGAGTAAGACTTCAGAAGGAAAATCCCCATGCATTTGTTGTTAAAATCAGTTCATACTCATCTAAATATTTTAATGAAATAATCTTAAGTCAGGATGCAGCATTTATTTTATCATTTGAAGAATTAAATCCAGAATAAAAGTCAGAACCTTTCACTGAACAGGTGAACAAAGTATACCTGAGACAAATAATCCCATCTACTGAATATAGCGTACAATTTCTAATGTAGTTAGTAAAGTAAAATTACATACAAAAAAATACAAAATACAATAGTTAGCACATTAAATATTTTAATAATAGTTTCATTTTAAAATTACAGTAAATGGAGAAGTCCTTTACACAAATGTCCCAGTGAGCTCACATGCACACACACCCTTTCCAACCCTGCCAGATTTACCTATGGTTTAGGAGGGTAAGATTTTCATCAGGTTATAGAATTAAGCCTAACTTTACCTTCTCATGTTAAGCATTTGTTCTGACATATGTTTTTTTTTTTCTTCCAACCTTGTTAGATTTTTTTATTCCATTTTTATAGGACAGCTTTGACTCTGCACTAAACCATGCCACTAACACGTTACTTAATCTAACTGGCACATTGTAAAATTTTACACATGCGCTCATCCAGATAATTACACAATTAATTTTCACTTAGTTCAGCTGAAACGGGGATAATGAAATTTCCACTGGTGTACTGTTACGTCCAGGGGCCAAGGGTCAGTTTCCTGTTTGGATAAGGGTGAGTTTAAAGAGGATTTCTGACAGTCTCCTTACTTCAACTGGTTCTAAAAACATTGCAATGGAATTTCAATTTACAGCTAAATTCAATGAAAGGAGCAGATGTTGGGAGTGTGCCACCACCCTGCGAGAGCGGCCTTCCACACAGGTGTGTGCAGGGAGCCATCAGCTCTTGCTTTAAAGACAGGTCCCTTCTACCTTCCATTCTGTAGTGAAAAAGTGGATGACAGACACTTGGAATTCATTTTTCCCTTAAGGTTTAGACATCTGCTGAGCCACAATGCGATATTAAAGCAAAGTTCTCAGTTCTCAGTGCTTTCATTCTAAAGGAAAACAGTAGAATCCTAAGGACTAATTTGTTTCCAGGATACTGAAATCATATTCTTGTGAAATTTCTTAGTGCAAAAGAGGCCCAAAGTCTAGGTTTTCCTGATGGTAAAAGTGGGGAAATTTTACTTTGAAATAAGTGTAAATCTTTATTTTTCCTTGATAGTCTGTTTGCTTGTTTTGCCATAATTTCAAGATTTAATTGTCATCCTTAGGACCGACTATTTTATAAACAGCAGTGAAACATGTCCAACATGGAAAACATGGATGTGTTAGCAAATCCATTTTCTTTCCTTAAAATATTTTCACTGAAGAATCAGACATACTGCTATAACTTTACATGTGGCTGAAAGAGGAACTGGGTTCTAACATCAATCAGCTTTATGTTAAATCAGCATGCGTGTAAAATATTCATTGTCTGGTGGGTGGCAAAAATGCCACACTACAGCCACATCTGTTAATTAACAAAGCCTTGGTGAGTACTCTGTTTTGATGTCAATTCCTGTCTAGGTTAACATTAAGGGTGAAGAATTGCTTTCATAGCTGAATCCAAATGCCTTGAACATTGCCATGTAAAGAAAGGATATTAGATATTTACCTGTATGGCTAATAATGAAAATTACTGAAAAGAATACTAGAAAGTACAGTATGTTACTATTAATAGCCAAGCATTTTTATTTTTTTCTAACTGCATTGAAAAACGGATATGTTAAAACTCAAGAAATAGAAATTTTCGATTGTAGTAGCATACTGTATTAATTCCATATTCTCCAATAAAATGTGAAATAAGTGAATTTTATTCTAAAATAAGTGAATTTTACATATATCTAAAATAGTTCAGGAGAAAAGGCCAACGCATCCAGGTAAAGTACTCATTTCTCTTCCTATTTATATACAAGTTAGTTAGTGGAACTCTGCCCTTCATCCTATACACCAAGTATGCTTCTGCCTTTAGTTCTTTGTGTTGCCTATTTTCTCTGCCTGGAATCCTCATGCTCCCAAAAGCTACAAGATAAACTTTCTCACTTTTTCCAAGTGTTTGTCCAAATCTCCATATACAATGAAGTCTACTCTGACTTGAAATTGCAACTCATACTGCTGTACTCCCTTACTGGGCATTAACTCTGCGAGATCCCCCTTACTCTGATCTGCTTTTCTTTCTTCATAGCACTTATCTCATTTGAATATACTGTAAAATTGACATATTTATGATATGTCCATTATTTATTGTCCTCCAGTGAAATGTAAGCTCCAAGATGGCAGGGATTTTTGTTTTGTTCACTGTCAGATCCCAAGCACCCAGAATGGTGCTTGGTGGGTACTTGGTGAATATGTATTGAATGATTAGATAAAAGAATAAGCTCTGTAAGGCTAGGTGTTATTTCTCATTTACTCTTTGCTGCAACCAAAGAAACTAACATAGTCTCTAACAGATATGAGAGGTCCACTTTTTATTATGGAGTGAGTGAATACATAACCAAATGTAGTCAGTTTGCTTTTATACACTGGAGATGCTGAATATTCTGGGAAGTCTGGATGCTTTTAGATCAATCAGTGATCATCTCAAGAGTATAGAAAGTAGTAGGAAACAACCTTTCCATCTGCAGGTAACTGCAACTAAATCTCTGGGTTAACAGAACATGCAAATCTGCTTTGCTCTTGATTTATTCCCTATCTTGAGCCAGGCACTAAATTTGCTTTGAGTTCACAGTTTTTCAGTCTGTTATTCTTGCAAACGTTCTGAGGCATCAACTGCAACTTTAATATGTTTTAATGCTATGGCAGATTCTAAGGATCAGAAGACTACTTTTCTGGCTTTTGGGCCAGACTCGGGTGTGACAATTTAATATAACTTATTAAACATAAATAATTGTAAACTAGTTCAACCATTGTGGAAGACAGTGTGGCGATTCCTCAGGGATCTAGAACTAGAATTACCATTTGACCCAGCCATCCCATTACTGGGTATATACCCAAAGGATTATAAATCATGCTGCTATAAAGACACATGCACACCTATGTTTATTGCAGCACTATTCACAATAGCAAAGACTTGGAACCAACCCGAATGTCCAACAATGATAGACTGGATTAAGAAAATGTGGCACATATACACCATGGAATACTATGCAGCCATAAAAAATTATCATGTCTTTTGTAGGGACATGGATGAAGCTGGAAACCATCATTCTCAGCAAACTATCGCAAGGACAAAAAACCAAATGCCACATATTCTCACTCATAGGTGGGAACTGAACAATGAGAACACTTGGACACAGGAAAGGGAACATCACACACTAGGGCCTGTTGTGGGGTGGGGGGAGGGGGGAGGGATAGCATTAGGAGATATACCTAATGTAAATGACCAGTTAATGGGTGCAGCACACCAACATAGCAGATGTATACATATGTAACAAACCTCCACGTTATGCATGTGTACCCTAGAACTTAAAGTATAATAAAAAAATAAAAAATAAATATACTTTTATACTTTTAAGAAAAATACCACAATGCCTTGGTTGTGTTTAGTGGATGTAAGAAAAGAGTGAATTCATTTCTGGAAATATCAAGATTGCAAACCTGTATTTCTTTGCAAGGGGATAAAAGCTTTTGCCCTGAGTAATCTTGAAGCATCCCTTAGATTTGTGTGATGCTCATGCTGCTGATGAACAAGTCACAGCAGGGGCATAAGAAGCGGTCACTGAAGGAGCAGCTGTTGAAGGATGGGGTACTCTAGTAACTTTTCATTTGGGGATAAGGAAGGAGTTCTTGTATCTTTTCTAGCTAGATAGAACACAAACACGTCACAGGTCACATTTATAAATAAAATTAAGAACATGTTGTTTCTTGTGAGCTCTTTCTAATCTGTCATGTTGTTTTCACTGAACTCTAGTTGTGTAACATCAATTTGAAGTAAAGCTAAAGAGGAAATGGATTATTTTGATGCCTGTGCTCCATCTCTCACCATCATCCCATGCTTGAATGGTTTGCATTTTATTGCAATGCCACCTTTCTAGAAAAGCTCAGGTCAACCTTGAGCTTAGCTAGCTCCATGATGAGGAAGTACAGAGGCCAATGAAAGTCAGTCCCCCCATTAGACCATGATTCTTAGCACTTCTGTTATAACTACCAGCACTTCTCTCCCTCCACCAGCTACCTCTCATAAGACACATATCTATTGAGTTCATTTTTTTTCTTCCATTGGCAAGTTAAGCTTTTTTTTTTAACAAAATAAACTTTATTTAAAAGTATTTTTTACAGACATTACAGCTTTTAAAGAAAAAGCTCTTTAGTTAACTGTGTATGGAAATGAAAAATATTAATAACATTAGTATAACAGACCTCTAAATATTAATACATTGGCAAAATAAAATGGACTTAAAATGCAAATGAATCTTAATGCTCCGCTATTCTCTGTAAGAATATTTACTTTCTGTTTTTCTTATTCTTTACAGGTGAGAATGACAATACAACTTTGTGTATTGTCTGGACCCCAATTTATAATGGATCCTTCTGGTAAGATCTGTTCAGAACATTTTCAACTGCTTGATACCCTACTTTTAATCAATTAGTATCTTGAGCATCAGTTTTCCTCTTCTTCAGTCCCTAAATTCACTGAATTTTCTGAGATCACACATTCAATTCTCATTGACATTCTGTACCATTAGCCAAGGTCTTCAGAAAATTTAGATGAGGGCAAAAACATCACATATAAATGAACAGTGTTTTAGGTCTCTGATCTTTATATATCACTGAAAACTAGGTGATGGATTTGCAATCCCCATGGCATTTATCTGTCAGTTCTTAATAGAATCACTACATTGCTTCCATATGCTCAGTTATTACACTTCCTCTGTTTCATTTTGGCCCATCTCCATGCTCTGTGACTATCTAGTGACTTTCCAGTGGAATGTTGGGAGCCTCACTGAAACTTGGCATGTTGTGAATTAAGTCCCTCTTTGTTTGGGATTGTACCAGCTCTACTAATAAAAATCATTCTGCTAAATGAATACATATCTCCAATTATTCTCTTTTTATTTTTTTGTCTTCATAACATAAAAACATTAGTTCAGTCAATTTGCTCATTTCAACCAAATGGGATAATCAGTTTTTCTATTTTTAAGTTGCCCACTGCCTGGATATCATCATAGGCATCAAGTACACATGTGGTTCTCAAAGCCTCTTCCTCCTTTTAGTAGATTTAATAGTTTCTGCCCCAAATTAATGTCCACCTGGAACCTCAGAACATGATTGTACTTGGAAAAAGGGTTATTGCCAATGTAATTAGTTAGGGATCAAGATGAGATAATACTGGATTAAGGTAAGCCCTAAGTCCAATGAGAGTCTCCTTATAAGAGACAAAAAAAAAAAAAAAAAGGATACAGAGAGGCAGAGAAAAGGCTAGTCTAGAGAAGGGAGCAAGACTAGAACAATGCATGTACAACAAGGAGCTCTAACAATTGCTACAACACCAAAAGCTAAAGAAGAAATACAAGATGATTTCTCTTTCAGAGCATCCAGAAAAACCAACTCTTCTGACACATTGATTTCAGATTTCCCCAGAACTGTGAGAGAATAGATTTATGCTGTTTTAAACCAGCCACTTTATGGTAATTTGTTACAGACATTACAAGAAACTTCCTCTATCTGCTCTCTCTGTATCTGATCAACCCACTCTGTCCCTCTTCTCCCTTTGTTTCAATTCTGCTCAGACTGCCTTGGAATATTGTTCCATATCTGAAACCATATTTAATTTATTTTATTTTTCTGAGACAGGGTCTTGCTCTCTTGCCCAGGCTGGAGTACAGTGGTACAATCATGGCTCACTGCAGCCAGGACCTCCCAGGCCCAAGCAATCCTCCCACCTCAGCCTCCTAAGCAGCTGGAACTACAGGTGCATGTCATCACGTCCAGCTAATTTTTTCATTTTTTGTAGAGACAGGGTCTCCCTATGTTGCCCAGGTTGGTCTCGAACTCCTGAGCCCAAGCATCCTCTCTCCTCAGCCTCTCAAAGTGCTGGGATTACAGGCGTGAGCCACTGTGTCCAGCCCTGAAACCACATTTTAAAAGAGGGACAAAGGAATCCATCTAGAAAAGGGTGAGGAGTCTGGATATGTGAGTAGGTTAAAGGAGAAATGAGAGAGACCTATATGTTTTTTCAAAACTCATTGCAGCATGGGCCAGGTGTAATGGCTCATGCCTGTAATTCCAGCACTTTGAGAGGCCTAGGTGGGCAGATAGCTTGAGCTCAGGAGTTTGAGACCAGCCTGGGCAACATGGTGAAACGCTGCCTCTACAAAAAATACCATCAAATTAGCTGGGTGTAGAGCTGTGCGCCTATAGGCCCAGCTACTGGAGAAGCTGAGGTGGGAGGATCAGCTTGGGCCTGGGAGGTGGAGGCTGCAGTGAGCCGTGATTGCACCACTGAACTCCAACCTGGGTGATAGAGACAGACCCTGTCTCAAAATAATAAATAAATAAATAAATAAAAATCATTGATGTATAAAAGCAGAAATTGCAATCTCATGTTAAAATTTAGGTAATTTGTATTGAAACAATTTGCAAACAACAAAACAACACATAAATGTTGGTTATGGTTATTATTTATCCAGACCTAGATATTAGGGCCTAAGTATTTTTTTTAAAATATCATTAAGGGGAACTTTTTCAAATAAAACTTTTTATTAATAAAATAAATTATAAATTTTCATAAGAAATCATGAATCATGAAATAGTCTTGGTGGAACCACTGAAATAGAAATGAGATGGCCACTGACCAGATAGCAAGTTAATCTGTAAACGGCTCAGGCATTAACTAGCTGAGTGATCCTGGGCAAGTGGTCTAACCTGTGTCCTAATATGGAAAAAATATATAAGTAGTCATCTAGGGTGGTTGCTGTCAGGATATAAAAATACTTCCTGAGCTAGAAAGCATTTTTTCTCTAAATTTAAATGATTTTGCATGATGTCACTTCCTGATGTCTTCTAGGAAGTTACATCACTACCCACCGCCTGCCTTTCTTGCTAGAGAATGCAGAGGAGTTCCTAGCAATCCTTGTGGGATCTTTAGTAATACTTCAGTAGCTGGCTATACTGAACAGAGCAACTTTATTTCATGGTCCTTCATGTGACCACTCCATATGGTTGATTCTGTAGACACCATGATCGGTACTTTTGTCTATTTCTGGGCAAGGTTACTACTATAGGTTAGAATTTTTCTTTCATTAACTGATTTTTGCATTTCTATTTTTTTCACAGTTTAAAAATGATAAACCAATCCAACATTATTCTTCTTATCACTTTACCATTTTTGTTCAATTTGTTTTCTAGGTTTGAAAAGGCTGTTGTTTCTAGGGTTCTTATAAAATATGTTTATTTATTTGGGTTTTCAAATATTCTTCATTTGGTCTGACTTTTAATAAATAGACACTTGAAAGTCAGGATGCTCTATACTTTGTTCTATAGTATTCCAAATTAATGTGTTTTTTTCTCTTTTTTCGAAATTTGTAATAAACAAAATACAATTATTTATTTATTCTTCATTAAGTTATAAAAATTGGAGGAGATAAATCAACTTTACATATGTTTAAGTTTACAGATTTTCAAACTTGGAATTGCCTAAATGCCCAGACTTCCTTTTATTTTTAACATTTAACTAATTCTATCAATTCAACTTCTTGAATAGAAATTTCCAGTAAGAGGCTCCCAAAGACTTAATCATAATTAACCTCAGAGGGACCAGTTTGCCCACTCTTTAGGAATAGAAACTTTGTAATGCCCTTTTCTATCACTCTTCTACAAAAAGGAGGCCTTTCACATTTCAAATATTGGTTTTTGCTGCTTCTACACATGGCAAATTAATTTGGCTTTTATAATGAGGTGGAATGTTTCAAATCTAAATTAACACCTTTGGCTTTACTTTGTGAGAAGACCTACTCATTACTCTCTAGTAACTTAATGGCTCTTCTATGAACCAAAATAGTTTAATGTAATCTGACATTTATGACTTCCACATAATATCAACTGCTGAAGTTTGAAAAAAGGTTTCTATTCAGAAAAAAACTCAAACTAATAAGCATGCACCCATTATTAAAATCGGGTCAGAGATCCTTTTCACTTTCATTACATATAATTTATGCCACTTGAATGTAGTTTAATAAGGTCGTAAAAATGCCAGTTGTGGTATCTCATAATACTTTTTATAAACTGGTTTTACAGTCTCTGCTTTGTTCTAAAGTTCAAAGTGACAATTGCAACGCACAGGTTGCTTAGGGATTCTTGAAGTTTCTTACGGAAAAGTTGAATGGCAAATATGTAAATTATACATCCATGTATATGATACATAGCATTCATGAAAATGTATATAGTATCTGCTTATAGGCCAAAAATGTGCTATTTACTTATGAAACTTTTTTAAAAATGTAAAACTGTTTTTCAAAATCTTGGTAACCACTAAAAGACATTCCTTTTTTCCAGGTGCATTCAAGTTGATGCTTTTTAATTAAAGAAAAAAAAAGAATTTAAGTAAAGGCTAGTTTTACACTATTCCTCTGGCCCTACCCTCTTGTTGAGATGAAATTAAAACTTCCCAACACTTACTCCTCACTTGGTCAACGTCAAACAATACTCTGAGGTGCTCTTACAATAGAGGCATTGTCAGCTTTCCATGACTTCATTCACTCTCTGACCACTGCGTTCCTTCCTGGCTGAAGTAAATAGGGCTTTGCGAGCACTTCCCTTAAGTCATTTCAGAGGAGATAGATTAAATAATGGTTGCAATGTAATATTGTGATAGTGCTAAAATATTTCCTTCAAGTTTCAACTTTGAGCACAAGTTTCCAATAGTATATAATTTTTCATTTGTTAGCTCAAACCTTTGGTTTTATTAAATTCTACAGCTGTACTCACTATATATGCATTTGGTGACCAACCTTGATATATTATAATAGTGCAGAGCTAAGACTTTTATATAAGAATAGAAAAAGTTTCAAAAATCACTACTGAATCAAATATGGATATTTAATACAATTTGCTTAAACACCAATTGAGCAAAAGCATGAGCAAGTGTTTCAGTTTTTGTGCCAACATTAAAATTGGTATTCCCACAGCTTGCTTCATTTTTCTGAAATCTTTCATAGGTTTATTTTTATTATCAGTTAAGAGAATTATTTATAAAGACCACTATAAAATGTTATTACTTAGTGTTCAACCACTTTATAGAGGTTTCAGTTAAATTGATAATTGGTGACTATGGACATATTCCTTAGAAATGTTTTTCTCATTCTGCTCATTACATTGCTTTCCTCAGGGAGAAAAACAAAAGGGTTTCAGTCAGAGGAGCTGGGTTCAGGTCTTGCACTTACTAGTTATGTGATCTTGGACATGCTATTAAGCTCTGGGTTTTTACCTCCCCATCTGTGAACTGGGAATAATGACAGCATTCTGTAAAATCAAAATCAAAACAAGATATAATGAAAACTAGAACACATTATAAAAAATAATACATAACCGTTATCATTATTATTAGAGGAAAATTTGAGGTTAGTGCAATAAAACTTTTAATGGCAAAAACCGCGATTACTTTTGTACCAACCTACCTAATACATAATGACATATGAAGCAGTGAGTGTGACTCACTCCTGTTTTCTGCAGGATTCAATAAAGATTCTGCCTTCTCAAGTCAGACAGTGTTGCTTATTGAATATATCAATGCTAGCATACAGGAAGGGCTCACTCTGGCACACATGGGGCCTAGGAGCAAAGGTGATTGGAGGGAATTATCATGAAATTACCAGGATTTGGGGCCAACAGGACAGGAAGCTTGACTTTGGGAGGAAGAGCTAGCAACCAGGGAACACTGGTTCCAGGGCAGGATCAGGACTACAAACAGCACATTATGACTGTGTGGATTTAGGACAAGAACCAATATTTTCATTGGTCCAGGTATGCTAAATACAATCGTCTCCTCCACCCTCAGTCGTATGCCCTTGAGTATGGATTTAAGACACAGTCCTGATTTCCTGGCAGTACTGGTCTTGAATTTGTGCAGAAACATACTCTCCTTAACTTCATATAAATTTTTGGTTGGAAAAGACCTTTAGGTTTACAGCAGTCAGCTAGTATCCCTGTAAGGAGTGCAGAAAGAAACCTAGTAAATTTTCATGGGAAAACACACTTTGAGTTATTAGATGAAACCAATACCTATAGTTATGTGAAATATATAATGTCTGTTAAATACAAACCATTTGTGCTTACAAATGCTCTAGTTGAATGGTAGTTTCACTTGATCCTTCAGAAACAATTTTAGATCATTTCAGATACGGCTTTTTCTTGAAGCCATCATGGTACTCAATGTTTTACTTTTTATTCCCATTCTCCCCTTCAGAGGGGCCAGGTTCAGAAGTTATAACCAGAGGCGGAAGGCCTATTATCAAGACCTAACTGCAGCAATGTTGTCAGAGGCTCCATGTTACTATGTACCTTTCCGAAAAACTGAAGCACTCACAACACCCAGAGAGAAAAAGTCATTAGGTGTGTATGGTGAAGGTTGAATAAGAGGAATTACTGTAGATTGTAATAAATCTAAATTTATGGTCCAGCCATATCGTTGCAAACTTACTTTGTTTCATAAGAACTTAACAAGAAGGAAGCAACCTTGTATGATTAGTGACCAGTGAAATAACCTTAGGCTGCTTTCCATTAGACCTTGATGCCTGTTGCAACTTCTTCTTAGGTGAGGAATTGCTGAAGACTTAGTTATTTGGCATGAAAACTGTTTGAAAATCCTTGTCAGCAATTTCCCAGCCATGTTCAAAGAACTTGGCACTTGGTCTTCTGGGTTACATGTTTAGGTTGCGCCTTCAGTCATTCTGAGGTTCTTATGTGAAAAATGCATTAAAAACGTAGGCTACACATCAAATGCTAAAATCCCCAGCATCCTCAAGGTCCAAATTTCACAATGCTAAAGACAAAAGTTTTGAGGAAGAACCACAAGACCCATCCCAGAAATCAGAAAATTGGAAAAAGCATGTTCTTCCCTGTATACCATCTACATTTTCCTCTACCCGACTCTGTTTGAGAGCCTCCTTTGAACCTAAGCTTAAAGAGGAAGAGTAAAGAAAGGAGCCTGAACAAAAATTTGAACTGAGAGAATCTAAAAGACTGAGAAGTGAGACTGGAAATAAGAGATACTTGCAGGAAACCTTATTACCATGATTTTAATTCATTTACGGTTTTGACGGCAGTATAGCATAATGTAAGCAGCTCTGGATTTAGAGATAGGAACACATGAGTCAAATCTGAGCTTTGACTCTTGCTAGAAGGTACTCAGGCATGACAATTGACCTCACTGAGCCTTAATTTCTTTATCTGTAAAATGGAGGAATAGCCCATGAATTGCTAGGAAATCATGTACATAAGGCACTCAGTAGAGCAGTTGGTTCAGAGTAGATTTTCAATAATTTGTAACTACCTTGTCTGCAGGAGCTGAATTATTCCATGCTCTTTATATGGTGTAGGGAAGAGGTTCAGGAAGAATCCGCTTCCTCCCCACACAAAATTATCTTTTTTTAATCACCCAAATCCCATTGAGTTAATTGTGAAAGTATTTACTCCTTGTATCTTTCAAAATCTATCCTAACTTCTCAGATGGTTTTAAAATCCCAAGCACTGATAGAAGTTCTCACACTCAAACATTTTCCTTCATTGTTACAGACTTGGCTAAGTCTTGTAATAGTCTGAAAAAAAAAAAGAAAAAAATTGCTAAAACCCAGTCATGAGAAAATGACATAGACAACTAATCTAATCTGTTTTTCTTCCTTACAGGAGATATTGACACAATGTCCACTCTTTATTGCATAAGATAACTCTCTGTCTTTAAAAGATTTCCAATTGTTTGAAGTCAAACTAAAAGTAGGCAGGGGAAAAAAAGGCATTATCTAAAATATCTGAGCTTGAATTTGGAAAGCAATCCTGAGTAATATTTATACAATGTTTTAGAATAACAGACTCATAGAATTTTCCAGTTGACTAACCTTTAAAGATAAGAGAATATTTATATATTTGTTGGTGCTATGGCTTACTGTAAAAAAAAATCCACTTAATTCAGAAGGTTTATAAAACAATGCTTTACTTATTGCCCACCATAGCAAAGAAAGGTTTCATGCTCTTAACAAATGGGTTGGCATTGAGAGGACTTCAGTGACAATCTCATAATGGCTGAGCATCTCTTGTCAAGTCAAAGGATATATAGCAAGTTTTCTCTTTATTGAGTCATGATAGATAATCCATTTTCAAGTAGAATTTGGTTGCATATTCTTTATTAAATAACTAAAATATCCAAGCCTAGTGGAAGAGGAATTAACTGGAGTTTTATAAGCTTAAGGTCTAATAGTAGATGTAGTAGATGATCTACAAAGAAGGCCACCAACTTTGTGTCTCTTATGCTTGTTCGTACATGACACTCCTCCATTCAAGAGATGGAGACTCTCCTCTTTCCCCTTGCATCTGGGCTGGCCTTGATCAATACAATGCAGCAAAAGTGACTCTGTGCTACTTCTGGACCTAAAGAGGCCAGATGGCTTATCCTTTTTCTCACTTGAATGCCTGACATCTTGTAAGAAGTTTGAACTTCTTAATGAATAATGAGAAACAATTTAGAGAGAGAGGCCAAATGGAGAAATAATGAAGCACTCCACCTGATAATCAGCACCAAAGTCCTGGACATATTAGTGAGGCAGATTGGCTGTTCCAGCCCAGATGAGTTTCCAAATGTATGCAGCTGCATAAGCAGCCTCAGTCAACACCATATGGAGCAGAAGAATCACCCATCTCAGCCCAGCTAACCCACAGAGCGGGAATTTTTGTTTGTTTTAAGCGCAAAGTTCATGTGCTTCATTATAGATCAAACGAACAGTGAATATAACCTTACTGACAGTGTCAGAAAATGGAGGGTAGCAATTCTTAAAGTTGAGCTTTGTAAATTGCGTAGTCTTAAATGCAGCAATCCTAGCAATATCAAGTATCAATAATTCAGGTTATTTTCCAAAGAAAGAATTATTTGATTGAGTGATGACTACCTTCTTCTTGATATGACTTGAAGTGTTAGTCACATCTCTTAACTTTGCTGCAACAATTTCTCAGGCCTGAAATTGCCAGCCAGGAGCTCCTTCAACAGCAGATCTGGTTTTCCTCAGTTAAGTTTAAAAAATGCATAGACAGCAAACACATACAACTGTTGTACATCCTAACATTGTTGTGCAAATAATTAATCCGAAGAGATGATGTCTTCCAGCAGATTTGTCGGAGGAGTTTGGCAAAGATTTTAAGTCACCCAGAGAAGTAGGGCTTTCATGGTAAATAACACTAGGCACCCTATCATGCACACAGTACCCAGAATGTTTTCTATATTAGAGAACAATTCAGGACATAGTATTGAGTCAGGTGAGAGGTAGTGGAAGCCTGAACAGGGGTCATGATAGTGAAGGCAAAAAAGGAAAGATAATGACACAGAATGTGACAACCCTTAATATATATAGGGTGGGTGAGAGATTTAAAGGGATGAACAAGAAGGGATTTTAATATCTACATATAAAATGGATGTGGTATAACATGTTGCTTTCTTTCTTGTGGTGGTACTAGCAGGGCTTTAGCAAACCATCTTTTATGGATATGAAAATTCCTTTGACTTAATACTGCCCTGAACTCCTACGGTCTACAACCACAGGTTCTCTCAAATGTAATTTTTAAAGTGTTTGCATTGGACTACTGGGCATATACAGCAATTTTGGTGAGAAGAAATATAAATTTGGATTTTAAATTGACCCCATGAAACCAAAAACAAAACAAAACAAAAATCCAAGAGGGAGTACAAACAATCAGGATGATGGCTTATACTGCAATTACTCAGAGATTGAAAGCATATCTAAGTTTACCACTGACTAGTGTTTTATGATTTCCAGTAACAACTTTTCCTGAAAAGTTCAAATGTGACTAAACATAAAATGTTTTAAGGAAAATATTCTTTGAAAAGCAGAAGATCCTCTAGCAATTTTTTCAGGACTTTCATTCCCTGGCAAAATGCTTAAGGAATTTATTTCTTATTTTTTTCTTGGGCTTTGTCTGGGGTAAGACATTCTGCTCAGCTTAGTCATAGAAAATATTCATGTTCACTGGCGTTTAGGCATATTCTCAGGGAAAACTCATGTTTCCTATCTTCTCCTCACTACTGGAGTGTTGAAACATTCTATACCATGTAAAAAATAACCAAACCCCCAAATTCTCCATGGGCTCTATAACCACTCCAGGTACCTTTCCTCTCTCTTCTCACAGTCAAACTTCTCCACATCTTCATACAATATTTGTTTCCCAATAAACCCGAAGCTGGTTTCCATTCCCACTACTTTACTAAAGTTGCTTTTACTATAGTTTCTAATGACCCCGTGCTGTCAATTCCAATGGGCAATTTTAGTACTCATCTTTTTTTAACTATTTCTCAGCTTTCAGCATAGCTGACTTCCTTCTCTAAGAGCTTTAGTTGGCTGTTGTTATAGATTGAATGTTGATGTCCCTTCCAGATTCATATGTTAAAGCCTTAACCACCAATGTAATGTGTGGAAATGGGGCCTCTGGGGGGTAATTAGGGTTAGATGGAGTCATGAGGGTGGGGCCTTCATCATGGGATTAGTGCCTTTACAAGAAGCATCACCAGAGAGCTTGCTCTCCCTCTCTCCACATGCAAAGACGAGGTCATGTGAGTACACAGTGGGATGGCAGTTGCCTACAAGCCAAGAGAAGTCTCAAAATCAACCCTTTACACTGACCCCATGCAAATCTCTATGGCTTAACACAATAAAATGGACTTATTACTTATGTAGCTCTCTTCTATAAATTGGTTGGTTGTCAGAACAGTGGCTCAGGATCCAAGGCTTCTTCCACACTGTGGATAGGCCATGTTCAGCATGTGGCCTCTGAGATTACTGTGGGAGGGATAAAAGAATGAAGGGATTGCATGTGAGAAATTTTTATGGAACTTGCCTGGAAGTGTTGGGCATAACATTCATACAAATATACCCCTGTTCAGAACTCAGTCACATGGTCCCACCTAGCTTCAAAGAAGGCTGGAAAATGTAGTTTAGTTATGCACCTAAGAAAAGGGGAAGAAACATGGATATTGGTGACCATGAGCTTTCTTTTCCATGACAAGTCTTTCAGTCCTGTCTTCAAAACAGATCTTTTATTTATTTCTCGTTCTCCATTGACAACAGCTTAATCCAAGCCACTAGACTCTTGCATCTGAGATACTGCAATAACTTCCTAATGAAGTTCTTTATTTTCATAATTGTTCCATTCTTCCCCCAGTGGACCAAGTAATCTTACACATGAATATAAACTTGTCAACTGCTTACTATTATTTAAATCTTGCAATGCTTGCCCATTATCTTAGGAAAGAATCAAATGCTAAAGAGGATGTAAGAGGTTATGCATGGTCTGCCCATTAACCATCTCAGCTAGATTGCTGCTGTCTCCCTTGGTCACTACTATCCATACACAGGATTATTGGGTCAGATCTTCCCTCCTCTGGAAAGCTTTTTTGTTTTTCATTTATCTTAGTCTTGGCCTTAGCCTCTTACTTATCTCCTTCAAGCCTCAGTTTAAATCAGTGAGTTTAAATCACTCCCTCCCTCGGGGACGTCATTTTCCCTAACATTTCCTCACACTCATGCCCCAACAAAAGGCTGGGCTTCCCATTATTTCCCTTTTATAATATCTGTTGCTATTGTGAATTAAATAATCTTTGTCTTTAATCTGTCTGCCTCACTAGACTGCACTCTCTATTAGGACAGGAAATGCATCTAGCACCAAGGTCACCTGCCTGAAGCATATGGTGTCTGACAGCTAACAGCAGTGGTGTGCTGGAGCCTATGTGTGCTGGCTCATGACAGATGATTGTTAAATTCCCAGGAATATTGTAAGCTGGTTATCAAACAGCCATTATTAAAAATTAAACAATAGCAACTGATGATTAAATAAATTATATTTAAAACAGAGGTAGTAAATACCAAAAAGCCATTATTTCCTAATTACTACATTTTATTGTCTATGGTCTTGTGGTTATTTATGTCTATTATATCTATAGGTGGAAATACTGAATAACAGTGTGCTATGCATATCTCATCCCAATCCCATGTTCAGTGAATTCATTTTGGTAGCTTGAAATTGGTCACGGTAGATCTATTAACACTTTGAAAATTAGCAAATACTACAAATCAGGGTTCCCTTCCACTTCCAACCAGCCAGGTTTTAAACCTTTACTAGCACACCACCACCCAATAGGTACCTGACAACTATATGTTGAATGAATAAAAGAATGGCAGGTGTAATGCTACTGTGCTTTCCTCCACTATGACTGTGGAAATGTGGATCATCACCTGGCTTACTACAACCTTACCGATCATCTAAATAATGCAGATTAACACAACTTTACCAGTCATGCAAATAAATTAGATCCAAATAAATCAGATGTCTCTAATCCATTCAGACAGTTTCAGCAAAGTTGTCATTTTTGCCTGAATCACACAGGTGATTTCCTTGGTTCTCCATTTATTTTGTAAGTAGACTAGCCTCTGTTCTAGCAATTAAAGGTCATTATGGCAGCATTTTCCAAGCATCCTGTTCTGTGACAGATTTTCCCAGTTATTTTTACCAGTCTATCAGAGGTCAATAAAATTGATCAGGAAGCATGCATAACACAATTGTTTAGGATCACATGGGATCTATAAAAACTTGTGAGTTAACTGAGCAATTTAGAGTAAAGGTACTCTGACACTTCCACCTTAATTCTGAATATTTTTCCATATCTTGGGAGAATCTGGAAGTAGTGAAGTCAGAGCTTTCAGCAGGGCAGAGTCTTTTAGATCTCTGGTCTCCTTTGATCCAAGAGCATTTTGCATACGCAGTAGCATAGTGCCCCTCCCGTGGCTTTTGACATAATCAGCTTTAAATTGGCATTATTTACTTGTTGCCTTGTTTTCACCACTAAATACAAATTCCTTCAAGTGAAGAAACCAATTTACACCTGTCTCTCTAGAAAGCCCAGGTTGAGTTTTGCACATCTCAAGCATTCAACTGAGGTTTACTGAAGTAGGGACATCCATCTCTTTTGTCCCCTGGCTAGCTCTTCAATGTATTCTCACTGAACCTGGAAAACTGTAAAAGTTTATACTTTTCTTGGTTATTAGATTGGTAATTCATAAGGAATGTTTAGGAAATATACAAGAGTAAACATTCAGCCACTGAAAATTTTGAAATAATATTAAAAATGGCTAAAACACATGAAATTTAAAATTTTTTAGATAAATAGTTTTGTCTCAAAATTAATTGTGTAATGGGACTTGATTGTAGCTCCTGGCTCTTTTTGCTTTGCCATGAAGTCAAAATAATGTTCATTATGTACTATCATATTTTCACCAACTGTGGTTGCTGTTTTAGTGTGGTTCACAGTTGGAATATAGAAAACAAAATAAATCACGAACAGTGTAGGAATTCAGAAAACCTGCAATTGGCATTTGTTAAAAAAAAAAGATGCTTCTTTTTTCAGATTTTTTTTCACACTTTCAGGATTAACAACAATAAGCAAACTGGCATTTCTACTGTTAAAGTTCATAAAGCTTTGAAAAATTATTTAACCTTCATAAGACCTTCATAAACTCTCTATAATATGGTCTGTGATTCAGAGTGTGGGCAATGCTCTGTCTGGCCCAAAAGCATTAAACCACGCTAGCATAGAAGGAAGTGAACTTTGATGGTGCTATTTTGTGTGTTTTTACTGTACCAGTGTCTGCCTGAATGTGGCTGCCTGAGCTAAGCCCGGTCCTGCTGGGCTTAGTCATCAGCTCTGATCATTTATCTGACTCCTTGTATCGTGGCCAACAGCAGGTCGTGGGAAGTCATTTCCAGGAGGACTGTGACCACCTATTAGAGTCATGCTGGGGTAAGGCTGACCTGGCCACTGCAGCATGGGTGTGCTCTACCTGCTCCCTCCTGGGCTTGCTGCCATTGGCCACTCTTGGTTAGGTGCTGGCCACAGTATTTTGGGGGAATGTTATACATCCTTTCTGGTCTCTGAGTCTGTCAACAAGCTACGCATATTTAATGTGGCAAAAAATACCACATTAAATATAAGTATATGTTGCATTAAATAAAGGAAAATAGTTTTTACTAAAAGCAAAAAATAACAATAGAAGTTCTGTATTGAAGTTATCTTAGTGAAGAAATCTTAGACTTTTACCCTGTGGAAAAGTAGCTTGAGATAAATACTCTTGAAAACAAATTTACAAATAAGATGAATTAATTTTTTAATGTAACAGTTATGACCAAATAGAATGTGAATGCCATTTATGGATGTGTAAAATCTTGATTGCATAAAATAATACATCCTAGAGAATAGACTCTAAAAATGATTATGTAATGAAATGATTTTTTTTTGCTTCCCACTTCATTATTTCTGGTGGATTTTGTTTTAATTAAGGATTTAAAAATCCATGAAAAATCTTGAATAGCCCATAAGGAGTTTTATAAAGAAATAGTTCAATATCTTATCAAAGTAGGAAGTGAGACAAGTTGAATCTCTAGCTATGTGGGAACACTATTTGCTTTTCTGTAAGGAGATATGCTGGTAAATAAACACCTATCTCATGATTCATATTTGGCACAAATGTACTAAATGGTCATGTTTAGTTTAGTTATGGAACAGATATTTGATTATACTCCACTGTTTAGTTGGTAAATCTACTAGCATTCCTACTACCATAGTTTCCTATAATGACAATATATAGCACTTCTTTATTTCCTGAAGTTCATCTTTTTGATGCATGTTGGGTGCAGGAGTTTCAGTATTTTCAATCTACATTCAGGCTGCCAATGCAGAGGAATTACAATATCCCTAAATAATAGAAATAAGTTATCCTTAAAGGGAATAAACTCCTCCCTTCTCTTCCCCTTTCTTCTTATTCTCCCTCATGGATGAGAAGGAACAGTGTTGTTTGTTTTACCACTGGGAAGGAGCTGAATAATCATATATTAATCACTCAATATGTATCAGATTATAACTATAATTAACATTTCATATAACCAAATAACATTTTATTTAATCCATATAATTCTTCACAATAGACTCTTATTTTCTCTATGTTACAGATGAGGGAATTGAAGCTCAGAGATGCTAAATAATTTGCTGAAACTCACACAGCTGGATATGCACAGGTTTTTCTGTCCATACTCTTTCTGCTACGTACACATCATGCTGAAAGCAAGTAGTTGTTTCCCATTAGAGACAATAAAAAGATATTCATTAACTCCAGTACAATAACTCTGCTGACCTGATAAGGCTACACATAGTAACTATTTTCTTTTGAAGGAAACCCATCAGCCTTGGAGAAGACAGAAACTGGTGGAAGGCTGTCTCAGTAGTAGTGTTCACTGCCTTTCCGTTGGCGTAGGTAAAGGTACCATGCTATCTTCCCTTCGAGTGGCATGAAGTGACAAAACATACATGTGTAGGGGACGGAGCTCTGAAGAGATGAGGGCATTTACTACAGAGGACAGCTCTGTAGCTACACTGCATGGTCTTCACTATTTCTGATGATAGCCAGTGTTACTTGTTCACTCTTATTTTATTATGGGGCCATCAGTCCAGCAGATGAGTAGTCCTTGCTTCCTACCAATAGACAAACTCCATTCTTTCTTCTACCCTATCACGACAACTGATGCTCACATCCCAGAGCCAGAAAGTATATATATATTGTTATCGTTTTGACCCTCAAGGAAAGGGGAAATAAGTGAAGGAAAGAAGATGTATCCAGCTGAGGAGGCCAGATATGAGTGCTGCATGGATTTCCAAAGACAACAGCAATGCTAAGACATTATCAGTCTCACACATTTAGTGCTCAAGAGATAGAGCCATTGACTACAACACAGAATATGGCTAGAAAACACCAAAGGTGGGACTAACAACACAGCTATTAGTTGAAGTTTTCTGTTGGCAGCCAAACTTGAGGAGCCTTGTTGATAAACCTAGGATTGCATCACTGATTGGTGGTGTTGCTGCAGGGATCAGGATTGACCTTTCCCAAATATGAGTTCCTTCTGAGATTTGATGAAAAACACAGTTTCCTAAAAGGAAATGTCCAGAATGGGTCACATATGTATAAATAACTCTACAAAGTCCAGTTCCACATAACTCCTTTAAATCATGAGGCTTTTCCCCAGCCACACAGCTACAGCCTCCCTACAAATAGGCCTTCAAAACCCTAACATTGCTCACTGTCCTAAATTTCTTGCTGTAGTATGAACAACTGCAATGCATCTCTGGCTTTGAACTTGGCCTTTTTTCCATCATCATGATAGGAATGCCATCTTCTGGTGGCACTACCATCACTCTCTAGGTTGGACCTGGACGCTCACTGTTGTACCTCCAAAATGTGTCCTAGGAACCCAGCCTAGGCAGCCATATTTCAAGTGTGACTGATTTGTGTCAACTTGAGCAAGTTAATCATCTCCCTGGGTTTCAGTTTCCTCATTTGTCAGTAGAGCTTGAGCTAAATGATAAAGTCCTTTTCAGGTATAATTTGTAGTAACTCTTACATATAAATAAAGTTTATGTTAAAACTTATGGGCTTCCTCAAAGGGAGGGGCTCTGGGAATATATATTTTGACTTAACCTATAAATGCAAATATTTTTCCAGGTTTCCCTCTGTACCCAAAAGAACTTTGAAGTTTACAGTGAGTTAACACCAAGGTAGAGAGGCAAGCTGTAAATTACTTATTTGGCCCAAATCAACTGTAGGTCAGTTATTTCAAGACTTGCTCAATTTTAGTGTTTGAAAAACATCAACACCTCCATTATGTCGTTAGTATCAATGGGGGAAGAAAAGCACAGTGGAACCTCTCCTAAAGAGGTCAGGCTTGGGAGGTAGAAAGGTGCTTGGTGAGCTGTCACACAAAGGGTGTTTTAATAAAGAAGGTAGAACAAGGCGTTTGAAAGGGAAGTGTTGATTGCAAAGCATGTATAGAGGAATTTCAAAAATAAAGCAGGCCCTATGAGGCTAAATGATCAGCAATGTTATTTGAGAACTAGTAACTTCAAGACTGGCATGAAGAACTTTATTCATGTTAATCTGTTCATCAATTAGCTCTATTTAGAAGTCATCTCAAATAATTTTGGATGGACTGTGAGAAATTTACACCAAAAAAGTGCTACTGTGGCTTTGCCAACAAATTGTGTATTTCACCATGTGCTAAAGATTTTTTTCCAAAAAAGAATACGTTGTGACCTGCATAAACTTTTATGTCAAAATAATGAAACAGAACCTTATTTTCTGGTGCCAACTTTCTATAAAATCACTCTTTAAAAAATATTAATCTCATTGCAGCATGTAGAATTTTACACACAGCTTCAGAATAGGTCTGGCACTATACATCTTTATAGAGTGAAAAGATTTGGAATAGATTCAAGATTCAAATGCCAAGGTTTGTATCTGTACCTTTGACTTCTTATTGTTTTAAGAAATGTATATAATATATACTTGCTAACATATTACCTAACACTATCACCTCTTAGGTAACATCAGTTGGCTAAAGTTACTCCTTCATGACATTTTCCATAGTGAACGTTTTTATACATTTGTGATGTGGAAGACAGCAAATAGGTATATACTTTCCTTTGTTCAGCAAAAGTTGTTGTAGCTCTAAAACTAACAAAAATTAATAGCATTGCATTTTTTAAAAATGTAACTGTCAACGTTAAGACTGGTTAATTTGTTATTAGTATAGTGTCCTGGTTAAGACCTAAGAGCTAGGGCTGCTGTGGTTTAAGACCCAGCTTTGCCTATTACTAGCTGTCTGACTTTGGGCGCATTATTTAACTTTAACTTTGCTGTGCCTGGATTTTTTCATGTCTACAACAGGGATAACAACACTTACATGATAGGTTCCTTTGAGTTAATATTTGTGAAGTGTTTTAGATGGTGTCTGGTGCAAAGCAAATGCTGTAAGTCCTTGTTGTGCTTGTTATCATCCTTAGCTATATATCGACGGCTATAAAGAGAAAAAGAAAACCTATATTTTATATAGAGAAAAAAGAACAACTTAGTAGAAAAGAATAATAAAGTTAGATCTATTAAATGAATATGTAAATCATTTAATTATTTGCAAATAACTGAAAAGATTAATGGTCAGGATTTTTTTGAATGATTATTTCAGGTCATAAATATTCTCTTTCAAGGCAATAGGGAATAGAGTAGGAAAAGCACATCAATGCAAATGGTGGAGTAAGGACCTTCACAAAGAAATTCTCCATGGTAAAAGCAAGGGAAATACTGAAAAAAATTGTCAGAATCAATTTTTTTCATTACCTTATGCATTAAACACTTGCAACAATCCAAGGAGAGGTTTTTTCTTTTTTTTTTTTAAGTTGAATCTGGGTAAAAACATTACCTTTGTGATATTTGCACTTATCCTATTCCTATCACTCTTTCTCCAACTCTGTGACATAGATGTGAAAACCAGCAGTCTCTCAACCATAACAGCTTTGAAAAACAGTAGCCTAGCAGCCACTGGAGGGACAAAGCACTGGTCTGGAGCTCCCCAGAAACACTGATATGGTTTTGCTCTGTGTCCTTACCCAAATGTCATCTTGTAGCTCCCATAATTTTCATGTGTTGTTGGAGGTACCCGGTGGTAGATGACTGACTCATGGGGGTGGGTCTTTCCTGTGCTATTCTCATGATAGTGAATGGGTCTCACGAGATCTGATGGTTTTAAAAATGAGGGTTTCTCTGCACAACTCTCTTTTTCTGCCTGCCACCATCCATGTAGGATGTGACTTGTTCCTCCTTGCCTTCAACCATGATTGTGAGGCCTCCCCAGCCATGTGGAACTGTGAGTCCAGTGAAGCTTCTTTCTTTTGTAAATTGCACAGTCTTGGGTATGTCTTTATCAGCAATGTGAAAATTAACTAATACAAACAACAGTCTCAGAAAATTGTCACTATTTGACTTGTCTGGTTGTTCCTTGGAAACCCCAACTCTAAAAATTTGTCCTTTCTCAGTGCAAATTATGCATTTCCCTGGAAGCATGTCAAAAATAATCAGCAACAATTGTGTTATGTTGCAGCTACCTAAGGCAGTGATATGGGTTGGAGCAAGCAAGAAACTGACCAAAATATTTATAAGGAAAAGTTGGGAAATGAGATGTCCACAGAGGGTTTTGATCAGGTCTGACTATTCCTGGGAATCTAGTAAGCCACATACATTTTTTTCTGCACATGTCCAGAAAAAAATCTGAGAAAGTCCTAAACTCTCAGCTCTGTCTGACCTGAGGTCTGAGGTATAATATAAGCAAGAAGTGAAAGGCAAAGCAGAGTTGTGACTGCCTGCCTGAATCTTGAAACACACACTGAACCCTTTGCCAAAGGATAGAAGATTTATTGATTCTAGATCCTTAAAGATTTAGGGAAATTTTTGTCCAATCACTCATTGACCAATAGCCTGAGTGGGGGCTTCACTGGCCACACACCAAAGGGAGTATAGACTTTACAGAATGACTTCAGGAAATTGACTAGATAGACAGAAGCAACAACAATAAACAGCAGTAAGAAAAAACTCTCAGGGAAAAGGAGATAAGATTTCTTGTGTTTCAACATTATATTATTTTAAATGTTCAGTTTTCAACCAAAAACTACAAGTGCAAGAAAACAAGCAAGAATGGCAAATACTTGTAAAGAAGCAGTAAATAGAAACTTTCTCCAAGAAGCTCAGATATTGGACTTAGTAGGCAAAAATTTTAAATCAAGCATCTTAAATATGTTCAAGAATCAAAGGAAACTGTTGAAAGAATAAAAAGAAAGTAAGCAAATTGATGTCTCACTAAATAGAGAATAATAATAAATAGAAAGAAATGAAAATAAATAAAGTAGAAATGGTGACATTGAAAAGAACAGTAATTCAAATAAAAAACTTGTCTGAGAAGCATATGTGAACTGCCAAAATAATCAATGAACTTATAGATAGGTCCATTGTGATTATCAAGTCTGAATAACAGAAAGAATTAAAAATGAAAATTAAGAGAGTGATGGTGAGGCATTGAACAGCATCTGTGTGACAATGCTGAGCATACTAAACACATCATGGGAATTCCAGAATGTAAGCAGAGAGATGAAGAGGAGGAAGAATGAGAAAATAATGGTAGAACCCTCCACCCTCAAAATTTGATGACAAATACTAATCTACACATCCAAGAAGCTCAATGAATTCCAAGTAGGATAAATTCAAAAAGATCAATACCTGGCTACATCCTAATTAAACTTTTAAAAGCCAAAGACAGAGTGATTCTTGAAAACAGCAAGAGAGAAATATATCCTCATGTATAGGGAATCCTCAATAAGATTAATAGGTGATTTCTTACCAGAAATAATGGGGGTCAGAATGGAGTGTGATGACTTATTCAAACTGTTGAATGAAAAAGACTGTCAACCAAGAATTTTATATCCCTCAAAGATATCTTTCCAAAAAGGAAGGAAAAATTAAGACATTCAAGAGAAACAAACAACAAACAAAAGCTAAGAAAAATCACTGCTAACAGGTTTGACTGACAAGTAATACTAAAAGGAGTCCTTCAAGCTGATATAAAAGGACTATGGAGAGTTACTTAAATCCACATGAAGAAATAAAGAACAGCAAAAATGGTAACTACATAGACAAATATAAATAACAACATAAATGTATTTTTAAAAATGTGTAAACTTATTTTTCTCCTATCTGATTTAAGAGACAACTGCAAAAACCAATAATTATAAATCTGTATAGCTGGATGCCTTACATATAAAGATGTTATTTTTATAAATATAATAGCAACAGAAAGTGGAGAAGGCAAAATAGGAGAGATTACATAAAGCCAGTTTTGAATATTATTGAAATTACATTGTTATTAATTTGAACTAGATTTTTGGGTGATATTAATCACTAGGGCAACTACCAAGAAAATAAAAATATAGCAAAAGAATGACAAGAAAATAAAAATGATAAATTAGAAAATATCTATTTAAGACAAAGAAACCATTAATGGAGACAGAGGAACAAAACAGACACAAAACATATGTAGAAGACAAATTGCATATGGCAGATGTAAAGTCTACCTTATCATTCATTATATTGAATGTAAATTAATGCTTTAATAATAAAGCAGAGATTGGTGGAATAAATAAAAATTATGACCTAACTCTGTGCTATCTATAAAAGATATGCCTTAGATTCAAAGACGCAAATAGGTTGAAAGCAAAAGCATAGAAACAGATATACCATGCAAACAGTAACCAATAGAAACAAAACAGACTTTGAAACAAAAATTGTTACTAAAGTCATAAAGGACATTTTATAATGATACAAGAGATGATCCATCAAGAAGATATAATAATTACAAACAAATATGTGTCTAACAGCAGAGCCCCCAATTTTTAAAGCAAAAACAGAATTTAAGAGAGAAATAGACAACTCACAATAACAGTTGGAGACTTCAATGCCCCACTTTCAATAATAGATAAAACAATTTAACAGATCAGCAAGAAAATACAAGCCTTGAACAACACTATAAATGAAGGAGACATAACAGTCATCTAATAAATACTAAATAGCAGAATACAAATTTTTTCTCAAGTGCACATGGAACATTCTTAAGGTTATATCATATGTTAGGTCATAAAACAAGTCTTATTAATCTAAAAGGATTGAAATTATAAAAGTATGTTCTCTGACCACATGGAATGAAATTAGAAATCAATAATAGAAGAAAATTTGGAAATTCAAAAATATGTGTAAACAACACACTTTCTTAAGCAATACAAATTTATTATCTAACAGTTCTGAAGGTCAGAAGTTTGAAATTAGTGTCACTGGGCTAAAATCAAGGTGTCACCAAGGGTGCTTTCTTTCTGAAAGCTCTAAAAGGAAATCCATTTTCTTACCTTTTAGAGCTTCTGTACACTATTCACAATTCTTGGCTGGTCCCTTCTGTCTCAAAGTGAACAGTGACTGGTCAAGTTTTACTCACACTGTGTCATCCTGCCTCTGAAACAACATACTTTTAAATAACTAATAAGTCAAAGAAGAAATTATAAGAGAATTCAGAAACTACCTTGAGATGAATTAAAATGAAAACAAAACATACAAAACTTGTGGGATGCAGCTAAAACAGTGACCTATTAAAGAGAAATCTGTAGCTGTAAATCTTTATATCAAAAAAGAGAATAGATTTGTAGTTCTCCTTGAAGAGGTCCTTCACATCCCTTGTAAGTTGGATTCCTAGGTATTTTATTCTCTTTGAAGCAATTGTGAATGGGAGTTCACTCATGATTTGGCTCTCTGTCTGTTATTGGTGTATAAGAATGCTTGTGATTTTTGCACATTGATTTTGTATCCTCAGACTATGCTGAAGTTGCCTATCAGCTTAAGGAGATTTTGGGCTGAGACGATGGGGTTTTCTAGATATACAATCATGTCATCTGCAAACAGGGACAATATGACTTCCTCTTTTCCTAACTGAATACCCTTTATTTCCTTCTCCTGCCTGATTGCCCTGGCCAGAACTTCCAACACTATGTTGAATAGGAGTGGTGAGAGAGGGCATCCCTGTCTTGTGCCAGTTTTCAAAGGGAATGCTTCCAGTTTTTGCCCATTCAGTATGATATTGGCTGTGGGATTGTCATAGATAGCTCTTATTATTCTGAGATACGTCCCATCAATACCTAATTTATTGAGAGTTTTTAGCATGAAGGGTTGTTGAATTTTGTCAAAGTCCTTTTCTGCATCTATTGAGATAATCATGTGGTTTTTGTCTTTGGTTCTGTTTATATGCTGGATTACATTTATTGATTTGCATATGTCCACCCAGCCTTGCATCCCAGGGATGAAGCCCACTTGATCATGGTGGATAAGCTTTCTCAAGGAGAACTACAAACCACTGCTCAATGAAATAAAAGAGGATACAAACAAATGGAAGAACATTCCTTACTCATGGGAAGGAAGAATCAATATCGTGAAAATGGCCATACTGCCCAAGGTAATTTATAGATTCAATGCCATCCCCATCAAGCTACCAATGACTTTCTTCACAGAATTGGAAAAAACTACTTTAAATTTCATATGGAATCAAAAAAGAGCCCGCATTGCCAAGTCAATCCTAAGCCCAAAGAACAAAGCTGGAGGCATCATGCTACCTGACTTAAAACTATACTACAAGGCTACAGTAACCAAAACAGGATGGTACTGGTACCAAAACAGAGATATAGACCAATGGAACAGAACAGAGCCCTCAGAAGTAATGCCACACATCTACAACTATCTGATCTTTGACAAACCTGACAAAAACAAGCAACGGGGAAAGGATTCCCTATTTAATAAATGGTGCTGGGAAAATTGGCTAGACATATGTAGAAAGCTGAAACTGGATCCCTTCCTTACACCTTATACAAAAATTAATTCAAGATGGATTAAAGACTTAAATGTTAGACCTAAGACCATAACAACCCTAGAAGAAAAGCTAGGCAATACCATTCAGGACATAGGAATGGGCAAGGACTTCATGTCTAAAACACCAAAAGCAATGGCAACAAAAGCCAAAATTGACAAATGAGATCTGATTAAACTAAAGAGCTTCTTCACAGCAAAAGAAACTACCATCAGAATGAACAGGCAACCTACAGAATGGGAGAAAATTTTTGCAATCTACCCATCTGACAAAGGGCTAATATCCAGAATTTACAAAGAACTGAAACAAATTTATAGGAAAAAATCAAACAACCCCACCAAAAAGTGGGCAAAGGATATGAATAGATACTTCTCAAAAGAAGACATTTATGCCACCAACAGACACATGAAAAAATGCTCATCATCACTGGCCATCAGAGAAATGCAAATCAAAATCACAGTGAGATACCATCTCACACCAGTTAGAATGGCGATCATTAAAAAGTCAGGAAACAACAGGTGCTGGAGAGGACGTGGAGAAATAGGAACACTTTTACATTGTTGGTGGGATGGTAAACTAGTTCAACCATTGTGGAAGTCAGTATGGCAATTCCTCAGGGATCTAGAACTAGAATTACCATTTGACCCAGCCATCCCATTACTGAGTATATACCCAAAGGATTATAAATCATGCTGCTATAAAGACACATGTACACGTATGTTTATTGCGGCACTATTCACAATAGCAAAGACTTGGAACCAACCCAAATGTCCAACAATGATAGACTGGATTAAGAAAAGGTGGCACATATACACCATGGAATACTATGCAGCCATAAAAAAGGATGAGTTCATGTCCTTTGTAGGGACATGGATAAAGCTGGAAACCATCATTCTCAGAAACTATAGCAAGGACAAAAAACCAAACACCGCGTGTTCTCACTCATAGGTGGGAACTGAACAATGAGAACACATGGACACAGGAAGGGGAACATCACACACCGGGGCCTGTTGTGGGGTGGGGGGAGAGTGGAGGGATAGCATTAGGAGGTATACCTGATGCTAAATGACGAGTTAATGGGTGCAGCACACCAACATGTCACATGTATACATATGTAACAAACCTGCACATTGTGCACATGTACCCTAAAACTTAAAGTATAATAAAAAAAAGGAGAATAGATTTTAATTTATGACCTAACCTTCTACCTTCAAAAATTAAAATATGAAGAACAACTAAATCCAAAAGAAGAAATAGGAAAAAAATGACAAAGATTTGACAGAAATAAAGAATTGAAAAACAACAGAAAACTAATGGAACAAAAAGTTGGTTCTTTGAAATTACTAACAGAACTGATTGAACTTTAGCTACAATGACCAAGAAGAAAGAGAGACAATTCTAATTATTAAAATCATAAACAACAGAGGGAACATTACTACCCACTTTATAGAAATAAAAAGAATTATAAGGGAATAAAATGAATAACTATATATTTACAAATTACATAGCTTTGATGAAATGGATAAATTTCTAGAAATACATACATTGCTGAAGCTGACTGAAAAAGAAGTAGAAAATCTGAAGACATATAACAAGCTAATAGATTCAATTAGTAGAAGTAACTCTTTCCAAAAAGAAAATAACTCCATTGGTGAATTCCACCATTTAACAAAAAATTAACATCAACTTTTCACAAAGTGTTCCAAAAAACAGAAGAGGAGGGAACACTTTCCAACACATTGTCTGAGGCCAGTATTATCTTAAAACCAAAACAAGATAAAGACATCACAAGAAAAAAAAGGTGGAAGTGGGGGCAAAACAACCAAAAGACCAATATTTCTTGTGAAAATAAGACACAAAAATCTTCAACTTAGTACTAGCAAGCTATATCCAATAACATATGAAAAAGATTATACAACTATGACCAGGTGGAATTTATCTCAGGAATGTAAGATTTGCTTAAAATTTGAAAATCAAAATATACTGCACCATATTAATAAAATAAAATGCCAAACCACGTGGTCATCTTAATAGTTGCAGAAAATGCATTTTTAAATTCCAACACCATTTCAAGATAAACACTTTCAACAAACTAGGAATAGAAAAGAACTTCCTCATCTTGATAAAGGGCTTCTATGAAGAAATAATATTAATATCACACTTCATCATAAAAGATGAAACGTAATTTCTCTAAGATCAGAAATAAGATGAATATGTCCACTTTTGCCTCTTCCATTCAATATTATACAAGAGATTTCAGCCAGGGAAATTCAGAAAGAAAAAGAAAAAAAGGCATCAAGATTGAAAAGGAATCATGATGGTAGATGGGAGGCAGGACTGAATGGCAGCTTTGACTCAGATGGACAGAGCAGCATGTGGAGGCTTGCATTGTGAATTTTAGCTGCAGATTGACTGCAGGAACAAACCAGCAATCTCGAGAGGATCCACAGACCCTCTGAAGGAAGCAGACTGCTCCTGCAGGACCTGGGAGACACCCCAAATACTGTGAGAGCCCCAGCTGCAGAAGTGGGAAAGGGAGAGCCTCTTCTCCCAAGCACACACCCCCACTGGAAGAACTGAAGTTCTGCTTCCAGGAGAAGTTTCCTACCTTACATGGAGCTGAGTCAATTTAGAGAGCCGAGTAAAATACAGGGGTAGAGGAAGCAGCAGAAAGGCCCTGGGATCTCGCTGGGTCCCCAAGCAGGCCATTCCTGCCTGGCATCACAGGGATCCATCCGGAGGTTGGCTAGAGGAGCTTGAGGTGGAAAACCAAAGGGAGAAAGTAATCTCCAGCTGAACTTTATAGCAATTTGAATGGGAGGAGAAGCCTCCTGGCCAGAACTCAGGGGAGGATGTGAATCCAGTGTGCAGACTCCACAGGTAGGGGAAGAACTGAGCCCTTTTCTTTTGCAGCTGGGAGGTGGGTAGCCTGGGGCAAGTTCTCAAGGCCAGCTTGCCCACCACCTGGAAACAGACTTGGGGCTATTGGGGGGACACGATAGGAACTTCAGTTTGTGTGGGAGCTGGGTGAGGCCTGTGACTGCCAGCTTTCCCTCACTTCCCTGACAACCTGTGTGACTCAGCAGAGGCAGCCATAATCCTCCTAGGTACACAACACCATTGATCTGGGAACCTCACCCCCAGCCCCCACAGCATCCACAGCAAGACCCACCCAAGTAGAATCTGAGCTCAGACACACCTAACCCTTTTCCCACCTGATGGTCCTTCCCTATTCACCCTATTAGTGAAAGACAAAGGGCATATAATCTTGAGAGTTCCAGGGCCCCACCCACTGCTGGTTTCTCTCCATACTACCATAGCTGATCCTCTCTGGAAAGTGCCACCTCCCAGCAGGAGGCCAACCAGCACAAAAATTGAACATTAAATCACCAAAGCTAAAAATTCTTATGGAGTCCATTGTACCCCCCTGCCACCTCCACCAGAACAGGTACTGATATCCACAGCTGACAGACCCATAGACAGTTCACATGACTTTGTGCAGAGAACCCCCAGTACTAGTCTGGGGCTGGGTAGACTTGCTGGAAGAGAGACAACAATTACTGCAGTTTGGCCCACAGGAAGCCACATCCATAGGAAAAGGGGGAGAGAACTACATCAAGGGAACATCCTGTGGGACAAAAGAATATGAACAACAGCCTTCAGCCCTAGAACCCCCTCTGACAGAGCCTACGCAAATGAGAAGAAACCAGAAAACCAACTCTGGTAATATGACAGAACAAGGCTCCTTAACACCCCCGAAAATCACACTATTTCACCAGCAATGATTCCAAACCAAGAAGAAATCCCTGATTTACCTGAAAAAGGATTGAGGAGGTTAGCTATTAAGCTAATCAGGGAGGCACCAGAGAAAGGTAAAGCCCAATGCAAGGAAATCCAAAAAACGATACAAGAAGTGAAGGGAGAAATATTCAAGGAAATGGCTTAAAGAAAAAACAATAAGAAATTCAGGAAACATTGGCCACACTTACAGAAATGCAAAATGCTCTGGAAAGTCTCAGCAATAGAATTAAACAAGTAGAAGAAATAAATTCAGAACTCGAAGACAAGGTCTTTGAATTAACCCAATCCAACAAAGATGAAGAAAAAAGCATAGGAAAATATGAACAAAGCCTCCAAGAAGTCTGGGATTATGTTAAATGACCAAACTTAAGAATAATCAGTGTTCCTGAGGAAGAAGAAAATTCTGAAAGCTTGGAAAATATACTGGGGGGAATAATCAAGGAAAACTTCCCTGGCCTTGCTAGAGACTTAGACATCCAAATACAGAAGCACAAAACACCTAGGAAATTCATCACAAAAAGATAATCACCTAGGCACACTGTCATCAGGTTATCCAAAGTTAAGATGAAGGAAAGAATCTTAAAAGCTGTGAGACAGAAGCACCAGGTAACCTATAAAGGAAAACCTATCAGATTAACAGCAGATTTCTCAGCAGAAACCCTAAAAGCTAGAAGGGATTTGGGCCCTATCTTCAGCCTCCTCAAACAAACCAATTATCAGCCAAGAATTTTGTATCCAGCAAAACTAAGCATCATGTATGAAGGAAAGATACAGTCTTTTTCAGGTGAACAAATGCTGAGAGAATTAACCACTACCAAGCCACCACTCTAAGAACTGCTAAAAGGAGCTCTAAATCTTGAAACAAATCCTGGAAACACATCAAAACATAACCTCTTTAAAGCATAAATCACACAGGACTTATAAAACAAAAATACAAGTTAAAAAGCAAAAACAAACAAAAAACAAAGTATGCAGGCAACAAATAGCATGGTGAATGCAATGGTACCTCACATCTCAATACTAACATTAATGTAAATGGCCTAACTGCTCCACTTAAAAGATACAGAACCACAGAATGTATAAGAACTCACCAGCCAACCATCTGCTGCCTTCAGGAGACTCACCTAACACATAAGGACTCACATAAACTTAAAATAAAGGGGTGGAAAAAAGCATTTCATGCAAAAGGATACCAAAAGCAAGCAGGGGTAGCTATTCTTATATCGTACAAAACAAACTTCAAAGCAACAGCAGTTAGATAAAGAGGGATATTATATAATGGTAAAATGCTTTGTCCAACAGGAAAATATCACAATCTTAGACATATATGCACCTAACACTGGAGCTCCCAAATTTATAAAATAATTACTAATAGACCTAATAAATGAGATAGACAACAACACAGTAATAGTGGGGACTTCAATCCTCCACTGACAGCATTAGACAGGTCATCAAGGCAGAAAGTCAACAAACAAAAAATGGATTTAAACAATGGATGTAAACAAATGGACTTAACAGATATTTACAGAACATTTCATCCAACAACCTTAGAATACACATTCTATTCAACAATGCATGGAGCTTTCTCCAAGATAGACAATAGGATGGGCCATAAAATGAGCCTCAATAAATTTAAGAAAATTGAAATTATATCAAGCACTCTCTCACACCACAGTGGAATAAAACTGGAAATTAACTCCAAAAAGAACCTTCGACACTATGCAAATACATGGAAATTAAATAACCTGCTCCTGAATGAGCATTGGGTCAAAAACAAAATCAAAATGGAAATTAAAAAATTCTTCAAAATAAGTGGCAAAGATGACATAACCTATCAAAACCTCTGGAATACAGCAAAGGTGGTACTAAGAGGAAAGTTCATATCCCTAAACCCCTACATCAAAAAGACTGAAAGAGCACAACCTGACATTCTAAGATTACACCTCAAGGAACTAGAGAAACAAGAACAAACCAAATACAAACTCAGCAGAAGAAAGGAAATGACAAAGATCAGAGCAGAACTAAATGAAGTTGCAACAACAAAAAACAGTACAAAAGATAAATGAAATAGAAAGCTGGTTCTTTGAAAAGATAAATACAATTGATAGACCATTAGCAAGATTAACCAAGAAAAGAGAGAGAAAATCTGAACAACCTCATTAGGAAATGAAACAGGAGATATTATTACTGACACCACTGAGATACAAAGATCATTCAAGGCTACTATGAACACCTTTATGCATATAAACTAGAAAACCTAGAAGACATGGATAAATTCATGGAAAAATACAACCCTCCTTTGTTGTATTAAGGAATACAATTATTCCTTAAATCAGGAATAATTAGATACCATGAGCAGGCCAATAATGAGCAGCAAGACTGAAATGGTAATTTAAAAATTACCAACAAAAATGTCCAGGACTAGACGGATCCACAGCAGAATTCTACCAGACATTCGAGGAAGAATTAGTACCAATCCTTTTGACACTATTCTACCAGAGAGAGAGAAGGAACTCTCCATAATTCATTCTATGAAACCAGCATCACCCTAATACCAAAACCAGGAAAGGACATAACCAAAAAAGAAAACTACAGATCAATATCCTTGATGAACATAGATGCTAAAATTCTTAACAAACTACTAGCTAACAAAATCCAACAACATATCAAAAAGACAATACACCATGATCAAGTGGGTTTCATATTAGGGATGCAAGAATGGTTTAACATACGCAAGTCAATAAATGTGACACCACACAAACAGAGTTAAAAACAAAAATCACATGATCATCTCAATAGATGCAGAAAAAACATTTCACAAAATCCAGCATCCTTTTATGATTAAAACTCTCAGCAAAATCGTCAGGAAAGGGACATACCTCAATGTAATAAAAGCCATCTATGGCAAACCCACAGCCAACATAATACTGAATGAGGAAAATTTGAAAGCCTTCCCTCTGATACTGAACTGGGACAAGACAAGGATGCCCACTGTCACCACTCCTCTTCAACATGGTACTGGCAGTCCTAGCCAGAGCAATTAGACAAGAGAAAGAAATCAAGGGCATCCAAATCAGTAAAGAGGAAGTCACGCTGTCACTGTTTGCTGATGATATAATCATGTACCTTGAAAACCCTAAAGACTCCTCCAGAAAGCTCCTAGAACTGATGAAAGAATTCAGCAAAGTTTCCAGATACAAGATTAATGTACAAAAATCAGTGGCTCCTCTATACACCAACAGCAACCAAGTGGACAATCAAATCAATAACTCAACCCCTTTTACAATAGCTGTGAGAAAAAAATACTTAGCATATACCTAACCAAGGAGTTGAAAGATGTCGACAAGGAAAACTACAAAACACTGCTGAAAGAAATCATAGATGACACAAACAAATGGAAGCACATCCCATGCTCATAGTTGGGTAGAATGAATATTGTGAAAATGACCATACTGCCAAAAGCAATCTACAAATTCAATGCAATCCCCATCAAAATACCACCATCCTTCTTCACAGAATTAGAAAAAACAATTCTAAAATTCATAAGGAACCAAAAAAGAGCCCGCATAGCCAAATCAAGACTAAGCAAAAAGAACAAATCTGGAGGCATCATACTACTTGGTTTCAAACTATACTATAAGGTCACAGTCACCAAAACAGCGTGGTACTGGTATAAAAATAGGCACATAGACCAATGGAACAGCATAGAGAACCCAGAAATAAACCCAAATACTTACAGCCAACTGATCTTTGACAAAGCTGACAAAAACATAAAGTGGGGAAAGGACACCCTTTTCAACAAACGGTGTTGGCATAATTGACTAGCCACATGTAGGAGAATGAAACTGCGATCCTCATGTTACCTTATACAAAAATCAACTCAAGATGCATTAAGGACTTAAGTCTAAGACATGAAACTGTAAAAATTCTAGAAGATAATATTGAAAAAACCCTTTTAGACTTTGGCTTCGGCAAGGATTTCATGACCAAGAACTCAAAAGCAAATGCAATAAAAACAAAGATAAATAGTTGGGACCTAATTAAACTAAAAAGCTTTTGCACAGCAAAAGGAACAGTCAGCAGAGTAAACAGACAACCCATAGAGTGGGAGAAAATCTTCACAATCTGTACATCTGACAAAGGACTAATATCCAGAATCTACAATGAACGCAAACAAATCCGTAAGAAAAAAATGAAAAATGCCATCAAAAAGTGGGCTAAGGACATGAATAGACAATTCTCAAAAGAAGATACACAAATAGCCAACAAACATATGAAAAAAGGCTTAACATCACTAATGATCAGGGAAATGCAAATCAAAACCGCAATGCGATACTGCCTTACTTGTGCAAGAATGACCATAATAAAAAAAAAATCAAAGAACAGTAGATGTTGGCGTGGATGTGATGATCAAGGAACACTTCTACACTATTGGTGGGAATGTAAACTAGTGTAGCCACTATGGAAAACAGTGTGGAGATTCCTTAAAGAACTAAAAGTTCTTTGATCCAGAAATCCCACTACTGGATATCTACCCAGAGGAAAAGAAGTCATTACACAAAAGAGATACTTGCACAAGCATGTTTATAGCGGCATAATTCATAATTGCAAAATTGTGGAACCAATCCAAATGCTCATCAGTCAACGAGTAGATGAAGAAACTGTGGTGTGTATATATACACACACACACACATATATAGACACACACATATATATATATATATATGATGAAACACTACTCAGCCATAAAAATGAATGAATTCACAGCATTTGCAGTGACTTGGATGAGACTGGAGACTATTATTCCAAGTGAAGTAACTCAGGAATGGAAAACCAAATATCGTATGTTCTCACTGATATGTGGGAGCTAAGCTATGAGGACACAAAGGCATTAGAATGATACAATGGACTTTGGGGACTTGGGGGTTGGGCAGGCAAGGGATAAAAGGCTACATATATGGTGCAGTGTATACTGCTCAGGTAATGGGTGCACCAAAATCTCACAAATCACCACTAAATAACTTATTCATGTAACCAAATACTACCTGTACCCCAATAACTTATGGAAAAATTTAAAAAAAAGAAAGAGAAAAAAACATTAAAAAGGAAGAAATATAACTATTTTCTATTCACAGACGATATGACCTTGTATATGGAAAATTCTAACGACTCATTATAATAACCTATTAATAAATGAGATCACTATGTTTTCAGGACACAAGATTAATATACAAAAAGTTATTGTATTTCAATATGCTAGCAACAAACAATCTGAAAATGAAACTAAGAAAATAACCCAATTTACAATAGCATCACAAAGAAAAAATACTTAGGAATAAGTTTGATAAAAGTAACGTAAGACTTTATACTAAAAGCGATAAAACACTGTTGAAATTAAAGATGACCTAAACAAATGGAAAGACATTTCATGTTCATGGATCAGAAAAATCAATATTGTTGAGATCATGACATTCACCAAGTTGATCTACAGATTCAAATCAGTTCCTATCAAAATCTCAGTTGACTTTATGTAGAAACTGACAAGATGATCCTAAAATTCAGATGGAAATGCAAGAGACCCAGGATAGCCAAAACAATCTTTAAAAAGAGAACAAAGTTGGAAGAAATACACTTCCAGAAATTAAAAAAAAAGTATGATACTGGAATGAGGATAAACATATAGATCAATACAACAGAACTTAATGTCCAGAATTAAACACTGACATTTATGATCAATTGATTTTCATAAAGGGTGACAAGATAATTCAATGGAATTCTCTCAGTGAGGACGATTCCAAGATTAGTCTTTTAAACAAATATCACTGAAACAGCTAAATATTCACATGTAAAAGAAAGAATTTGGACCACTACCTCAAACCTACACAAAATTAATCTAAAATAAACCTATTTTAACCTAAAATAGATCTAATAATAAGGTCTATTAATATAAGACTATAAGACATAAAACTATAAAACTCAAAAGAATATACAAAAGTAAATCTTTCTAATACTGGATTATGCAATGGTTTCTTAGACATTACACCAAAAGCACAAGCAATACAGGAAAAAAATAATAGTTTACCAAAATTCAAATCTTTTGTGCTGCTAATTATACAATCAGGATAGAGAAATAATGATCAATGGAAGAAGAGAAAATATTTTCAAATTATATATTTGATAAAGAATTTGTATTCAAAATGTATCAGAATTCTTACAACTCAACAGAAATTACCCAATTAAAATATAAGCAAAGAACTGGAACTGACGTTTCTCAAAAAAAATACACATTAATGGATAATAAGCACATGAAAATCTGCTCCACATCTTCAATCATTAGGGAAATGAAAATCAAAATTATAAATGTGATATCACTTCACATAAATTAGGATTACTATAATTAAATAGACTATAACTTGCATTGAAGAGGGAACAGAAAAATGGGAATCCTTACATATTACTGGTGGATTGTAAAATGGTGAAGCATCTTTGGAAAAAACACTGGCAGTTTAAAAAGTTAAATAGTAGTCCAGAAATAGTCCCACATAAATATAGTCAACTAATCTTTGGCAAAGAACCAAAGACAATACAATGGAGAAAAGATAATTTTTTCAACAAATAGTACTGAAACAATTGGACATCCACAGGTAAAATAATGACTCTACACACAGATCTTACACCATTCACAACAAGTAACTAAAAATAGATTACAGATCTAAATGTAAAACTCAAAAGTATAAAACTCCCAGAAGTTAGCAAAAGAGAAAATCTAGATGACCTTGGGTTTCATGATGACTTTTTAGATATAACACTAAACATCCATGACAAAAAGAATTGATATCTTGCACTTGATTAAAATTAAAAATTTATGCCCTGGGAAGCATACTGTGAAGAGATTAAAAAGACAAATCACAGATTGGGAGAAAATATCTGACAAATGACTGTTATCCAAAATATATGAATAATTCTTAAAAGTCAACAATAAGAAAACAAACAACTCAATTTAATATGGGCCAAAGACCTTAAGAGACATCTCATCAAAGAAGATACACAATGACAAATAAGTATGTAAAAAGATGCCCCACATCATAAGTCATCAGAAAAATGCAACTTAAAACAACAATGAGATACTACTACACACCTATTAGAATGGTCAAAATCTATAACATTGACACCACCAAATGCTGGCAAGGAACAGGAATTATCTTGTTAATTGTTTGTAAGGCAAAATGGTACAGCCACTGTGAAGGACAGTCTGGCACTTTCTTACAAAATTAAACATGTTGTTAACAAAAAATCTAGCAACTGTGCTTCTTAGAATTTATGTGAAGAACTTGAAAACTTATGTCCACACAAAAACCTGCACAAGGATGTTTATAGTAGCATCATTCTTAATTGCCAAAACTTGAAAGCAACCAAAATGTACTTCAACAGGTAAATGGATAAACTGTAGTGCATCCAGACAATAGAATATTGTTTAGTGCTGAAAAGAAATGAGCTATCAAGCCATGGGAAACACATAGAAGAAGCTTAAATGCATATTACTAAGTGATAGAAGCCACTTCTGAAAAGGTTACATGCTTTATGATTCCAGGTGTATAATATTCTGGAAAATATTTAGAGACAGTAAAAATATCAAAGATTGCCAGGGATAAAGAGGGAGGAATGGGTGAATAGGGAGAGTATAGATGATTCTTCGGTCAGCAAAATTACTCTATGTGATATTATAATGGTAAATACATTTCATTATACATTTGTCTAAACCCAAAGAATGTACAACACCAAGAGTGAACCCTAATGTGAACAATGAATTCTGGATGATAATGATGTGTCATTGTAGGTTTACCAATTGTATAATAACAAATGTACCACTCTGATGGGGGATGTCAATAATGAGTGAGGCTGTGCATGTGTGGGTCCAGAGGGTATGTGGGAAATCTCTGTACCTTCAGCTCAATTTTGCTTTGAACCTAAAGTTACTCTAATAAATAAAGTCCATTTTTAAAAAAAAAAGTTAAACAGCATTATTATATAACTCAACAATTTCATTCCTAGGTATATACTCAAGAGAAAAGAAAACACATGTCCACACAAAAAGCTTGTACATGAATGCTCATAACGGTAGTATTCCAGACAGCCAAGATGTGGAAATAAATGAAATATCACTCAATTAATGGATGAGGTTTGGTAAATTCATACATTAGAATATTATTCAGCCATAAGAAAGTACTGATACATGCTACAAAAGTGATGTACCTTAGAAACATTAAGTGAAAGAAGCCAGACACAAAAGGCCACATATTGTATGATTCCATTTGTGTGATGCATCCAGAATAGCCATGTCCACAGAGAAAGAAAGATGTTTAGTACTTGCCAAACACTGGGTTATGGCAGTAGGAGTATGATAACTGCTAATAAGTACAGGGTTTCTGTATTAGTCTGTTCTCACACTGCTATAAAGAAATACCTAAGACTGGGAAATTTATAAAGGAAAGAGGTTTAATTGACTCACAGTTCTGCATGCCTGAAGAGGCCTCAGGAAACTTACAATCATGGCAGAAGGGGAAGCAGACATGTCCTTCTTCACATGGTGGCAGCAAGGAGAAGAATTGAGAACAGAGTGAAGGGGGAAGAGCTCCTTATAAAATCATCAGATCTCATGAGAACTCACTAACTATCATGACAACAGCAAGGGCAACTGCACTCATCATCCAATCACTTTCCACAATGTCCCTCTCCTAGCACATGGGGATTACAATTGAGATTACAATTCAAGATGAGATGTGGGTGGGGACATAGAGCCAGACCATAGCATCCCACCCCTGGCCCCTTGGAAATCTCATCTTTCTCACATTTTAAGACACAATTATGCCTTCCCAACAGTTCCCCAAACTCTTAACTCATTTCAGCATTAACCCAAAAGTGCAAGTCCAAAGTATCATCTGAGAAAAGACAAGTCCCTTCCACCTATGAGCCTGTAAAATCAAAAGTAAGTTAGTTACTTCCTAGATAAAATAGGGGTACAGACATTGGATAAATACACCCATTCCAAATGGGAGAAATTGGCCAAAACAAAGGGCCTACAGGTCCCATGCAAGTCTGATATTTAATGAAGCAGTAATTAAATCTTAAAGCTATGAAATAATCTCACTTGATTCCATGTCTCACATCCAGGGCATGCTAATGCAAGAGGTGGGCTCCCACAGCTTTGGGCAACTCCAGCCCTGTGGCTCTGCAGGGTACAGCCCCCTCCCAGCTGCTTTCACAGGCTGGTGTTGAGTGTCTGCAGCTTTTCCAGGCAAATGGTGCAAGCTGTTGGTGGATCTACCATTCTGGGGTCTGGAAGATAGTGGCCCTCTTCTCACAGCTCCACTAAGCAGTGCCCAGTAGGGACTCTGTGTGGGGGGCTCCAACCCCCTTGCAGTAAAGTTCTGCCTGGACTACCAGGCATTTCAATACATCCTCTGAAATCTAGGCAGAGGTTCCCAAACCTCAGTTTTTGATTTTTGTGCACCCACAGGCCCAACACCATGTATAAGCCTCCAAGGCTTGGGGCTTACACCCTCTGAAGCAACAGCTGCGCTGTACATTGGCCCCTTTTAGCCATGGCTAGGACACAGGGTACCAAGTCCTAAGCTTGAACAAAGCAGCAAGGTCCTGAGTCAGGCCCACAAAACTATTTTTTCCTCCTATGCCTCTGGGCCTGTGATGGGAGGGGCTGCTTTGATGACCTCTGACATGTGCTGAAGAGATTTTCCTCATTGTGCTGGCAATTAACATTTGATTCCTTGGTTACTTATGCAAATTTCTGCAGCCAGCAGGAATTTCTCCTCAGAAAATGGGTTTTTCTTTTCTATTGCATTGTCAGCCTGCAAGTTTTCCAAACTTTTATGCTCTGCTTCCTCTTGAATGCTTTGCCACTTAGAAATTTCTTCCACCACATACCCAAAGTCATCTCTCCCAAGTCCAAAGTTCCACAGATCTCTATGGCAGGGGCAAAATGCTGCCAGTCTCTTTGCTAAAGCATAGCAAGAGTCAGCTTTGCTCCAGTTCCCAAGAAGTTCCTCATCTCCATCTAAGACCACCTCAGACTGGACTTCATTGTCCATATCACTATCAGCATTTTGGTCAAAATCATTCAACAAGTCTCTAGGTAGTTCCAAACTTTGCCACAACTTCTGGTCTTCTCCTGAGCCTCCACACTGTTCCAATCTCTGCCTGTTACCCAGTTTCAAAGTTGCTTCCACATTTTTGGGTATCTTTATAGCTGTATCCCACTACCTCCTGGTACCAATTACTGTATTAGTCTGTTCTCACCCTGATATGAAGACATACCCCAAGACTGGGTAATTTATAAAGAAAAGATGTTTAATTGATTCACAGTTCCACATGGCTGAGGATGCCTCAGGAAACTTACAATCATGGCAGAAGGGGAAGCAAACATGTACTTCTTCACGTGGTGGCAGGGGAGAAAAGTACAGAGCAAAGGGGGATGAGCCCCTTATAAAACCATCACATCTCATGAGAACTCACTCACTATCATGAGAACAGCAAGGAGGATCCACCCCCACGGTCTAATCACCTCCCATGAGTTCCCTCCCCCATCACGTGGAGATTATAATTTGGATTACAATTTAAGATGAGATTTTGGTGAGGACACAGAGCCAGACCATATTAGTTTCTTTTTAGGGTGATGGAACATTCTTAAATGAGATAGTAATGATGGTGACATGACTCTGTGAACATGCTAACAAGCACTGAATTGTATACTTTAAAAGGGATAAATGAGAACTAAGAAAGTGCTTGGCACTGCCTGACAAATATTAAGTGCTTGCAAACTTTAGTTGTTGGTATTACCATTAATAGGAATAGATGATTATGTCATTAAGAATGGCAGAAAAATCTAAATTTTCTCTCTCTCTTTTTTTTTTTTTTTTTGAGACAGAGTCTCTGTCACCCAGACTGGAGTGCAATGGTGAGATATTGGCTCACTGCAACCTCTACCTCCTGGGTTCAAGCGATTCTCCTGCCTCAGCCTACCAAGTAGTTGGGATTACAGGCACCGACCACCATGCCTGGCTTATTTTTATATTTTTAGTAGAGATGGGGTTTCACCATGTTGGTCAGGCTGGTCTCGAACTCCTGACCTCAGGTGATCCACCTACCTCGGCCTCCCAAAGTGCTGGGATTACAGGTGTGAGCCACTGCATCCAGCCCTAAATTTTCTCTAGACGAGATAATTAAGAGTGTTTGACTGATAATGTGGGTCTCTGGAAGAGTAACCAGTTCCTGTGCCAAGTGGAACGAGAAGAAAAACATGATGTGCCACGCAGGCTATACTTGTCCAATGCTGATCCCAGCTTGCATTACACAGGTGAAGAAAAACTCATTGCTAAACAAATTAAACCCTAATTCTACACCCCTGGTGAAAGCCACAGAGAGTTGAACTTGTGAAAAGCAGCTTGATTACAAAGTAATGCCTTCTTTTCTGAAAATCTGTCGTGACTTTCAGTCAGGACTCATGGGGAAGACCCCTGATTTATTTCTCTTTCAAGAGCATCCATAACAGCCTGGCCCCTCAATGAACTCTGCTTTCAGCTGTCCTGAAGGGTGACGGCATGTCTCTCTGAGGTCTATCCACAGGGAAATTCCTCATGGGGTACACAGTCTAGATTTTAAATCAGAGCAGCTCAAACATACCATCTAAATTCAGTGCAAATTTCTCCAGCTACTTTCAGTACATTCCAAAGTTTAATACTATTTATTTATATTTAAAAAAGGCTTTTGTTTTTATTTAATATGACAGACAACAAGGACACTGCTGTGGAAGAAACTTCCATGTATATGTCTGAGGCTCCAGGAGTCCAGATGAATGTACTCAGAGAGTCAGTCCTCCTAAATTAGAGCAAAAGCTGAACAACCAGGCTGAAAAAATGGCCGTGTGTGTGTGTGTGTGTGTGTGTGTGTGTGTGTGTGTGCAAAGAAGGCGAAGAAGAAAATCTTGGCAGGAGAAAAATAGAAGGTAGGCCAGTCAGAAAGAGCTTCCTGAATGACTAGAGAGGAAAGAATCTGGATGGAGAAGCAGAAGCAGAAAAATTTAGGCTACTGGCAGTCATCTGCACAACAAGACTTCCCTCTGTTCTTCACATAATTGCTCTCCGCATGTAGGTAAAGTCACAGACATGGAGAAATCATTTTTCTGCATTCAGCACAACTCCCTTAAAGGTTTGTGACCACTGATGCTATTCCCAAGAAGGTCAAGGAAATTATGGGTGAAATCACTTTCCTCCAGCATCAGCTTCCTCAAGAAGGAAGTGCCAAAGTTTTTACTCTGGCAGAGAAACTCGTATTTCATAACATGGCCTTTATGCGGGAGTTTCTCTACCACTGTGATTATTAATATGTCTGTTTCATCTAAGGCTTAAAATTAGAACAACAGGCCTAATTAGGTTTGTTTACAATTCAGCATGTGTCAGCATGTGTAGGGCCCGAACAACACAGCATGTCCAACAGGAAGCGTGTGTGTGCAGGTCATCGCTGCTCTCCACCGAAATGGTCTCTCCGAGAGCGTCACCCATGGTGTGTTTGGACAGGAAAGCCCAGATAAATGAACACAGCATCAATGTTGCCAGTAATTCAGAAACGGAGATATCTGGAAGTGATAAAAACTGCAATTGATAAAAGCTTCTCTTGTTAAATTTAGGCCACACATACTCTACATAAAATATAGCACTTAGGAAATGATGTGTGTTGATAAAACCTGATGGAGTTGTTTTTCCAAATGTCTTCTCCCTGCTGGGAATTTCCCACTTCGGCAGGCTCTCTCGGGCCTCCCCAGTTGCTAGTCTCCTTCCATGACCTGACCTGGTGTTGTTTATATGGCTGTTTGCACATTTCTTAACAGCCTTTGCAAAGGGTCTTTAATGACTTTCACTCCTGGCAGCGCTTTGCTTCAGGCAGAGCTCCAAAGTCTGCCAGTGTTGTTGTGTTTATTTGTGCAGTGCCCTCCCCAGCTTCCCCTAACCCCCTCAGAGAGGGCCTGGAAAGCATGTTGCAGGTTAGATAGCTGTAGATGAGTTTTCAGACTTGGGCTGTAGCTGTTGGTAATGAAATATGGAAAGGCCATTTAAACAACTAGGAACTGTCCTCAGGTTCCCAGGCGGGCCCACTTAGAGTCCTGAACCTTAATATTTTAAGCCTGCTTGAAGAAGTAGCATTGTCAAGATCCCAACTCCAGTACTTACCAGTTGTGTGATGGAGAATAAGCTCACTATCTTTCTTGGGCTTTGGTTCCCTCATCTGCTAAATGAAGGGAGCAAAATAGATGACTGCCAAGGGCCAACCACCTCGAACAGGCTGAGCTCAGTGATTCCTACATAACCCTAAACAATGGGCTCACATTGGCTACACATTAGGAAAGATGGAAAATTTCCTTCTGCAGGTATCTTGAAGAATGACTAATATGATGGAAAAAGCATTGGACTCTGAGGCTAGATAGATATTTTAGAGTGTGAAGAAGATAATTAACAGTGAAATTATGTAATTCAAGCCATGAAAATGAAAATAAAATCTAGATTGTCCAGCATGATATTTTAACCTGGACTTCCCAGCTATCCCTTTCTACTTTGTGGAGATTATCGTAAAATATTGGGGAAGCCAAGAATTCACCATGAAACAAATGAGGCAGAGAAAGGCTAAGAAAGATATATTTGCATTCTACTTTTTCAAGAAAGACCAAGAATGTCTGAGTAGGCAGAGCAAGAATGGTAAAAAGAGGAGCCAGGGGTATGACAGGCCAGGTTCTATAAGAACATAACAGATGGGTGCTATAACTTCTGCAGCATTCTCACAGGACGACCAGGGCACTGCTGAAATCAACTGCATCCACACTAGCGAAATTCTGATACCAAAGGACACATCCTGCCTAGAAATAAAAATAAAGATATCAAAACAAGCATCATTTGTCCTTAAAGCAGGGTCAAAGTCTTCTGATTTTGAAGTAAGAGTAAGACATGTTGGAATCAGATGACATTTCAAAACACTGGTTATTGTGGGAAATGGATTTATGTATTTGAAAATTTCAGAACTGTTCAAAACAAACTAATGTAAATGTGAAAGTCTTTCCAGTCCACATAGCCATTGCTAGGGGAATATCTCCTCTGACATTGTATTTCTAAAATCCTCATGTTCTCACAATAGATTACCTTGGTGTAAATTTCTTAGAATGATGATTTCAAAGTTGCTAGTGACATTCTTTTCTCATGAACTTACATTCAGTTCCAAGCACATGTTTATTAAATGTCTACTGTTGTATTAAGCCTGGGGACACCAAAATGAAAAAGGTAGGAGTACTGTACATCTCTGTCTCCAAAAGCTTAAAGTTGAGAGACAGGGAATGCTAGATAAGTTTGCAGTGAAACAAAACTATAAGAGAGTAAATGTATGCATGAGTTTTTTTCCTAGATGAACCTCTTTTTATATAAATTAGGAAACACATGATCAAGCACTCTGAATGCTGTGCCTTACCACATATACTTGGGCTCTTGGTCCACCTGAGAAATGAAAGTAGTTTCCTTTAAACATTTTTCTGGCTGGTGTTTTTTACAGTGTTACCCAGGTTGATGATTCTTCAGGTAATTGGGTCTTACAGTTCCTTAAACTCCTTTCTTCTAGTGATCTTGTCCCTACTCCACCTTAATCTCTGTGTCGTCACCAACCTTGTCATTACCAAAAACTGCAACCCCTTCCTAACTTCTCCCCAGAAGGATTTATCACTGTTACAGATCATTGACTGCTGCATATATTCCAGGTGTCCCCTTTCTTTTTCCAATTGGGAGTTTCATTGCAGGTTAATTGGCTTTGCCTTGCCATTGCATGTTGGAGGTATATTTGTGACTGGATGGGGTAGGGGTGACAGATACCATGTCTTTTTTTTTTCAGTGGCCTATGGTCTGCAAGGGGCCACATTCAGCTCTGATCAAGAGGACTGCACAGTGTACTGTAGGAGTGGAAGAAAAAGTAGAATGGATATGTATTTTAAACTTTGCTAATAAAGTAAGCTAGAAAAAGATCAGTTGTTCGGAGAAAAATAAAAATAAACCAGGAAATGGGGACTAGTTATGGGGGTGATGGAGTTGCTAAGTGACTAGAGAAGACTTTACTGAAATCAGGTAAAAAACATTAGAGAAAATACTGATATAGAATAATTCATGAGGCCTAACATTTGAAGAATGGGAGTTTCAGTAGAGGATTGACAAAATGGAGAAAAACTTGAGGTCACTCTCTTTATCTGTTTTCCCAGACCTTTACTTTTTCAAGGAAAAAATAATTTCTACATAACAACCATGTCAAAATTTCTCCCTTCTCAAGTCTATTCACTGTCACTCCAATGTGAAAGCTTTTATATTCTTTTAAAATATTTCAACTTCCCTAAAAAACTACAATTGCCTTATCAGTCAGCAAGAAGTCAAGATCATAAGATTTAAAGACCATCCCACTGACCTAGGGAGGAAGGTTCAGTGAAGCTTTTATCTTTAAGTTGAAGCTACTCCCTCTCTAGACAATTATTTGTAGATCTATATTTTATACCCAACATCAGCAAAAGCAGTGAACCTTTAAGTGGCACCAAATTAAAGAATGAATGTCTCAGTGTGTGTCTCACTGCACTTAAAGAGCCAGAAGCAATCTGTAAGATCAAAATCACCCCCACTAGTTCCTTAATTCTGAGTGTATGAAATCATATGGCAGCTATTTACCGTGTAGTGTAGTCAGAAAAAAAATCAAATTTTAGTTATATTATTTAAAAGGCCCTGGGCAGAAAATTTTCATAGATCTATTTCATTGAAAGCAATATCACCCCTGGTACAATTGAAGGAATATGAATTAGGATAAAGAGATCTAAGCCTGGCTTATTCTACCCTTATCTTCTGGATGGATAACTTAAAGCTTGTTTTCTTTCCATCATCTTTAAAATAATAATAGTGAATTTTAAGTCAAATGAGATCATTCATATAAAAGTCCTTTGAAAAGCAGAAAACACCATTCCTAGTTTAACTGCCTTGGTTCATTAGGGATAATTATTATTAATGAACTAATTTGTAAGTACAAGGCATAGCTGAGCATGCATTATTCTCATTCCATCCCTGGAGCGGCTCTAAGAGGTAGGCTTTGTGATTTTGTGCATTTTACAGATGAAGCCACTGAGGATTGGTGAGTGTTAGGAAGATGTCCCAAGGTTTTGAGAGGTCTCGGTGGGTTAGCGTCATGACATCTGATTCCAAAGTCTCTGATCTGATCCATTTCCTATCAGGGTCTGCAGGAGATTCAAGACGTGTCTCTTCTATCCTCTTTTGTTATTGCTGTGTTGTTGGTGTTAGTTATCAGTTAGTGTATTCACGTAATTTTCTTCAAGACTGATTGTACTAAGTAGCAGATACAAAGAGGCTGTCCTTTCCCTAAAGTGGCTTCTAGTTTAATGGCAGAAGCAATCAAGGATGCAGACAATTAGAGTGTAGCCTGGTAAGTGTTTTGACCAGGGTTGACTTCCTGGGCCTGTGACCTATGCAGTCCTGCTGTACCCAGTATTTGGAAGGGCCCCATGCTTGATATAATGCTGTATTACTGCTACTTTGAAATTCTTGATAATTTTGAACAAGGAAACCCACCTTTTCATTTTGCTCTGGGTCCCACAAATTGCATAGCAGCTCCTGGTCTTGACACAAATGGAAGTGGTATAATATGGGGATAGAGCAGGGAAAGGGTTAGAAAGATGGTCTTAGAAGAAGTGCTGCCCAAGCTTAATCTTGAAACATAAGAAGGAGTTAGCCAGAAAAAAAAAAAAAGTTATTTGGAGCAGGGAGCTCCACCTCATTGCAGGCTGAGGGCCCTGCAGGTGCCCAACAGAGCTTGGTCTGGGGAGGACAACTGAGGAAACTGGCTAGCCTCAGGGGTTTTCCTTACAGGAGAAAGGACTTGGGAAGCTGTGGTGGGTTGGGGAATGTGAGGAACCTCTTCTGCACAGCCCACTGGGTAATGACGGATGTCAAATCTTTAGCACTTCTCCCCCTGCAGGAGCCACACTGTGTTCTAAGGCAGAAGATGTGATGGTGACACGGGGATGCTGGTCAGGTCCTTGGGCAACAGTATTAAAATCTAGAATGAAGGAAACAAGGGTTCGAGTTGCCTGCAACCCCTGATTGGAGTACAAGAAAGGCACCGAGCTTATCCTGAGAGCTAGCATTCCACTTTAAGCCAGAGATGGAACACTAACTACCCAGCAGGTATCGAGTAATAACATTAGATAACCATTTTGTCATGTTTACTAAGGACCAGACACTAACTCGTAAGTACTAACTTGTACTAAACCATTTAGCTGTCCCAACTTCTCTATGAGATACTTACTGTTGAAAATAACAACTTCCTGAATAATGAGAACACGTGGACACAGGGAAGGGAACATTGCACACTGAGGCCTGTTGGGGGTTGGGGGGTAAGGGGAGGGAGAGCATTAGGACAAATACCTAATGCATGCAGGGCTTAAAACCTAGATGATGGGCCAGGTGTGGTGGCTCACGCCTGTAATCCCAGAACTTTGGGAGGCCAAGGTGGGCAAATCACCTGAGGTCAGGAGTTCGAGGCCAGCCTGGCCTACATGGTGAAACCTTGTCTCTATTAAAAATAAAAAACTTAGCCAGGCATGGTGGCAGGCGCCTGTAATCCCAGCTACTTGGGAGGCTGAGGCAGGAAAATCACTTGAACCCAGGTGGTGGAGGTTGCAGTGAGCTGAGATTGCACTCCAGCCTAGATGACAGAATGAGACTCTGTCTCAAAAAGAAAACAAAACAAAACAAAACAAAACAAACAAACAAACAAAAAAAACCATGCTGGGCGCGGTGACTCATGCCTGTAATCCCAGCACTTTGGAAGGCCAAGGAGGTGGATCATCTGAGGTCAGGAGTTCAAGACCAGCCTGGCGAACTTAGTGAAACCCCGTCTCTACTAAAAACACAAAAATTAGCCAGGTGTAGTGGTGGGCACCTGTAATCCCAGCTACTCAGGAGGCTGAGGCAGGAGAATTGCTTGAACCTGGGAGGCGGAGGTTGCAGTGAGCCGAGATCGTGCCATTGCACTCCAGCCTGAATGACAAGAGTGAAACTCCATCTCAAAAAAATAAAAGAAAAAGGAAAACAAAACAAAACAAAACAAAACAAAAAAACTAGATGGCTTGATAGGTGTAGCAAACAACCTTGGCATATGTATACCTATGTAACAAACCTGCATGTATCCCTGAACATAAAAGTAAAATAAAAAAGACACAGCCTAGTCAAAACTAAAAAAACAAAAAACAAACAAACAAAACAAACAAACAAAAAGACAAAGTAAAGAAAATAACAACTTCCTTCATTTTACAGATAAGGAAATCAAGGTGCAGAGAGATTGCATAACATCCAACATTGCATAGCAAGCAAATGGCAGAGGTGGGATTTGAACCCAAGTTGTCTGTGTCCAGTTTGTGCTTATAGCCTCACCACTGTATTAAATACCAGCATTATTAAAATCCATTAAAATCCCATGGCTTATGAAGAAGATAAAAATTCTTCACATGGGCAGACAGGCCCCGTCTCGACTCACCATCTCTCTAGCCTCATCTCTCCCACATGCTCTTCCTTTGAGATGCTGAAGCATTCCATGCTTCTTTGTGTTTGCAGCAGATAGTATTTTCCAAAGAGGGTCATCACAATAGGTCCCAGCTCATAGGCCATTCTTAGAATGTGACATTGACAAGCCTCCTAAGCAGACATAGGCCTATGCCCTCTCTCTTTGATTCTGAGTGGTCCTATGGTTACTGCAGAAACTATGCTCTATGACTTACAAACAAAAGTCACAAAAAGCAACAGAGCTTCCACTTGGTTCTCCTGACAGGCTAACTCTTGAAATCCAGCCACCACATGGTGAGAACACAGAGAACATGTGGTGAGGTCTTCCGTGGGTAGGTGCTTCTGTCAGTCCAGGCCAAGCTGAAGGTCGAGCTTACAGTGACATCATCCTCCAAACAGGAAGGGAAGAAGCCTTCAATATGACTTTGGCCTCAGCTGCCAGTCTGATTGCAACTACAGGAGAGACCCTGAGCAAGAACTGCCTCAGGGAGCCCACTTACCCCTGGAATTGTGAAAGATAATCCTAAACTGAGTGTTGTTTTGAGCCACTAAGTTTTTTGGCTGGTCCATTAAATAGCAATGAACAATTGGAACGGGACTTTTGCTCCTTCTGTTTCTTCTGCCTGTAGTGCTCTTACTGTCCCCTTCTCCCAGATAACTTTCCTACACAAACTGAAATATCAAAGGAGCCTCCTAACTGCATCCCCAGTGCCCCTCCATTCATGTTAGCTCCTGTTGCTTTGTTATATGCTCTCTGAGACCATATTCTTTTCCTTTAGAGCAGGGGTCAGCAAAATTTTTCTGTAAAGAGTTAGATAGCAAATATTTTCAGCTTTGCAGGCCATGTGATCTAGGTCACAAGTACTTAGTTCTGCTGTTGTCTACTTGTCTGCATATTAGAACTACCAAGAGAGGTTCTGAGACTTCCAAAGTTCAGGCCACTCCCAGAACATTTAAACCATGCACTCTAAAGAGGGGGACATAGGTATCAGGTGAATCCACTATGCAAAAAGGTTAGGAAATCCGTGCTGTTGAGCCTTTTCCCAGTTTGTCATTATGCATTTTTAGTGTGATTACAGTTTTAGTGCCCCATCCCTCACCAGAGCACAAGCCCAAGGAGAGTGGCTTTTACTTTGGGTTTGTTCTTGGTGTCCAACCAGTGCCTAGCATATGGCATGCTCCATTTTATATTTGTTAAATAAGCAGATGAATAACAAATATTCGTTGGATAAACTTGTTGAATCCCCCTTAGCCCCCAAATCTTTAGAAATTTTCCATTTCTCGCATGATTCTATTCATGCATTCTCTCATTTCCCCAGGATCACTCCCATAGGCTTGTCTCTAAATACTCCTTATTATTTTCCTCTCAAATTCAGTGAGTCACTAAATCTTATCCATCTACTTCCACGACATCAGCCGTGGCCACCCTTTCTTTTTCATTCACCTGAGTTCACCTTATTTTTCTCCTGGATTCTTAACCAGGAGAATCCAACCAAATTTCACCAGTTTTCTCCTGGATTCTTAAGAGTAGAAATTCAACTACTTTCCCAGCTTCTTGTCTTCTCTCTCTCTCTCTCTCTCTCTCTCATCCATACTGGAGCAGAATGATATGGGCTGTGGTACCAGAGAGACATGAATTTGGATTCTGGTCCAGCCATCAGGACACTCTTGGGTAAGTCACCAGCCTTTCTAAAGCCTCAGTTTCCTTAACTTGAATCCTGCAGTTAAAATCTTCTGTGAAAACTTGGTGTACCATATGGAAAATGCTTAACACTCTGCACACACACAGTAGGCAACAGCTATTGTTGCCACTGTGTTTTCTGTGCCCTTCATCTCAACTGGCTTCCTTAAGACACCCTGTCCCTCCACTAGAATATGAGCTCCATGAGGGCAGGAAATTGTGTCTGCTTGGCTTACTCCCGTATCCGCAGGTCACTGTTATAACGTCCATAGCTTGACATTTTTGGACCTATCTGATTTGATCCCAGCCCCCTTTCCTTGATGGATTTTCCTCACACTCTCTTCGTAGTCTGTGTTTTAGTAAAATTGAATGACTTATCCTTTTCTCACACTTCCTCTACTTTCCTGTCTTTCAAGCCTTTACTATTAGTTTCATCAGCCTTCACTGAGCTGCAATTTCTCTCAGCTGAAATTTTGTTTGTTTTTTTAAGCTCACAAGCTACGGTGTTCATCAAGTTTTTTCTGATTCCCCACAACTCTTCTGATGCTATTGCTGATAATCCTCCTTTCTTAGCATTAGATGTCTTGTACTAACATTATTGCTTTCTGTGTATTATCAGATGACTTTTGGGTATAGAGAGAATGTCTAATTAAATTTTGTGTGCCCTTCTTACATATCCTGAACCATAGAGCTCATCCAATAAGTATTAGAATATGTTTTTGACTGAACGAATGTATCCCAGTTCTATCATTCTGGGCCAAGGAGATTGCCTTAAAAGGGAGAACCCTGGCAAGAGACAAATACAATTTTGGGGGTAACTCAAAGTTGTCATTCTAAAGTTGAAATTGGATTCCTCAAGTGCCAGTGGCAAAGACAAACTGTGTGGAGAGCAAATGCACCTTGTTTGTAAACAGAGTTTACAAAGATAAACTTGTTCATCTCCCATATGTGTTTTCCAGCTGGAGCTCATATGCAATTTCCCCAGGGTTTAGACTTCAATGTGCTGGGGAATCCCCCCTGCAGATTAAGCCTTGCCGTGTTAATGCTTAACACACCTCTAGATTAGGTTACAATGTGGAGGCTCCCCATGCTGCTAGAAGGGGATTTGCCTGTAAATTGGAACCACAAAGATCCTTCTGTGTGCACACTCCATTTCTTGCTTCCTACTGAGAGCTACCGCAGACACTTCTCAATGTAACCGTAAAAATGGTCTATATGTACAAAGAGCCAGCAAACATATGAAAACATGCTCAACATCGATAATAATCAGAGAAATGCAAATCAAGACCACAATGAGATATCTCACAACAGTTAGAATGGTTATTAATAAAAAGTCAAAAAATAACAGATGCTGGTGAGGATGTGGAGAAAAGGGAATGGTTATATACTACTGGTGGAAATGTAAATTAGTTTGGGCCTTGTGGAAAGCAGTTTGGAGATTTCTTAAATAATTGAAAATAAAACTGCAATTTGACCTAGCAATCCTGTTACTGGTCATCCACCCCAAGGGAAGGAAATTATTCTACCAAAAACAAAACAAAAAACAAAAAACACTTGCACTTGTTTGTTTATCATAGCACTATTCACAATAGCAAAGTCATGGAATCAATAAAGGTGCCCATTCATGGTGGAGAGAATGAAGAAAATGTGGTGTGTATATACGATGGAATACTATGCAGCCATTAAAAAAAGAATGAAATCATGTCCTTTGCAGCAACATAGATGCAGCTAGAAGCATTTACACTAAGTGAATTAACATAGAAACAGAAAATCAAATACCACATGTTCTTACTTATAAGTGGGAGCTAAACAATGGGTACACATGGATGTAAAGATGGGAACACACTGAGGACTCTAAAAAGGGGGAGGGAGACAGGGGATAAAGGCTTGAAAGGCTACCTATGGAGTACTATGTTTACTATTTGGGTGATGAGTTCAATAGAAGCCCAAACCCCTGTACTATGCAATATATCCACATAACAGTCCTGTATATGTAACCTCCTCAACAAGAAAGAAAGAAAGAAAGAAAGAAAGAAAGAAAGAAAGAAAGAAAGAAAGAAAGAAAGAAAGAGCAAAGGAAAGGAAAAGAAAAGAAAAGAAAAGAAAAGGAAAAGAGAAAAATGGTCTGTAAATTCCTTACTTAGTCTTGGTCCTTGCTAAGCAGTGACAGACCTGTGCAAGCAGCGAGTTATATTGCCCTCTACACTTCCATGTTACACACTTTTAGTAATACGGTTTGGCTGTGTTCCCACCCAAATCTCATATTGAATTGTAACTCCCACAATTCCCATGTGTCATGGGAGGAATCTGGTGGGAGGTGATTGAATTATGGGGGTGGGTCTTTCCTGCACTGTTCTCGTCACAGTGAGTAAGTATCATGAGATCTGATGGTTTTAAACATGGGAGTTTCCTGGACAAGCTCTCCTTTTGCCTGCTGCCATCCATGTAAGATGTGACTTGCTCTTCCTTGCCTTCTGCCTTGATTGTGAGGTCTCCCCAGCCATGTGGAACTATAAATCCAGTAAATCTCTTTTTCTTCCCAGTCTTTGGTATGTCTTTATCAGCAGCATGAAAATGGACTAACACAGTAAATTGGTACCAGCAGAGTAGGGTGTTGCTGAACAGATACCTGAAAATGTGGAAGTGACTTTGAAACTGGGTAACAGGCAGAGGTTGGAACAGTTTGGAGAGCTCAGAAGAGACAGGAAAATGTGGCGAAGTTTGGAACTTCCTAGAGATTCGTTGAATGGCTTTGACAAAAATGCTTATAGTGATACAAACAATAAGGTCCAGACTTGAGATAGTCTCAGATGGAGATGAGGAACTTGTTGGGAACTGGAGAAAAGGTGACTCTTGTTACGTTTTAGCAAAGAGACTGGCAACATTTTGCCCCAGCCCTAGAGATTTGTGGAACTTTGAACTTGAGAGAGATAACTTAGGGTAACTGTCAGAAGAAATTTCTAAACAGCAAAGCATGCAAGAGGTGACTTGGGTGCTGTTAAAAAAATTGATTTATAAGAGAACAGAACATAGAAGTTTGGAAAATTTGCAGCCTGACAATGCAAAAGAAAAGAAAATCCCATTTTCTGAGGAGAAGTTCAAGCCACTGCAGAAATTTGCATAAGTAATAAGGAGCCAAATGTTAATTTCCAAGACAATGGGAAAAATGTCATCAGGGCATGTGTGAGGTCTTCACGGCAGCCCCTCCCATTGCAGACTCAGAGGCATAGGACAAAAACATGGTTCTGTGGGCCAGGTCCAGGGTCCCTGTGCTGTGTGCAGTCTAGGGATTTGGTACCCTGCATCCCAGCTGCTCCAGCCCTGACTAAAACAGGCCAATGTAGAGCTGGGGCCCTGGCTTCAGAGGGTGCAAGCCCCAAGCCTTGGCAGCTTCCACATGGTATTGAGCCTGTGAGTGCACAGAAGTCAAGAATTGAGGTTTGGGAACCTCTGTCTAGATTTCAGAAGATGTATGAAAACACGTAGATGCCCAGACAGAAGTTTGCTGCCAGGGTGTGGTGCTCATGGAGAACCTCTGCTGGGCAGTGCAGAAGGGAAATTGTGGGATCAGAGCCCCCACACAGAGTCCCTACTGGGGCACCACCTAGTGGAGCTCTGAAAAGAGGGTGACCATCCCCCAGACCCCAGAACGGTAGATCCACCAACAGCTTGCACTATTTGCCTGGAAAAGCTTCAGATACTCAACACCAGCCTGTGAAAGCAGCTGGGAGAGGGCTGTACCCTGCAAAGCCACAGGGGCAGAGTTGCCCAAGGCTGTGGGAGCCCACCTGTTGCATCAGCATGACCTGGATGTGAGACATGGAGTCAAAGGAGATAATTTTGGAATTAAGATTTGACTGTCCCGCCAGATTTTGGACTTGTGTGTGGCCTATAGCCCCTTTATTTTGGCCAGTTTCTCCCATTTGGAACACCTGTATTTACCTAATGCCTGTACACACATTGTATTTAGGAAGTAACTAACTAACTTGCTTTTAATTTTACCGTCTCATAGGCAGAAGGGACTTGCCTTGTCTCGGATGAGACTTTGGACTTTGGACATTTTTTTTAAATTATACTTTAAGTTCTAGGGTACATGTGCACAACGTGCAGGTTTGTTACATATCTATATATGTGCCATGTTGGTGTGCTGCACCCGTTAACTCGTCATTTACATTAGGTATTTCTCCTAATGCTATCCCTCCCTGCTACCCCCGCCCCACAACAGGCCCTGGTGTGTGATGTTCCCCTTCCTGTGTCCAAGTGTTCTCATTGTTCAATTCCCACCTATGAGTGAGAACATGCGGTGTTTGATTTTTTGTCCTTGTGACAGTTTGCTCAGAATAATGGTTTCCAGCTTCATCCATGTCCCTACAGAGGACATGAACTCATCCTTTTTTTTTGGCTGCATAGTATCCCATGGTGTATATGTGCCACCTTTTCTTAATCCAGTCTATCATTGATGGACATTTGGGTTGGTTCCAAGTCTTTGCTATTGTGAATAGTGCCGCAATAAACATACGTGTGCATGTGTCTTTATAGCAGCATGATTCATAATCCTTTGGGTATATACCCAGTAATGGGATGGCTGGGTCAAATGATATTTCTAGTTCTCGATCCTTGAGGAATCGCCACACTGTCTTCCACAATGGTTGAACTAGTTTACGGTCCCACCAACAGTGTAAGTGTTCCTATTTCTCCATGTCCTCTCCAGCACCTGTTGTTTCCTGACTTTTTAATGATTGCCATTCTAACTGGTGTGAGATGGTATCTCATTATGGTTTTGATTTGCATTTCTCTGATGGCCAGTGATGATGAGCATTTTGTCACGTGTCTGTTGGCTGCATAAATGTCATCTTTTGAGAAGTGTCTGTTCGTATCCTTCGCCCACTTGTTGATGGGCGTTTGTTTTTTTCTTGTAAATTTGTTGGAGTCCTTTGTAGATTCTGGGTATTAGCCCTTTGTCAGATGAGCAGATTGCAAAAATTTTCTCCCATTCTGTAGGTTGCCTGTTCACTCTGATGGTAGTTTCTTTTGCTGTGCAGAAGCTCTTTAGTTTAATTAGATCCCATTTGTCAATTTTGGCTTCTGTTGCCATTGCTTTTGGTGTTTTAGACATGAAGTCCTTGCCCATACCTATGTCCTGAATGGTATTGCCTAGCTTTTCTTCTAGGGTTGTTATGGTCTTAGGTCTAACATTTAAGTCTTTAATCCATCTTGAATTAATTTTTGTATAAGGTATAAGGAAGGGATCCAGTTTCAGCTTTCTACATATGGCTAGCCAGTTTTCCCAGCACCATTTGTTAAATAGGGAATCCTTTCCCCATTTCTTGTTTTTGTCAGGTTTGTCAAAGATCAGATGGTTGTAGATGGACTGTGGACTTGAAATGAGTTAAGACCTTGGGGGACTGTTGGGAAGGCATGATTGGTTTTGAAATGTGAGGACATGAGATTTGAGAGGGGCCACAGGTGAAATGATATGGTTTGGCTGTGTCCCCACCCAAATCTCATCTTGAATTGTAACTCCCACAATTCCCACATTTGGTGGGAGGAACCCAATGGGAGGTGATTGAATTATGGGAGTGGGTCTTTCCTGCACTGTTTTCATGATGGTGATTGAGTTTCATGAGATTGGGTGGTTTTTTTTTTGTTTTTTTTTTGGACAGAGTCTCGCTCTGTCACCCAGGCTGGAGTGCAGTGATGCGATCTCAGCTCACTGCAACTGCTGCCTCCTGGGTTCAAGTGATTCTCCTGCTTCAGCCTCCCAAGTAGCTGGGGCTACAGGTGTGTGCCACCACGCCTCAATTTTTGTATTTTTTTTTTAGCAGAGACAGGGTTTCACCAAGTTGACCAGTATGGTCTCAATCTCTTGACCTTATTATCTGCCTACCTTGGCCTCCCAAAGGGTTGGGATTACAAGTGTGAGCCACCACACCTGGCCAAGATTTGATGGTTTTAAAAACGGGAGTTTCCTTAGACAGGCTCTCTGTTTGCCTGCTGCCATCCATGTAAGACGTGACTTGCTCCTCCTTGCCTTCTGCCATAATGGTGAGGCCTCCACAGCCATGCGGAACTGTAAGTCTATTAGACCTCTTTTTCTTCCCAATCTTAGGTATGTCTTTATCAGTAGTGTGAAAATAGATGAATACACTTTGTTAAGACAAACTGCACTGAGCAGGTTCTGTGGCTCAGACAGTGGGCCAACATTTAAAGATTAGCAACGTTTGACTGAGACCAAACTTCAGCAGGTCTTCTTGTCACTCTCTGGGAACTAAGACATGTGATAAAGAACGCTTATCCAAAATATATAAAGAACTCTTAAAACTCAACAATATGAAAACAAACAACCAAATTAAAAATGGCCCCAATATCTAACAGATGCCTCCCCAAAGAAGACATACAGATGGCAAGTGAGCATATGAAATGATGCTCCACATCATGAGTCACCAATAATTAACTTATTTATTTTCTTGTTTCTGTTACTATATTTTTACATATTGTATTATTAGTTCCATGGTGATTACAATTTGTATCTAAATTTAAATACTCTATTTTGGATTAATACCAACTTAATAGCATATAAAATATGTATAGGTCCACTCCAACTCTACTCCTTTGTACTACTGTTGCACACAAATTACATCTTCTTACATTATATGGCCATCAGCACAGATTTATAGTTATTGCTTTTGCAGTTGTTGTTAAAATCAGATAGGATTTTTAAAAAGAGTAACAAACAAAAAAATAAATCTCTATGTCTTTTATATTTACCTTTTCCAGTTCTCCTTACTTCTTCACATAAATTCAAATTATTCTTCAGGGGTCTTTTCATTTCAGACTGAAGGACTTTCCTGAGTATTTCTTGTACGGCAGTTCTGCTAGCAACACAGTCTGCCCATTTTTGTTTATCTGAGTATATATTAGTTTTCCCTTTATTTTCAAGGATATATTTGTTGGATAGAGAAGTTTTATTTGCCAGCATTTTAAATATTTTATCCCACTGCTCTCTGGCCTTTATATTTTCTGATTAAATGTTAGTTATTCATTTTATTGAGGATTACTTGTACTCGATGAGTTGTTCTTGTCCTGCTTTCAAGAGTCTTTGTCTTTCTTTCTAGAGATTGATTATGATGTGTCTAAGTTTGAATGTCTTTGAGATTATCCCACTTGGAGTTGTTGAACTTTGTGGATACATAGATAAATGATTTTCAGCATATTTGGTATTGTTTTTGGCTACTATTTCTTTAAATACTGTTTTTTTTTCTTTCTCACCTCTCCTTCTGGGACTCCCATTATGCATATATTGGTATGCTTGGTGATGTGCCACAAGTCTTTGAGGCTCTGGAATTTTTTTTTCATTCTTTTTTTTTTCATTTCATTCCCAAGACCATATAATCTTAATTGAGCTCTCTTCATGTTCATTGATTTTCTTCTTCTGCCAACTCAAATCTGTTGTTCTCTACTGAATTTTTCATTTGAGTTTTTGTACTTTTCAACTCTACAACTTCAATTAGTTCTTTTCAAGAATTTCTATTTCCTTATTTATGTTGTCTATTTGGTATAACAATGTTTTTAATCTTTCATTTTATTCTTTAGACATGATTTTCTTTGGTTCTTTGAGCATATCTAAAATAGATTATTTAAAATCTTTGTCAGGTAAGTCCGAAATCTGGACTTCCTCAGGAGCTATTTTTCCTGGATGGTGGACTATATCAGGGTTCTCCGAAGAAACAAACACATAGAATAGGGGATACATATGTATGTGTGTGTGTGTGTGTGTGTGTGTGTGTGTGTGTGTACACAGTATACATGCAATTGTAATTGCTACCTTTAAAAATTTACACCAAATTCACTTTCCCTATGCTACTTTCTGTCCTAGGCTATGTTCCCTTATTTTTTCACTTATCTTTCACCTTGGTTCCTACTCTAAGGATAAGACCAAACCTATTAGCCTTCTCAAGGCCTCAGCTTGGAATTGATAATCATCACATTAAAGAAGTTACTGGTGATTTCTTTTTTTACCTCACACACCCCTTTGACTACCCTAAGCTACAACAATACTGGCCATCCTGACTCATGATTCATACTGCCTACACCCTCTCTATATATTTACTTATTCCTAACTTTTGGATACTTATAGCTTCTCCTAATTCACTGGGAGAAGCTTTCATTCTCCCTCAAAAATTTTTATCAGAAAATGCAGTCTGATGCCTTTTCAATCACTAGCCCTCTTCTGTATGATATTTTCTCCTTTCCCTTTCCAAAATGTCCTTTATATTTTGAAATTCTAAGAGGCAAAACATTTGTATTTTCCATGTGGGAACTACTACTCATATTCATATTGTTGCTGCTGTCTTGTTTTGAATTCTTTCAACTTCTCACCATGTTGTATGTGCAAAACAATTGCATGCCATAAGTTTATATATACAAACTGAGACTCAGCCACATGTAGAATAAAAATCTATCTTGAGAATGAGTTATTTTACATTGTTAGCAAAAAAATTCAAACTAGTAATCCTTTTTTTTCCTCTGTACCCTTCTCTGAATTTGAAGATGTGTCATATAACACATAACTGAGATAGTGTGGGGGCAGTCTGGGAATGGTAACTGTGGGTTCCTAAAACAACAAAGATGTCATGTAGCACTTTGGGTGAGATAAGGGAAGATTTGGGCTGAGAACAAGATGTAGGCAGAGGATACCAAAGCTCCAACTAATGAGGGAGTTATCACTTGAAAAGTTACATAGCTCTGGGTCATTAAAGTAACAGCTATCTGAGGAAACTTCTGGAAGCCATCTTGCTTTCATTTCACAATCTTCTGATGACAGAATAAACAGTATGATTGGTAGCACATTCCTTAAAGTTTCCCTGCCCTTTCCACTTCAGTGGCAGAATGAAAAAAATTATGAAAAACCAAATATTTTAGGGAAACAAAAGCATTCCAATAAGTTGAAATGCCTATGCCTTTTTAGTAGATTTAGGAGAATTAGCTAATATATAAAATTAAACTTCTTGGAAATGGTAAAAGCAAACAGTACCTATTGATCATTAAGGCTCCATCAAATGGTTAAAAGCACCTTGGCATCTGTTTGTCTTTGTTAGTATAAGGACTTTCCTAATAGTTGTGGGAAATCAGAAATAAGAGCTGCAAAAAGTGAGATAAACTTTCATACATTAATGCATCTTTTAATTTCTGAACATATTGTGTGGAAACATACGATTAGTTAAATTCCATTGTCTCTTTTTATTTAATATACATTATGGTCATCTCCATTGTGTAAAGTGTTGATGCATGTTTTGAAGACACACACATTGCATTCCTTAAGAAGCTCACAATATAAAATATGGGTGTAAAATATGAGCATTTTGGTAACTACACCTAGTATAGAAATTAATATAAAGAAGAGATTACTTGAGGAGTCAGTGTTCAGGAAGTTTCACAATGAAGAATGAATTCCTTGAAAAGTTAATATATTTAGAGGTGACTTGGAGGCAATAACACAAGTTACAACTGGAGGTTGAGACCCTACAGTAAGTGGGAACAGTAAAAGGGCCTGGCCTTTCTGTAGGGGTTTATGTAGGAGAGTGGTGGGAGGAAGCATCAGCTGAGGTCAGGGTGTAGTTACCAATCTGATGGGCGCTACTTTTCACTTGAGGGGCGATGGGCAGCACCATGACGCTACCGCAGTCCTGTTGCTTGTGCAGCATGCTGCTCCCTCAGGACAGATTCTTCATTGCTTCTTAACTTCCCCTATGTCTCCCAGCTCCTTCGTGCCCCCGTTGCCTTTCCTGGCTAGCCTCATTCAGCATCCTGATTCCCCTCTCACAGCCCATTTGATAATTCAAATGGATATGGTTGAATCCTTTTATATAACTGAAATACTTTTGAAATTTAACTTTCTCTCCTTTGAAAAATAAAATGAGACATCTCCCCAAATTGTGCAACATGGCAAAATTTTAAAAGATAAAAATGTCAGGGCAAAAACATTTAATAAAACATAACAAACAAAAGCAAAGAGAAAATAAAGATTGGATTGAAACTACAAATAGTGGGTTTTAAATTGAGCTTGGAGCTTCTTGGCAATCAAAGCGGGAGGGGTTTATAAGATCCACACATTCTAGGACTTTTTAATCTACCTTTAGGCAGTTATTTTGATGTAGACAAAAGTATACTAGAAATAAAATAGCATACAAGTCTAAATTCTTATTTCAGCTCTGCCAGTAATTGACTCTTGACATTAGTTATTTAATTTCACTAGGTCTCAGTTTCCTCATATATTAAAAAAAAAGTGTTCAGTTTGAATAGTTGACAAAGCCCTTCCCAGGTCTAACATTGTACCATAAAATTATACAGAGTCCAGCAAACATATTTCTATGAAAATCCAAGTTGAATGGAATAAAAAGTGAAATAGAAAAGCTCTTAAATGTCTGTTTTCTTCAATCTGTAGATAATAAATATATTAGATAATAAATGTATTGCCCACTTTGCTGTTGGAGAAAATACATTATTCATCCTTTACTACCCATTTGTACATAGGAAGAACTATCAGGTTGAACTATATAAAAGAAACTGTCATTCCTCTAGCTCAAATATGGGCAAATATTGGCAATTTCACATGGTTTAACCTAATGAATGTTGTGTTGAATTGAGATAATCAGGGATATTGCCATGGAAGGTGCCAATTTTAAAGTCCTTCATTTGGGACAGTGAAGAAGGTATTGGAAATAAAATGGGAGAGGGGCTGGCCTTTTGAGGTTCAGACTCTGCTATGGTCTGAATGTTTGTGTTCCCTCCCTGCCCCACTACCACCTCCCAAATTCATATGTTGAAATCCTAACCTCCAAGGGTGACAGTATCAGGAGGTGGGGCCTTTAGGGGTGATGAGATCATGAGGGCTATGAGATTAGTGTCCTTATAAAAAATGCCCAAGAAAGCTCAACTGCCCCTTCTGCCATGTAAGGACAGTGAAAAGATGTCATCTATGGGGAAGCAGGTCTTCACTAGACATGGACTCTGCTGGAGCTCTGATGTTGGACTTCTCAGCCCCCAGAACTGTAAGAAATAAATTTCTGTTGTCTATAAGCCACCTAGTTTGTGATATTTTGTCAGAGCAGCCCAAATGAACTAAGACAGGTTGCTAATTATTGTCAAGTGTGGGCCTCTGGAGCCAAGCTGCCTGAGTTCAAATCCTAGCTGTGTAAAGCTGAGCAACTTGTTTAACATCTCTGGGTTACAGTTTTCTCACCTGTGAAATTGAAATAGTTGTATAATACTACTTTATTAGTAGAGTTGTTTTAAGGACTGAAATACAGGTAAAACACTTAGCACACTGCCTGACAGCAGATAAGTGCTCAGTAAATGTTAGTTATTAGCTACATTAGCCGCTGGGTGGGCAACTCAGCAAAGTGCACAGAAAAGGTATATGCAATGACCACCATCCTGAGAGATATAGTGGAAACATCTCTCTTTGCTACTTGGTAACCTGTATTACAAATTGATACAGGAATATTGCTTATTAGCTAGTAGCTTTCAGAATTTTTAAAACTGAGACCCAAAGTCAGAAATACGATTTACACCATGATCTGCTATACACGCACATAACTGAAAGAAAATTTCACAAAACAAATCTAACCCTTACTCTGTACTTTGCACTTTGATCAGCACTTTTCTATTCTATTCTCTTTGTACTGCCTTCTGACCACTAAATTGATTTTATGACCTAGTGACGAGTCTCAGCCCAATAGGTCACATTTAGCTTTAAGTAAAAAGAAATGTATTTTGGTTCAATAGAGTTAGGAACAGGCTCACAAGGTAGTGTTCATGGATGAAAGACCACTTTGAACTTTCCTCCAGCTCTAAAAGAGCCAGTTTTTTGTCTCTTGGTCCCCCTTTCCCAAAATCCATATCCCTGCCATACCAGCTGCAAGGAAAATACTAGTTATGCTTTAGCAAAATTCTAATGTGTATATACAGGCTAATCATTTCACTTTTATACAGACTTTAATATAAACCCTTCCATCATCACATGTAGGGTTGAAATGACAGCTTAAATATTTGTGGTTCTTCTATTGGATTTTCAGTGTCCACTTATCATTGGGTTAAAAGTGCAATCAGCCAATGTAGCTTTTCCTGGCATTCTGTCTTGCAACATTTCTACCACACGCCAGCATGTAAGAGATATTTGTCAGCACACACTACATTTTTCATAGTAGTAATTTTACTTTTACCTTACGAAGTACTTCACTGCCTTGCTATTTGGGTAGGACCAAAAAGATACTTTCTTAAAGACCAAAGTGCAGATAGCAGTATGGTAATTTCACCAATAAATCATTATTATTTTGACAGCATGTTTCACCTTTAAGTTCTCCATGAAGATTATCTCCACCTTTCAAAAGGATCATTTCAAAAAATGTGTTAAAAGGAGCACACAGACAAGGCCCGATGTCAAGAGAGGGGCAGGAGTGGGAAGCCCACTGTGATTCCTGCCTTCAGAATGGAGAAGCAGGATTTTGAGACAAAATCATGTTACCACGTATCTTACTCTTCTTGGAATTGTCTCACAATATTTTTTTTCTTTTTTTTTTTTTTGAGACAGAAACTCTGTCACTCTGTCACCCAGGCTACAGTGCAGTAGTATGATCACAGCCAACTGCAGCCTGGACTTCCCGGACTCAAGTGATCCTTCTGCCTCAGCCTTATAAAAGATGCCCAAGGTAGCTCCACCACCCCTTCTGCCATGTAAGGACGCAGTGAAAAGATGTCATCTATGGGGAAGCAGGCCTTCACTAGACATGGACTCTGCTGGAGCTCTGATCTTGCGCTTCTCAGCCTCCAGAACTATGAGAAATAAATTCCTGTTGTCTATAAGCCACCCAGTTTGTGATATTTTGTTAGAGCAGCCCAAATGAACTAAGACTGATTCCTAATAATTGTCAAGTGTGGGCCTTCGGAGCCAAGCTGCCTGAGTTCAAGTAGCTAGTACTACAGGTGTGTGCCACCATGCCTGGCTAATTTTTTAAATTTTTAATAGAGACAGGGTCTTGCTATGTTGCCCAGGCTGGTCTCGAACTCTAGTGCTCAAGCTGTTCTCCCCTCTCAGCTTCCTGAAATGCTGGGATTACAGGCATGAGCCACAGCATCCCACCTGTCTCACAATACATTTTTTTAAATTTTATTTTTTTATATTTTTAAATTTTATTTTTCCATAAGTTATTGGGGTACAGGTGGTATTTGATTACATGAGTAAGTTTTTTAGTGGAGATTTGAGAGAACCTGGTGCACTCATCACCCAAGCAGTATACACTGCAACATATTTGTTTTCTTTTATCCCTTGCCCCCTCCCACGCTTCCCCTCCCAAGTCCCTAAAGTCCATTGTATCATTTTTATGCCTTTGCACCCTCATAGCTTAGCTCCCACATATCAGGGAGAACATATGATGTTTGGTTTTCCATTCCTGAGTTACTTCACTTAGAATAATAGTCTGTAATCTTTTCTAAGTCATTGCCAATGCTGTTAATTCATTCCTTCTTATGGCTGAATAGTATTCTATCACATATATATGTATATGTGTGTGTGTATATATACACACACCAGAGTTTCTTTATTCACTCGTTGATTAATGGGGATTTGGGTTGGTTCCACAATTTTGCTATTGTGATTTGTGCTGCTATAAATATGCATGTGCAAGTATCTTTTTTGAATAATGACTTCTTTTGCTCTGGGTAGATACCCAGTAGTGGGATTGATGGATCAAATGATAGTTTTACTTTTAGTTCTTTAAGTAATATCCACACTGTTTTACATAGTGGCTGTACTAGTGGTGGGAATGTAAACTGTCTCACAATATTCTTAATGTCCAAAGAAAACATTTGGATATTTTTAAAAGTCCTCAGTTCAGCAAAACATGTTCATTGTTTCAACTTCCAGAAATCATTAATGGTTCCCTTCTATGTGTGAAGCTCTTTTCTAGGCTCAGTGAGGAATATAGAAGAGCTATAAAATATAATCCCAGCGCTGAAGGGGACTGAGAAAATAGAAACTAGTGGTTCTGAGCACTGAGTATATATGCCAGGCATTATGCATTTGTCATTTGAGTCACATTACAATTTTGAGAAGTAGGTGCTATTACTGTCTCATATTACAGATGAAAACCCTGAAACTTAAAGAGTTTAAGAGCCTAAGTAAATGAAAGAGCTAGGATTCAAACTCAAGTAAGCTGACTCCAGAGCTCACTCTTTCCTTCATTTTACAAAAATGTGATGAGAAATTAACTTATGAGTTTGCGGTTTGATGGACCGAACAGCCAGTGACAAATACTGCCCAGAGCCAGCCGAACAGGCATTTTTTCTCATTTGGGTATTCATGGATACACAGCAATCTCATACTATTTTGAGAAATACGCAAAAAGGGTCCTGCACCAAAGACTTTTAGTGCTACAGAGAGAATAAATGTGCCCCCTCCACACTAACATAGCACTTCTGCTCATTAATATGAGCTGCAGAATAGGTGGGTTTTACAGAGAAAATAGCCTAAGATCAACTTTCCAGGTTAATATCAAAATGTATTCTTATCCAGAGCTTGCTGTGTTTATAAAGTCATGTAGGCATCTTGAATATTTTTAGACAGTATTACTTCACTTTATTATGTTCAAAATCAAAGAGAGTGTCCAGTTTTTCTATTTCTATTTATAGTAGCTCTGCTAGCAAATGTTAAACTTCTTTCCCAGACATATAAATTTGGATTTTTCAAAGAATTCGTGTAGGAAAATATTTGCGCTCTTACTCATGAAGGATGGAAGTATGCCTCGGTGGTTTTTTTTTTTTTAGAAAGTCAGTATATTACATCAGGAGGCATTATGTGCATAATACAACGGTCCTGACAGCCTGCTGGTCAATCAGCAGAAGTAGGCACTAGTGGGTACTTAAGGCAATCTACCGAGATTTTTGAGGATGATCTTCTGTTTTCCCGGTTCAAAAAGCACAGGTCTATCACAGATGAGGCACATCTTATTCTAATGAACCATTAAAACCACAGGATCCACACCACTGCCCACTTCTGCAGCATTTTGCAGATCATGGTCTGGGGTAACTTGGTTTAGAATTGCCCAAGGAGCCTGTAAAAATGCAGATTCCTGTGATTTTGCATGACTTCTGAGGCCAGCCTTTGGAATTCATGTTTTAAACAAGGATCTCAAGGGACCACATTTTGAGAAATGCTGGTCTCAATATTAGCACTCTGAACTTTAAGAAGATTAGAAGCTAGTGTGTCTTCAGTGCGTACATTTTGAGAAATTACGAAAAATTTCATCAGTGTTTTCTAAAGCAATTTATGCAGAATAACAACCAGAAGAGATTATCTGTAATAAACAATTTCCATGGTCAGATAAGTTTGGGAAAGCTCCATCTAATATACTTCTTGTTAGAAATCCTTAATTTGCATATTAAAGGCTCTGAGAAATACTGCAGGAAAGAAACCTACTTCTCAAATAGATTTCAGCATAGGAATTTGTTTTGGGGATGAGATTTACTAATTTTCTGTGGAACTAGTACTCTGCAGGCCTCATTTGGGAAATTCTGATTGCAAGCCAATGGTAGACTTTCTAAGGGAGATGAACAAGGTTTAGAGACCCAGAGTCCCAGCTTTAATCCCCAATACTTAGGAATCTTTATAGAAAGGTGAAAAAGCTTGTAGTTTAATAATGACACCTAATATTTGTGTGGCTTTTGTAATTTTGTAGGCCCCCTTTCACACTTTTCACTTTAAAAATAAAATCCTGACTCGATTCCTGTGAGCCATACAGATGAAGCTTATTATTATCTCTATATGAGTGAATAAACAAACTCTTACGACAAGTGAATAAACAAACCCAGAGAGATTGCCTTGGTATGTCATGCATTTCTACATCTTGTGCATTATTCATCACATAATACATCCAAGCTTTAGATGACCTGGAAGCTCAGATTCCAGCAATATCTCAGCTTATGAGATTTTTGCTAAATTTACTAATAATGTATTATCTCCTTTATGGGAATAATGATTATACTGATTGGCCACTGGTAGAAAGAGCTGTGAATTACTTTTCCAAAGGTGTTGATGAATTGACTTAAACTCAGGTACCTCGATGATATAGTTTGGATATTTGTCCTCACCTAAATCTCATGTTGAATTGTAATCCCCAACATTGGAGGTGGGGCCTGGTGGGAAGTGACCAGACTGTGGGGAGAATTTCTCAAGAATGGTTTAGCACCATCCCCTTGGTGCTGTTCTCATGACAGTGAGTGAGTTCTTGTGTGATCTGGTCATTCAAAAGTGTATGGCACCTCCCTGCCACACTCTCTCTTTCTTGCTACCTCTTTCACCATATGAGGTGCTTGGTCCCCCTTTGCCTTCTGCTGTAATTGTGGGCTTCTTGAGGCCTCCGTGGAAGCTGATGCCAGAGTTATGTTTCCTGTATAGTCTGCAGAACCATGCACCACATAAACCTCTTTTCTTTAAAAATTACCTAGTCTCTGGTATTATTTCTTATAGCAGTGCAAGAATGGCCTAATACACTCTGCTTCATCTGTCCTGCACCCAGTGGGGTCCAGTGGCTTAGTTATTACACATAGCCATGGCTGGGGGTGAATTTGTATCTGAGGAATTATTTTTGTCTATGTAACTTTATTTGACCCTTTAAAGAAATGAATTCATACAAGTGTTCCTACACTATGCCTTGATCCTATTAGTTAACATATTCCACTAATATAATCCTTTAGCTAATACAACCTGTGGCCTTTTAGAGTTATTATCCTAGTACTTCGGTCTTACTTTTTAAAATTTTTATGACTTTTTTTTCCCCTACACTTTTCCACAGCCTGACTTCTCTAAAGCTCATTCTAATTTATCTTACTCCCAAGACTCATGGACTTTCCTTCACTAGCATGGCTGCCACAAACATATTTAGATTAATATCTAAATTATAAGACTAAATATTTAACTACATCTGTAACAAACTATTTTAAATAGTGAGCACACATCTGAGTGTACCTGGGAAAGCTTTCTGACTCTTCAACATCCTTAATAATGTGGCTAAATGTCACATTCCTACATTTAATGTATCTTCCCCTGTCCTCTCTCACCCATCACCTGCCATTCAATTCTGATGTTTGTGTCAAATTTGAGTTATGACTATAGGTAGGTGTTACTTTCAGGAATTATTTAACAAATTTCCCCTAAGTTTTAGTGTCTATGCTTTTTTCAATGTAAAAAAATTTACTAAGTTGTACATAACAACTCCTTTTCTTCTAGGTTAAACTGAGACTTATTTTCTTAGGCTTTTAACCACAAAAATATAGACCTCTCTAGAAACACTTCATTTCCAGCCCTAACTTTGTAATCTGTTTTGTTATAACTGATCCAGAGAAAATAAAAATGCCTCATGTTTGAAGTCTACGCTATTCAAGGGTAAACTATGTCTCACTTTGAGTCATTTTATATGTTCATTATATCTAGAAAAACAATTTGAATAATAAAAGTGCCAAATGTTAACTCAAGCTATAAACATACAATGGCATATTTACATCATATATCAAACTTTTCTAGATTTCTTTTCTTAATGCTTCTCATCCTGCACTAAAATCCTTAACTCATTTGTTTCTTGATTTATGAGATAGATTAATTATTTTTGATTAATAAAAATTAGAACCTTTAATTGGACTCTATTTGAGTTTGGTTGCATTAAATGAATCTACTGGTGATCAAAAATATATTTTTAAAGGGAGTTTAGGGTAATATATCAACAAATGAGGAGCTATAAACATGATTAATATACACATTAGACTTTCCTTATCACATTTTGCTGGCAGTTTTTATCCGGTCACAGCTGAAATTCCATTGAGTTCTTTCTCCTTTTGTATAAAATACAGATTATGTGGAGACAGCAGTCTGAGCAACTGGAGTTTCATCTTGTCTGCCCATTAATTATTAATGCTGTTTCAGTATGTCTTATCTATCACTGCTGAGAGATGAAGGGCTGTATTTTTATAGTCATTTTCTAGTAAGAAAACAGGCTGGATGGTGACTTTGCACTTGGCAATAGGGAAAGGATCAAAAGTACTTCCATTTTTATGAAAACATTAAAAAAGACTGTTCTAACTCACTAATTTTACTCTTTCAATGAGGGGTGGTGTGATTTTTGATGAGTAAACCAAAGCTGAGGAAAGCACATATCTCTTTTTACAACTTTTTCAAAATACCATGAACTCAAAGGATTGAATTCAGGACACTCTGAATATTGGAGATTATACATGGCACAAGTTGTATTGATACATCCATATGAGTAGAATTTAGCTTATGTCTCAATTGCTTGATAATGGATTTAATCTTCCTTTTAGGGTACAATGTTATGATTTAGAGCCCGGGCTATAATGGAACGCACACTAGCCAGGTGACCTTGTGCAAGGGACTTGCTGTGCTAAGTATCAATTCACTCATCTATAGAATGCATGAGGACACTTATTTCACAGGGTGGTAAAAAGGTTAATTAAAATATAGCATTTAAACAGGGTCCAAACCATGGTAGTAAGCCCTGACATTTGGGTTCTTTTGTCTGTTTTTTTTACTAAAATCAGTAAAATGTGCTACTCTAACTTTCAACAGGAAATAAAATAAAAACAAAAAATGTTGATTCAAAGAGTGTTTCAACAATTTACACTTAATTTAAGCTGGGGGCTTGGAGAGTGTGAAGTGGACAATAAGTTAAATTTTAAGACTAGAGTTTTCATCTATTCTAATGAATAATAGAAAAGCAGATCTGACTTATTAAGTAGATAAAATTTGGTATATCAAGACATTTTTCTGTGATTACTTGATGACCTTAAGTAGATTGCCTTAAATTTTCTTCCATGTTCAATTTCTCCTATATTAAATGTATTGGGGAAACACTTATTAGTGAATGTGTGGAAAATCTCAGAGCACAGAACACTCACACACACACACACACACACACGTGGATTTCTCTGAACATTTACATTTACAATAACAGTATTTTCCCAATTACAGTAAGTGTGGCAGAGACAACTAACTGCCCCCAGGATCCATTTGTCTGTTCATCTCTTTAGTTAGAGAAAACCTACCTTCAAATTTAAATGAGGCTCATGCCCACCCAGCCTTTCCAGGCCCTTTTTATAGCCATGTGTGACCAGGTGACTCATTTCTTGACATTTAAATGGGAGCGCAAGTGGTGTACATAACTTCTGGCCATGTCCTTGGAAAGAAAGCTGCTTACCTCCATTTCTTTTCTCCCTTCCCACAGGCTGGATTTAGGATAGTGACCCTACTTCAACCATATAAGCAAGGTTATAATCCTAGGAATTTGCAAACAGAAGGAGCCACACAGAAGGAACCTACATCCCTGGATGACACTGAAGACAAGAGGCATTTACCTGCCTACTCCATGGACTGTAAAGTGGAAAAAATGACCTATAGTTTTTGAGCCATTCCATTTATGTTTTTGTCTTTATTTTGTTTGCAGCAACTTACTTGGATCCAGGTAATCACATCCAACCTAGGGGTAGGGCCCTTGCTGTGAATGACTAATCAATATTTATAACTTCAAAGACTTGACCTGCTTTAAGGTGCAAATAGCTCTGGTCAATTTTGGTGACTTGTATCGGAAGGCAGTTAATCAGGTAAACAAAAGATAGTTTTCAAAGAAAATTTTCTTCAGGAGGAAAATGTTACGGCATTATTTATCCTTTATCTTTTATTGGTTGGGGAACAAATAGATGAAGGAAGAAAAACTGAGGGCTGTACAAATAGAAACTGCTTGCTGATGCTGTCCTGGCTTCTGTGGTAAGAATGTCTTTTAGAGACCCTGGGACAAAAAGCAACACTGAAAAATCTAAGATGTGTGGCAATTCTTTGATATCAAAAATCATTGAATGGTTCTTTTCTAAATTCCTAACTCCCTGTTTTGCAGACATCACTTCCTGATGACTCTAATTATTTTGTTGTATCACAGTGATGTTTTGCCAGCCAGTAGAAACACAGTATTAGTCCACATAGTAGTATTAAAAAAACTTTAAGCTAGGATAAGAACTACGTGTCTTTGAGCTGTCTACACTGAACCTGGTATGTGACATGTTATGATAATAATAATGGTAATGCTAATAATAGTAATGATATTACAGGAATAACAAAAGAGTCCTTTCATCTCAAAAGCATGGGTCTAACTTACTCTCTGTGTCTCAAAAGTTTAACATCATTTTTCTAGTCCGGTAATAGATTGGTTTTGCACCAGGGTAATAGTTCCTCTTAGTTCCCTCTATAATGTGCAGTTGGGAGACACTTGACACTTCCCCCAGCCAGGGGGATCATATGAAACTGGCCTGCATTTAGTTTTAGCAGAAAAAAAAATCTAAATAATGGAACTAATCATTCAAACTGTAAAAAGTACATATGCAGAATTACTAGTATTTACTTGATTTTCCTGCCAACCTTCATTATGTTACTTCATAAGAAGATAAGAAAAGGAATATCATTTGTACCTAGATCATTGGATGCACAGTAATGCTTAGTTACCAATTCATGACTTTGTGAAAAATATTCCCAAAGGACAGCATACTCTTCCTATGTAACACCACTGAACAAATCACTGCCACATGTGTCCTTTGGTGTATCTGTGGCCTGAGAATTATTTAAGGGCCAAATTTATATCCTATTCTTTAACTACCAAGTGATCTTCCTTCCCTAATTAAACAGATACTCAGAGCAACAACTCACAAATGATGTTCTTAAATGACACTAAAAGTCTCAGGCAAGATCTCATTGAACTGTTGCTGAATCCTTGGTTACAGAGTTTTTTCTTTATAACATCTGAATTAGTTTCATGGCTGAAACTATAATTGGCCTCTCAAATGTGGTAGTGAGAGATCTGGCTTAGTGACAGAAAGACCAAAATCAGTAAATGAGGGAAAATAACAACCTAGAGAATAATGACTGAAAGAAGAACATTAATACTAAATAATGAAGAAGAATGTAAACAGATAAGAGACTCAGAAAGCCCTAGATCTTTAAAAGGCTGAAAGAGGGAGGGCAAAGATAAAAAATGATAAGACCTGTCAAGAAGAACAAAGTCAATGTGTGTACATTATTCAGTTTAAGGAATTAGAGTCACAAGGTCAAGTGTGGGTAACAGTAAATATGAATGATGAGGAATAAAATAAGTAAAAAGCAAGCTAGTTTCATAAATCAATTCCACAGCAACTTAGCTGGGGGGAGGTGAAAGGAGAATGGAGGATAACCCATTGGAGCCTGTTGAAATGTCAAGATCTATTACCAATTACTAAATATCAACGTGTTCATGCAAAATCCCAGTGTTCAGGGTCATAAAACAGTGCATTCCATGGACCAGTGGGGATTATCTAATTTGCACTTTGAAGTGCACTTAAACAAAACAAGAGAAAACATGGGCATTTGTAGCAAGAGGAAAACATACATTAGAAGATAAGTAGAATGAAAGAACATATAAGCCCCCATCTCAGCCTATTATCCCAGGATGGTCTCTGAGCCCACCTTGGAGGGGACCCCATTTCTGCTTCTTTGGCTGTACAATGCCAAGGAAGAAGCTGCTATAAAAGACAAGCAAAGGGGGAGGTCTGGAATGAAGATTTGGGCAAGAGTCCATACGCCAAGGTTAAGGGCCAGAACTTCTGCTCTTTGCACTCTCCCACTGGGAGCTGTACAGGCAGGAGAAACAGGGATGGGCCCCTTGGGGAAGAAGGGGACACTAGAGTTGGCCACTAACAACAGATTAAAGCCCAATGTAAACAGTGTGCTGGACACATGTGGGTTGTAGAGAGAGTGGTGATGAATAAGCCTGTATCCAGGCAAGGACTTCAAACAGGAGGAGGCTGAGCAATGATGAAAATGATTCAGTGCCCTCAGAAATGACTCATGAGAGGAACAGAATGTGAAGAAAACAAAGAAGAAATGTCCACATTTATCAAGCACTTGACAAATGATGGGGGATGCACAATTAGGGAGAGCAAATCATTGGAACAGAGTAAAGACAAGAAGGGAGGCCATAGGCAGTCTGAAAAGAAGAAATCCAGGGATGCAAGGGCAGCAGTATCATAGAGTGGATTAATCCGCTCTCACTGAATTATGGTCAACACAAATTAATCTTGCAGTCCAATTGATTTAACACTGAACTGGACTGTAAAATTCAGGGAATGCTGATTCTGTTTGACTAGCATTGGTCTCTACCTATTTTGTGAACATCTCCATTCTCAGGCTCTTTCTCCCTTTAGGTAGGGCTGATCTCCAGCAGGTCTGCTCTGGTAGAGCCTAATCAGGTATATGCCGATGCCATACCTGACTGGGTAATGTTTATATAATACTTGTTGCTACATGTTTTCGTTATCATTTCTACCTTCAAGTATTCAGATAACATTCTGAACCCATTTGAACTAAACTTTTTTAAATGACCTAATTGATACCTGTGTTTTGGACTAACTATTCTAATCTGTTATCTTTCTCTCTCTCTCTCTTTTTTTTTTTTGGTATTGCCCAATCTTTCTAAATCACTCCTTGTACTATGTCTTCCATGTCTCTGAGTGACTAGAGAGACCAGAGCTTGTAACTGAACATGGCACATGAATAAGGGGGAAAAATCCAAAACAGGCATTGGTTGTGTTGTTACTGAGGCTTCAGGATGGGTTTGTTACTGCACTGCATAACCTAGCTTATACTGATTGATACATTCACTTTAAGCTAACGTTGTATAATGTGTATTATAAGTCTGGACCTACAGCCTTCAGT